>NC_000023.11:47285837-48485837 GCF_000001405.40 Homo sapiens
GGCTAGAAAGGGAGCTGGAAATGAAAGTGGCGGTATTTGTCCAAGATGACGGTGCTCCTGCGCTGTCATTGCAGACCCTATAGTTATAAAAGGATGAGGGGGCGACGTGTTCTTTCTGGCTACTTCCTGCTGAGGTGGGGTGGAGAGTTTCTTGGTCTCGGATTGACTGCAGGAGTAACACCATCTGTAAATGTTTTTGGGTGGTTGCAAAATGGCCATGATTCTGTCAGTTAAAACTTTTTGAAAAAGGTTAATTAGGCAGAATAAAAACATTAGTCCTAGGCATATTACTAGGAGAGGACCCAGGAATGGGATGACTCATGCTATGATTTTGTTTTTGAACCAAGAATTTATTTGGTTCTTTTGGTATTCCCTTAGCTTTTTAGCCCTTCTTTTTAGTTTTTCAGCAGCATTTCTTACTAGGCCTGATTGGTTGAGATAGAAACAACATTTCTTACCCAATGAGAGGCAGAGGCCCCCTTTTTCAACCATTATAAGATTTAGTCCCCATCTGTTTTGGAGGACTACTCCAGCCAAGGAGTCTAGTTGGTCATGGACTCTTATAAAGCTTCGGGCTATATCTTCTAAAGAGCCCTGTAGTTTTGTTGAAAGAGCCTTAAAGTATGTTAAGGAGGTGGCTAATCCGCTTGCTCCCAATCAAAGTCCAGAGGTTATACCTAAGGCGGCCGTTAAAGGAATGACATGGATGGCCCATCTTTTTCTAACATATTGGACGGATGGGATGGGCAAAGGCTGATTAGGAGGAACTAGTCTGATGGAGGGAAATAGATAAACTAGGGTACAGGTTCCGGTCCAGTTGGTGGGGAGACAAAGATAGGTGTTGCTGCCACACAAAAAGAACAAGACTTTGCTGTAAACACAGGCAGAAATATGGAAAGAGAACAAGTGAATTAAAGATGGGGTGTTTTTTGTTGGTTTGTTTTTTTGTTTTTTTTTCCTGTGGTTCATTACTCCAGACTGACAAAGAGGAGGCCAGGGAGGCGCCTACTGTAGTAGAGATATAGGAAGAGTTACTTTTTACACATTTAATGCGGTCGGATGTTGCGCCATTAATATTGAGCCATGGAAAAAGGTGGGCATTAGGGAAAGCACAGGTTAGGCCTGGAGGCATTGGTTAAGGGAGAGGCCGTAAAACGAGCCGGTTGCAGAAATGTTCCCATTTGCTTCAAGTGACACTTGGTAGTTAATTTGATTAGTTTGGTAGTCAGAGGGGTGTTTAACAACGATAGCGGATAGGCGGTTGCATTGGTTAAGTGTTAATGACCCTACAGGGATATTTCCCTTAGAGGCCGAAAAGTAAAGTGAGGCTTGTTGAAAAAGGGGAGTGTGTTTAGTTATAGGCCCTTCAATGGGAGGGCCTTGGGGCTTAAGGCGTTGTAGGGAGTTGTAATAGGTTTGAAATAATTTGTTAGCCTGATTGGCCCTGGAAGTGGGATAATCACCGATTAGAGTGTCAACTTTTTTAAAAAGGGAAACTCCTTTTTGGAGTTTATAAATTAGGGTTATATTTCCAGTTAAAAGGTCATGAAGGGGTGCAGGAAGGGCTGAGTAAGCTGAGGAAGACAGTGATAAACACATCCAGCATTCCAAAGCAAGGGAAGAGTTAGCTGGCAGTAAGAGGGACTGTGTAAGGTTTATAGAGTGTTCGAGCTTGAGGGCAGTGAGGAGTGGTTGTACTGGTGAGATTGATGTACTTAGGGAATTTATATTAAAAGAAGCAAGCAAAAAGAGAAAAAGGTTATTTGGGTAGGAGTAAAGTCCTGGAAAGTTCCTTGAAGCCATAGGTCCCATAAAATAGTAAGGAGCTGATCAGGATGTGCAATGGGAGCTTCATAAGGGTACCACTGAAGGTCTGTAGCAAGGCAGATTAGGAAGCGATGAAAGTTTGGAAGAGAAAGAGACATAAGCGGCTTATGTGGAGTTTTCCTTTTTTTCCTCTGGGATTCAGGTGAGGCAAAGGGAAGTGGGTCCTGTGGAGACACAAGAAAAGGCTGAAGGAGTTTTAGATTCAGTTGTTTGAGCATGTGGTGAAGGGAAGTTTATTGGTTTTTTTGTCTTTCTTTTTGAGAGAAGTATAATGAATCCAGTTAGGGAGTCCCCAGAGTTTTGCTGCCGTAGGTGTGGTAAGGATGATCTGGTAAGGTCCCTTCCATTTAGACGTGAGGGGGGATTTGGGGGTAGGACTGGGATTTTTTATGAGAACCCAGTCTTCTGGCTGTAGGAAGGGATTAGAGGAGTTGGCAGCGGGTTGTGGCAGGTATTTGTCAGCATATTCCAAATGAAATGGTGGATGGTATGCAGAAGAGGGCAAGCGAGAGGGGTTGGTAGAGGTGGTGCTTGACCCTGAGATGGAACAAAAAGGGCAAGTGGTTTCCCATACATGAGTTTAAAGGGGCTGAGCATTAAGGGTTTACATGGGAGCACCTGAATTTTTAGAAGGGCCAAAGGTAAAAGTGTGACCCAGTCTTTATGTGTTTGGAGCGAGTACCCGGTGAGGTGTTTTTTGAATGCCATTCATTTTTTCAACCTTTCCTGAAGATTGAGGTCTATAGGGGATGTGTAGCTTCCAGGTGATATGTAGAGCTTGTGCAAGTGTTTGAGTAATTTGAGAAATGAATTCAGGACCATTGTCAGATTGAAAAGAACAAGGCACCCAGAACCTGGGTTTGATTTCTGTTATTAATTTGGAGGTGACAGTAGAAGTTCGTTTGTTGGTTGTGAGAAAAGCCTCAATCCATCCTGAAAAGGTATCGACCAGAACTAAAAGAAATTTAACCTTTTTTACTGGGGGCATATGGGTAAAATTAATTTGCCAATCCTGTCCTAGAAGGAGTCCCCTGGCCAGATGGGATGGGAAAGAAGGGGGTTTAGTGTTGGAGTGGGGTGAAGCTTTCTGGCAAATAGAGCATTGATGGGAAATGACTTTTAACTGTTCCTTTATATCTGGGGCTATGTGTATATGGGAACTTAAGAAATGTTGTAGAGGGGAATGGCTAGTGTGGAAGAGGTTGTGAATGTCCCATAAAAGAGTTGTTTTTTCAGGGTCAGGTAGGACTAATTTGTTTTTTATGAACCAGTATGGGGGTTTGAATTGTGCCCCCACCGTGATTAGTTGTTTTTGGTGTTTTGCATAAAAGGAGGGGATATGTTGTATGAGGGGAAATAGGTATTGGGGAATTGGATGATTGGTTGAGGCTTGTTTTGCCCAACAGTCAGCTTTACAGTTTTCTAAAGAAATGTGGCTGTTATTTGATTGATGTCCTTTGCAATGGATAACTGCAAAGTTTTCTGGGAGTAAAGCTGCCTTTAGCAAATGATGGATTGGTTTTTCACGAATTATCGGAGTTTCTTTAGCCATGAGATAGCTCTACTCGCTCCAAATTTGGGCATTGGAATGGATGATGTTATAGGCATATTTAGAATCGGTGTATATATTAACTTGTATGCTCTCTGCTAGGGTTAATTCTTTTATTAGGGCAATTAATTCTGCTTGCTGGGAGGATGTGCCCAAAGGCAAAGGGGCAGCCTTTACGATGCTTCTAGGTGGGAAAGAGTGGGTATTATTATGATATTCCTCAATGATGGCATATCCTGCTTGAAGGGAAGGGTTTTTTGATGTGCTGCCATCTATAAACCAATCTGGGGCTCCCTTTATGTGAGTGGAAGTAAGGTGGTGAAACATGGTGAGCGAACTTTCAATTAGATTAGAGCATGAGTGTTGGTCGGGGTCCAAAGGTAAAAGAGTGGTGGGATTGGGGGTGGGGAAGCATTTATGAAGAGAGATAGAGGGTTGAAGGGGAATTGAATGTAGTAGGGCTTGCAAGTGAGAGGATGAAATTGAGGTGAGCACCTTATGACTGAACATATCTTGTAGACTGTGAGAAGAAAATACCTGAAGGGGTTCGTAGAATGTGAGTTTTTGTGCCTCAGGGATGATCAGAGAGGCTGTGGCCAAAATTTTCAAGCAAAGGGGTCAGCTTTTATAAATGAGGTCTAGTTGTTTTAAAAAATATGCCACTGGTTGGAGAGAATCTCCCATAGGTTGGGCTAATAGTCCAAGGGCCTGATTATAAGAACTGTGTAAATATAGGTGAAAGGGTTTCAGGGGGTTTGGAAGGCCTAAAGCAGGGACCTGTAATAAGGCACGTTTTAGGTGAGAGAAAGCATGATAAAGGTCTGGGGTGGAAATGAGTGGTTGGTCAAGATTTCCTTTTGTGTGTTCATAAAGGGGTTTAGCAATAATGGCAAAATTTGCTGTCTATAATCAGAAATATCCCACTAATCCAAGGAAAGAAAGTAAGTTCCTTTTTGTTTTGGGAAATGGGATTTGTTGAATGCCTTGCTTTTGTGCCAGCAGAATTTCTTGGGTATTTGGAGTTATGATTAGTCCTAAGTATGAAACTTTTGGGGAGATCAATTGGGCCTTCCCTTTTGATACCTGGTACCTGCATTCAGCCAGAAAATTTAAAAGCTTGGTGGTGTGTTGAATGCAATGTTCTAGAGAGGGGCTGCAAAGAAGTAAGTTGCCCATATATTGAAGCAAAATGCTAGGCTGTAGAGATAGTTGGGAAAGACCCAATTGAAGTACCTGATTGAAATAGTGAGGGCTGTCCCTAAACCCCTGAGGGAGGTCAGTCCATGTGAGTTGTTGGGAGCGGCCTGTATCAGGGTTAGTCCAAGTGAAAGCAAAAAGGTTTTGAGTGGAGGGATAGAAAAATAAAGGCATCTTTGAGGTTTAATAGGTTTAATACAGAGAAATGGCTAGTGTTGGGAGGAATTCGTGGTAGGAGGGTGAGGGGGTTTGGGACAACAGGATAAACAGGAACAATAGCAGAGTTGATTTGTTGCAAATCCTGAACCAGTCTATAGGAGCCATCTGGTGTTTTAATTGGGAGAATCAGAGGTATTGTGGGGAGAATGGGTGGGGATTAAAATATTGGCAGTCAAAAGTCAGGAGATGATGGGTTTGAGTTCCCGCAATCCATTAGAGTTGAGGGGGTATTGTGGGACCACTATATGGCACTTAGGATCCTTCAGTGAAATTTGAATTGGAGAATGGTGGGTAGCAATTATGAGGGAGTTAGTGTTTCATACCATGGGATTTACATGGCTAAGGAATTTGGGGTTTAAGTCTATTTGATGTTGAGTGTCTGAGGAGGGGTTCTGTTCTTGACATAATAATAAATAAGGGTGGCTTTGGTGTAAGGCTGACAAATGGATGATTCCCCCTAATTTGTGTAGGATGTCCCTTCCTAGTAAAGGAGTGAGAAAATGAGGGATGACCAAGAAAGAGTGAGTGAAGGTGACACCCTGAAATGAGCAGTATAGAGGTGGTGTTTTGTGTGGGTTTTTTTGTGTGCCCTTCATGCCAACAACAGAAATGGATGAGTGTTTTAATGGGCCTTGATATTCAGTTAACACCGAAAGACTCACCCCGGTATCCAAAAGAAAGGAAATAATCTTACCGGACACCATCCCAATTACCCTGGGTTCTGTGGACTCACTAGGCATGGGGGTGAAGGATCCCGGTCACCCTCAGTCTTCCGTTGTCAGCGCCAGCAGTGAAGAGATTTCCTCCTGTGATGGTCAGGGGGCTTTATTATGAGCCGCACCCAAACGGGGAGGGTGTCCCTGTTGGGGGCAGTCCACTTTCCAGTGTCCCCAAAGACCACAAGTTGGACACGGTCTGGTGGGGGACCAGTGGTTAGGACAAGCCTTTGCCCAGTGTCCAGAGTTGCCACGTCGGAAACAGACTCCCAGAGGGGTCGGGTAGTTTTCTTTTGGGTCATTGGGAGGCTTTTGTGTAACTGGGTTTTGGATAGCAGAGGCAAGCATCTGGCTTTTTAATGAGAGATGTTTGTCTTTTTGAATTTTTTGTTCCTCATCTCTGTTGTTAAAGACACAGAAGGCTACATTTAGGAGGTCCTGCCGGGATGTCTGGGGACCCTCCTCTAAGTTTTGTAATTTTTTCCAGATATCTGGGGCAGATTGGGAAACAAATTGGAGGTGGAGAAAAGTTTGACCTTCTCTAGATTCTGGGTCCAAATTGGCATATTTTAGCATAGCTTCAGTGAGGTGTGATAAGGGCAGGATTTTCTTGGGGCTCTTGTGTAATTTCTCTAAGTTTCTCATAATTAACTGCCTTATGGGCATTTTTGTCCATACCCACAAGGAGACAGCTAATCATGTGGTCTCTTCATCTGATGCCATTGTCTCCCTGTTGGTAAGTCCAATCTGAGTCTCTACGGGGGACTGCATCATTAGCCACTGGATTTTGTATAGGGGCTTGATTATAGAGTTCATCTGTGTGGACTTCAGCTGAATGCTAGATGAGCTCTTTTTCATCAGGAGTGAGGGTGGAGGTTAGAATTATATAAAAGTCATGCCAAGTTAAATTAAAGGATTGAGTTATGTGCAGGAATTTCCTGTGATAACGAGACGGATTTTCAGAGAAAGATCCCAGATGCTGTTCAATTTGCGACAGATTAGACATGGAGAAAAGAACATGAACGCAAGTAATGCCTTTAACTCCAGCCACTTCCCGGAGAGGGAGAATGGCAGAGGTGGTTTGACTGGCTGGAGTAGTTTTTGAACGGGTTACAGGTGGAGAAGGAGGAGGGGCAGGGTTAGGGGCTGCTGGGGCGGAGGGTTCGGACAGGCGAGGAGCGGGTGCAGGGGGTTGAGAACATGGAGGGGGTTCATTTGCAGGGTCAAAAAGAGTTTCAGAGGAAGGGGTTCCAGGGGAAGGAGAGACCTGGGGAGAGTTTTCATTAAGAAGAAGGATTTCATGAGGGATGCAAGCTTGACATAGGGAGGGTCGGGATCTAAGGTAGAAAAAAGCCTGAATATAGAGAATCGTTTGCCATTTGCCATTACTGGTTATAAAGTTGTCAAGGTCCCTGAGAATTTGAAAGTTAAAGGTAGCATTTTTGGGCCATCGTCTGTTGTTATCTAATCTGTATTGGGGCCAAGCCATGTTGCAGTGGAAAATTAAATGTTTTGGCTTTAGGGTCCCCCGTAAGCCAAGTTTGGTGAGGTTGTGAAGGAGACAGCCCAGTGGGGAGGACGTAGGAATGTGGGATTGTTTGGCACCCATGTGGACTGGTAAGAGGAAGCTGAGGGTGTCTGTTTTGTTCTAGGCGTCCCCAGACAAAAGACAGAGACCCAGAATCTTCTTTCCAAAAGAGGATGGTTAAGCTAAGAAGAAACTGGGCATCCCTAAGATTTCCTCTAGCTTAGTCCTGTTGGTCCTCTGGGGACCTGGATGGCAGGTACTGGGAGAAAGCCAGGAGAAGGAAGACCTTACCAGTCAGCTGAATTAGTGTCCCATGTTAGATGTTCCAGTTGGAATCAGCAAAGGGCCTCCCAGACTGAAGGCACACAAGGAAGAGAGAGAGAAAGAGAGAGAGAGAAGAAGGAGGAAGAAGGAGCAAGGGTTAGGGAGCGAAATACCTGTTACAGGCGGTCAGAGGTGAATTCCTGAGACCTGAGTGTTTTGAAAGCTCACCAGGGAGTAGTCCCAGCCTGAGCCTTGCAGTCCCCTTCAGGTCAGTTGTCCTCCTCATGCAAATCGCTCGAAAATTGAAGTGAAAGAAAAGACTGGGCGGGTGGCCAGAGACCCTCAGGATCTGGAAGTTAACTCAGGATGCGCTGCCATTGCCCATTGGTTCCTGGGTTGCAAGAGAGTCTTTCCTCCCAACACCCGTCCCGGGTTTCAGCATCAAATGTAAGAATTAAAGAAAGAGGAGAGAAACACGGAGGGTAGCTTGACAGTCAACAGGTTTATTTTAAACCTGGGAGGGACTTCTGGCAGAGTTAGTTCAGAAGCTGCACTCTCTTACTTTAAGGGTTCAGGGCGGGAGAGTTTATCAGAGGCTTGGACTGCTTCTGTGTCTCTTTGTTGTGCTTATCTGGGAGGGAGAGTTTTGTGTCTGTTCACATACATCTTCCTGCAGCTGCAGGCATACCCCCCCTCCCGAGTCTGCCTTTAGCTTCCCTATCTTAGTGCACCTGAAGGGAAAGGAATGTGCTTATTAAGGCCCACTGTTTTACTGGGGCCCCATTGTATGGGGGTGAAGTTTGACAGTTACCCAAGAGACTTTCTCCCTGCCTTCCTCTGTGCCTGAGCTGTCTTATCTGTGTTTTACTGTCTATTCTTTTCTGGCTGCTTGTAGTTAGAAGAGAAGTGATTTCCTTGAAATGCATGAAGCTGGAAAGGCAGCTGGAATTTAAAGTGGCAGTGTTTGTCTGAGATGATGGTGCTCCTGCTCTATCAGCCTCGACCCCCTGGGCTTAAGCAGTCTTCCCACCTTAGCCTCCCAAATAGCTGAGACTACAGGCATGCCCAGCTAGTTTTGTTATTATTAATATTATTATTAACTTTTATTTTATGCTCAGGGGTACAAGTGCAGGTTTCTTATATAGGTAAACTCATGTCATGGGGGTTTGGTGTACAGATTAGTTCATCACCCAGAGGCCTAGTACTTAATAGTTACTTTTTCTGATCTTCGCTCTCCTCCCACCCTCCACCCTTAAGTAGGCCTCAGTGTCTATTGCTCCCTTCTTTGTGTACATGAGTTCTCATCATTTAGCTCCCACTTATAAGTGAGAACATGTAGTATTAGGTTTGCTGTTCCTATTTATTACTATTATTTTTTTAAGAGATGGCTTCTCCCTATGTTGTCCAGGCTGGTCTTGAACTCCTGGGCTCAAGTGATCCTCCTGCCTTGGCCTCCCAAAGTGCTGTGATTGCAGGCATGAGCCACCATACCTGGCCAGAATCATTTATTAAAACAGGAATAAATGAATTGTGTGTCCGTTATGGGAAACAAACTCTTTGAGCAGAATTAAATAGCTGCAGGCCGGGCGCAGTGGCTCACGCCTATAATCCCAGCACTTTGGGAGGCCAAGGTGGGCAGATCACTTGAGGTCAGGAGTTCAAGACCAGCCCAGCCAACATGGAGAAACCCTGTCTCCACTAAAAACACAAAAATTAGCTGGGTGTGGTGGCGCATGCCTGTAATCCTAGCTACTCAGGAGGCTGAGGCAGGAGAATTGCTTGAGCCCAGGAGGCAGAGGTTACAGTGAGGCAAGATTGCACCACTGCACTCCAGCCTGGGCAACAGAGTGAGACTCCATCTCAAATAGAAATAAAAATAAAAATTAAAAATTAAAAAGTAAACAGCTGCAAAGCAGGCTGGAGTGCTTCTGAAGAGGACAATGAGGCTATCACTATGACCTTAATATTTGCATCCTCCTGACCCCCAAAAATTCATCTGTTGAAATCCTAATCACAAGGTAATGGAATTAGGAAGTGTGGCCTTTTAGAAGGTGATTGAGTGATTAGGGACTAGTGCCCTTATGAAACAGGCCCAAGGAAGCTTGTTGGCCCCTTCCATCATATGTGGACACAGTGAGAAGGTGCCATCTGTGAACAAGAAAGCAGGTCCTCACCAGACACTGAATCTGCTGATGCCTTGGTCTTGGACTTCCCAGCCTCCAGAACCATGAGAAATGCATTTCTGTTGTTTACAAGCCACCTACTTTGTGGCAGTTGGTTACAGTAGCCCAAACAGACTTAGACAGCCCTTAGAGTCAGCAGGGCCCCACTGCTATGGCCTCCTCAGAGTGCACTGGATTTTGCTAATAGGTTTGTAGCCACCTCCACAGCAGCATTTTTTTTGATTTGAAGTCTAGGACAAGGTTACCAAAGCATTCTGAGATGACAGGTCAGGCCAGGAGAGAACTGTAAGCAAGAGCCCAAGAGAGACAAAAATGGTTCCAGCTCTACACCTCTCCTAGGCCACTCGCAAAATCCAGAACCCAGTTTCCATGAGGTGGGCATGGAAGAGACAAAGGTAGAGTGGAAAGAATTCCTTGTGTGGTTTGGGTCTCTTACGGCCAGTCTGGGCCTCTTCCTCTTCCCTTTGACTGCATAATTAAACATTTTATCCAAATGGGAAATGCTTTTTGGACAATTGCCACATTTAGAGACTATATTGCCTGTTTTAGATATATACTTTACTAGGAGCTAAACCTTGGTGATCCAGTTATCTTTTTTTTTTTTTTTTTTGAGACAGGGTCTTGCTCTGTTGCTTAGGCTGGAGTGCAGTGGCACAATCATGGCTCACTGCAGCCTTGACCTCCAGGATTCAAGTGATCCTGCCTCCTCAGCCTCCTGAGTAGCTGGGACCACAGGTATGTGCCACCACGTCCAGCTAATTAATTTTTCTTTTCTTTTCTTTCTTTCTTTTTTTTTTTTTTAGATGGAGTATTGCTGTGTTGCCCAGGCTGGAGTGCAGTGGCACAATCTCGGCTCACTGCAAGCTCTGCCTCCTGGGTTCATGCCATTCTCCTGCCTCAGCCTCCCGAGTAGCTGGGACTACAGGTGCCCACCACCACGCCTGGTTAATTTTTTGTATTTTTAGTAGAGACGGGGTTTCACCGTGTTAGCCAGGATGGTCTCCATCTCCTGACCTCGTGATCTGCCCACCTCAGCCTCCCAAAGTGCTGGGATTACAGGCGTGAGCCACCGCGCCTGGCCTTTTTTTTTTTTTTTTTTTTTGTACAGATTAGGTCTCCCTATGTTGCCCAGGGTGGTCTCAAACTCCTGAGCTCAAGTGATCCTCCTGCCTCAGTCTCCCAAAGTGCTGGGATTACAAGTGGGAGCCACCACTCACTGCCTTTTTAACTGTTAATTTAGAAATAATGATACATTCTGTTGAAGTTGGAAAAAAAAAGTACAGAGGTTCTGTGAATAATTTATGCAATTTTTGATAACTATAGTATAATATCAAAAGGAGGAAATTGATACTGGTACAATCCACCAATTTAACTCAAATTTCTTCAGTTTTATAAGCACTCATTTGTGTGTGTGTGTGTGTGTGTGTACTGCTATGCAATTGCACCACATACATACACACACACAAATCATTCGTTACACAAATCACATGCGTAGATTCATATAACGACCACTACCATCAAGATTCAGAATCATTCCCTCAGCACAAAGAGCTGCTGCTAGCCTTTCATAGGCCCTTCTCCCCATCCCTGTCTCCTTGACAACCACTAATCTTTTCTCCATTTCTGTAATTGTGTTATTTCAAGAATGGTACATAAATGGAATCACACAGTATAAAACCTTTGAGATTGGCTTTTTTTCCACTCAGCATAATTCCTTTGAGATCCAACTAAGCTGTTGCATTTATCATACGGAGGTACCACTGTTTATTTAACCATTCACTCACTGAACAACATCTGGGCTAATTCCAGTTTTTGGCTGTTATGGATAAAGCTGCTAAAGCCATTCATTGTACAGGTTTCTGTGTGAATGTAAATGTTCATTTTTCTGGGCTAGATGCCCAGGAATGTAATATCGGGTCATATGGTAGTTTCATGTTTAGTTTTATAAGAAACTGTCAAAATATTTTCTGCCAGTCTGTAGCTTGTCTTTTCATTCTCTTCAAAGAGTCTCTCTGAGGGCAAAAATTTTTGGTTTTGATGAAGCTCAATTAATCACATTTTCATTTTATAGATTATGATTTTGCGTTATGTATGACACTTCGTCAGGCCTGAGGTCATGAGGATTTTTTAGGCTGGGGGTGGTGACTCACACCTGAAATCTCAACACTTTGGGGGGTCCGAGGCGAAAGGATGACTTGAGCTCAGGAGTTTGAGACCAGCCTGGGCAACATAGTAAGACCCTGTCTCTATAAAAAGTACCAAAAAAATGAGCTGCGCATGGTGATGCATGTACACCTGTAGTCCCAGCTACTGGGGAGACTGGGGTGGGAGGATCGCCTGAGCCAGGGAGGTTGAGGTTGCAGTGAGCCAAGATTGTGCCACTGCACTCCAGCCTGGGTGACAGAGCAAGGTCCTGTTTCAAAAATAAATAAAAAAAATAAAATAATAAAAAATAATAGTGTACTCTACAGCAAAGGTTTCTGATCAGCTTGTGACAGACTATTAGTGTTGTCACTTTCCTATGTTACTCTTATCTCTAAAGCAAAACCTATTCTTAAACTAAGAATGCTTTTTCTTCTTAAAGTACTAGGACATTTCCATAAGTTCTGGGTCTTTATTCAGTTAGTTAACATTATTACCTTGTTCCCTCAACCATGAACATCTTGTGACCAAGAGTGCCCAACCCTCGGGGAATGTAACCCAGCAGGTTTGGCTTTTTCTGGCCTTTATTTTTTTTGCGACAGAGTCTCGCTTCGTCATCCAGGCTGGAGTGCAGTGGTGCAATCACAGCTCACTTACAGCCTTGATCTTCTCCTGGGCTCAAGCAATCCTCCTACATCAGCCTCCTGACTAGTTGGGACTATAGGTGCACACCATCACGTCTGACTAATTTTTGTATTTTTGGTAGAGAGAGGGTTTCACCATGTTGCCCAGGCTGATCTTGAATTCCTGGCCTCAAGCCATCTCCCACCTTGACCTCCCAAAGTGCTGGGATTACAGGCATGAGCCACTGCACTCCACTCCTTTTTACCGTGTTGTCTTCCAATCCATGAACATGATATGTCTCTCTATTTATTTGGATCTCCTCTGATTTCTTTCATTTATATTTTGTAATTTTTTTTTTTTTTTGAGAAGGAGTTTCACTCTGTCACCCAGGCTGGAGTGCAATGGCGCAATCTCTGCTCACTGCAACCTCTGCCTCCCAGGTTCAAACGATTCTCCTGCCTCAGCCTCCCGAGTAGCTGGGATTACAGGCGTGCGCCACCATGCCTGGCTAATTTTTGTATTTTTTAGTAGAGACGGGGTTTCACCATGTTGGCCAGGCTGGTCTTGAACTCCTGACCTCAGGTGATCTGCCTGCCTCGGCCTCCCAAAGTGCTGGGATTACAGGCGTGAGCCACCATGCCCAGCCTATATTTTGTAATTTTAAAAATACTAACCCTTTACATGTTTTGTTAGCTGTATACCTAAGTATTTTATCTTCTCTAGAGCAATTATGTATGGTATTGTGTTTCAAATTTTGGTGATAATATATAGAAATGCTAATCATTTTTTTTATTCCAATAAAACTTTATTTACAAAAGCAGCAGTCCACCAAGGTCAGGAGTTCGAGATCAGCCTGGCCAACATGGTGAAACCTGTCTCGACTGAAAATACAAAAAATTAGCTGGGCATGGTGGCGGATGCCTGTAATCCCAGCTATTCGGGAGGCTGAGGCAGGAGAATCACTTGAACCCAGGAGGCAGAGTTGCAGTGAGCCGAGATCGCGCCATTGCACTCCAGCCTGTTCCACAAGAGTGAAACTCCGTCTCAAAACAAAAACAAAAACAAAAACAAAAACAGTGGTCCATATTTGGTCACAGGTCATTGATTGCTGGGCCCTACTCTAAGAGAACATAAAAATAACTTGGCCGGGCACGGTGGCTCATGCTTGTAATCCCAGCACATTGGGAGGCTGAGGCAGGCGGGTCACCTGAGGTCAGGAGTTCAAGACCAGCCCAGCCAACATGGCGAAACCCTATCTCTACGAAAAATACAAAACTTAGCTGGGTGTGGTGGTGGGTGCCTGTAATTCCAGCTACTCAGGAGGCTGAGGCAGGAAAATCGCTTGAACCTGGGAGGCAGAGGTTGCAGTGAGCTGAGATCACGCCATTGCACTTCAGCCTGTGCAACAAGAGCAAAACTCCATCTCAAATAAGTAAGTAAATAGATAAATAAATAAATAAAACTTAAAGCAGATATACTCAGGGTTTCTTCTCACAGGCAGAGTTCCATTATTTCTAAATAAGCAAAAAATGACAATTATCTTTTCCATTTAAAAAATTTTCTTTTCTTTCTTTTTTTTTTTTTTTTTTTGAGACAGAATTTTGCTCTGTTGCCCAGGCTAGAGGGCAGTGGTGCGATTTCAGCTCACTGCAACCTCTGCCTCCCGGGTTCAAGCATACTCCTGCCTCAGCCTCCCGAGTAGCTGAAATTACAAGTGCATGCCACCACACCTGGCTAATTTTTTGGATTTTTAGTAGAGACAGGGTTTCATCATGTTAGCCAGGCTGGTCTTGAACTCCTGACCTCAAGCGATCCACCTGCCTCGGCTTCCCAAAGTGCTGGGATGACAGGCATAAGCCACCACACCTGGCCCATTTTTAGAAATTTCTAACGTATGACTGTCAGAAATATCATGATTAGTCCAGGTGTGATGTCTCAAACCTGCAATCCCAGCACTTTGGGAGGCCGAGGTGGGAGGATCACTTGAGGTCAAGAGTTCAAGACCAGCCTGGCCAAGAGTTTGAAACCAGACTTGGCAACATAGTGAGACCCTGTCTCTACAAAAATAAAAAATGAAAGAAAAAATAGCCAGTCATCATGGCACACACCTGTAGTACCAGCTACTTGGGAGGCTGAGCGGGGAGGATTGCTTGAGCCCAGGAGTTCAAGGCTGCAGTGAGCTGCGACCTACTGTACTCCAACCTGGGTGACAGAATCAGACTGTCTCTAAAAAAAAAAAAAAAAAAGCTGTGGGCCGGGCGCGGCGGCTCACGCCTGTAATCCCAGCACTGTGGGAGGCTGAGGCGGGTGGATCATGAGGTCAAGAAATCAAGACCATCTTGGCCAACATGGTGAAACCCCGTCTCTACTAAAAAATACAAAAATTAGCTGGGCGTGGTGGCATGCACCTGTAGTCCCAGCTACTTGGGAGGCTAAGGCAGGAGAATCCCTTGAACCTGGGAGGCAGAGGTTGCAGTGAGCCGAGATTGTGCCACTGCACTCCAGCCTGGTGACAGAGCAAGACTCCGTCTACAAAATAAAAAATAAAAAAGCTGGGCACAGTGGCTCATGCCTGTAATCCCTGGACTTTGGGAGGCTGAGGCAGGTAGATCACCTGCAGTCAGGAGTTCAAGACCAGCCTGGCCAACATGATGAAACCCTGTCTCTACTAAAAATACAAAAAAAATTAGCCAGGTGTGGTAGCAGGTGCCTGTAATTCCAGCTACTCAGGAGGTTGAGGCAGGAGAATCACTTGAACCCGGGAGCCGAGATCTCGCCACTGCACTCCAGCCTGGGTGACAAGAGGGGAACTCCTTCGAAGAAGAAGAAGGAGAAGAAGAAGAAGAAGAAGAAGAAGAAGAAAGAGGAGAAGGAGAGGAGGAGGAGGAGGAGGAGGAGGAAAAAGGGGAAGGGGAAGAAGAAGAAACAATATGGTTAATTTTAGGCCAGAGTCACATAGCTAGCACATATCTCCATGACTAAACCATATCAATTCTAAATCCCTTTTATATATCTCCTCATCAAATGAAAATAATCTCTTTGATGCTTTTTCCCCTGGATAAAACCTTTAGATGGAAGATCACACATGGCCAGAAATTCAAGTGTGGGGGCCATAGGCTGCTGGCTCTCTAAAGGTTCGCTGAAAATCACTGACACGAGGTGAATGGATTAACAGGAGAAAAGGCATCCAGATGTATTTAACATGTGTACACAGGAGCCTCCTTAAATATCACTTCGAGATTACAGACATAATGGGGTTTTAGATTCTGGTCACCCAGATTATGGGAGGGGGAGAAGAGGCTTGGCTGGCAAAGGTGGCCTTGTTATGCAGACGAAGCCTCCTCCCTCAGAGAGAATTGATGGTGAAGGTGTTTTTTTTTTTGTTTGTTTGTTTGTTTGTTTTTTCTTTTTGAAACAGTCTGTTGCCCAGGCTGGAGTGCAGTGGTGCGATCTTGGCTCATTGCAACCTCCGCCTCCCGGGTTCAAGCAATTCTCCTGCCTCAGCCTCCCAAGTAGCTGAGATTACAGGTACTTGCCACCATGCCAGGCTAATTTTTGTATCTTTAGTAGAGACATGGTTTCGCCACGTTGGCCAGGCTGGTCTCGAACTCCTGACCTCAGGTGATCTGGCCTTCTTGGTCTTCCAAAGTGCTGGGATTACAGGCGTGAGCCACCGCATTCAGCCTGATGGTGAAGATTTTTAAAGGTGCCAGATTCTCAATCTCTCCTGGATCCAGGGAAAGGCAGAGAAAGGGAGGGGGCATGGATACATTCATGAAGATTCTCTACAGATGCACATTTTCCCCACTTCAGACAGCTCTGCAAGGCTGCTGCTGTCAGGATGGCCAAGCGGCAGCCATTTCAAAATATGTCAAAGAAATGTATTCTGGGGTAAAATATTTTCATTTCTTTCATAAGCAACCTGTTGGCCTTTGTTATATACACAGCAAGTTTGTTGTCAAGCCCTTTTGTATCTTCATATGTTGTGTATCAAATCTTTTTTTTTTTTTTTTTGAGACAGTTTCACTCTGGTGTCCAGGCTGGAGTGCAGTGGTGTGATCTCGGCTCACTGTAACCTCTGCCTCCTAGGTTCAAGTGATTCTCCTACCTCAGCCTCCCGAGTAGCTGGGATTACAGGCATGTGCCACCACGCCCAGCTAATTTTGTATTTTTAATAGAAACGGGGTTTCACCATGCTGGCTAGGCTGGTCTCTAAGTCCTGACCTCAGGTGATCCGCCCACCTCAGCCTCCCAAAGTGCTGGGATTACAAGCCTGAGCCACCGCGCCCAGCCCATATGTATCAATTCTGACATTTACCTTTCTTCCCCTTGTGAAAGGAAACTAAAAACGCAGGACCCCAATTCACTCTGCCAAAAGGAAAAAATTAAGCTGAAAGCTGAGTCATGCAACTAGCTGTCTTTCCTTTTGTTCCTAAGCCAATAGCTACAGATAAAAGGTTAAATATCTGTAGGGGTAGCTACTCTGTGCTCCCTTATCTTATGTAAAGTGATTTACTGAGTGCAAGATGAATACATAATTGACTCTTCCTCTACCTGCTCCTTTCCTCTTGCAACATGTGGATGACCCATACCCTCCTCCCTCTTTCCCCTCCGCCCCCTTTTCCACTTTAAATATCGAAGCCTTCAAAATCATCTTTGGAGAAAGGCACAGATGTGTCTCGTGGGCATTGTCCTTAACCTTGGCAAGTAAACTTTTTTTTTTTTTTCTTTTTGAGACGGACTCTTGCTCCGTCGCCCAGGCCAGAGTGCAGTGGCACGATCTCGGGTCACTGCAACCTCCCCCTCCCAGGTTCAAGCGATTCTCATGCCAGCAGATGGCTAGGGAGTAAGACTCGAGAAATGACATGGTGCTGAGCCCTGTGGGTTTTCTTACGTATCCAAGACCAGGTGCTGGAGAAACCAGCAACCCAGAACACCAAGCGGTGCAGACAAAAAAGACCCAGGAAAGCCTGGCAGGCACGGTGGTGCGCACTTGTAGTCCCAGCTATCCAGGAGGCTGAGGCGTGAGGTTCGATTGAGCCTAGGAGTTCAAATCCTACATGGGCAACATAGTGAGACCCCCATCTCTAAACAAACAAAGACCCAGAGACCCAGGGAAACCTCTTTCCCTTAGCCAAAGGACCAGGTAAGGAAGGGGAAGCCTCGTAAGAGAGTGTAAACCAAAAAGTATCTCAGACAGGTCTCAATCAATTTCGAAGCTTACTTTGCCAAGGTTGGAAAAAAAAATCATGTACATTTAAAGTAACTAGTAATTTGTGTTTTTAATTTTTTTATTGAGACAGAGTCTTGCTCTGTTGTCCAGGCTGGAGTGCAGTGGAGCAACCTCAGCTCACTGCAACCTCTGCCTCCTGGGTTCAAGTGATTCTCCTGCCTCAGCCTCCCGAGTAGCTGGGACTACAGGCATGCTCACCAAACTCGGCTAATTTTTGTATTTTTAGTAGAGACAGGGTCTCCCCACGTTGGCCAGGCTGGTCTGGAACTCCTGACCTCAGATGATCCACCCTCCTCAGCCTCCCACAGTGCTGGGATTACAGGCGTGAGCCACTGCGCCTGGCCAAAAGTATCCCAGAGAGGTCTCAATCAATTTTGAAGTTTACTTTGCCAAGGTTGGCCAGGCATGATGGTTCATGCCTGTAATCTCAGCACTTTGGGAGGCCGAGGCGGGCAGATCACCTAAGGTCAGGAGCTCAAGACCAGCCTGGCCAACATGGTGAAACCCCCTCTCTACTAAAAATACAAAATTAGCCAGGTGAGGTGGTGCACACATGTAATCCCAGCGACTGAAGGCTGAGGCGGAGGTTGCAGTGAGCCGACATTGCGCCACTGCACTGCAGCCTGGGTGACAGAACGAGATTGCATCTCAAAACAACAAACAAACAAAAAAAGTGCATGTTAAGTAATTAGTAATATGTTTAGGCTTGTATCTGCCATTTAATTTTATTTTTATTGTAAATTGGCAAATTATAATTGTATGTGTCTATGGGGTTCAAAGTGATGTTAGGATATATGTATACAATGTGGAATGATTAAATCAATCTAATTAATATATTCATCACTTCAAATACTTGTCATTTTTTGTGATGAGAAATTTGAAATTTACTGTTAGCAATTTTAAAATATATAATATGCTATCATTAATTATAGTAATCATACTATGCAAAAGCTGTCAAAAAACTTTATCCTGTCTAACTGAAACTTTGTATCCTTTGACCGACATCTCCCTATTCCCCTCACCCTCAGCCACTGGTAACTACGATTCTATTCTCTGCTTCTATGAATTTGATTGTTTTAGATTTCATACATAAATGAGAACATGTGGTATTTGTCTTTCTGTGTCTGGCTTATTTTACTTAGCATAATGTCCTGCAGGTTCATCCATGTTAGTGCAAATGACAGAATTTCCTTCCTTTTAAAGGCTGAATAGTGTTCCATTGTGTGTATTTACCACATTTTCTTTATCCATTCATGTGTTGATGACACAGGTTGATTCCTTATCTTGGCTATTATGAATAATGATATCATGAACATAAGAGTGCAGATATCATTTTAACGTATTGATTTCAAATCCTTTGGATGTATACCCAGAAGTGGGATTTTTAATTTTTAAGGAACCTCCATACAATTTTCCGTAACGGTTGTACAAGTTTACATTCTTCACAACAGTGTGTAAGGGTTCCCTGTTCTCCACATTCTCACCAACATTTGTTATCTTTCATCTTTTTTAAAATTGTATTTTATGGTCTGGGTGCGGTGGCTCACACCTGTAATCCCAGCACTTTGGGAGGCTGAGGTGGGGGGATCACGAGGTCAGGAGTTTGAGACCAGCATGACCAACATGGTGAAACCCTGTCTCTACTAAAAATACAAAAATTAGCCAGGCGTGGTGGTGCGCGCCTGTAATCCAGCTACTCGGGAGGCTGAGGCAGGAGAATTGCTTGAACCCAGGAGGCAGAGGTTGTGGTGAGCTGAGATCCCACCACTGCACTCCAGCTGGGGCAACAGAGCAAGACTCTGTCTCAAAAAAAAAAAAAAAAGAAAAAAAAAGAAGTTGTAGGGGTCTCACTGTGTTGCCCAGGCTGGCCTAGAACTCTTGGGCTCAAGCAATCCTCCCATCTCAGCTTCCCTAGTAGCTGATACTAAAGGCATCCACTGTTGTGCCCAACTTCGTCTTTTGGATAATAGCCATTCTGGCAGGTGTGAGGAGATATCTCATTGTGGTTTAAATTTGTATATTTTATTATTTTTTTCTGTTTGTTCCCTCTGATTCTCATTTCTTTGTTTCTCTCCCTTTGCCTTCCTTGGGGTGGGTACATGACCATTGTTTTTAGAATTCCATTTTGACTTATTTATATAATTTTTGGGCATATCACTGCTATGATTTGAATGTTTGTGTCCCTTCCAAAAATTCATGTCTAAACTTGATCCCCAATGCAGCAGTGTTGGGAGGTGGGGTCTTTTGGGATGTGTTTAGGTCAAGAGGACTCTGCCCTTATGAACAGATTAATACTGTTAGAAAAGGGCTTCATGGAGGGAATACCTCCCTTTTTGCCCTTTCCCCTTTTTTTGCCATGTGAGGACACAGTGTTCCCCCACTCCAGAGGATGCAGCATTCAAGGCACAATCTTAGAAGCAGAGAGCAGCCCTTCCCAGATGCCAAACCTGCTAGTGACTGGATCTTGGACTTCTCAGCCTCCAGAACTGTGAGAAATAAAGTTTTGTGTTTTATAAATTATCCAATCTCAGGTATTCTGTTACAGCAGCACAGAATGTACTACGACAATCACTTTGTATGGTCTTCTTAGTGATTGCTCTAGGTATTACAACTTGCACGTGTAACTTATCACAGTCCACCGATGTCAGTGTTTTACCACTGTAATTGACGTGGAGGAATTTACTTCCCTTTAGATCCCTTTACCTATCCTATTTTCAAAATGTAATTGTCCTAAGTGTTCTCTCTATATACATTGAAAACCGTATCAAATGTTGTTACAATGTTTTGCTTCAACCATCAAATATGGTTTTAAAACCTCATGAGAGAAAAAAAAGCTCATGAGGAGAGTATTTACTCCTGTTTTAACCCATTCTGTTGTTCTCTTTTCCTTTCTGAAGTTCCAAGCCTTCATCTGTTATTTCACTTCTGTTTGAAGAACTTCCTGTCACCTTTCTTTAATAGCAGATGTCCTAGAAACAAATTTGCTATGGACTGAATTTTGTCTCCCCCAAAATTCATGTGTTGAAGACTTCACCCCCTATGTGACAGTATTTGGATGTGGGACTTTGGGGAAGTAATTGGGTTTAGATGAGGTCATCACGGGCCCTTGTAATGGGATGAGTACCCTTATAAGAGACACCAGAAAGCTTGTTTCCCCTACCCTTCTCTCTCCTCCCACCATGGAAGGACACAGCCAGGAGGCAGCCCTCTGCAAGCTGCTAAGAGAGCCCTTTCTGGGAACCAGATCAGCCAGCATCTTGACTGAGGGCTTCCCAGCCTCCCGAACTGTGAGAAATGAATTCATGTTGTTCAAGCCACCCAGTCTATGGTATTTCGTCATGGTAGCCTGAACTGATTAACACAGGCTTGTTTTAGTTTTCCTTCGCCTGAGAATGTCTTTATTTCCCTCTCATTCCTGAAAGAGACTTTCCCCAATGTAGGACTCTCAGTTGACAGTTCTTTCAGTACTTGAAGAATATCATGCCACTTCCTTTCAGTTTCCCTAGTTTCAGATGAGAACGCCACTGTCATTCTAATCAGTGTCCCCTATGCCTCATGTGTCATTTCTCTCTAGCTGCTTTCAAGGGTTTTCCTTTGTTTTTAGCGTTTAGAGGTTAAATGATGACATATGGGCGTGGGTTTTGTTTGGTTTACCCTACTGGGGTTTGCTCAGCTTCTTCAATCCGTAGGTTTATGTCTTTTGCCCAATTTGGGAAGCTTGGGCCGGGTGCAGTGGCTCATGCCTGTAACCCCAGCCCTTTGGGAGGCCGAGGTGAGTGGATCACCTGAGGTCAAGAGTTTGAGACCAGCCTGGTCAACATGGTGAAACCACGTCTCTACTGAAAAAAAAAAAAAAATTAGCTGGGCGTGGTGGCACACGCCTGTAGTCCCAGCTACTCAGGAGGCTGAGGCAGGAGAATTGTTTGAGCCCACGAGGCAGAGGTTGCAGTGAGCTGAGATAGCACCACTGCACTCTAACCTGGGCAACAAAGGGAGACTCTGTCTCGAGAAAAAAAAATTAAAAAAATATATATATATATATGAAACTTTCAGCCATTATTTCTTCCAATATTTTTTCATCACTACTCTGTTTCTTGTCTACTTGTAGAAGTCCAGTCTAGTGATATAAATCTTAGATCTTTGTTATTGCTCTGTAGGTCTCTGAGACTGTCCATCTTTTTTTAGTGTATTTTGCCCCTGTTGATGAGATTGGACAATTTCTACTGTTCTGTCTGCCAAGTCACTTCTCTGTCACGTTCATCCTGCCATTGAACCCTTTGCATTAGTTTTAACTTTTTTTTTTTTTTGCCCAGGCTGGAGTGCGATGGCGCGATCTCGGCTTACCACAACCTCTGCCTCCCAGGTTCAAGTGATTCTCCTGCC
The DNA here is from genome assembly GCF_000001405.40 of Homo sapiens. Classification (NCBI taxonomy): domain Eukaryota; kingdom Metazoa; phylum Chordata; class Mammalia; order Primates; family Hominidae; genus Homo; species Homo sapiens. The sequence continues at coordinate 47,307,703 of NC_000023.11, forward strand.
TCAGCCTCCTGGGTAGCTGGGATTGCAGGCATGCGCCACCATGCCTGGCTAATTTTGTATTTTTCGTAGAGACAGGGTTTCTTCATTTTGGTCAGGCTGGTCTCGAACTCCCGACCTCAGGTGATCCACCCACCTCGCCCTCCCAAAATGTTGGGATTACAGGCGTGAACCACAGCGCCTACTTTTTTTTTTTTTTTTTTTTTAAGAATCTCCCTCTGTCGCCCAGGCTGGAGTGCAATGGCGCGATCTTGGCTCACTGCAACCCCTGCCTCCTGGGTTTGAGCAATTCTTCTGACTCAGCCTCCTGAGTAGCTGGGATTACAGATGTGTGCAACCACACCCGGCTAATTTTTGTATTTTTAGTAGAGAAGGGGTTTCACCACCTTGGTCAGGCTGGTCTCGAACTCCTGACCATGTGATCTGCCCGCCTAGGCCTCCCAAAGTGCTGGGATTACAAGCGTGAGCCACCGCACCTGATCAGTTTTAACTTTCATTTATAATTTTTATTTCTATCATTTCTATTTGGTTCTTTTTCTATATCATCTATATGGTGAGATTTTCCTTCTTGTTTTTTTTTTCATTTATTTATTTATTTATTTTTTAACAGGGTCTCACTCTATTGACCAGGCTGGAGTGCAGTGGTGCAGTCACAGCTCACTGCAGCTTCAACCTACTGGGCTCAATTGATTCTCCTAGCTTAGCCTCTCAAGTAGCTGGGACCACAGGTGCACACCATCATACCTGGCTACTTTTTGTATTTTTTGTAGAGGTGGGGCTTCACCATGTTGCCCAGGCTGGTCTCAAATTCCTGGGCTCAAATGATTCAACTGCCTTGGCCTCTCAAAGTGCTGGGATTACAGGCGTGAGCCACCACGCCTGGCACAAGGATTTCTATTTCTTCTTTTGTTTCCAGTTTATTTGTAATTCCTTATTGAATCATTTTTATGATGACTACTCTAAAATCCTTGTCAGATAATTCCAGCATCTGATTCATCTTGTTATTGGCTTCTGTTTCTCTGTTTTGTTTTTTGGCTTTTTTTTTGAGACTGAGTCTTGCTCTATCACCCAAGCTAGAGTACAGTGGCATGATCTTGGCTCACTGCAACCTCTGCCTCCCAGGTTCAAGCGATTCTCCTGTCTTAGCCTCCTGAGTAGTTGAGATTACAGGTGCCTGCCACCACACCCGGCTCATTTTTGTATTTTTAGTAGAGACGGGGGTTTCACCATGTTGGTCAGGCTGGTCTCGGACTCCTGACCTCAAGTGATCCACCCGCCTCGGTCTCCCAAAGTGCTGGGATTACAGGTGTGAGCCACTGCACCTGGCCTGTTTGTTTGTTTGTTTTGTTTTTGTTTTTGTTTTTTTGAGACAGAGTCTTACTCTGTTGCCTAGGCTGGAGTGCAGTGGCACAATCATGGCTCACTGCAGCCTCAACTTAACCTGGGCTCAGGTGATCCTCCCAGCTCAGCCTCCTGAGTAGATGGGACTACAGGCATGTGCCACCACGCCTGGCTAATTTTTCTGTTTGTTTATTTTTTTTTTTTTGTAGAGATGAGGTTTCACCATGTTGTCCAGGCTGGTCTTGAACTTCGGGGCTCAAGTGATCCGCCTGCCTTGGCCTCCCAAAATGCTGGGATTATAGCTGTGAGCCACCCTGCCCAGCCACTATTGGCTTCTATTGATGGTCTCCTTTCATTTACATTGTGATTTCTCTGGGTTTTGTTATGACATCTGATTTTTTATTGTATCCTGGACATTTCGTCTATATGCTAGGACATTCAGGGTCCTATTTAAATCTCTATTTTAGTAGGCAGTCATTCTGTTTAGGTTTAGCATTCAGGTTCCAATGACAATTAAAAAAAATTCGTAGAGACAAGATCTTGCTCTGTTGCCCAGGCTGGAGTGCAGTGGTATGATCATAGCTTGTTGCAGCCTTGACTTCCTGTGTTCAAGGGACCCTCCTTCTTCAGCCTCTTGAGTAGCTGGGACTATAGGCACGTGCCACCATGCCTGGTTAATATTTTAATTTTTAGTAGAGACGAGGTCTTGCTATGCTGCCTGAGCTGGTCTGAAACTCCTGGGCTCAAGTGATCCTCCCACCTCACTCTCCCAAAGTGCTGGGATTACAGGTGTGAGCCACCACACCCAGCCTCCGATGACAATTTTGTTTACAGAGACCTTACAGTGTCCTTCTGGTCTGTTTCATTTGCCTGGTTCCATTAGGGCGTTATCTCAGTCTTTATTGGTGCCAGGGGCAGATGTTGCTTCCCTGGTTCCATCTGGTGCTGCTGGGTAGGGGATGGAAGATGTGGAGTTGGGAGGTGGGAGGACTTTTTTCAGCTTCGGGTGTTGGTAGGCCTTCTGCTCCATTTGCCTTGGTGCTGGACTTAGGAGTAGAAGGTCTTCTCCCCTTCCCCTGGGTCTGCATGATGCAAAGTTTTTTGTTTTCGTTTTTGTTTTTGTTTTGAGACGGGTTCTCACTCTGTTACCCAAGCTGAGTGGAGTGGCACAATCACAGCTCACTGCAGCCTCAACCTCCTGGGGTCAAGCAATCCTCCTGCCTCAGCCTCCGAGTAGCTGGGACTACAGGCACGCACTACTATGCCTGGCTAAATTTTTATTTTTTGTAGAGATGGGGTCTCACAATTTTGCCCAGGCTGCAAAGTTTTAAACAGAGTTTTTTTGTGTGTGTGTGGTTGCACTGCTGCAAATGGCTCAGGGCACCTCATCAGACTTTCACTTAGTTGATCTGTCTGTGAATCAGATCCTGTTAGCCTCAGGAATCTCCATGTATCAAGGCAAGTGCCATATGCAAAATCCCAGGGGGCAGCATGGCATAGTGGCAACTTCTTTTTGCCATAGCTTCCAGTCTGCATAATTGTCAGTCCCTGGCATTCAAAAGGCCCATTAGGCCTGATCGGCCCAAGTGTGATGGCACTCTGTATAGCCCGTTGGATTTTTTTATTCAGAGCACTGCCATCTCTATTAGGTTTTTGTTTAATACAGTGATCTTCTCCACACCCCTCCTCCATCTTGTGTTATTTTACTGATACCTCATGGCTGGGTGGAGGAAGCCAGGTGGACTCCTGCTTGTGTTCTATCCCACAGCTGCTGTTTTAATTGTAGCATTCCTCCATTGAGAACATCTCATATAATCAGGAGAAGGCAGGGCATAGTGGCTCATGCCTGTAATGCCAACACTTTGGGAAGCTGGGGTGGGAGAATTGCTTGAATCCAAGAGTTTGACACCAGCCTGGGCAACATAGTGAGACTATGTTTGTACAGCAAATACAAAAATTAACTGGGCATGATGGTGCACACCTGTAGTCCCAGCTACTCAGGAGGCTGGGCAGGAGGATCGCTTGAGCCTGGGAAGTCGAGGCTGCAGTGAGCCATGATTGTGCACTGCACTCTCCTGGGCAACAGAGTGAGACCCTGTCTCAAAAAAAAACAAGAAAACCAGGAGCAGTATTACACATCTATTATTACAGTACTTTTATTATTTATTTATTTTTTTTGGAGACTGAGTCTTCCTCTATTGCCCAGGCTAGAATGCAGTGGAGCAATCTTGGCTCATGGCTACCTCCGCCTCCCGGGTTCAAGTGATTCTCCTGCCTCAGCCTCCCAAGTAGCTGGGATTACAGGTGTGCACCACCATGCCTGGCTAAATTTTTTTGTATTTTTAGTAGAGACGGGGTTTCACCATGTTGGCCAGGCTGGTCTTGAACTCCTGACCTCAGGTGATCTGCCTGCCTCAGCCTCCCAAAGTGCTGGGATTACAGGCTTGAGCCACTACGCCCAGACTATTACGGTACTTTTAGCAGCATCAGTTCAAACCACTTGAGTGTGTGTCCATCAAGTAAAACATAACACAGTTTGAACAAGTATCCTTCACAGTGGCGAATCCGTGTGGGTCTGCGGCAACCTCAATCCTTGCCTCATAAGAAGAAAGAATTCAACTGAGGGGCATAAAGCAGAAGGAGAGACTGAGGCAAGTTTTAGAGCAGGAGCAAAAGTTTATTAAAAAGCTCTAGAGCAGGAACAAAAGGAAGTAAAGTGCACTTGGAAGAGGGCAAAGTGGGTGACTAAAGAGTCAAGTGCATGGTTTGACCTTTGACTTGGGGTTTTATACTTCAGCATGCTTCCAGGGTCTTGCGTCCCTTCTCCCATGATTCTTCCCTTGGGGTGGGCTGTCCCCATGCACAGTGGCCTGCCAGCACCTAGAAGGGGCCACATGCACACTGTGTTTACTGGAGTTGTACGCAAGCTCACTTGAGGCATTCTTCCCTTACCAGCCGAAAGGTCAGATACCAGTTAAACTCCGCCTCTTAGTGCGCATGATTGAGCCCATTCGCCCAACTCCTGGAATCTTATCAGAAAGCTGCTGTTCACCAGCTTCAGGTGTTTTCTATTTATTGGGAGACCACCTTTCCCTGGTGCCAACCTCAACCAATTACCATTTTAGAAAAACAGTTTAACAACCGCCTGACTGTCACCTGATGGTCGCCTGACATTCCTGGGGGTGGGGGTGGGGGCGCTCCTGCCCTGCTCGTGTCTGCCTGACTACCTACTGTAACAGTATCAACCATGGTGAGGCACCCCTGAGAACCTGAGAGGGTGTCACAGGTTCGATGTGGTCAATCTATTAGGAGCAGGTGGGGGCCAATGCCTAGTGTAATGGGGACTCTGTAACCAAAAGACTAATGGACTAATGGTCTGGCATCCGAATCAGAAATGTAGAGTTCTCTACTTTGTAACAAACAGCATCTTTTCCCCATTTTGGCTTCCAGAGAGCTGAGTATTTTGAATCCACCCCTGCAGATTCGCTATAAGAAACTTTACTTGGCAAGCAGGACTCTGGATTTTGTTGGGGTTGACCAGCTACCCCTGCTGGTGGAGGCGCGACAACACCTTGGTTCGGGCTGTGAGACTAAGGCTTTTTTTTTTTTTTGAGATGGAGTCTCACTCTGTCACCAAGGTTGGAGTGCAGTGGCGTGATCTCAGCTCACTGCACCCTCCACCTCTCGGGTTCGAGTGATTCTCCTGTCTCAGCCTCCCGAGTAGCTGTGATTACAGGCACCCATCATCATGCCTGGCTAATTTTTTGGTACATTTAGTAGAAACGGGGTTTCGTCATGTTGACCAGGTTGTTCTTGAACTCCTGACCTCAAGTGATCCACCCGCCTCATCCTCCCAAAGTGCTAGGATTACAGGTGTGAGCCGCTACACCCAGCCGAGACTAATGCTTTTGAATTGCCACCCAACGGAACATCAGCTATGTAGTGAAAGCTCCAGACATCAGAGGGTAGAGGCACTTGCACTGAGAACTCACCCACTGGTGACAAATGGTAGTAGAGTTTTCCCTATGAGTGCTTTTTACATGTAGCAGTGCCCTAAAAAGAGAAAGAAAGCATGTGTGATCAGACCTGGGCGGTGGGGGGGGGGGGCAGGGTTGGGGGGTGTCTCCCCATTGCCCTTAACTTGGCTTGCAGAGCTCCTCTGTCTTCTCTCCAAAAAGACATTGTGACCTTACTTGGCTTCACGTTGGATGCCAATTTGTCAAGCGGCCAAGCAGTTGTTAAGCAGCAGCACAGTAAAGTTGGCTTGTCACATTTCTTTAGATTCAGCTGGTAAGGAGACAACAAACTCATTTTTATTTTTATTTATTTTTTTTCAGACACAGTCTCACTCTGTCACCCAGGCATGAGTTCAGTAGCACAATCACGGCTCACTGCAGCCTCGACCTCCCAGGCTCAAGTGACCCTCCCACCTCAGCCTCCCGAGTAGCTGGGACTACAGGTATGTGCCACCACGCCTGACAATTCTATTTTTATTTTTTGTAGAGATGGGGTCTTGCTATGCTTCTTCAGCTGGTCTTGAATTTCTGGACTTAAACATTCCTCCTGCCTCAGCCTCCCAAAGTGTTAAGGATTACAAGTGTGAGCCACCTTGCCCAGCCGCATAAGGATTTATTATGTTCACACAGTAAAAGCAAGGTCATTGTGTCATCCCAGAGGATGACACTCAACTAGATGACACAAAACATGCATGGTGGCTCACTTTGTTGTGGATGACCCTCCTCTAAACTACAGCCAAGCCGTCTTAAAAATTACAATGAAGTCAGCTGGGTGCGGTGGCTCACGCCTGTAATCCCAGCACTTTGGGGGGCTGAGGTGGGTGGATTACTTGAGGCCAGGAGTTCAAGACCAGCCTGGCCAACATGGTGAAACCCCGTCTCTACTAAAAATGCAAAAAATTAGCCGGGTGTGGTGGCTCATGCCTGTAGTCCCAGCTGCTTGGGAGGCTGAGACACTAGAATTGCTTGAACCCGGGAGGCAGAGGTTGCAGTGAACTGAGATTGTGCCGCTGCACTCCAGCCTGGGTGACAGAGCAAGACTCTGTTTCAAAAAAAAAAAAAATGGAATTGAGAATTACAGTGAAATCTTCCACTGTACCCTAAGGGGCAGGCCTGCTGAGGCAGAAAGTCCCCTGTGTCATCAGAACCAGAGAGACAGGCTGGGTGCAGTGGCTCACACCTGTAATCCCAACACTTTGGGAGGCTGAGGCAGGTAGATCGCTTGAGCCCAGGAGTTTTTTTTTTTTTTTTTCTGAGACGGAATCTTTCTCTGTCACCCAGGCTGGAGTGCAGTGGTGTGATCTTGGCTCACTGCAACCTCCACCTCCCAGTTTCAAGCAGTCCTCCTGCCTCAACCCCCCGAGTAGCTGGGATTACAGGCACCCACCACCACACCTGGCTAATTTTTGTGTTTTTAGTAGAGACAAGGTTTCACCATGTTGGCCAGGCTGGTCTCAAACTTCTGACCTCTGGTGATCCACCCACCTCGGCCTCCCAAAGTGCTGGGATTACAGGCGTGAGCCACTGCACCCAGCTGAGCCCAGGAATTTGAGATCGGTTTGGGTAACATGGTGAAACCCTGTGTCTACAAAAAAATACAAAAATTAACTAGGCGTAGTGGCATGCACCGATAGTCCCAGCTACTCAGGAGGCCAAGGTGGGAGGATTGCTTTAGCCCAGGAAGTCAAGGCTGCAGTGAGCCGTGATCATGCACTCCAGCCTAGGTGACAGAACAAGACCCTGTCTCAAAAAAAAGAACCAGGGAGGCAGATGAGAAACAGCTTTGTGATAGCTCTTCACAGGACTGCTGTGTTCCAGGCGAAGATGCCAGGGCATGCCACCAGGATTCAGGTGACTGCTCCCAAGCTTTGACTCTGTAGCCTATGCGGAGAAATGCCAGGCTGCCAGGGCACCTGGCTAGAGCCCTCCACATACAATTTATACAATGAGACAGGCCTTATAGCTTAGAATCTTATCAGTATTTATTTATTTATTTATTTACTTATTTATTTATTTTGAGACAGAGTCTCGCCCTGTTGCCCAGGCTGGAGTGCAGTGGCACGATCTCAACTCACTGCAGCCTCCACCTCCCGGGTTCAAACGATTCTTCTGCCTCAGCCTCCCGAGTAGCTGGGATTACAGACGCGCACCACCATGCCCAGCTAAATTTTGTATTTTTAGTAGAGACAGGCTTTCGCCATATTGGTCAGGCTGGTTTTGAACTCCTGACCTCAGGTGATCCTCCCGCCTCGGCCTCCCAAAGTGCTGGGATTATAGGCGTGAGCCACTGCACCCGACCATAGTGACTTTTTGCAAACCCTCAAGGGCTGTAAACAAAACAACTTTCCATTGCCAGAGAATTATATTTAAATCAACGTTACTATCCAAATGTCTAAATGTCTTTTAACACATGGTTACTTGTTTATTTCTTCTCTAATCTTCTATGCAGGATAAATTCAGATTCTTGTCCTCAGGAGTCTGGATTAAAAATATACTTTGTATTGCTGGCAATATTGTCATAAAACTAAATTTTCTTATACGGATACATTAAAAAGCACAGGGAGTGCTGGGCTTGGTGGCTCATGCCTGTAATCCCAGCAATTTGGGAGGCCAAGGCGGGCAGATCTCTTGAGGCCAGGAGTTCGAGACCAGCCTGGCCAACATGGTGAAACCTCGTCTCTACTAAAAATACAAAAAAAATTAATGGGGAGTGGTGGCATGGACCTGTAATCCCAGATACTCAGGAGGTTGAGGCGGGAGAATCGCTTGAACCTGGGAGGCAGAGGTTGCAGTGATCTCAGCTCACGCCACTGCACTGTACTCTAGCCTGGGAGACCCCGTTTCAAAAAAAAAAAAAAAAAAGAACAGACAAAATGAATCTACGGTGCAACAAGTGAGGGTAGGAGCAAATGCTTGGGAAGGACACAAAGGGAGGTTCCGGGGGTGCTGGTGATGTTCTGTTCCTTGACCTAAGCATTGTCACTGTGGGGAATGTGTATTCACTTTGGAATAATTCGGTCAGTTGGACCCATGGGTTGTGTATATATTTTTTTCCTGGCAGGTGAGTGGTTACACACTCCACTCCTTAGTGGATTTTGGCTTCCATGGCTACTGTCCTGCTGCTTTGTACATTTTTCTGATAAAAGCTTCAGTGAAAGGTTTTACAAATCAACAGAAAGAATAAACGATGAAGAGGAAAATGGCCTGGGAAAAAATGATTTCATACAGATAAGCTTCCCAGACGCTCTTGTTTCCTGACTCCCGTCCAAGCGCGGTGGCCAGCCATCTAGGCAGCCTTCCTTAGGCTTTCTCTCGGCTTCTGCCTTTGTCTGCAGCCCTCCTTTCTTTTCACTCCAGGGGCTGTTTATTGATCTCCTTGCTGCCATGCCTTCTGTTCCCATGGTAACGCAGGGGCTGCCCCATGCTGTTATGCACTTTTCTCTCCTAGGCTCAAAACAAGCATTGCAGAAACGGTTCTTTGGAACGTGAGTCCCCCTAGATACTCTATGGAAAGAGAAACCGGTTCATGGTCAAAACAGTTTTCAGGGGGCAGATATGGTGGCTCATGCCTGTAATCCCAACACTTTGGGAAGTCGAGGTGGGAGGATCGCTTGAGGCTAGCAGTTCAAGACCAGCCTGCGCAACAAAGTGAGACACCCCGCCCCCACTACACACACAATCTCTAAAAATAAGTAATGAATGCCCTTACTCTTGGAATTTCCCAGTAGATATTAGCATCTTAAAGGCTCTGCACCTGTTTAACCAAAATTTTCCCTAACTTTTTTGACCCTGGAGAGCCCTCCCACCGCTTTCCCTTTAACATTTGCTGGTGCCCTGGGGGACTATCTTTTGTGGCAACCATTTTGGGAAATGCTGCCCTTAGCCCTTTTATATAACTATTTGATGGACAGCTCTATCTGGATGTCACAAAGATACATCAAACTCATCTTGTTCAAAACAGATTTGATACTGTCCCTGTAATCTTCAGTTCCTACATCTTATCAGTCCTCCAACCCTAGGATTTACTTTCTTCAAATGTCTCTCAACCCCCTGACACATCTCATGCTTACTGCTTTTTTTTTTTTTTCAATGGGGTCTCCCCCTATTGCCCAGACTGGAGTGCAATGGCACCATCTTGGCTTACCACAACCTCCACCTCCCGGGTTCAAGCAACTCTCTTGCCTCAGCTTCCCAAGTAGCTGGGATTACAGGCGCCTGCCACCACGCCCAGCTAATTTTTGTATTTTTAGTAGAGATGGGATTTCACCATGCTGGCCAGGCTGGTCTCGAACCCCCAACCTCAGGTGATCTGCTGCCTTGGCCTCCCAAAGTGCTGGGATTACAGGCATGAGCCACCGTGCCCAGCTGCTCACTGCTTTTTAAAAAAATTAATTTATTGATTTTTATTTTTGTAGAGACAGGGGTCTCACTATGTTGCCTAGGCTGGTCTTGAACTCCTGGCTTCAAGCAATCCTCCTGCTTCAGCCCCCCAAAGTGCTGGGATTACAACCGGGCACTACCATGCCCAGCTAATTTTTGTATTTTTAGTAGAGACAGCATTTCACCACGTTGCCCAGGCTGGTCTTGAACTCCTGGGCTCAAGTTATCCACCCCCCACTCAGCCTGCCAGAGTGCTGGGATTACAGGTGTGAGCCACCACGCCCAACCTATACTCCAATTTAACAAGCTCTGACTTTGCAAAAGAACACCAAGATCTTGGTTCCAGTTGTCAAGAAAAGGTTTCCCTGGGGTCAGGGTGTATGGGCCAGGAGGTGCGCATGCAGCGGGCCTCATAGTACAGGGAACCTGGCTAAGAGTGTTCCCTATTTTTACTTCAGGCCTTGATTACATTTTGCACCTGGACTTCTGCAGTAGTATCCTAAATATCTATCTGATCCCCACTTCTCTCCCCCTTCTTAAATGTACACTTCACACTGCAACGCGACTGCTGGAAATACACCGTGATTATGTTATTCCCACTAGTTAAAACTTCCCATTGGGCCAGGCACCATGGCTCACACCTGTAATCCCAACACAGGGAGGCTGAGACGGGCGGCTCACTTGTGCTTAGGAGTTGGACACCAGCCTAGCCAACATGGCAAAACCCCATCTCTACAAAAAACACAAAAATTAGCCAGGTGTGGTGGTGCGTGCCTGTAATCCCAGCTACTCAGGAGGCTGAGGGAGGAGAATCACTTGAACCCAGGAGGAGGAGGGGGATATAGTAAGCCGAGATTGTGCCACTGCATTCCAGCCTGGGCGACACAGCAAGACTCTGTCTCAAAAAAAAAAAAAAAAAAAAAGAAGAAGAAAGAAAGAAAAGAAAAGAAACAAGGTCGGATGTCGGATGTGGTGGCTCACGCCTGTAATCCCAGCACTTTGGGAGGCCGACGTGGGTGGATCACGAAATCAGGAGTTTGAGACCAGCCTGGCCAACATGTTGAAACCCTGTCTCTACTAAAAATAAAAAAAATTAGCCGGGTGTGGTGGCAGGCGCCTGTAATCCCAACTACTCCGGAGGCTGAGGCAGGAGAATTGCTTGAACCTGGGAGGCAGAGGTTGTAGTGAGCCAAGATCATGCCACTGCACTCCAGCCTGGGCAACAGAGCGAGACTCTGTCTCAAAATAATAATAATAATAATAATAATTTTAAAAAGAAAAGAAAAGAAACAAACCTCCCATTGGCTTCAATGAAAAGCTTGAATTCCATCAGCTCTGAAGCCTCTCATGCCCACCTTCTCTTCCCCTGCCCTGTGTACAGATCACAGAAGGTAGCAAATCTAATCCCACCCTCCACTCACTCTGCCTAGAATTTCTTTATCATCTTTATAGATTAGTAGAGTCAGACCTGGGTTCAAATCCCTGCTTTACATCTTGCTAGCTATGTGACCTCATGCAGAGTATTTCAGCACTACAGGCCTAATTTTCCTCAACTGTAAATTGGGAATCATCATGGACCCAGTGCTTAGCAAAAACAAGCAAACAGGCCAGGTGCGGTGGCTCACGCCTGTAATCCCAGCACTTTGGGAGGCCGAGGTGGGTGGATCACATTAGGTCAGGAGTTTGAGACCAGCTTGGCCAACATGGTGAAACCCTGTCTCTACTAAAAATACAAAATTTAGCTGGGCATGGTGGTGCGCATCTGTAATCCCAGCTACTCGGGAGACTGAGGCAGGAGAATCGCTTGAACCCGGGCGGTGGAGGTTGCAGTGAGCTGAGATCATGCCATTGGACTCCAGCCTGGGCGACAAGAGCAAGACTCCGTCTTAAAAAAATAAAGAAATAGGCCGGGTGCAGTGGCTCACGCCTGTAATCCCAGTACTTTGGGAGGCCAAGGCGGGCGGATCACGAGGTCAGGAGATCGAGACCATCCTGGCCAATACGGTGAAACCCCGTCTCTACTAAAAATACAAAAAATTAGCTGGGCGTGGTGGCAGGTGCCTGTAGTCCCAGCTACTCAGGAGGCTGAGGCAGGAGAATGGCATGAATCCGGGAGGCAGAGCTTGCAGTGAGCTGAGATCACGCCACTGCACTCCAGCCTGGGCGATGGAGCAAGACTCAAAAAATAAAATAAAATAAAATAAAAATAAAATAAAGAAATAAATACAAATAAAGCTGTGGCTGGGCACAGTGACTGATGCCTATAATTCTAGCACTTTAGGAGGCTGAGGCAAGAGGATTGCTTGAGCCAGGACTTCAAGACCAGCCTGGGCAACATAGCAAGACCCTGTCTCTCTAAAAAATACAAAAATTAGCTGGGTGTGGTGGTGTGTGCCTATAGTCCCAGCTATTCGGGAGGCTGAGGTGGGAGGATCACCTGAGCCTGGGGAGTTGGAGGCTGCAGTAAGCTGTGATTGCACCACTGCACTCCAGCCTGGGCCATAGAATGAGACCCTGTTTCCAAAAAAAAAAAAAACAAATAATTTTAAGACTCAACGTTTTGTATACAGTCCTTATTCTAACTCTGAATCTAATATTTAACCAAAAGTTACACATCTCAAGCCAGGTTCACCCAGAACACTGCTAGAGAGGATCGACCACCTTAACCCCACCCAGCTTCAAGCTTTACAAGGAGACCCAAGCTGCACACGGGCCTCTGCTTACGATGCTGAAGAGAAGGTATGTTGTGAGCCTGCATGCCCCTTCACCCTGAGATCTGATTCCCTGTCATCTCCGACATCCTGTCTTTCTGCTCTCTTTCTGGTCGCCCCCCTCCAACTTCCCTCAAGCCCCATGCCCCTATTACACCCAGTAACTTCTCACTTCAAGCCTTTGTGTTTGCTCTTTCCCAGGTGCCTCGGTGGCTTGCTGCTCCCTCCTGTCTTTGCTCCAATAGCACCTCTGCATGGAGGCCTGCCTTGACCTTCTTGCCCCAAGTCAGAAAGCCATCATCCAGAATTTGAAAATGATAGCTTTTCATTGGTATATCTATACCGATGGATCTATTGATTGACTTATTGATAGATATAGTGCCCTCCTTAACTTGCTTTTGGCCTGACCTGTCTGGAGTGCAGTGGCATGATTTCAGCTCACTGCAGCCTCCACCTTTTGGGCTCAAGCGATCCTCCCACTTCAGCCTCCTGAGTAGGTGGGATTACAGGCATGCACCACCACGCCCAGCTAATTTGTGTATTTTTAGAAGAGACGGGGTTTTGCCATGTTGCCCAGGCTGGTCTCGAACTCCTGAACTCAAGTAATCCGCCCGCCTCAGCCTCCCAAAGTGCTGGGATTACAGGCATGAGCCACGGCACCCGGCCTCAAGGGGATTCTTAATGTAATTGTTCACTTTACATTATATAAAAATGTAAAATGATTACTTTTTATATAATTATATATGTATATCTCTAAATTTATACTTTCTTGGTTTCCCTGTTGATATAAAAGCTCTTTTCTTTATTTTATTTATTTATTTATTTGAGACGGAGTTTCGCTCTTGTTGCCCAGGCTGGAGTGCAATGGCGCAATCTCAGCTCACTGCAACCTCCGCCTCCCTGGTTCAAGCGATTCTCCTGCCTTAGCCTCCCGAGTAGCTGGGATTACAGGCATGCGCCACCACACCCGGCTAATTTTGTGTTTTTTGTAGAGATGGGATTTCTCCATGTTGGTCAGGCTCGTCTCGAACTCCCCACCTCAGGTGACCCACCCGCCTCGGACTCCCAAAGTGCTGGGATTACAGGCGTGAGCCACTGCGCCCAGCCTTCTTCTCTTTAAAAGTATGGTCTGCCATTGAGATTTTATTAAGTTAACCATGTTCTTAAACTTGGCACAATTCCCATAGGCTCCATCTAGAAAGCTGACAATCTCCTTCGGGCAAGCTCACTGGGGATTTGCGGTTGTAGACCAGGGGAGTAGGGGGCGATTTCAACGAACATAGCCCTCCCGACAGCGGTGCTACTCGTCCTTCAGCATCCTTTGCCTTAACCTCAAACAAAATGGCGGCGCCCACACTGTAGCCTTCCTCGGGCGCCGCCATGTTGGATGACGTTTAGCCTCTCCCTCCCCCGAGAGTCAGCTCCTTGTTAGCCACGCCCACCCCTGGGCTTGCGTGATTCCCCCTCCCCCGGATGCACTAGGCCTGAATCCCATTCTCCTCACCACACCTGGCCAGGCCTGGGTACGATCCAGTCTCCAGCACATATGTACTCTGCTGAGCATTCTGTCTCTGATCGTGACCTCCAGGCCTCAGCGTGACCTGCCAAATGTTCCCATGGGAGATCTGAGGCCTGCATTGCTAGTGCCCCCACTGTAACTAAGGGGCTGGCTTGTTGCTAGGAGTTTCCTTGTAGCTAAATTCCAGTTTAGGAACTTAAGCTGTTTGATTGCAGGACAAGACCCTAAATCCCAGGCCTAAGCGTAGTGTTAATGTCAGTCCCTAGACTGATCACCAAGCCCAAGCTTGCGCCCCTCAACCGATTAGACGCCCACCCACCAAGGGGAATGCCTCATTTGAGTCCACTCTCAGCACTCCCATCGTCACCCCACCCCCGCCAGCATGGCACTCTTGACCCTGTCTGAGCCTCCGTGTGGCCACCTGGTCCCATTTAGAGGTGGAGAGCAGGTGGTGAGACGCACAAGAGTTTATTCTGAGCTCCTTGCGTTGGCCCCTCGCACACCGCTCAGTAGCTTTGTCTCGAGGCTTCCTCTGTCCTCGCGTAGTGAGCCGCGAGCAGTGGTCGGCTTCTGCAGTCGGCTTGGGCGGATCATGCAAACTGAGAGGAGAGACATGGTACCTGCTGGGAGAGCAGCTGGGGGCCGCTGAGGAGAAAGGGAAAACAATACAAGGGACAATGAGGGTCAGGACACAAACATCCCTACACACTCTCCTCAGGCTGTCCCCTTCACCTTAGGACACTGTCCTTCCCTCCTCCTCCCTCCCACACTGCCTCCCAGGCATCCCTCCCTGCTCCTGGGGACAAGCAGGTCCCTGACATCATTAACCCTTCAGGCCCACGCACAAGTGCCAACCTGTTCTGGCTGCGGTTCACAGGCCGGCCGGGAAACAGTAGCTGTAGCTCTTATACAGGAACACACACCTCTCATGCCCATCCAGGAAAGAATGGGTAAGCCTCTGCCTGAATGGCCAACATTCACCACCACCACCCAGGACCTTCAGAGACATCTTGAGGCAGGAACTGGCGTCTTGGGAGGTGATGATCATGATCGTACAGTCCCTGAGACCTGCCCACTGATATTTGTCATCCATGAGACTGTTAATGCCCACTGGGGGCACGGTGGGGGAGGACTTGGAGGTTGTCATCAGCAGCAAGAAGTTACCTCTAGGGTATTGACTCATTCGAAACGTGGTGGCTCATGCCTGTAATCCCAGCACTTTGGGAAGCTGAGGCAGGGGGATCAGTTGAGGCCAGGAGTTCAAGACCAGCCTGGGCAACATGGTGGAATCCCTTTTCTACAAAAAGTACAAAAACTAGCCGGGTGTGGTGGTGGGCACCTGTAGTCCCAGCTACTCAGGAGGCTGAGGCGGGAGAATCGCTTGAACCCGGGAGGCAGGAGAGGCGGAGGTTGCAGTGAGCCGAGATCACCCCACTGCTCTCCAGCCTGGGCAACAGAGTGAGACCTCAGGTGATCCACCCGCCTCAGCCTCCCAAAGTGTTGGGATTACAGGCGTGAGCCACCACACCTGGCCAGCTCACATTTATTTCAGTATTTGATATGAGAAGTGTTTGGGGGTCTTTATTTAGAAGTTTGGTGATATTTTGGTGATCAGAAATATGCCATAGGAGCTTAACCCTTGTTATGTCAATTAGCCTATGGAAAGATTGGTTTTTGTTATATGTTGTTTCTCTGAAATTCAAAGTTTCCAAGAACCTATGGAGAATGTTAAGTGAGGACTTCCTGTATACCAGATGAGTTGAAGAAAAGAAAATTTCAAGATGTGAGTGAGAAAGCAACTAGGGTTTTACAATGAGATCTCATCTTTGTCCAAAAAAAAAAAAAAAAAAAAAAAAAAAAAAAAAGCCGGGCGCGGTGGCTCACGCTTGTAATCCCAGCACTTTGGGAGGCTGAGGCAGGCAGATCACCTGAGGTTGGGAGTTCGAGACCCAGCCTGACCAACATGGAGAAACCCTGTCTCTACTAAAAATACAAAATTAGCCAGGCATGGTGGCACATGCCTGTAATCCCAGCTACTCAGGAGGCTGAGGCAGGAGAATCACTTGAACCCGGGAGGTGGAGGTTGCGGTGAGCTGAGATCGCGCCATTGCACTCCAGTCTGGGCAACAAGAAGGAAACTCCATCTCAAAATAAATAAATAAATAAATACAACCCAACCGGGGGATGGGAGAGGGAGAGCATTAGGAGATATACCTAATGTAAATGACAAGTTAATGGGTGCAGCACACCAACATGGCACATGTATACATATGTAACAAACCTGCACATTGTGTACATGTACCCTAGAAGTTAAAGTACATTAAAAATATATATATATATATATATATATATATATATATATAAAATACAACCCAACCAAAAACAGTTCACATATGTGTTGGTTGTGTGCCCTTGAGAAATTTCCTTAGCTTCTCTGTTTGTCAACACCATGGAGATAATAACAGTATGGGGTTTTTGTAAAATATAGTGTGTATGTAAAGTCCTGGTCCTTGCTTTGTAGTAAATGTTCAATACATGTCAGCAACTTATCAGAAAAAGGCATGGAAGGACATTGCCAATCGAGAAAAATGATAAGACAAGTCTCAATCATTTTAGGTTTATTTGCCAAAGCTAAGGAAGTGCGCCCATGACACAGCCTCAGGAAGTCCTAATGACATGTGCCCAAGGTGATTGGGACACAGCTTGGTTTTATACATTTTAGGGAGACATGAGACATCAGTCAATATATGTAAGAAGTACACTAGTTTCATGCAGAAAGACAGGGACAACTCTTGAAGCTGGGAGGGGGCTTCCAGGTCACAGGCAGGTGAGAGAGAAATGGTTGCATTCTTTTGGTTTCTGATAAGCCTTTCCAAAGGAGGCAATCAGAATATGCATTAATTTCAGTGAGCAGAGGGATGACTTCGAATAGAATGAGACAGATTTGCCCTGAGCAGTTACCAGCTTGAAGGGGCTGAAGATATTTTCCTTTCACAACATAAACCAGGATGCAGAAGCTGGTTACCAGGTGGAAGGAGGAAAGAAAACAAAATAACATTAAAATAGATAGCTGTGAAAAATCATTATAATAGCATAAATATTATGATCCACTTTGGTAGAATTACGTGTGTGTGTGTAGTGCTAACTGTACAGTGGTAGGATTTCAAGTCATTAATAATTTTTTCTTTTTTTCTTTTTCTTTTTCTTTCTTTTTTTTTTTTTTTTTTTAATATGGAGTCTTGCTCTGTCACCCAGGCTGGAATGCAGTGGCATAATCTCAGCTCACTGCATGCAACCTCTGCCTCCCAGGTTCAAGTGATTCTCCTGCCTTAGCCTCCCAAGTAGCTGGGATTATGGGTGCATGCCACCACACCCGGCTAATTTTGTGTTTTTAGTAGAGATGGAGATTCGCCATGTTGGTCAGGCTGGTCTCGAACTCCTGACCTCCAGTGATCCACCTGACTCAGCCTCCCAAAGTGCTGGGATTACAGGCGTGAACCATTGCACTTGGCCTTTTTATTTTTATTTTTCTTTCTTTCTTGTTTTTTTTTTTTTTTGAGATAGAGTCTCGCTCTGTCACCCAGGCTGGAGTGCAATAGTGCGATTTCGGCTCACTGTAACCTCTGCCTCCCAGGTTCAAGTGATTCTCCTGCCTTAGCCTCCCAAGTAGCCGGGATTACAGGCGTCCGCCGCCATGCCCAGCTAATTTTTTGTATTTTTAATAGGGATGGCGTTATGCCATGATGGCCAGGCTGGTCTCAGAGTCCTGACCTCAGGTGATCTGCCTGCCTTGGCCTTCCAAAGTGCTGGAATCACAAGCGTGAGACACCGCGTCCAGCCCCAAACCATTTGAAAGTTAGCTGCACACAGTAATACCTTTCAATTCTAAATAATTCTAAATAATTCCCTAATATTCTAAATACTTCCCTAATATTGCTTAATATCCAGTCCATATTTAATTTTCCCCAGTTGTCCTATACATCTTTTTTTTTTTTTTTTTTTTTTTTTTGAGACGAAGTCTCACTTTGTTGCCCAAGCTGGAGTGCAGTGGCGAGATCTCGGCTGACTGCAACCTTCACCTCTCGGGTTCAAGCGGTTCTCCTGCCTCAGCCTCCCGAGTAGCTGGGACTACAGACATGTGCCACCATGCCTGGCAAATTTTTGTATGTTTAGTAGAGACAGGGTTTCACTATGTTGACCAGGCTGGTCTTGAACTCCTGACCTTGTGATCCGCCCCCCTCGGTCTCCCAAAGTGCTGGGATTACAGGCATGAGCCACTGCGCCCGGCTCCCATACATCTTTTATAACTTTTTTAAAACACAAGACTAAGTCCAGGCTCATTTATTCCATACGGTTGCACCTCTTTAGTCTGTTAAACTAAAACAGTGTGTTCATTTTATTTTTATTAATTAATTATTTGTTTTTTCAGACGGAGCCTCCCTTTTGTCATCCAGGTTGGAGTGCAGTGGCACGATATGGCTCAATGCAACCTCTGCCTCCTGGGCTCAAGCGATTCTCTTGCCTCAGCCTCCCAAACAGCTGGGACTATAGGCACCCACCACCATGCCCGGCTAATTTTTGTATTTTTAGTAGAGAGAGGGTTTCGCCATGTTGGCCAGGTTGGTCTCGAACTCCTGACCTCAGGAGATCCACCTGCCTTGGCCTCCCAAAGTGCTGGGATTATAGGCAGTGTGTTCATTTTAAATATGCCGACCCCCAGCACTTAAAGACGCCTGTAATCCCAGCATTTTAGGAGGCTAAGGCAGGAGAATCACTTGAGTTCAGGAGTTTGAGATCAGCCTGGACAGCATAGTGAGACCCCCTTCAATCTCTACAAAAATAAAAATAAAAATATTAGGCAGGCATGGTGGCAGTGTTTTGTTTTGTTTTGTTTTGTTTTGTTTTTGAGACAAGGTTTCACTCTGTCACCCAGGCTTGAGTGCAGCAATGCAATCTCAGCTCTCTGTAGCCTTGGCCTCCCAGACTCAGATGATCCTCCCATCTCAGCCTCCTGGCAGATCACTTGAGACTGGGAGTTCAAGACCAGCCTGGGCAACATAGCAACACCACCTCTTGATTATAACATTATTACTTTTTGAAAAATGCCACCAGTTCATGTATTTAGACAACTTTATCACTATTGCTCAGGGGAAAAGCCTGTCTTGGTCTAGGAGAATTCCACAGAACATACTTTTATTTGGTAAAGTGGGAAATTCTAGGATCTGGTAGTGCATTAATCTAGTTACCAAAATGATACCACTCATACCACGCTTGGATTAGTAACTTTTCAAATAATTTGGAAACAAACAAAAAAACCGTTTAACATTAAAATTGAAAATAATTCCAACTTTGTTTCACTTGAAGAAGGCGGGTCCCAATCCTGTTGTGTTGCCAGTGTCCACGTTCCAGCTTTTTGCTAATCAACAAAGCCATCCTTTCTGTCTCACAAACTGTTCCCTGGACGTTTCACAATCTTTGTTGCACGCATTAGGGCTTTGTGGGTGATGATAAAAAGGGGATGTTTTGTTTCGTTTTATCATTAGGACCTTTAAAAGAGTAGCAAGTTATTCTGCTGGACTTCCCAAAATGTAGCTGGGAAGAACAATATAGCCGATCAAAAGCTGAAAATTACTTTCAAGGACTCAGGAAGGGAACGTGTGGTACGTGCTGCATGGTATCTGTTAAAATAGCCACTGTGCTGAAATCCCTTTGTGGGGAAAGGTAGAGATTTTTACAAATTCAAGACAAAATGTTACTTCTCTGGGTATGACCACAGTAACAAGGACACAGAAAAATAGGTCAGAACCAGAGGAAAGATGGGGTTATCTGTCCTGAGAATCAAAGCCTCCTATGGATCCTCACTCTGAGAGTGCCTGGGAATAAGAAGCTGAGTTTCATTGACAGCAGCAGGAAGTGCAGAGTGAGAAAAGCAGGAAGAAAGTTCTAGTAGCCACAGAAGTTAGTTGCTTTGACCACGGGCATGATACCAGAATTTCAGAAGTGACAGAAAAAGCAGGCAGACAGATGGCAGAGATGTTTGCTGGAACCCTCAAGCCCTAAGGAAGAGTCTTGATTATGTTATCATCACTTCTGAACACTTTAGTGACCATAGCTTTCAGTCTGTGAGGAAAAGCCCTGCTGGCCTTTGAGACTGGTGTGAGGGACTGTCCTGCTCTGGGAAATGTGGGAGGGCTAAATCGGAAAAGCCCAGGCAGGGTTTCTCTGGGCCACATTGGAAGAAGAATTGTTTTGGGCCACACGTAAAATGCACTAATACTAATGATAGCTGATGAGCTAAAAAACAAAACAAAAAAAACAAAAAAAAACCACAAAACATCTCATAATGTTTTATTTTAAGAAAGTGTTGGGCCACATTCAAAGCCGTTCTGGGTCACATACGACCTGCAGGCTGAGGGTTGCACAAGCTTGGCCTAGGGTTTCTTGGTGAGATGAAAGCTGTGATGGGGCTATTGAAGCCTAAAGCATCATTTTTCACTGTTGTTTTGGAGGGTAACCAATTAGCATTTTCTGCGTGGTTGTTTGGGCATCACAAGAAAAGGGCTTCTGAGAAAGCCCCGGCTCCTGGGACAACAGCACAGGTCACACCTTCAACCTCCAGCCCCTGCAATGCGCAAGGAGAGAACAATCATGCTTCCTGTGGCCATATTGGCACGATTGTTCCAACACCTTTATCACGGGCCATGGGTCACGGAGGGTCTCGGGCCCTGTCTGGCTCCTTCTTAGAATGCACATTTTCACAGCTCATGGGGCAGGTGCTGGTGAAACTGGCCCCTTCCCCAGGGAGCACTGATGCATTTCTAATACCAGGATGAAAACCAGTGCCAGGCCATGGAGACAAGCGATTTCTCAAATGCTGATGTCTTGCAGATGTAGTGGCCTGAATCTAGTTTTTTTTTTTTTTGAGACTGAGTTTCGCTCTGGAGTGCAGTGGCTGGAGTGCAGTGGCTCGATCTTGGCTCACTGCAACCTCTGCCTCCCAGGTTCAAGCAATTCTCTTGCCTCAGCCACCCGAGTAGCTGGAACTACAGGCATGTGCCACTACACCCAGCTAATTTTTGTATTTTTAGTAGAGACGGGGTTTCACCATGTTGGTTAGTCAGGAGGGTCTCAATCTCTTGACCTCCTGATCCGCCCGCCTCAGCCTCCCAAAGTGCTGGGATTACAGGCTGAGGCACTGCGCCGGCCTTTTTTTTTTTTTTTTTTAAGAGACATGGTCTGGCTATGTTGCCCAGGCTGGGGCACAGTGGTGTGACCTTGGCTCACTGCAGCCTTGACCTCCTGGGCTCAGGCAATAATTCTCCCACCTCAGCCTCCAGAGTAGCTGGGACTACAGGCACATGTCACCATGGCTGGCTAATTTTTTAATTTTTTGTAGAGACAGGGTCTCACTATGTTACCCAGGCTGGTCTTGAACTCCCCGCCTCAAGGGATTCTCCCATCTAGGCCTCCCAAATCATTAGGATTACAGTTGTAAGCCACAACACCCAGTCATGGTCTGAATCTGTAACTCACTATCCCAGTTATGACCCCAGGAAGCCTCAGATTTGCCATGTTAGAGTCTGTGTGGCCATCTGGTTTCGTGGGGCTGATGAAGATGTTTCTTAGCAGTTCTTAAATTCCCATGATGAGACATTAGCAATTGAGGCCCTTAAAGAGTTGTCTCCAACAAGCATAAGACAACCCAGTGTCTCACCAAAAAATTTCCCCCAGACTTACTTAAATACAGAAGGTGGCAGGGTACAGTGGCTCATGCCTGTAATCCTAGCACTTTGGGAGGTCAAGGTGTAAGGATCCCCTGTTCAAGACGAGCCTGGGCAACATAGCAAGACCCCATCTCTACAAAAAATTAAATAATAATAATAATAATAATAATAATAATAATAATAATAATGGTAATTAGCCTGGGCTGCAGTGAGCCATGAAGTGTGGAGACTTACTTGAGGCTGGGGTGTTGAGGCTGCAATGGGCCATGATCATGCCACTGCATCCAGGCTGGGTGACAGAGGGACACCCTGTCTCAAAATAATAATAATAATAATCTGTACATTGTGCCACTGCACTTACTCCTGCCTGGGTACACTCCAGCCTGAGTGACAGAGCAAGACTGTCTCACAGAAAAACAAAAGAAAAAATGCACAAAATATGTACAGATTTTTAACAAAATGTGTACAGTTTTTTTTTTTTTTTTTGAGACAGGGTATCACTCTGTCACCCAGGCTGCTGAATGGCAAAATCATGGCTCATTGCAGCCTTGACTTCCCAGCCTTAAGTAATTCTCCCTACCTCAGCCTCCCAAGTATCTGAAACTACAGGAGTGGATCATCGCTAATTTTTGTTTTGTTTTGTTTTTAGTAGAAACTGGGTTTTGCCATGATGCCCAGGTTGTTCTCGAACTCCTGGGCTCAAGTGATCCGTCCATCCTTGGCCTCTCAAAATGCTGGGATTACAGGTGTGGCTAACTTTTTTTTTTTTTACTTTTTGGTAGAGATGGGGTCTTGCTATGTTGCCCAGGATGGTCTTGAACTCAATCGATGCTCCCACCTTGGCCTCCCAAAGTGCTGAGATTACTGGCATGAGCCACTGTGCCCAGCCCATGTATAGAATTTTTAAAAAATGTATTATTTATTATTATTTTTTGTTTGTACAGAATTTTTATGATAATAATTGCAAAATGCCAATGCAAAAAATCAAAGGACAAAATCAATGTAGAGATATACCATGTCCAGGAGTTAGTAAAGTCAATACAATAAAGATGTCAGTCCTCCTAAGAGGATCTATAGGCTTAATGCAATTCCTACCAAAATCTCAGCAAGGTTTTTTTTGTAGGCACAAGCAAGCTTACTGTAGAATTAATATGGAAAGCAAAAGAACTAGAATGGCTAACACAATTTGGAAAAGAAGAATAAAATGAGTGGGCTCACTCCACTTGATGTTAGGGCTTACTGTATAGCTATAGTAATTTGGGTGGTGTGGTATTCGTGAAGGAATAAACATCTAGATCAGTGGAATGGAATAGAGAGCTCAGAAAATAGATACACACACAAATTTTATTTTATTTATTTTTTTGTGTGTGTGTGATGGAGTCTTACTCTGTCTCCCAGGCTGGAGTGCAGTGGTACAATCTCGGCTCACTGCAACTGCCTCCTCTTGGGTTCAAGCAATCCTCCCACCTGAGTCTCCCAAGTAGCTGAGATTACACAAGCGTGTGCCACCACACCCAGCTAATTTTTGTACTTTTAGTAGAGATGGGGTTTCACCATGTTGGCCAGGCTGGTCTCGAACTCCTGACCTCAGTGATCCGCTGGCCTCAGCCTCCCAAAATGCTGGGATTACAGACATGAGCCACCACACCCAGCCTAGCCACCAGATTTTTGACCAAAGGTGTAAAAGCAATTCAATGGAGGAAATACAGTCTTTTCAACAAACGGAGCTGGAGCTATTGGACATCCACGGGCAAAGAAAAAAAAAAAAACCTTGGGCACACTTTATAGAAAAACTACCTCAAAGTGAATCAGAGTTAAATGCAAAATGTCAACCTGCAAACTTTTAGAAAAAAAAATGTAGCAGAAAATCTTTGGGGTCACAAGCTAGGCAGACTTCTTAGACTTGACACCAAAAGCATGATCCATAAAAAAATTGGATTAACTGGACATCATCAAAATTTGAAACTTTTGGCCAGGTGTGGTGTGGCTCATGTCTGTAATTGTAGCACACTGGGAGGCCCAGGAAGAACTGCTTGAGACCAGGAGTTTGAGAGCAGCCTGAGCAACATAGTGAGACCCCGTTTCTACAAAACAAAGAAACAAACAAAAACTAAAAAACTTTTGCTCTGCTGAGGACCCCATTAAGAGGATGAAAAACATCTGCAAACTACATACCCTATGAATGACTAGGATTTTGAATATATAAATAACTTTCAAAATTCAATAGTAAACAAAAAATCCAATGAAAAAATCTCTACAAGAGATGAACAGACAATTCCCAAAAGGATATACAGATGAAAAATATTCACATGAAAATATATTTTAAGGGCTGTGTGTGCTGGCTCACCCTTATAATCCCAGCACTTTGGGAGGCCAAGGTGGGAGTATCACTTGATCCTAGGAGTTCGAGGCCAGTGTAGGCAATATGGCGAGATGCTGTCTCTATTAAAAAAAAAAAAAGAAAGAAAATTAGCCAGACATGGTGTTGTGCGCCTGTGGTCCCAGCTACTCTGGAGGCTGAGGTGGGAGGATCACAAAAAATACAACCCTGTACATGAATGTTCATAGCAGCTTTATTTGTAATAGCCACAAAGTGAAACAGCCCAAATGCCTTTTCAACAATAGGGATGAATGTTTATCTCTGTGATATGTCCATACTATGGAACAGTGCTCAGCAATACAAAGGAGCAAACCCTTGATACATGCAACGATTTGGATGGATTTCCACGAGATTATGCTGAGTGAAAAAGCCAATCTGAAAAAATTGCATATTGTATGATTTCTTTTATACAATAACCCTGAAATAAGAAAATAGAGATTAGGTGCTGCGAGGGATTAGGGTGGTGGAGAAGGTAGGTGTCTGTTCCATTTATAAAGGGGTAGCACAAGAGAGCTTTGTGGGGATGGAAGCCTTCTCTGTCTTGAATGTGGTAGTGGTTACATGTGAAATAACTGAATGGAATTAAACTCACACACATAAGTGCACACAAAACTGGTGAAATCTGAATACGCTCTGGATTGCAGCAATGTTAATATCCTGGTTTTGACATGGTACTATAGTTATGCCGGATGTTACCATTTGGGGAATTGAGTGAAGAGTGCATGGGTCCTCCCTAGATAATTTTTGTTACCACTGCATGTGAATTTATCATAATAATAATAACATTATTATTATTATTATTATTATTATTTTGAAACAAGGTCTCGCTCTGTCGCCCAGGCAGGAGTACAGTGGCATGATCTGGGCTCACTGCAACCTCCCCTTCCTGGGTTCAAGTGATTCGTGTGCCTCAGCCTCCCAAGTAGCTGGGATTACAGGGGTGTACCACCACAACCGACTAAGTTTTGTATTTTTAGTAGAGACAGGGTTTCCCCATGTTGCCCAGGCTGGTCTCAAACCCCTGACCTCAGGGGATCCACCCACCTCAGCCTTTCAAAGTGCTGGGATTACAGGCGTGAGCCACCAGGCCTGGCCTTCACTTTTTTTTTTTTCCAAGACAGGTTCTCCGTCGGTTGCCCAGGCTGGAGTGCAGTTGCACAATCACAGCTCACTGCAGCCTTGACCTCTTGGGTTCAAGCGGTCCTCCCACCTCAGCCTCCTGAGTAGCGGGGACTGCAGGCTCACACCAACAGGCTCAGCTAGTTTTTATATATTTTGTAGAGCCAGGGACTCCCTATGTTGCCCAAGCTGGTCTGGAACTCCTGGGCTCAAGCAATCTGTCCACCTCAGCCACCTAAAGTGCTAGAATGACAGGCATGAGCCACTGTGCCCGACTAGAAAGGATATTATTGAGACAAGTGGTAAAACTTGAATGGAGTTTGAGGATTAGATGGTAGCAACATATTACATCATTTCCTGATTTTGATGGCTGTATTTTGGTTATATAAGAGCACGTTCTCATTTGTAGGAAATACACATTAAAGCATTCAGGGCTGATGAGGCATCAGGTTAGCAACTTAATTTTTTTTTTTTTTTTTTTGAGATGGAGTCTTGCACCGTTGCCTGGGCTGGAGGGCAATGACACGATCTTGGCTCACTGCAACCTCTGCCTCCCGGGTTCAAGTGATTTTCCTGCCTCAGCCTACCGAGTAGCTGGGATTACAGGCGCCCGCCACCACGCCCAGCTAATTTTTTGTTATTTTTAGTAGAGATGGGGTTTCACTATATTGGCCAGGCTGGTCTTGAACTCCTGACCTCGTGATCCACCCCCCCACCACCCTTGGCCTCCCAAAGTGCTGGCATTACAGGCGTGAGCCACCATGCATGGCCTTTAATTTTTTTTTTTTTCTAACCCAAGTATGTGACCAAGCACTTTAATTTTAAGTAGTTCAAAAAGAAAAGTTATGTGTACTATACCTGTGACTTTTCTGTAAGCTTGGGATTTTTTCAAAGCAATATATTGTTTAAAACATCAACCAAGGTTATCTGCACAATTTTTTTTTTTTTTTTTGAGACAGAGTTTCATTCTTGTTGCCCAGGCTGGAGTGCAATGGCACGATCTCGGCTCATTGCAACCTCTGCTTCCTGGGTTCAAGCAATTTTCCTGCCTCAGCCTCCCGAGTAGCTGGGATTACAGGCGCGTACCACCACACCGGACTAATTTTTGTATTTTTAGTAGAGATGGGGTTTTGCCGTGTTGGCCAGGCTGATCTTGAACTCCTGACCTCAGGTGATCCACCTACCTTGGCCTCCCAAAGTGCTGGGATTACAGGAATGAGCCACTGCGCCAGGCCTGTTTTTTTGTTTTTGCTTTTTGTTTTGCTTTGTTTTTGAGACAGGATCTCGCTCTGTTGCCCAGGCTGGAGTGCAGTAGCGCTATCTCAGCTCACTGCAGCTTCTGCCTCCTGGGTTCAAGCGATTCTCGTGTCTCAGCCTCCCCAGCAGCTGGTACTACAGGCGTGTGCCACCTCGCCTGCCTAAGTTTTGTATTTTTGGTAGAGACTGGGTTTCACCATGTTGCCTAGGCTGGTCTCGAACTCTTGACCTTAAGTGATCCTCCCACCTTGGTCTCTCAAAGTGCTGGGATTACAAGCATGAGCCACCACACCTGGCACTTTTTATTTTTTTAAACTAAAAAAGAAAGGCTAGGCTTGATGGCTCAAGCCTGTAATCCCAGTACTTTGAGAGGCTGAGGTGGGAGGATTGCTTGAGGCCAACAGTTTGAGACCAGCTATGCCACTTCATACGCTTGCTATATTGATAGCAAGACCCTGTCTCTACAAAAACTTTAAAAATTAGCTGGGCGTGGTGGTGCATGCCTGTAGTCCTAGCTACTGAGGAGGGTGAGGTGGGAGGAAGGCCTGAGACTGGGAGGTAGAGGCTGCAGTGAGCTATAATCCAGCCACTGCACTTCAGCCTAGGCAACTGAGTGAGACTCTGTCTGTAATTTAAAAACAAAAACAAACAAAAACTACCTAGTGGAATCTGTAAGATACAGCTAAATTGAAACAAGAAAAATCATTGCCTCAAAAACTTACCTTAACAAGAAAAAAGTGATGATGAATGAATTGACTATCCAATTCAAGAAGGAAGAGGGGACGGGGCGCGATGGCTCACGCCTGTAATCCCAGCACTTTGGCAGGCCGAGGCGGGCAGATCACCTGAGGTCAGGAGTTCAAGACGAGCCTGGCCAACTTGGTGAAACCCCGTCTCTACTAAAAATACAAAAGTTAGCCGGGCGTGGTGGTGCATGCCTGTAATCCCAGCTACTCGGGAAGCTGAGGCAGGGGAATCACTTCAAACCCAGGAAGTGGAGTTTGTAGTGAGCCGAGATCGAGCCACTGCACTCCAGCCTAGGCGACAAAGTGAGACTCCTTGTCGAAAAAAAAAAAAAGAAGCAGAAGGAATAAATAGATAAAAGAAGAGATTAAATTATAAAATTGAAAAAGCAATAGCCCAAATATATAATTTCAAATAATTTTCCTTTGGACAATAAATATGGATAAGTCATTAGTGAATTAATTTGAACAAATACAGATAGTAAGGAGTACAAGAGAAGGGCCAGATGCAGTGGCTCATGCCTGTACCTTGGGAGGCCAAGGCGGGCGGATCACCTGAGGTCGGGAGAAAAAAAAAGGTGTTAATACAGTAGGAATAGTAGTTGAATTGTACTTATTATTATTATTATTGCTTTTTGTTTGTTTGTTTTTGAGACAGAGTCTCCCACTGTCACCCGGGCTGGAATGCAATGGTGCAATCTCGGTTCACTGCAACCTCCGCCTCCTGGGTTCAAGCAATTCTCCTGCCTCAGCCTCCCGAGTAGTTGGGATTACAGGTGCACACCACCACACCCAGCTAATTTTTTGTATTTTTAGTAGAGGCAGGGTTTCACTATGTTGGCCAGACTGGTCTCGAACTATTGACTTGGTGATCCGCCCCCCTCAGCCTCCCAAAGTGCTGGGATTACAGGCGTGAGCCACCGCTCCCGGCCAAATTTTATTTTTTAATGTTTGTTTGAGACAGGGTCTAGCTCTGTCTCCAGGCTGGAGAGCAGTGGTGCAATGATGGTTCACTGTGGCCTCAACATCCTGGGTTCAAGCGATCCTCCCACCTCAGCCTGGTGAGCAGCTGGGACTACAGGTGCTTGACACCAAGCCCAGCTAATTTTAAAAATTTTTTCGAAGAGGCTGGGTGCAGTGGCTCATGCCTGTAATCTCAGCACTTTGAGAGGCCAAGGTGGGTGGATCACTTGAGGCCAGGAGTTCAAGACCAGCCCTGCCAACATGGCAAAACCTGTCTCTACTAAAAGTACAAAAAATGAAAAAAAAAATTAGCTGGCCATGGTGGTGTGCCTGTGGTTCCAGCTACATGGGAGGCTGAAACATGGAATCGCTTGAACCCAGGAGGGGGAGGTTGCAGTGAGCTGAGATTGTGCCACTGCACTCCAGCCTGGGCGACAAAGTGAGACTACGTCTAAAAAAAAAAAAAAAAAAAAAGGCCAGGCGCTGTGGCTCACTCCTGTAATCCCTGTACTTTGGGAGGCCGAGGAGGGTGGATCACCTGAGATCAGGAGTTCGAGACCAACCTGGCCAACATGATGAAACTCCATCTCTACTAAAAATACAAAAAATTAGCTGAGTGTGTGTGGTGGCAGGTGCCTGTAATCCCAGCTACTCAGGAGGCTGAGGCAGGAGAATTGCTTGAACCCGGGAGGCAGAGGTTGCAGTGAGCCGAGATCGTGCCACTGCACTTCAGCCTGGGCAACAAGAGTAATACTTCGTCTCAAAAAAAATAAAAATTAAAAAATTTTAAAAATGGTTCTCCTGAGGCAGGAGAATTGCTTGAACCCGGGAGGCAGAAGTTGCAGTGAGCTGAGATTACATCACTGCATTGCAGCCTGGGCGACAGAGCGAGACCCTGTCTCACCTAAATAAATAAAGGAAAAGAAAAGAAAGCCATATCTCAACATATCATTTGTAATATAACGCAGGAAAATAATTCAGGAAATAAGCTTTTCAAAACACGGAACTGACACACCCACTCACTCACCCCAGTCGCCCATCATTCCTCACCCCGCAGACTCTCTATTAGTGACCCCATAGATAGACACAACTTGGCTTTCCCCTGCCCCTATACCTGAGCGAAGTCGTCATTCCTGACACAAGCCAGTGTCTAGGTGATTCGCTGTCCAAAGACCCCTTCTGCCTTACATCTGGCCCCGTCTCTCACTCCTGGCTTATATAATTGCTGCCTTTCGCATCCTCCTTAGCAGCTGTGAAGTCTCAGTTTGTCCACAGCCAATATGGCCTTGGTGGCCTTGAGGGTCTTGCTCCTTCGGGTGCTTGGGGGCTGTCCGTCTGTCCGCAGTGACGCCTCCCAAGGCGCAGCTTCTCCAGCAAGTGGGGCTCAGGTGTGGGGGCAGTGCAGGTGGCAGCCAGGGGTGGGGTGAGGTGGGGTTGGGCGTGGAGTTGGGCATGGAGTTGGGTAGACAGAGGTTGGAGTGTTGGAACTGTGTCTCACAATGTGACGTCTGGAGAACTCAAAGACATAAAACTCTAAAAACACATAAAGTCAATTATAGAGATATAAAAAGTCTATACACATACGTGATATATGTTGGATTTTAAGATCATTTTCATAAAAATTATTGAAACTTGTAACAGTTACAAGCCAGTTCGTTATACTTTTTATTACCTTTGGTTCATGTGCTTTAAGTTTCCATAATAAGAACTTTTTAAAAGGCTGAAGTGCAATGGTGTGATCTCAGCTTACTGCAACCTCTGCCTCCTGGGTTCAAGCAATTCTCCTGCCTCAGCCTCCCAAGTAGCTGGGATTACAGGCATGCACCACCATGCCTGGCTAATTTTATTTTATTTTATTTTTTTAGACAGAGTCTCACTCTGTCACCCGGGCTGGAGTGCAGTGGCGCGATCTCGGCTCACTGCAACCTCTGCCTCCCGGGTTCAAGCGATTCTCCTGCTTCAGCCTCCCAGGTAGCTGGGATTACAGGCGCCTGCCACCGCGTCTGGCTAATTTTTTGTATTTTTAGTAGAGACGGGGTTTCACCATGTTGGCCAGGCTGGTCTCAAATTCCTGACCTCGTGATTCGCCTGTCTCGACCTCCCAAAGTGCTGGGATTACAGGCTTGAACCACTGCGCCCAGCCCTATTTTTGTATTTTTAGTAGAGACGGAGTTTCACCATGTTGGTCAGGCTGGTCTCGAACTCCTGGCCCTCAGGTGATCCACCTGCCTCAGCCTCCCAAAGTGCTGAGATTACAGGTGTGAGCCACTGCGCCTGGCCCTTCTTATTTACTTTTGAGATAGGGTCCCATTGTGTCACCCAGGCTGGAGTGTAGTGGCGCAATTTCCGCTCATTACAGCGTTCACCTCCCCAGCTCAAGCAATCCTCCCACCTCAGCCTCCTGAGTACCAGCTCAACTAGTTTTTGTATTTTTTGTAGAGACAGGGTTCTCCCTATATTGTCCAGGCTGGTCTGGAACTCCTGGGCTCAAGCAACCTGCCCACCTCAGCCTCCCAAAGTGGTGGGATTACAAGTATGAACCACTGCCTGGTTACATGTAGTATTGACCTTATATCCTTCTGCATCTGTGATTGCATTTCCTTATATATATGTATGTGTAGTGTGTGTGTGTGTGTGTATGTGGTGTGTGTGTGTATCCTACTCATGTATTGCTGTATAACAGATTACCCCTCACCATGTTGGCAGAGGGTGTGCTTCTGTTGTACCAAATGGAAACCACCTGAGATGGCACCCATCACCTAGAAGCCACCCACCGACAAAGCCACGCTAACACTGAGGTACCAGAAATAAGGAAAGTCCTTATGACTCTGAGAGACCTGAAGGGGGTTTGTGGGGTGAGTGGTGGGGTCTGTTTGGTAAGTAATGATATAGTCTATGAATACAATGATGGGGAAGTCTGTGGCCTGAGTGCTGGGGGTTCTGGCATCCTGTAGGCTGAGTGATGGACTCTGTGGGGTTAGGTATGCAGCGTTGGGGCAGTGAGTGACAGGAGTGGCTCCATCATGGCTTACTGCATCCTTGACCTCCTGGGCTCAAGCAATCCTCCCACCTCAGCCTCCTGAGTAGCTGGGACCACAGGCACGTGCCACGATGCCTGGCTAATTTTTTAGTTTTTTTGTAGAGGCGGGGTTTCACGTGCTGCCCAGGCTGGTCTTGAACTCCTGGGCTCAAGTGATCTGCCTGCTTCAACCTCCCAAAGTGCTGGGATTACAGGCATGACCCACCTCGCCTGGCCAATTTTCATTTCTCTAGGATAAATGCCCAAGAATGCAACTGCTACATTGTATGTTTAATTTTATAAGAAACTTACCAAACCATTTTCCAGGGCGGTTGTACCTTTCTGCATTAGCACTAGCAATCTAAGAATGATCAAGTTTCTCCATATCCTAGACACCATTTGGTGTCACTATATTTTATTTCAGGTGCTCCAGTATATGTATACTGATATCTCATTGTAGTCAAAATTTGTATTTCACTAATGGCCAGTGATGTTGAACATCTTTTCATGTACTTATTTGCCACCTGTATACCCTCTTTAGTGAAATATCTCTTCATGTCTTTTGGCCATTTTCCAATTGGATTATTTGTTTTTATCCGACTGAGTTTTGAGAGTTCCTTAAATATTCTGGAAAGTGGTCCTTTGTGAGATATATAGTTTGCCAATACAGTTTGTTCAGGTAAATGATAGGCATTTTAAAATTTGTATGTCTATATCTGTGATTAGATCTATGCAATATATCTCACAAAGTATATATCTCAAAACACGTTTATGAGCCTAATGGGTTTTATAGCATTATTTCCTTATTATCTTTGTAATGGCTTTGTAAGATGTATAGTTTGCCAATATTTTCTCCCGGTCTGTAACTTGTCTTTTCACCTTCCATCTTCACATGAGATTTTATAGAATAAAAGTTTTACATTTTTGATGAGGGACAGTTGATCAAGTTTTCCTTTAATAGATCATGCTTTTGGTGTCAAGTTTAAGAACTCTGGGCCGGGCGCAGTGGCTCATGCCTGTAATCCCAGCACTTTGGGAAGCTGAGGCGGGTGGATCATGAGGTCAAGAGATCAAGACCATCCTGGCCAACATGGTGAAACACCGTCTCTAATAAAAATAGAAAAAATTAGCTGGGCGTGGTGGCGCGTGTCTGTAGTCCCAGCTACTCGGGAGGCTGAGGCAGGAGAATGGCTTGAACCCAGGAGGCGGTGGTTGCAGCGAGCCGAGATCGTGCCACTGCACTCCAGCCTGGCGACAGAGCAAGACTCCGTCTCAAAAAAAAAAAAAAAAAGAACTCTGCCCATCTCCGCTGGGTGCGGTGGCTCATGCCTGTAATCCCAGCACTTTGGGAGGCCGAGGCGGGCAGATCACTTGAGATCAGGAGTTCGAGACCAGCTGGGCCAACATGGTGAAACCTCGTCTCTATTAAAAATACAAAAATTAGCTGGGCGGGGTGTTGTACGCCTGTAGTCCCAGCTACTCGGGAGGCTGAGGCAGGAGAATCGCTTGAACCTGGGAGGCGGAGGTTGCAGTGAGCCAAGATTGCACCACTGCACTCCAGCCTGGGTGACAATAGCAAAACTCCATCTCAAAACAAAAACCAAGAACTCTGCCCATCTCAAAATTCCAAAAAATTTTTTCCTATGCCTTTTTCCTACAAGTTTTATAGTTTTACATTTTGCACTAACTTTCGTGTAAGATGTGACTGAGTTTGAGGCTCAGTTTTTCCCTATGGATCTCCACTTGCTCCAGCACCAGTTGTTGAAAAGTCTATCCTTCTCCATTATATTGCTTTTGTAACCATACTTGTGTGGGGCTTCTTCTGGGTTTTCTATTCTGTTTCATTGATTTATGTGCCAATTCCTCCACCAATACCGCACTGTCATGATTAATGTGGCTATATCGTAAGCTTTAATACTGAATAGAATGATTCCTTCTACTTTGTTCTTCTATCTCAAAATTGCCTTAGCTATTCTAGTTCCTTTGTCATTCCGTATTAATTTGAAACAATTATTGTCTATGTCTGTGAAAAATCTTTGTTGGGATTTTGATAGGAATTGCATTAAACTTAGGTACCAATTTTGGGGAAAATGGGCATTTTTTTTTGAGATGGGGTCTCACTCTGTCACCTGGGTTGGAGTGTAGTGGGGCAATCTCGATTCACTGCCTCCACCTCCCAGGCTCAAGTAATCATCCCACCTCAGCCTCTGAGTAGCTGGGACTACAGGCATGTGCCACCATGCCTAGCTAATTTTTTTTTTTTTGGTAGAGATGGGGTTTTGCCATGTTTTCCAGGCTGGTCTTGAACTCCTGAGCTCAGGAGTTCCAGCCACCTTGGCCTCCCAAAGTGCTGGGATTACAGGCGTGAGCCACCATGCCCAGCCTGAAAATGGGCATATTTACTGTGTTGAGCTTTCCAATCCATGAACACAGCATGCCTCTCCATTTATTTAGTCTTTTTTTATTTTATCAGGATTTCGTAATTTCATCATATAGATCCTGTGTAAGTTTTGTTAGGTGTACACCCACATATTTCCTTTTCTTAGGACTAATTGTAAGTTGTATTGTATTTTAAATGTCAGTTTCTATATGTTTATTGTTAGTATACAGTGTGATTGTTTTGCTTGTTGATCTTTTTTTTTTTAGAGATGGGGTCTCCCTCTGTTACCCAGGCTGGAGTACAGTGACACAGTCATAGCTTACTGCAACTTTGAACTCCTGGGCTCAAGGGACCCTCCCACGTAGCTGGGACGACAGATGCATGCCACCATCCTTGGCCAACTCTGTTTCAGTAAAGATGGGGTCTTGCTATGTTGCCCAGGCTGGTCTCAAACTCCTGGCCTCAAGCAAGCCTCCTGCCTTAGCCTCTGGAATAGCCAGGATTACAGGTGCAAGCCACCACACCCAGCTCTTTCTTGTTTTTGCTTGTTGATCTTGTATTCAGCAATCTCACTGAGCTCCCTGATGAATTCTAGTCGGCTTTTTTTTTTTCTGTAGATTTCTTGGGATATTTTACATAGATAATCATATCATTTACAAATAGGGACAGTTTTATTTTTCCCTTTACAATTGGTATGCTTGTATTACCTTCCTTGTGTTATGGTGACTAGAACTTTTAGTACTATGTTGAATAAGAATGGTGAGAGAAGGCCGGGTGTGATGGCTCATGCCTGTAATCCCAGCACTTTGGGAGGCCAAGGAGGAGGATCACTTGAGTCCAGGAGTTGGAGACCAGCCTGGGCAATATGGTGAAACCCTGTCCCTACAAAAAACACAAAAATCAGCTGGGCATGGTGGCACACACCTGTGGCCCCAGCTACTTGGGAAGGCTGAGGTGGGAGGATCGCTTGAGCTTGAGAGGTCAAGACTGCAGTGAACTATAATCTCGCCACTGCATTCCAGCCTAGGTGACAGAGTGAGACCCTGTCAAAAAATAATAATAATAATAAATAATAATAAAAATAAAAAATAAAAAAAAGAAGAAAAGAAAAAGAATGGTGAGAGAAGACATTTTTGCTCCCTATCTTAGGGGGAATAATTCAGTCTTTCACCAATAATGTGATGTTAGCTGTAGGTTTTTTGTAGATGCTCTTTATCAAGTTGAGGGCATTCTCCTCTATTTCTAACTTGCTGAGACTTTTTTTTTTTTTTTTTTTTGAGATGGAGTCTCGCTCTGTCACCCAGACTGGAGTGCAGTGGCTCAATCTCAGCTCACTGCAACCTCCGCCTCCTGGGTTTGAGCAATTCTCCTGTCTCAGCCTCCTGAGTAGCTGGGACTACAGGTGCCCACCACCACACCTGGCTAATTTTTGTATTTTTAGTAGAGACGGGGTTTCACCACATTGGTCAGGCTGGTCTCGAACTCCTGACCTCAGGTGATCCACCCACTTTGGCCTTACAAAGTGCTGGGATTACAGGCATGAGCCACTGCGCCCAGCTGCTGAGACTATTTTTTAAAAAACAAGAATTTGTGTTGGATTTTTTCAGATGTCTTCTCTACATCTACTAATGTGATTGTATAATTTTTCTTCTTAGGTTGTTAATATGGTGGATGATATTGATTGATTGTCAATATTGAACCAATATGCAATATTAAACCAATATTGCATATCTTGAATTAATCTCACTTGGTCATGGTTTATAGCTCTTTTAATACATTGTTGTATTTGGTTTGCTAATATTTTGTTGAGGATTTTTGTGTCTGGGTTCATAAAGGATATTGGTTTGCAGATTTCTTTCTTTCTTTCTTTCTTTCTTTCTTTCTTTCTTTCTTTCTTTCTTTCTTTCTTTCTTTCTCTCTCTCTCTCTCTCTTTCTTTTTTTCTTTTTTTAGATGAAGTCTCGCTCTATCACCCGGGCTGGAGTGCAGTGGCGCGATCTCGGCTCACTGCAATGTCCACCTCCCGGGTTTGAAGTGATTCTCCTGCCTCAGCCTCCCGAGTAGCTGGGATTACAGGTGTGCACCACCACGCCCAACTAATTTTTGTATTTTTAGTAGAGACGGGGTTTCACCATATTGGTCAGGCTGGTCTCGAACTCCCGACCTCAGGTGATCTGCCCACCTCAGCCTCCCAAACTACCGGGATTACAGGTGTGAGTCACCGCTCCCGGCCAGATTTATTGTTTAATGTTGGCATTGGCTGAGTGCAGTGGCTCATGCCTGTAATCCCAGCACTTTGGGAGGCTGAGGCAGGTGGATCACAAGGTCAGGAGCTTGAGACCAGCCTGACCAACATGGTGAAACCCCGTCTCTGCTAAAAATACAAAAATTAGCCGGGTGTGGTGGCAGGTACCTGTAGTCCCAGTTACTCGGAAGGCTGAGGCAGGAGAATTGCTTGAACTGGGGAGGCGGAGGTTGCAATGAGCCAAGATCTTGCCATTGCACTCCAGCCTGGGCGACAGAGCGCAACTCCATCTCAAAAAAAAAAAAAAAGTTGGCATTGCCTGTTTTTGTCTCGGGGTAATTCTAATGTCATAAAAGGAGTTGAGAAATGTTCTCTTCTGTTTTCTATAAGTGATTACGTAAAAGTGCTGTTAATTCTTCTTTAAATGTTTGGTAGAAATCTCCAGTGAAACCATCTAGATTTGGAGATTTCATTTCTTTGAGCTTTTAAATTATAAATTCATTTAAATTTATTTAATGGTCATTCAGATTATTTACTTCATCTTAGTTAAGTTTTGGTAGTTTGGGATATCTGAGGAATTGGTCCATTTTGTCTAAGTTATCAAGTTTATGAGCAGAACGTGTTTTGTAGTATTATTCTCTTATTATCTTTGTAATGTCTTCAGAATCAGCAATGATAAGCCCTATTTTATTTCTGATATTTGTGATTTGTGTCTTTTAATATTTGTCAGTCTTCCTAGAGGATTATAAATTTTATTGAACTTTTTTTTTTTTTGAGACAGAGTCTTACTCAGTCGCCCAGGCTGGAGTGCAGTGGCGCAATCTCGGCTCACTGCAACCTCCGCCTCCCAGGTTCAAATGATTCTTCTGCCTCAGCCTTCCAAGTAGCTGAGATTACAGGTGCCCGCCACCATGCCCAGCTAATTTTTGTATTTTTAGTAGAGACGGGGTTTCACCATGTTGGTCAGGCTGGTCTTGAACTCCTGACCTCAGGTGATCTGCTCATGTTGGCCTCCCAAAGTGCTGGGATTACAGGCATGAGCGAACTTTTTGAATTACCAGTTTATTTATGCTTTTTTTTTTTTTATTTGAGTCAGGGTCTCACTTTGTCGCCCAGGCTGGAGTGCAGTGGCGAAATCTGGCTTGCTGCAGCCTCGACCTCCCAGACTCAAGTGATCCTCCCACCTCAGCCTCCTGAGTAGCTGGGACTACAGGTGTGCACCACCACACCCAGCTAATTTTTTAATTTTTCTGTAGAGACAGGGTCTTACTATGTTGACCAGGATGGTCAAACTCCTGACCTCAAGGGATCCTCCCACCTTGGCCTCCAAAAGTGCTGGGATTACAGGCATGAGCTCAACCTGATTGTGTTTTGAACATCTTCTATAACCTTGCTGATTTATGTCTAGTAGTTATATAAGATGGGGAGCAGTGGGTATTGATGTTTCCAACTATAATTGTGGATATAAGAATTTCTCCTTTTAGCTCTATCATTTTTTGCTTAATGTATTTTGAGGCTCTGTTGTTTAGTGCATAAATAATTAGGATATTTATGATTTGCTGGTGGATTGATTGGTACTTCTATCATTATGCAATATTTCTCTTTTTCTCTAGTAATTTTCTTTTCTCTGAAGTCTACCTTATCAGGTTTTAATAAAGCCACTTCATTATTTTTCATTAATATTTGCATGGTATAGCTTTTTTTTTTTTTTTTTTCTTTTTTGAGGCAAGGTCTTGCTCTGTTGCCCAGGCTGGAGTGCCGTGATGTGATTATGGCTCACTGCTGCTTCGACCTCCTGGGCTCAAATGATCCTCCCACCTCAGCCACCTGAGTAGCTGGGACCACAGGTATGCACCACCACACCCGGCTAATTTTTTGATTTTTTTGTAGAGATGAGGTCTGGCTATGTTATCTGGGCTGGTCTTGAACTCCTGGACACAAGCAATCCTCTTGCCTCAGCCTCCCAAAGTGCTGAGATTACAGGTATGAGCCACCCAGCCCGGCTAAATGTCTGTCTTTGAATTGGCATGTTTAGACCATTTACATTTGAGGCAGTTATTGCTATGTCAACACTTGTGTTTTTCATTTTATTATTTGTTTTCTGTTTGTTTTCTTTGGTTCTTGGTCCTTTGTTTTTCTTGTCTTACTGTGGGTTACTTGAATACTTTTTAGAATTCTATTTTGATTTATTTAATGTTTTCGAGTGTATCTTCTTCCTTGCATAGTTTTCATAGTGATTGTTCTGGGTATTAAAATACGCATGTGTCTCTTAGTCTCTTGTCACAGTCTACTGTGTTTTTTTTTTTTTTTTAGAAGGAGTTTTGCTCTTGTTCCCCAGGCTGGAGTGCAATGGAGCGATCTCGGCTCATGCAACCTCCGCCTCCCCGGGTTTAAGTGATTCTCCTGCCTCAGCCTCCTTAGTAGCTGGGATTACAGGCGCCCGCCACCACGCCCAGCTAATTTTTTGTATTTTTAGTAGAGACAGGGTTTCATTATGTTGGCCAGGCTGGTCTCGAACTCCTGACCTCAGGCAATCCACCCGTCTCAGCCTCCCAAAATGCAAGGTTTACAGGCGTGAGCCACCACTCCCAGCTCAGTCTACTGTGTCAATAACGGTGTCTTTTTTTTTTTTTTTAAATAGTGGTAATCTTCCTGCTATTAACCGTGTCTTTTACTTTCTGTTTTCTGATCCTTTACCATCTGGAGCTTTGCTGACTATGGAGGAGCTGTCCCTTCCAGGCTTCACCAATTCCTAGAGATAGTAGGCAACTTGTCCCTGGGTGTACCTTTCAAATGCAAACCAGCCAATCCAGAGTCTGTAACCCCAACCATCTCTTCTATGGGGCTGTCACATTCTTGGCCACTATCCCTCTGTCCTAACCATGCCAGGGGCAGGCAACTAGAAACTGTCTCTATGCCCCATATGCTGAAATTATTCAAACAAGCTAATCCTAAACCTTCTTACCCTGCATTGCCAGAGACAGAGAGATGGAGATGCATGTTATGGTGTCTTTTTTTTTTTGAAACAGAGTCTTGCACTGTCGCCCCAGCTGGAGTGCAGTGGTGCGATCTCAGCTCGCTGCAACCTCCACCTCCCGGGTTCAAGCAATTCTCCTGCCTCAGCCTCCTGAGTAGCTAGGATTACAGGCATGTGACACTACGTCTGGCTGATTTTTTGTATTTTTAGTAGAGATGAGGTTTCACCATGTTTGCCAGGTTATTCTTGAACTCCTGACCTTGCGATCCACCCGCCTCGGCCTCCCAAAGTGCTGGGATTACAGGCGTGAGCCACCATGCCTGGCCTTTTTTCTTTCTTTTTTTTTTTTTTTTTGAGGCAGGGTCTCACTCTATTGCCCCGGCTGGAGTGCAGTGACATGATCTCAGCTTACTACAACTTGTGCCTCCCAGGTTCAAGCAGTTCTCCCGCCTCAGCCTCTCTAGTAGGGATTACAAGTGTGTGCCACCACGCCCAGCTAATTTTTTGTACTTTTTAGTAGAGACAGGGTTTCACCATGTTGGCCAGGCTGGTCTTGAACTTCTGACCTCAAGTGATCCACCTGCCTTGGCCTCCCAAAGTGCTGGGATCACAGGCATGAGCCGCCGTGCCTGGCCTGGTGTCTCTCTCTCTTTTTTTTTTTTTGTGGAGATGGAGTTTCGTTCTTGTGCCCAGACTGGAGTGCAATGGCGTGATCTTGGCTCACTGCCACCTCTGCCTCTGGGGTTCAAGCGATTATCCTGCCTCAGACTCCTGAGTATCTGGGATTACAGGCGCCTGCCACCATGCCCAGCTAATTTTTTGTATTTTTAGTAGAGACGGGGTTTCACCGTGTTAGCCAGGATTCCTTCCCTCCCTTCCCTCCCTTCCCTCCCTTCCTTCCTTCCCTCCCCACTCTTCCTTCTTTTTTCTTTCCTTCTTTCTCTTTTTCCCTTCCTTTCTTTCTTTCTTTCTCTCTTTCTTTCTTTCCTTCCTTCCTTTCCTTCCTTCCTTCTCTCTCTCTCTTTCTTTTTTCCCTCCCTCCCTCCCTTCTTTCCTTCCTTCCTTCCTTCCTTCCTTCCTTCCTTCCTTCCTTCCTTCTTTCTTCTTTCCTTCTTTCTAAGGGTCTGGCTCTGTCTCCCAGGCTGGAGTGCAGTGGCGCAATTCCCGCTCACTGCATCCTCCACCTACTGGGCTCAAGTGATCCTCCCACCTCAGCTTCCTGAGTAGCTGAGACTATAGGTGCATGCCACCATGCCTGGCTAATTTTTGTATTTTTTTTTTTTTTTGGTAGATGTGGGGGTTTCACCATGTTGCTCAGGCTGGTCTTGAACTCCTGGGCTCAAGCAATTTGCCCACCTTGGCATCCCAAAGTGCTGTGATTACAGGTGTGAGCCACCGTGACCAGCCAAACTATCTTTTCAATGGCAGTTATCTACTGACCTGTTGGCCTTATGGCATCTGAATAAGAAACACCTATTGTCTTCCTTTGTTTAGGCTGCTCTCTCAA
This sequence comes from Homo sapiens, assembly GCF_000001405.40. NCBI lineage: Eukaryota > Metazoa > Chordata > Mammalia > Primates > Hominidae > Homo > Homo sapiens. The sequence goes on from NC_000023.11 coordinate 47,347,980, forward strand.
AATATCATAGACTGGGTAATTTGTAAACAACAGAAATGTACTGCTTACAATTCTGGAGGCTGGGAAATCCAAGATCAAGGAGGCGGCAGATTCAGTGTCTAATGAGGACTCATTCCTCATGGATGGTGCCTTCTATGTCTTCTCGCATGGCAGAAGGGGACAACAAGCTCCTTCAGGCCTCTTTCATAAGGTCACATCACTAAATCCTACTTATGAGTGCAGAGCCTTTATAATCTATTCACCTCCTACAGGCCCAACTCTTAATACTATTGCTCTGGAGATTAAGATTTACTGTATGAGTTTTGTATGAATTCAGAATATATATATATATATATTTGTTTGTTTCTTCCTTTTTTGTTTTTTGAGACAGAATCTCACTCTGTCTCCCAGGCTGGAGTGCAGTGGTGCAATCTCGGCTCACTGCTACCTCCGCCTCCTGGGTTCAAGCAATTCTCCTGCCTCAGCCTCCCAAGTAGCTGGGATTACAGGCATGCACCACCACGCCCAGCTAATTTTTGTATTTTTAGTAGAGATGGGGTTTCATCATGTTGGTCAAGGTGGTCTTGAACTCCTGAGCTCAAGTGTTCCACCCACCTCAGCCTCCCAAAGTGCTGGGATTACAGGCGTGAGCCACCACACCTGGCCTCATATTTTAAACCTATAGGTACTAATAATTTCTCACTTTCTGTGAAATGTGGAAACCTCACTTTCATTTAGGTTCTTTACCTAACCCACTTTTAAATATCATTGCTTTAGTATCAAATGGTATTATAATTTTTGTTTCAATCATCAAATATGGTATATAAAACTCATGAGGCAAAGGAGAGTCTATTTTATGCACTCGTATTTCTGCTCTTTTCATTGAGCGTTTTTCCTTCCTGATGCTCCAAGAATTTTTCTTCTTTTCCTTTGTTTGTTTGTTTCTTTTTCTTTTTCTTTTTCTTTTTTTTGAGACAGGGTCTCACTCTGTTGTCCAGGCTAGAGTGCAGTGGTGCCATTATAATTCTCTGTAACCTTGAACTCCTGGGCCCAGGTGGTCCTCCTGCCTCAGCCTCTGGAGTTACTGAGACTACAGGAGTGCACCACCATGCCTAGCTAATTTTGAATTTTTTTGTAGAGATGGGGGTCTTGCTATGTTGCTCAAGCTAGTCTCAAACTCCTATCCTCAAGCAATCCTTCAGCCTCAGCCTCCCAAAGTGCTGGGATTACAGGTGTGAGCCACTGCACCTAGCTGAATCTTTCTTTTCTCATTTTCTTTTTCTTTTCTTTTCTTTTTTTTTTTTTTGAAGAACTTCCTTAGTCAGTTGTTAAGGGTAGGCCTGCTAGCAACAGATTATTAAGTTTTCCTGTCTATGTCTTTATTTCCCTTTTTACCTGACAGTTTCACCAGATATAGAATTTGTAGTTGACAGCTCTTTTCTTTCCAGCACTTTGAAAAATGTTATGCTACTTCCTCCTGACCTCCAGATGAGAAATCTCCTGTCTTTTTTTTTCCTTTTTTTTCCTGCTCAGGAAAGGAAGAATGCTGACATTTAAATTGATGTTCTGCTATGAGTAATGCTTGTTTCTCTCTGGCTGCTTTCATGTTATTTTCATTTTCTTTAGCTTTCAAAAGTTTTTTTTTTGTTTGTTTGTTTTTGTTTTTTGAGATGGCGTTTCGTTCTCATTGCCTAGGCTGGAGTGCAGTGGCATCATCTTGGCTCACCGCAACCTCTGCCTCCCAGGTTCAAGCGATTCTCCTGCCTCAGCCTCCCGAGTAGCTGGGATTACAGGCATGCACCACCACACCTGGATAATTTTGCATTTTTTGTATAGACAGGGTTTCACCACATTGGTCAGGCTGGTCTTGAACTCCCGACCTCAGGTGATCCGCCCACCTCAGCCTCCCAAAGTGCTGGGATTACAGGCATGAGCCACCACGCCCGGCAAAAGTTTTATTATAATATATCTAGACATGGACTTCTTTGAGTTTATCCTCTTTGAGATTCCCTCTGCTTCTTGGATTTGTAGGTTTGTGTCCTTTGCCAAATTTGGGACATTTCATTCATTATTTCTTCAAATTCTCTTTTGGCCTCATTGCCTTTCTTTTGTTGTGGGACTTCCATGGTATGAATACTGGGTGATATGGTTTGGCTCTGTGTCCTCATCCAATTTTCATGTAGAATTGTAATCCTCACATTTCAGAGGAAGGACCTAGTGGGAGGTGATTGGATCATGTGGGCAGATTTTCCCCATGCTGTTCTCTTGATAACGAGTGAGTTCTCACAAGATCTGATGGTTAAAAAGTGTAGCACTTCCCCTCTTTGCGTGCTCTCTCTCTCTCCTGCCACCATGTAAGACGTGCCTTGCTTCTCCTTCCCCTTCCACCATGATTGAATTGTAAGTTTCCTGAGGCTTCCCCAGTCATTTGGAACTGTGAGTCAATTACACCTCTTTTCTTTATAAATTACCTAGTCTCAGGTTGTTCTTTACAGCAGTGTGAAAATGAACAAATAAGGCTGGGCGTGGTGACTCATGCCTTTAATCCCAGCACTTTGGGAGGCCAAGGCGGGTGGATCACCTGAGGTCAGGAGTTTGACACCAGCCTGACCAACATGGAGAAACCATGTCTCTACTAAAAATACAAAATTAAAAATACAAAAAAATTAGCCGGGCATGGTGGTGGGTGCCTGTAGTCCCAGCTACTCAGGAGGCTGAGGCAGGAGAATGGCATGAACCTGGGAGGCAGAGCTTGCAGTGAGCCAAGATCACGCCACTGCACTCCAGCCTGGGTGAAAGAGCAAGAGTCAAAAAATAAATAAATAAATAAAAATATAAAAAAATAAATAAAAAATAAAAATACAAAATTAGCCAGGCATCATGGCGCATGCCTGTAATCCCAGCTACTTGGGAGGCTGAGGCAGGGGAATCACTTGAACCTGGGAGGCAGAGGTTGCAGTGAGCCGAGATCACGCCATTGCACTCCAGTCTAGGCAACAAGAACGAAACACCGTCTCAAAAAAAAAAAAAGAAAAGAAAGAAAAGAAAAAGAAAACGAACGAATGCACTGGGTCTTTTGTTGTTGTCTCATAGGTTTTCGAAGCTCTGTTCAATATTTTCTGTCAGTTTTCACTCCTTTATTCATATTGGGTGAATTTTACTGATCTGTCTTCAAAAGTTAACTGATTCTATCTTCTGTCTTCTCCATTCTACTATTGAGCCCATCCAGTGAGATTTTTTTTTTTTTTGAGACGGATTTTCATTCTTGTTGCCCAAGCTGGAGTGTAATGGTGCAGTCTTGGCTCACTGCAACCTCTGCCTCCCAGGTTCAAGTGATTCTCCTGCCTCAGCCTCCCAAGTAGCTGGAATTACAGGCATGTTCCGCCACACCTGGCTAGTTTTTGTATTTCTAGTAGAGACAGGGTTTCACCATGTTGGCCAGGCTGGTCTCGAACTCCTGACCTCAAGTAATCTGCCCAGTTCGGCCTGCCAAAGTGCTGGGATTACAGGTGTGAGCCACCACACCAGGCCCCAGTGAGATTTAAAAAAATTTTTTTTTAATTTTGTTGTTGTTAATAGAAATGGGGTCTCACCATTTTCCTCAGGCTAGTCTCTAACACCTGGGCTCCCCACCTTGGCCTCCCAATGCTGGGATTACAGGTGTGAGCTACTGCCCCCGGCCGTGGTTTTTATTTCTGTTATTGCACTTTTCAGTTCTATATTTCCATTTTTTTGTATTAATAATTTCTATTTATTTGCTGGGATTTTTCTGTTTCCTTATTTGTTCCAAGAGAATTTGTAGAATTTGTAGTTGATTGCTGAAACTTTTTATGATGGCTGCTTTAAAACCCTTGTCAGATAATTCCATCATCTGAGTCATCTTTAAACAAAAAATTTTTTTTTTTAATTTGCATGTCATCCTTGCACAGGGGCCATGCTAATCTTCTCTGTATCATTCCAGTTTTAGCGTATGTGCTGCCAAAGTGAGCACATCTGAGTCATCTTGATGTTGGCGTGAGTTGGTTATCTTTTCGTATTCAAGTTGTGATTTTCTTGGTTCTTAGTATAATGTGTAATTTTCTATTGTATTCTGGCGATTTGTTTTTAATTAAAATTTTAAAATGGCCAAAAATTGTGTGTGTATATATATATATATATATATATCTATAGTACAACATAATGTTTTGAAATATATATACACTGTGGAATGGCTAAATTGAGCTAATTAACATGCATTACCTCACATATTTATCATGTTTTTGTGAGAATACTTGAAATCTATTCCCTTAGTAATTTATTTTATTTAATTAATTAATTTATTTATTTTGAGACAGGGTCTCACTTTGTTGCACAAGCTGGTGTGCAGTGGTGCAATCTGGGTTCATCTCAGCCTTGACCTCCCGGGCTCAGGTGATCCTCCCACTTCATCCTCCTGAGTAGCTGGGACTACAGGCACCTGCCACCATGCCCGGCTAATTTTTGTATTTTTTGTGGAGACAGGGTTTCTCCATGTTGTCCAGGCTGGTCTTGAAGTCTTGGGCTCAAGTGGTCCTCCCGCCTCGGCCTCCCAAAGTGCTAGGATTACAGGCGTGAGCCACCACACCCGACCAGCAATTTTCAAGAATACAACACCACCAGGCACACGGTGGCTCATGGCTGTAATCCCAGCACATTGGGAGGCCAAAGCAGAAAGATCACTTGAGCCCAGGAGCTTGAGACCAGGCTGGGCAACATAGCAAGAACTCATCTCTACAAATAAAAAATTAGCTGGGCGTGGTGGTGCACACTTGTGTTCCCAGCTACTCAGGAAGCTGAGGCAGGAGGATCACTTGAGCCCAGGAGACCGAGGCTGTAGTGAGCCGTGATTACGCCACTACACTCCAAAGACACAGGGAGACCCTGTATCTATTTAAAAAAAAAAAAAAGAGTACAGTACATTACTCTTAACTATAGTCACTGTGTTGTACAATAGATCTCACTTATTCCTAACTGAAATATTGTATCCTTCACCAACATCTCTCCAACCCCCTTCACCCCCAGCCCCTAGTAACCACCATTCTACTCTCTGCTTCTATGAGTTCAACTTTTTTAGATTCCACACATAAGTGAGACCATGTGATATTTGTCTTTCTGTGCCTGGCTTATTTCCTTATCATACTGTCCTCCAGGTTCATTATATAATTTCCTTTGGTTATGTATCTAGTAGGGAGATTGCTGGATCATATGGTAATTCTATTTAAATTTTTTTTGTGTGTGTGAGATAGGATATTGCCCTCTCCCCCAGGCGGGAGTGCAGTGGCACAATCAATCGCAGCTCACTATAGCCTCCACCTCTTGGGGTCAAGTGATCCTCTTGCCTCAGCCTCCCAAGTAACTGGGATTACAGGCGTGTGCCACCACACCCAGCTAATATTTGTATTTTTTGTAGAGACAGGGTCTTGCTATGTTGCCCAGGCTGGTCTCTACCTCCTGGGCTCAAGTGATACTCCCTCCTTGGCCTCCCAAAGTCCTGGGATTACAGGTGTCAGCTACTGTGCCTGGCCTATTTTTAATTTTTTGAGGTGCATCCTGGTCTATTATGTTAGGAGACTCGGAGTCCTATTTAAGTCTTATTTTAGCAGGCAGTCACTCTATTTAGGTTTATCATGTAGGTTTTGGCCTAGTTTTTCTGCTGTGTTTCTAATGGCGGTTTAGTCTTCAGAGCCTTTGTGGTGTTATTTTTGTCTGTTTGGTCTATCTGGTACCTCTGAGGCTCCCACTTGTCTCTGCTGGTGCTGCCTGACGAAGCAGGGGAAATTTCTACAGGCCAGGTCTCCACGTCTTTCTTTCTTTCTTTCTTTCTTTCAGGCCAGATCTCCACGTCTTTCTCTTTCTTTTCTTTCTTTCTTTCTTTCTTTCTTTCAGGCCAGATCTCCACGTCTTTCTCTTTCTTTTCTTTCTTTCTTTCCTTCTTTTTTCTTTCTTTCTTTCTTTCTTTCTTTCTTTCTTTCTTTCTTTCTTTCCTTCAGGCCAGATCTCCACGTCTTTCTCTTTCTTTTCTTTCTTTCTTTCTTTCTTTCTTTCTTTCTTTCTTTCTTTCTTTCTTTCTTTTCTTTTCTTTCTTTCTCAGAGTCTCACTCTGTCACCTGGGATGAAGGAGAGTGGCGTGATAATGGCTCACTGCAGGCTCGACCTCCTGGGCTCAAGTGATCCTCCTGCCTCAGCCTCTCGAGTAGCTGGGATCACAGGCATGTGATGTCACGCCTGGCTAATTTTTAATTTTTGGTAGAGGCAAGGTCTCCTCATGTTGCCCAGGCTGGTCTCGAACTCCTGGGCTCAAGCAATAGTCCCGCCTCAGCCTCCCAAAGTGGTAGGATTACAGGAGGGAGCCACTGCGCCCGGCCTCCGGGTGTTTCTTGATGATGGGGCGATGTGATGAGGTCCCCCTACCCGTGCCTTCTGGCTGCCCAGGTGTCTCTGCAGGGAAGCAGAATCCCAGGCCTGCAAAGCCAGTGGGGCTTCTTGGGCCAGGATGCTTGTTGTAGTTGGGTCCCCTTGCTGGTGATGCCTGTTTGCCCCGGTGCCTCTGAGCAGGAGAGGGATTTTCTGAGTCTGGTCACCTGCTGTGGTTATATCATTTCTGCCAGTTTCACCTACTAGTCCCAGGCTTCCTGTTGGGAGAAGGGAGTCTCTGGTCTTCAAGGCACCTAAGTTAAGGGATTGTCCAGGCCTGGCCTCTTGCTATGGCTGTGTCTTTTTGATGCAGTACAGGTTGTCTCTATCCGCCTGGGCAGGGTGGGGTCGGGGGGAGGTCCCTTGTTGGGGAGGCTTATCCCTGGCCCTGTGGAGAAGGACAGCACTTTTCATGACCACTTATTGTTAGTGGGTTCCCGATCCACCCCCTCACTGTTGGTGTTGGGTTTACCTCACGTTATCAGAGGGACTTCCCTTTCATCCAGGGGAGGAACTAGCCTATCGGGGCTGCCTTCCATGGCTTGGATCAGGGTCACGAAATGCTGGGCTTGAGTTGCCTTCTTCTGGTGGGTGGGGGGACATAAGATGCCCTGTAGTAGTGCTGTTTCTCCAGTCTTGGAATCCTAAATGAGTTCACTTTCTTTTTCTTTTTTTTTTGAGATGGAGTTTCACTCTTGTTGCCCAGGCTGGAGTGCAATGGCACGACCTTGGCTTACCGCAACCTCCACCTCCCAGGTTCAAGCGATTCTCCTGCCTCAGCCTCCCGAGTAGCTGGGATTACAGGCATGCGCCACTATTTCTGGCTAATTTTGTATTTTTAGTAGAGATGGGGTTTCTCCATGTTGGTCAGGCTGATCTCAAATTCCCGACCTTAGGTGATCCGCCTGCCTCAGCCTCCCAAAGTGCTGGGGTTACAGGGGTGAGCCACTGCACCTGGCCAAGGAGTTCAGTTTCTTCTTGCCGCCATGCATAGTTTCCCTTTGGTTGTCTCTTGTACTATTTCCAGGGTTGATAGTTGTGCTCAGCAGGAAGGAGCAGGGAGAAATAGGTCTATGTTATCTTGTCCAGACTGGAAATCTCTATTTTTTAACCACCAATGCCTCTCAGGTCTGACCTTAAACCCTCTGTTAATTATTCCATCAACAATGCCTATTCTTTTTTTTTTTTTTTTTTTTTAAGACTGAGTCTCACTCTGTTGCCCAGGCTGGAGTGCACTGGCACGATCTCGGCTCACTGCAAGCTCCGCCTTCTGGATTCACGCCATTCTCCTGCCTCAGCCTCCCCAGTAGCTAGGACTACAGAGGCTCACCACCACGCCCGGCTAGTTTTATTTTATTTTATTTTATTTTTGTATTTTTAGTAGAGAAGGGGTTTCACTGTGTTAGCCAGGATGGTCTTGATCTCCTGACCTTGTGATCTGCCCGCCTTGGCCTCCCAAAGTGCTGGGATTACAGGCATGAGCCACCGCACCTGGCCTTTTTTTTTTTTTTAAGATGGAGTTTTGCTCTTGTCCCCCAGGCTGGAGTGCAGTGGTATGATCTCAGCTCACTGTAACCTCTGCCTCTCAGGTTCAAGCCATTCTCCTGCCTCAGCCTCCTGAGTAGCTGAGATTACAGGCATGCGTTACCATGCCGAGCTAATTTTTGTATTTTTAGTAGAGATGCAGTTTTACCATGTTGCCCAGGCTGATCTCAAACTCCTGACCTCAAGTGATCCACCTGCCTCAGCCTCCCCAAGTGCTAGGATTACAGGCTTGAGCCACCACACCCGGCCTCTCTTTTTTTTTTTTGGAGTCGGAGTCTCGCTCTGTCGCCCAGGCTGGAGTGCAGTGGCATGATCTCAGCTCCCTGCAAGCTCCGCCTCCCGGGTTCACGCCATTCTCCTGCCTCAGCCTCCCGAGTAGCTGGGACTACAGGCGCCCGCCACCACGCCCGGCTAATTTTTTTTTGTATTTTTAGTAGAGACGGGGTTTCACCATGTTAGCCACGATGGTCTCCATCTCCTGACCTAATGATCCGCCCGCCTCGGCATCCCAAAGTGCTGGGATTACAGGCGTGAGCCACCGCTCCCTGCCTTTTTTTTTTTTTTTTTTTTTTTTAGAGACAAGGTCTTGCTATGTTGGCCAGGGTAATCTCAAACTCCTGGCCTCAAGCAATCCTCCTGCCTTGGCCTCTGAAAGTGCTGGGATTACGGGTGTGAGCCACCATACCCAGCCCACAATGCTACTGTTGTCTGTCCTTGAATATGGGCTTCTGTCAGCAATTCACCCATCTTTCATACATCTTTAACTCTGGCCTCTATTAACTCTTATCATTCATGGTCCTCTGGTCTACAATACAAAATCATGTCTCTCTCAGCTTGATGTGATTTAGGAAAAACCAAAAGTACTTTTCCTACTCCTTTTTTTTCTTTTTTTTTTTTGTAACAGGTTCTCTCTGTCACCCAGGCTGGAGTGCAGTGGTGCCATCATGGCTCATTGCAGCCTCAACATCCCAGCTGCCAGCTCAAGTGATCCTCCTACCTCAGCTTCCTGAGTAGCTGGGACTACAGGCGCTCAGCTAATTTTTTTTTTTTTTGACGGAGTCTCGCTCTGTCCCAGGCTGGAGTGCAGTGGCGCAATCTCGGCTCACTGCAACCTCCAACTCCCTGGTTCAAGGGATTCTCTTGCCTCAGCCTCCTGGTAGCTGGGATTACAGGCACATGCCACCACGCCCAGCTAATTTTTTTTTTTGAGACAGTATTTCGCTTTTTCGCCCAGGCTGCAGTGAAATGGCATGATCTCGGCTCACTGCAACCTCCGCCCCCCAAGTTCAAGCGATTCTCCTGCCTCAGCCTCCCGAGTAGCTGGGATTACAGGCACGTGCCACCGCGCCTGGCTAATTTTTGTATTTTTAGTAGAGACGGTGTTTCACCATATTGGCCAGGCTGGTCCTGAACTCTTGACCTCAGGTGATCCACCTGCCCCGGCCTCCCAAAGTGCTAGGATTACAGGCGTGAGCCACCACGCCCAGCCGCTAATTTTTTTTTTAAGAAACGGTACATTAGGGCCGGGCACGGTGGCTCACGCCTGTAATCCCAGCACTTTGGGAGGCCGAGGCGGGCGGATCACGAGTTCAGGAGATCGAGACCATCCTGGCTAACACGGTGAAACCCTGTCTCTACTAAAAATACAAAAAAAATTAGCCGGGCGTGGTGGCGGGCACCTGTAGTCCCACCTGCTGGGGAGGCTGAGGCAGGAGAATGGCGTGAACCTGGGAGGCAGAGTTTGCAGTGAGCCGAGATTGCGCCACTGCACTCCAGCCTGGGTGACAGAGCAAGACTCTGTCTCAAAAAAAAAAAAAAAAAAAAAAAAAGAAATGGTACATTAGGCTGTTCTTGCACAGCTCTAAAGAAATACCTGGGGCCATGTGCAGTGGCTCATGCCTGTAATCCCAGCACTTTGGGAGGCCGAGGCGGGCAGATCACGAGGTCAATAGATGGAGACCATCCTGATCAACATGGTGAAACCCCGTCTCTACTAAAAATACAAAAATTAGCCAGGCATGGTGGAGCGCACCTGTAGTCCCAGCTACTCGGGAGGCTGAGGCAGGAGAATCACTTGAACCTGGGAGGCAGAGGTTGCAGTGAGCTGAGATTGCACCACTGCACCCCAGCCTGGCGACAGGGCGAGATTCCATCTCAAAAAAAAAAAAAAAAAAAAAAAAAAGCTGGGCTCGGTGGCTCACGCTGTAATCCCAGCACTTTGGGAGGCCGAGGCGGGCGGATCACGAGGTCAGGAGATCGAGGCCATCCTGGCTAACACAGTGAAACCCCATCTCTACTAAAAAAAATACAAAGAAATTAGCCGGGCGTGGTGGCGGGCGCCTGTACTCCCAGCTACTCGGGAGGCTGAGGCAGGAGAATGATGTGAACCAGGGAGGCGGAGCTTGCAGTGAGCCGAGATCTTGCCACTGCACTCCAGCCTGGGCAACAGAGCAAGAGACTCCATCTAAAAATAAAAAATAACAGTAAAAATAAAGAAATACCTGAGACTGGGCAAAGAAAAGAGGTTTAATTGGCTCATGGTTCCACAGGCTATACAGGAAGCATGGTGCTGGCATCTGCCCAGCTTCTGAGGAGGGCTCAGGAAAATTACGATCATGACAGAAGGTGAAGAGGAAGCAGGCACGACTTAAATGGCTGCAACAGGAAGAGAGAGGGGGAGGTGCTACATACTTTTAAATAACCAGATCTTTTGATAACTCACTCACTCACTATCGAGAGAACAGCACCAAGAGGATGATGTTAAACCGCTCATGAAGGAACACCCCTATGATCCAATCAACTCCCACCAGGCTCCACCTCCTACTTTGGGGATTACAATTCAACATGAGATTTGGGAGAGGACACAGATCCAAACCATATCAGATGGGGGTCTCACTACGTTGCCCAGGCTGGTCTCAAACTCCTGGCCTCAAGTGATCCTCCTGTTTCAGCTTCCAAAAGTGCTGGGATTACAGGAGTCAGCCACTGTGACTGGTCTCCTTTTCCTACACTCCACTCTCACTCAGCACTTCTGATACCAGATGTGTGGAGGTTCCCCAGTGCCCCCTGCCCCCCAGCAAATTTCTGGCACATTCTCCAGCAAACACCAGTTCAGTGTCCTCTAATTCAATTCCATTCCAACATTACCTACCTGGAAGTCAGATCCCCTAGAGTTATAGTAGGCAGCTAGTTAGGCATGAGCAGGGCAGGAGAAGGCTTTCCTCCCACACCTAGGACCAGCAATGTCAGGTGACCATCAGGTGATGGTCTCAGTATCATGGGCTCAGTATCACAAAACCTCCCCCAACTTCAGATGCCAATGGCAAGCACAGGTTGTGACCTATGCTTCTTCTTCTTCTTTTTTTTTTTTTGATGGAGTCTCTCTCTGTTTCCCAGACTGGAGTGCAGTGGTGCTATCTCGGCTCACTGCAGCCTCCACCTCCCAGGTTCAAGCGATCCTCCTGCCTCAGCCTCCTGAGTAGCTGGAACTACAGGCACGAGCCACCTCACCTGGATAATTTTTGTATTTTTAGTAGAGATGGAGTTTCACTCTGTTGGCCTGGCTGGTCTTGACTCCTGACCTTAAGTAATCCATCTACCTCAGCCTCCCAAAGTGCTGGGATTATAGGTGTGAGCCACCATGCCCGGCCCCAGGCTAGTCTTGAATTCCTGGGCTCAAGCAATCCTCCCACCTCGACCTCACAAAGTGTTTGGATTACAGGCATGAGCCACCGCTGATGCTTTTGGTTTTTTATGGAGGCTTCATTACCTAGACATGATCGGTTAAACCATTGGCCATTGGTGATCAAGTCAATCTTCAGCCACTCTCCCCTCCCAGGAGGTTGGGGGTGGGGCTCAAAGTCCCAACTCCCTATTTAGTTGCTCAGCCCCCAACCTGAAGCTATCTAGAGGCCCCCAGCCACCAGTCATCTCATTAACAAGCAAAAGACACTCTTATCATTCTGGATATTCCAAGGGTTTTTGGAGCCATTTGTCCGGAAACTGGGACAAAACCAAATATATATGCCACAATATCACTCAGCTCCATCACCATCAATGGCATGTTATTGAGGCTGGGTGCGGTGCCTCACCCCTGTAATCCTGGCACTTTGGGAGGCCAATATGGGAGGATCACTTGAGCCCAGGAGTTTGAGACAAGCCTGGGCAACGTGGCAAAACTCTGTCTCTACAAAAATTAGCTGGGGTGTGGTGACTTGCACCTGTAGTAGCAGCTACTCAGGAGGCTGAGATGGGAGGATCACCTGAGCCTGGGAGGTCAAGGCTGCAGTGAGCTGTGGTCATGCCACTGCACTCCAGCCTGGGTGACAGAATGAAACCCTGTCTCAAAAAAAAGTCATGTTGTCTAGAATTGTGCCATCAGATAAGGCCGAAATAGCCACATGGTTATTGAGCACTTGAGGCTAATGAGGCCAGGTACAGTGGTCATGCCTGTAATCTCAGCATTTTGGGAGGCTGAAGCAGAAGGATTGTTTGAACCCAGGAGATCGAGGCTGCAGTGAGCTATGATTGTACCACTGCCCTCCAGCCTGGGCGACAGAGCAACACCTTGTTTCCAACAAAAAACAAAACAAAACAAAACAAAACAAAAAACTATGAGGCTAATCAGATTGAGGAACTGAATTTCTAAATTTATTCATTTTAGTTAATTTAACATTTAAATTAGATACTCACACACCCACTATGTACCCACAAAAGTAAAAAATAAAAAAAATTAACACACACACAATAAAATAGATAATTAAATTATTGGAAAACTTTTAAAGTATATTTGGAATGACTTGTGAATTTGTTGTTGTTTGTTTATTTATTTCTAGAGACAGGATCTTTCTTTGTTGCCCAGGCTGGAGTATGGTGGCACAATCATAGCTCACTGCAGCCTGGAACCTCTGGCCATAAGCCATCTCCCCTCCTCAGCCTCCTGAGTAGCTGGAACCACAGGGGAGCACCACGATGACTAGCTAATTTTGTTTAGTTTTTGTAGAGACAGGGTCTCACTGTGTTGCCCAGGCTAGTCTGGAACTGCTGGCCTTAAGCAATCCTCCCTCCTTGGCCTCCCAAAGTACTGGGATTACAGGCATAAGCTACTGTGCCTGGCCACTTGTGAATATTTTTGTTTTTGTTTTTTGAGAGAGTTTCGCTCTTGTTGCCAGGCCAGAGTACAATGGCATGATCTTGGCTCACCGCAACCTCCACCTCCCGGATTTAAGCGATTGTCCTGCCTTAACCTCCCAGGCACATGCCACCACACCCGGCTAATTTTTTGTATTTTTAGTAGACACGGGGTTTCTCCATGTTGGCCAGGCTGGTCTCAAACTCTTGACCTCAGGTGATCCACCCACCTCGGCCTTCCAAAGTGCTGGGATTCCAGGCGTGTGCCACCACGCCAGGAATGTTAACCTATGTTTTCAACTAAATTTTGTGAAATCTAAGTACAAATCAAGTATTTCTGATGAAAATTTAGCTTTCAAAATTGAGATGTGCTGTCAGTGTAAAATACACATCTGATTTCACAGTGTTATTACCACAAAAAGAATGCCAAATATCTAGGTAATTTTAAAAATTTATTACCTGTTGAAATAAGAATGTTTGGTTAATGTAGTTCAAACAAAGTATGTTATTAAAGTTAATTTAACTTATTTCTTTTCCTTTTTGTGTCATCTGTCTGCAACCTCTCATGTTACATCTCCTCCCTGTCTTCCACTTGGGTTGGAAATTGAGGCTCCTGTTCTGTGTCAAAGTGATTTAGTCTCTCAGGCATTAAGATGCTTCATTCTTAATGATGTAATTTGAACCGCAAAATTATTTCGCCTAGTGACAAGGATGTTCGCATTTCATTGGCCATGGAGACTAAAGCTTGCCTCCCACACAGAGCCATTGGCTAGCTGCACCATCTCTCCAAAGCAACCTCGGGCTGTGCCCCCACCCACTTCAAATACCTCCAGCTGTGCTATTTACCTGCACCCTCCCCGTCAGGCTATGTCCGTCCTGCCCCTTCCTTGCACTGGACAATGGGGACTTCTGCTGATTTACAGATCAGGCAGCCTCATATTGACCTGGGAGACCAGAGCCTGTTTCTTATATTCAGCCATTAGCTAACTGCGCCTTCTGTCCACAGCTTCTCAAGCTAGGCTTTGGCTGCCTCGCTTCACATGGCAACGGGGTTAGTTACTACCTAGTAACAGTTTACCATGACTGCCATAGGCTGAAGAGACTAAAGCCCATCTTCTCGTGCATTCATTGGCTAACTATTTATAGCAACTCAGGTCCCTTTCACCCTGCACATAGCAACAGGGGCTTCTCCCTAGAACAGGCTGCTACTTCATCCCATTGGCCACCAGGAACCAGATCCCACCTCCCCGATGCAGCCACTGGTCAGCTGCACCATCTGTCTACAACTCCCCAGATTTGGTCTAGACAAGAAATCTCAAACTGCTGGTTTCTATGAACTCTGCTGCCACCACTGCTCATCTGGCTGGACCTCGAACTTGGTCATTTGTTATCTAATCCACCGTCAATAACTCCCTTGTCAAAATCTAAAATCTGGGCCCCTGTTAACATTTTCACCACTTCTGGACCAACTTTAAACCCCATCTTTTTTTTTTTTGGTGAGACAGTCTCGCTCTATCGCCCAGGCTGGTGTGCAGTGGCGCGATCTCGGCTCACTGCAACCTCTGCCTCCCGGGTTCAAGCGATTCTCCTGTCTCAGCTTCCCGAGTAGCTGAGATTACAGGCGTGAGCCACCACACCCAGCTAATTTTTGTTTTTTTGGTAGAGACAAGGTTTCACCATGTTGGCCAGGCTGCCCGCTTCGGCCTCCCAAAGTGCTGGGATTACAGGCGTGAGCCACCACGCCCGGCTTCCCAGCAGTATTTAGTCTGACCTCAATCTAGTGCTCTGATAACTCTTCCACCATCACTGCCTTTCTGCAGCTTAGCATTCAGCCTTTAACTATTCCCCCAGCAATACCCCGCTGACCTGAAGCCTGAATCAGGCCTATTCATTTTTCCACCGTCAATACATACTAGGACTGATCTCAAACTTCACCTCTGTGAACTCTTCCAACATTAATGACCTTGATAAAGACTACCAAGGTCACATCCATAGTCGCAAAAGAGATGGGTTTATTAACCTGCTGCGGCAAGGAAGACCACGCCCCACAGGAACTGTGGGGATGTCTCACCTAAGGTAACTTAACTTGTTCCAGTTTGCCCAGGACTTTCCTGCTTTTAGTACTGAATGCCCTTGTCCCAGTAAACCCTATTCCTGGGCAAACAGAGTTGGTTGATCACCTTAGTGTCAATGAACAAAGGAAGAAATGGGATTAGTATAGGATATAGGAGTGGAGTTTAGGTAAAGTTTAAATGAAGCAGTGTTTTGACAAGCCCAAAGCAAAGGAGGTTGGTATGGAAAAGGATTAACATTAGGTTCAGACTGTGAAGCAGACCTAGGGTCCTTTTTCTTTAGAAACACAAAAGAAGCTGGGCGCAGTGGCTCACGCCTGTAATCTCAGCACTTTGGGAGGCTGAGGCAGTTGGATCACCTGAGGTTAGCAGTTGGAGACCAGCCTGGCCAACTTGATGAAACCCTGTCTCTACTAAAAATACAAAAATTAGCTGAGTGTGGTGGCACATGCCTGTAATCCCAGCTACTCGGGAGGCTGAGGCAGGAGAATCGCATGAACCCGGGAGGCGGAGGTCACAGTGAGTGGAGATCACACACTGCACTCCAGCCTGGGCAACAGAGCGAGACTCTGTCTCAAAAAAACCCACAAAAGATAGGCTGCGTGCAGTGGCTCAGGCCTGTAATCCTAGCACTTGAGGTGGGTGAATCCCTTGAGCCCAAGAGTTTAAGACCAGCCTGGGCAACACAGTAATATCTTGTCTTTACAAAAAATGAACAAAGGTAGCCGGGCGTTGTGGCGTGTGCCTGTAGTCTGTCAGCTACTTGGGAGGCTAAGGTGGGAGGATCACTTGAGCCTAGGAGGTTGAGGCTGCAGTGAGCTGTGATCATGCCACTGCACTTCAGCCTGGGTGACAGAGTGAGACCCTATCTCAGAAAAAAAAGAAAAGAAAAAAAAACACTAAACATAGATGTGAAGTTTTGGCTTCAGATACCCATTATCTGAAGCTCTGCACCTGGGTCAGAAATCAAGGCTGTTTCTCTGTGTCAAAGTAACTTAGATCCTCCAGGGAAGAGTAGGAGGTTTTATTCTTATTGATATTATTTCAAACAGGAAATTTTCCGATAGTCTATGATTTTAGATAACAAGGTTTCTCTGCAGGGCTAGGACTAGGGTAAGGTGAGGGAGGCATTCGCCTTAAGTGTAAAATGTAAGGGGGTACCAAAAAAACTCAGTAATCAAGATCAATACCATTTGACTGATTGAGACAGTGTTTCGCTCTGTCCCTTAGGCTGCAGTGCAGTGGTGCGATCATGGCTCACTGCAGTCTGGACCTCCCAGGCTCAAGAGATCCTCCCACCTCCTCACCTCCTGAGTAGCTGGGACTACAGGTGCGCGTCACCATGCGCAACTAATTTTGTTTATTTTTTGCAGAGACAAGGTATGTTGCCCAGGCTGGTCTCAAGTGATCTGCCCACCTCGGCCTTCCCCCAAATTCTGGGATTACAGGCGTGGACTATCGCGCCCAGCCAAGATCAATAACATTTTTTGTTTGTTTGAGATGGAGTCTCGCTCTTTCACCCAGGCTGGAGTGCAGTGATGTGATCTCGGCTAACTGCAACCTCCACCTCCCGGGTTCAAGCTATTCTCCTGTCTCAGACTCCTGAGTCACTGGGACTACAGGCACGCACCACTATGCCCGACTAATTTTTGTATTTTACTAATACAAGAGATGGAGTTTCACCATGTTAGCCAGGTTGGTCTCGAACTCCTGACCTCAGGTGATCCACCCACTTTGGCCTCCCAAAGTATTGGGATTACAGGTGTGAGCCATGGCGCCAGGCCTCCTCCCCTCCCCTCCCCTCTCCTCTCCTTTCCTTTCTTTTTTAGACAGGGTATCACTCTGTTGACCAGGATGGAGTGCTGTGGTGC
Organism: Homo sapiens; assembly: GCF_000001405.40. NCBI lineage: Eukaryota > Metazoa > Chordata > Mammalia > Primates > Hominidae > Homo > Homo sapiens. The sequence goes on from NC_000023.11 coordinate 47,365,009, forward strand.
GATCTCTGCTCACTTGCAACCACTGCCTCCTGGGTTCAAGCCATCTTCCCACCTCAGCATCCTGAGTAGCTGAGACTACAGATGCACACCACCACACCCGTTAAGTTTTGTATTTTTGGTAGAGAAGGGTTTTGCCATTTTGCTGAGGCTGGTCCTGAACTCCTGACCTCAAGCGATCCTCCTGCACCCTCTTCCCAAAGTGTTGGGATTACAGGCATGAGCTGCCGCGCCTGGCCGCGCCTGGCTGTTTTCTAAGCATTTTTCTTTTTTTAAAATAAATTGAAATGTGGTCTCACTCTGTCACCCAGGCTGGAGTGCAGTGGTGCAATCATAACTCACTGCAGCCTCTAACTCCTGGGCTGATGCGATCCTCCCACCTCAGCCTCTTGAGTAGCTAGGACTACAGGCGTGTGCCACCACACCTGGCTAATTTTTGTATTTTTAGTAGAGACGAGTTTCATCATGTTGCCCAGGCTAGTCTCGAACTCTGGATCTCAAGTGATCCGCCCACCTCAGCCTCCCAAAGTGCTGGGATTAGAGGTATGAACCACCGCGCCAGGCCTCTAAGCATTTTTCTATTGATAATTTGCTAAAAAAACATTAGTTGCCCATGGCCGGGCACGGTGGCTCACGCCTATAACCCCAGCACTTTGGGAGGCTGAGGCAGGCGGATCACCTGAGGTCGGGAGTTCAAGACCAGCCTGACCAACATGGAGAAATCCCGTCTCTACTAAAAATACAAAATTAGCCGGGCGTGGCGGAGCATGCCTATAATCCCAGCTACTCGGGAGGCTGAGGCAGGAGAATCGCTTGAACCCGGGAGGCGGAGGTTGTGGAGAGCCGAGATCGTGCCATTGCACTCCAGCCTGGGCAACAAGAGTGAAACTCAAAAAAGAAAAGAAAAACAAACAAACAAACCATTGGTTGTCCATATCAAAGGCTATTATTCCTAACTACTATCATTGTAGTGGGGCAAGGAGGGTAACGGAGATGGGGGGAATTCAAGTCTTCTCCATGGTAACTGCAGCACATCGAGAGATTGTACACCCTGACTCCTTTCCCCTCTTCTCCAGTGGTATCGCCCACGACGGGCACCTGTGTTAACCTGATTACTCCTCCTCTTCCCAGTGGTATCGCCAAGGGGGGGATTGTACCACCCTGACTTCTTCCCCCTCTTGCCCAGTGGTGTCTCCCTTGAGCATCAGAACACGCCCCCCTCCTCCCTGGGTAGGAGGCGCACCTCTGCTTCTTTAAACTTTGCCCAAACTTATAGAACCGAGTTCCAAAGACCAGCTTCTCCCAGAATCTTGCCCTTAGAGGGATTCTACCCGTGAACGCCCTCTCGCCCCCGCCTTCTGTGGAACAGCCCACTGTACGGAATGGGTGCTAAGATGGCGGCTCCCAAGAGACACGACATAGCGCAGCCATATTCCTCGCCTGACAACGCCACTCATGGACCAAGTCTCCGCCGATCCGTAACAGCGCTGTGTTCAGTGAGTAGACTACAATCTCTCAGTCCTAATGATCGTGTGCAAAATCAACAGCCCTAGAAGGTGCAGTGTCAGGGGTGAGGACAGGAAACGGAAATCCCCCTCAGAGGCCGTTTAAGTCTTCTTGGCGCGCGATGCTAAATGCAGTGCACGAGGTTTTATGGCGTGATAGTCGCTCAGGTGATTTTGAGGTTTTGTTGGCTTCGGGGGATGATGCATTGGCAGTTGTGGTGTCAATTGGTGGGGAAATAAAGAACCTAATGAATGGGAATCTATGAGTGTCAGGGATGAGGGCCTCTGGAGTAGTCAGGTTTTAGATTCCCTGCTGTGTCTTGATGTCCAGCCTTAATAGTGTGCGCTTTAGGTTTTTCCTTTATCAGTATTCCCAGAGGTTTGCTAATTTTATTAGCCTTTCCAAAAAAACAACTTTTGACCTTGTTGCTCCTCTGATCACAGATCTCTTCTGATGTACCTTCGTTTCCTATTTCTTTAATTTCTGCTCTTATCTGTACCGTTTTCTCTAACTTCTTAAATTGGATGTTAATTCATTAATGCTCAGCCTTTCTTTGTTAAAAAAATTTTTAAGAGCATGCGTTTTTCCTTAAGAATCTCTTTAGCTGCAATCAAGAATATTTTGTATACACCATCTTTTCTTTCTTTCTTTCTTTCTTTTTTGACGGAGTCTCGCTCTGTCGCCCAGACTGGAGGGCAGTGGCGCGATCTCCACTCACTACAACCTCCGCCTCCGTTTCCAGCGATTCTCGTGCCTCGGCCTCCCGAGTCGCTGGGATTACTGGCGCACGCTACCACGCCCAGCTAATTTTTATATTTTTAGTGGAGATGGTGGTCTTGCCATGTTGCCCAGGCTGGTCTCCAACTCCTGGATTCAAACGATCCACTCGCCTCAGCCTCCCAAAGTGCTGGGATTACAGGCGTGAACCACTGCCCCAGGCCGACTATTTTATATTAGTCAAAATTTTTTTCTTTTTGTAATCGTATAGGCCCACCTCCTTAAAATGTTTATTCTGGCTGGGCGCGGTGGCTTACTCCTGTAATCCCAGCACTTTGGAAGGCCGAGGATGGCGATCGGTTGAGTCCAGGAGTCGAGACCAGCCTGGGCAACGCAGGGAGAACCCCGTCTGTACAAAAAAAAAAAAAAAGAAAGAAAGAAAGAAAGTAAGAAAAATTAGCTGGGCGTGGTGGAGCGTTCCTGTAGTCCCAGCTACTCCAGAAGCTGATGTGGGAGGATTGCCTGATTCCGAAAGCCGTGATTGCACCACTGCACTCCAGCCTGGGTGACAGAGGGAGACCTTGTCTCAAAAAAAAAAAAAAGTTATACTTACACTTACGTATTTTATATAGTTTTTGCTATCATTATTTATGCAATTTTGTTTCCATTGCCTCATTGTTATTATAGAGAGAAACTATCTGCTTTTGGCCAGGTGCGGCGGCTCATGCCTGTAATCCCTGCGCTTTGGGAGGCCGAGGTCGGAGGATCACGGGGTCTGGAGTCTGAGATCAGCCTGACCAACATGGTGAAACCCCATCTCTACTAAAAATACAAATATTAGCTGGGTGTGGTGGTGCATACCTGTAATTCCAGCTACTCAGGAGGCTGAGGCAGCAGAATCGCAGAAGCGCTTGAGCCCAGGCAGAGGTTGCAGTGAGCCGAGATCGTGCCACTGCACTCCAGCCTGGGCGGCAGAGTGAGACTCCGTCTCAAAAAAAAAAAAAAAAAAAAAGAAAAGAAACTATCTGCTTTTGTAATTTTACCTTGTATCCAGCCCCTTACATTATATTATACCCTATTAATTTTAGTAGTCTTTTAGCAGTCTGGTAGGTTTTCCATGTATAAAATCATCTTATTGGATAGAAAGCTACATTTTCGTTTTCATTTCTTCCCAATGTTCATGTTCACCCTAATTATTATTTTCTTTTTTCTTTCTGCCTTTTTTTCTTTTTCTTTTTCTTTTTTTTTTTTTTTGTTTTGTTTTGTTTTGTTTTTGGGGTGGAGTCTTGCTCTGTCACCCAGGCTGAAGTGCAGTGGCGTGATCTCGGCTCACTGCAGTCTCTGCCTCCCGAGTTCAAGCAATTTTCCTGCCTCAGCCTCCTGAGTAGCTGGGATTACAGGTGTGTGCCACCATGTCCAGCTAATTTTTGTGTTTTTAGTAGACACGGGGTTTCACCATCGTCTTGAACTCCTGACCTGCTGACCTCAGGTGATCAGCCTGCCTTGGCCTACCAAAGTGCTGGGATTACAGGCGTGAGCCGCCTCCTCTGGCCTCTTTTTTTTTTCTTTAATAGAAACAAAGTGTCACTCTGTCATCCAGGCTGGAGTGTAGTGGAGTGATCTCAATGCACTGCAACTCTGTGTGTGTGTTTTTGTTTGTTTGTTTGTTTTTTAAGGATACTGGGTTTTGCCATGTTGTCCAGGTTAGTTTTGAACACCTGGGCTCAAGGGATCCTCTTGCTTTGGCCTCCCAAAGTGTTGGGATTAAAGCCGTGAGCCACTGCACCTGGCCTGATTATTTATTTCTTTTCTCTTCTTTTCTCCTTTCTTCCCTCCTTCCTTCCTTCCTTCCTTCCATCCTTCCTTCCTCTCTTTCTTTCTTTCTTTCTTTCTTTCTTTCTTTCTTTCTTTCTTTCTTTCTTTCTTTCTTTCTCTCTTTCTCTCTTTCTTTTTCTTTCTCTTTTAGAGACAAAGTCTTGCTCTGTCACCCAGGCTGGAGTGCAGTGGCGCCATCAGAGGTCACTGCAGCCTCAACCTCTCAGGCTTCTTAAGCTATCCTTCTGCTTCAGCTTCCTTAGTAGCTGGCACTACAGGTGTGGACCACCACACTCGGATTATTTTATTTCTTGTAAAGACAGCGTCTCACTTTGTTGCCAAGGCTGGTTTCGAACTCCTGGACTCAAGCAACCCTCCTGTCTTGGCCTCCCAAAGTTCTGAGATTACAGGCATGAGCCACTGTGCCCAGCCCACTCTATTTCATCTTCTCTTGTGTGAGCTAGAGCCCACAAAACAATTTTGGGTTATAGCAGACAGTACTAATTTTGTGGCAATAGCTTCATCATTTTACTTTTTAGCATGGTGTTTCAGAGTTATGTTTCATAATTGATTTTTGTGGCACTTAAGTTATTTACTTTTTCCATGATTTTAGTTTGAGCTTATATTAGTAATGGCTGCTGAATTGCGTTGGATGCTTTTTTGGTGTAAGTTAACAGCAGAGTGTTTCCCTCTGTAATTTGTTGATGTAATACATAACATTAGGCCTGGTGCAGTGGCTCACACCTGTAATCCCAGCACTTTGGGAGGCCAAGGCGGGAGGATCACTTGAGGTCAGGAGTTCGAGACCAGCCTGACCAACATAGTGAAAACCCGTCTCTACTAAAAATACAAACATTAGCTGGGCGTGGTGGCGGGCGCCTGTAATCCCAGCCACTAGGGAGGCTGAGGCAGGAGAATCCCTTGAACCTGGGAGGCGGAGGTTGCTGTGAGCTGAGATCGCACCATTCCACTGCAGCCTGGGTGACAAGAGTGAAACTCCATCTCAAAAAAAAAAAAAAAAAAAAGAAAAAATACATAACATTATTAAGATTGAACCATTTTTTTCTGGAAAGAAGAGGCTAAAAGCTTCCCAGTAAAAGAATTTAAGAGGGATATTTCATCTAAGAGTGGAAAAAAACAAAAGACGGCAGAAGAAAGGACCAGCCGATTTCCTTTCATTTAGATTATCAGCTTTCCAGGTTTCCTGCCCTCACAGTCACCCACCAGGTCCCCTTGAACCTGCCCACCCCATGGGCCTTAAGCACCCTTAAGCACTGCCCCAGTTCTACTTCTCCTAAACCCAGATCTGCCTTGAACTTGAACTGAGGTGTAGGCTGGCTGAGTAGCGAGTGAAGCACCTGGTAGAGCCACTCAAGAAGGGACCCCAAGCTCATTAATTTGGCCCCAAATTTGATCATTTTGTAATCCACCTTGACTCATGCTCTGGGGATGCTGAACATTGTGGCGTGAATGTGGGATGACACTGATGATATGGATACTGTCCTTTTAGGATTTCTTGGTGTCTCTGTGGAGCCATTGAGCCTTACCCCTTACTGGAGGCTGCAGGACCCTCTACACACAGACAGCTGTCCAGCACGGAAGGTGGGCTGAGGCCCAGGGTGAACATGCCAGCTAATGGGACATCACCCCAGAGATTCCCTGCCCTGATTCCAGGAGAACCTGGCAGATCTTTTGAGGTAAGGAGGAGGATCCTATTTTTTTCTATATGTTCTTTATTTTTTTATTTATTTTTAGTTAAATTTATATTTTGAGATAATTGTAGATTCAAATGCAATGTACCATTTACCTAGTTTTTGTCCCCAGTAGTAACATCTCGTAATACCCAGGATATTGACATGCAGAGCATTTCCATCCCCACAAGGATCCCCCATGTTGTCATTAAATAGACACAACCACTTCACTTCCTCCATCACTCCCCTCTTAACCCTGGGGCACCACCAATCTGTTCTCCAATACTATAATTTTTTCATTTCAAGAATGTTGTGGCTGGACGTGGTGGCTCACGCCTGTCACCTGTAATCCCAGCACTTTGGGAGGCCGAGGCGGGTGGATCACTTGCGGCCAGGAGTTTGAGACCAGCCTGGCCAACATAGTGAAACCCTGTTTGTACTAAAAATACAAAAATTAACCAGGTGTTGTGGCACGCACCTGTACTCCCAGCTACTCGGGAGGTTGAGACCGGAAAATCGCTTGAACCTGGAGGCGGAGGTTGCAGTAAGCCAAGATCGTGCCACTGCACTCTGCCTGGGTGACAGAGTGAGACCCTGTCTCAAAAAAAAAAAAAAGTTTTATTTGCCGGGCATGGCAGCTCATGCCTGTAATCCCAGCTCTTAGGGAGGCAGAAGCAGGAGGATAGTTTGAGCCTAGGAGTTTGAGACCTGCCTGGGCAATATAGTGAGACCCTGTTCTCCACAAAAAGGAAAAAAAGGACAAAAAAGAGAGACTGTTATATTAATCAGATTGTACAGTATGTACCTTTTGGGACTGGCTTTCGTCATTCAGCAAAATTCTGTGGAGATATCAATAGCTAACAGTATATCAATAGTTCATTCATTTTTTTTGAGACAGAGTCTTGCCCTGTCACCCAGGCTGGACTGCAATGGCGTGATCTTGGCTCACTGCAACCTCTGCTTCCCGGGTTCAAGCTATTCTCCTGCCTCAGCCTCCCGAGTAGCTGGTATTACAAGTGCGTGCCACCACACCTGGCTAATTTTTTGTATCTTTAGTAGAGACGGGGTTTCACCATGTTGGCCAGGCTGGTCTTGAACTCCTGACCTCGTGATCCACCTGCCTCAGCCTCCCAAAGTGCTGGGATTACAGGCGTAAGCCACCGTGCCCTGCCCATTCCTTTTATTGCTGATACTTTTCCATCGCATGGATGTACCAAACAGTATAACCATTCACTGGTTGAAAGACATCTTGGTTGTTTCTAGTTGTTGGATATTATGAATAAAGATCCTATAATAGTTTGTGTAAGGTTTTTGTAGGGGTGTGATACTGTGAAATATATAATTGGTCTTTCCTGGCAAACAACTCCTAATATCCTCGGAATCTCTAAAGTACTAAAGTGTCTTTTTGTATGCTAATGAGTTGACTGATGCCTGGCAGTCCCTAGGCAGCTTCCGAATGGGGCTGGTCACCAGAAAGACTAAGGTAGGTTTAGAGGGTTGGGACCCTCCAACCACCTGGGAGGGGAGAGGGTGCTGAGAGTCAAGTCGATCCACAAGGGCAAATGATTTAATCAATCATGCCTACATAATGAAGCCCCCCTAAAGCCCCAAAAGGATAAAGTCTGGAGAGCTTCTGGGTAGCCGAACACATGGGGGTTCCTGGAGGGTGGTGCACCCAGAGAGCGCATGAAGACTCCAGGCCCCTTCCCACATGCCTTGCCCTATGTATCTCTTTATTTGGCTGTGATTTATTTGTATTCTTTTTTTTTTTTTTTTTGAGATGGAGTTTCGCTCTTGTTGCACAGGCTGGAGTGCAATGGCGTGATCTTGGCTCACTGCAAACTCCACCTCCTGGATTCAAGTGATTCTCCTGCCTCAGCCTCCCAAGTAGCTGGGATCACAGGCATATGCCACCACGCCCAGCTAATTTTGTATTTTTAGTAGAGATGAGGTTTCTCCATGTTGGTCAGGCTGGTCTCAAACTCCCGACCTCAGGTGATCCACCTGCCTTGGCCTCCAAAAGTGCTGGGATTACTGGTGTGAGCCACCATGCCCGGCCTGAATTTGTATTCTTTAAAATATCCTTTATTGGTGGGAGAGGCCGGAGAATTGCTTGAGTTCAGGAATTCAAGACCAGCCTGGGCAACAAAGTGAGACCTCATTACTACAAAAAATAAAGCTCAGGTGGGGCACGGTGGCTCATGCCTGTAATTCCAGCACTTTGGGAGGCCGAGGTGGGAGGATCGCTTGAGGTCAGGAGTTCAAGACTAGCCTGACCAACATGATAAAACCTCATCTCTACTAAAAATACAAAATTTAGCTGGGTGTGGTGGCGGGCACCTGTAATCCAGCTACTCGGGAGGCTGAGGTAGGAGAATCACTTGAACCTGTGAGGCGGAGGTTGCAGTGAGCCGAGGTCGCACCACTGCACTCTAGCCTGGGCAAAAGAGCGAGACTCTGTCTTAAAAAAAAATCCTTTATAATAAATCAGTAAACATAGTCAGTTTTGTGTTTCCTGTTGAGGGTGAGCGGCCACTGTCTGGGCCGGTGGCTCACAGGTAAAAGAATTTACCACGACAGTTGTAGGTAAAGAAAGGCAGATTTATTAGAGAAAGGAGGAAAATACATTGCAAGAGAGCAACAGGTAGAATCAGCAAAAGAGGAACTGACTTCGAGGAAATGAAGGCTTGCTGGAGATTTTATAGGATGGTTCTTGGGCTGTTTGATAACGCCAAGGTAGCAGGGAGCTAACTTGCATTCTTCTGTCAGCCAAGGTGTTTGATGATGAATTGGAGTGTTTGATGATAAGCAGGAAGTTTGTGAGTTATGTACATTATTTGCTCAAGAAGACTATATGTCCTGGGCCATAAAGAAAGACAGACCTATAACTTAAACTTATCTGCATCTTCTTTTTGTTTATATGTCCTGGAGCAACTCCTTTTCCCTAATTAGGACTCCACATTTCCCTGAGTTTTTTTTTTTTTTTTTTAAATGCAGGGTCTCTCTGTCGCCCAGGCTGGAGTGCAGTGACAGCTTGCTTACTGCAGCCTCAGCCTCCCGGGTTCAAGTGATCCTTCCAAGTAGCTAGGACCACAGGTGTGTGCCACCACGCCCGGCTAATTAAAAAAAATTTTTTTTTTTTTAACAGATGAGGTGTCACTTTGTTTCCCAGGCTGGTCTTGAACTCCTGGCCTCAATCAATTCTCTCTCCTTAGCCTCCCAAAGTGCTGGCATTACAGGCATGAGCCACTACTCCCAGCCTTTCCTTGAGTTCTATGAGCCACTCTAGCAAATTAATTGAACCCTAGGAGGGGATTGTGGGAAGCTTGACTTGTAGCTGGTCAGTACGAAGCTCTGGAGTCTGAAGTGGGGGTAGTCTTCAGAACTGAGCCCTCAACCTGTGGGACCTGATGCTATATCCTGGCAGATAGTGTCAGAATGGAATTGAATTGGAGGACACCCAGCTGTTGTCTACTGCAGAATTGACCTCTTGCTTGATGTGTGAGGAAAATCCCTCACTCATCTGTTGTCACAGCATGTTATGAGAGTCTAGTAGGAGAAACTGTGTTTGTATTTCTACTCCTACACAGTGGGGTAAATGCATGTGAGAACAATTGTGGGATTGTATGCCAAGTGCATATAGAACAGAATTAATAGACAATCTTTTTTTTTTTTTTTTTTTGAGACAGAGTCTCACTCTATCACCCAGGCTGGAGTGCAGTGATGTGATCTTGGCTCACTGCAACCTCTGCCTCCCCGGCCCAAGCGATTCTCATGCCTTAGCCTCCTGAGTAGCTGGGATTACAGGCACCCAACACCATACCCTGCTAATTTTTTGTATTTTTAGTACAGACAGCGTTTCACCATGTTGGCCAGACTGGTCTCCAACTCCTGACCTCAGGTGATCCACCCGCCTTGGCCTCCCAAAATGCTGGGATTACAGGTGTGAGCCACCACGCCCAGCAATCTTTTTTTTTTTTTTTTTTTTTTGTGAGATGGAGTCTCGATCTGTCACCCAGGCTGGAGTGCAGTGATGCAATCTCGGCTCACTGCCACCTCTGCCTCCCAGCTTCAAGCTATTCTCCTGCCTCAGCCTCCCAAGTAGCTGGGATTACAGGCACCCGCCACCATGCCTGGCTAATTTTTTTGTATTTTTAGTAGACATGGGGTTTCACCATGTTGGCCAGGTTGGTCTCAAGCTCCTGACCTCAGCCTCCCAAAGTTCTGGGATTACAGGCGTGAGCCCTGAGCCCGGCTGACAATCTTTTTTTTTTTTTTTTTTTTTTTTTTTTTTTTTTTTCAGACAGAGTCTTGCTCTGTCACCCAGGCTGGAGTGCAGTGGCACGATCTTGGCTCACTGCAACCTCTGCCTCCCGGGTTCAAGTAATTCTCCTGCCTCAGCCTCCCGAGTAGCTGGGATTACAGGTGTGCACCACCATGCCTGGCTAATTTTTGTATTTTTAGTAGAGACAGGGTTTCACCATGTTGGCCAGGCTGGCCTTGAACTCCTGACCTTGTGATCCACCCACCTCGGCCTCCCAAAGTGCTGGGATTATAGGCATGAGCCATGGTGCCTGGCTGATAATCATTTTTAATACAGTTTTAGAGGTACAGAAAAGTTAAGATAGTACCTATAATTCCATATGCTGTCACCTCCTCAACCCCCCCCACAACTGGTGCAGTTTTCCCTATTATTCACATCTTGCATTAGTGTGGTACATTTGTAAAAATTAATGAACTGATAGTGATATATTACTATTAATTTTAGCCTACAGTTTATAGTAAGGCTCACTGCTTTGTGTTGTACATAGGGGTTTTGGCAAATAGATCATGACATATATCCACCAGTGCAGCTTCATACAGTTTCATTCCGTTTCACCTGTGCTTCAGCGATTCATCCTGCCTTTCCCTCTGCCCGAACCTCTATCAACCACTCATTTTTTACTGTCTTTGTAGTTTTGCCTTTTTTTTTTTTTTGACACTGTGCCTCACTCTGTTGCCCAGGCAGGAGTGCCATGGTGTGATCACTGCTCACTGCAGCCTCTACCTCCCAGGCTCAGGTGATCCTCCCATCTCAGCCTCCTGGGTAGTTAGGACCACAGGCACATGCCACCATGTCTGGCTAATTTTCAGTATTTTTTATAGAGACACGGTTTTACCATGTTGCCCAGTGTGGTCTTGAACTCTTGGGCTCAAGCAATTTGCCCACCTCAGCCTCCCAAAGTGCTGGGATTTACAGATGTGAGCTATTATGCCAGGTCTAGTTTTGCCTTTTCTAAAATGTCATGTAGTTGGAATCATGCAGTATGTAGTCTTTTCAAACTGGCTTCTTTCACTTAGCAATTTGTATTTAAGGTTCCTCCATGTTTTTTTGTGGTTTGATAGTTCCATGAATTGGAAGTACCACAGTTTGCTTATTCCTTCACCTACCGAAGGGCACTTTCATTGTTTGTAGGTTTTAGCAATGATGAAAAAAGCTACTATGAACATTCATGTGCGGATTTTTGTGTGAACATGTTTTGAACTCAATTGGCTAAATAACTAGGAGCATAATTGCTATGTCATATAAGCTTTATAAACTTTATAAGAAACTGCCCAGGCAGGGCGTAATGGCTCACACCTATAATCCCAGCACTTTGGGAGGCTGAGGCAGGTGGATCACCTGAAGTCAGGAGTTCGAGACCAGCCTGGCCAACATGGTGAAATCCCGTCTCTACTATAAATACAAAAAATTAGCTGGGTGTGGTGGCAGGTATCTGTAATCCCAGCTACTTGAGAGGCTGAGGCAGGAGAATGGCTTGAACCTGAGAGGCAGAGGTTGAAGTGAGCCACGATCGCGTCATTGTACTCCAGCTTGGGCAACAAGAGTGAAACTCCGTCTCAAAAAAAAACAGAGAAACTTCCCAACTGTCTTCCCAAGTTTTTCACCATTTTGCATTCCCACCAGCAATGAATGAGTATTACTGTTACTCCTCATCTTCACCAATGAAACCACCATTGCAAAATTGTAACTGAGACAGTGAAAGAGATCTAATCTGATCAACCCCATCTTTCTTCAAACCTCCGAGCTGTCCTTGTTCATTCCCGAGCATAGGCTGAACTAACTTAGGGAGGAACTTAGTTTGTAGTTTAAAACAAAGATGTTAACAGGCTTTTCCCAAGGCAAATCCCCTGCTTGCCTGGGGACTAGATTGCCTTTGTAGGAATAACAAGTTAGCCACCAGATAGAAATTATGGTTTAGGAGTCATGCAGCCGGAGACTACAAGATTCTGACCCTCTCTAAACTGCTCCTAAGATCAGTGCTTGAGATATTTTGCAGACCCTGGACCTAATGGATCAGCTGGCAACACCCAGATCGATAAATTGGCTCATCTGATCTTGTGGCCCCCACCCAGGAACTGACTCAGCACAGGAAGACAGCTTCCATTCCCTACGGATTCATCTTTGACCTGACCAATCAGCACTCCCGGCTTACACTGGCTCTCCCCTACCCCTGCCCCCCACCCCACCAAATTATCCTTTAAAAACTCTGATCCCCAAATGCTCGGGGAGACTGATTTGAGTATTAATACAACTCTGGGTCTTTGTGAATTACTCTGTGTGAATTACTCTTTCTCTATTGCAGTTTCTCTGTCTTAATAAATCTGCTCTGTCTGGGTAACAGGCAAGGTGAAGCCATTGGGCAGTTACACCAGCATTTGGTATTGTCAGCTTTTTAATTAATTAATTAATTATTTTGAGACAGTGCAGTGGTATGATCACAGCTCGCTGGAGCCTCAACCTCCCCAGGTTCAGGTGATTCTCCCACCTCAACCTCCCAAGAGTAGCTGGGACTACAAGCATGTGCCACCATGCCTGGCTAATTTTTGTATTTTTAGTAGAAATGGGGTTTCACCATGTTGCCCAGGCTGGTCTTGAACTCCTGGCCTCAAATGATCCTCCCGCCTCAGCCTCCCAAAGTGCTGGGATTACAGGTGTGAGCCACCATGCCCAGCCTTTTTTTTTTTTTTTTTAAAAAAAACCACATTCTAATAGGTGTGTGATCCTATCTCCTTGTTTTAATTTGCAATTCTCTAGTGACATGATGTTGAGGACCTTTTTATATGCTTATTTACCATCTGAATGTCTTTGATGAGGTCATCTTTTCAGATCTTTTGCCCACTTTTTAATTGAGTAGTTTGTTTTCTTATTGTTGAGTTTAATAGTTCTTTGTACGTTTTGGATACTGTAACCTCCCAATGGGTTCCCCTTGCCCGCTGCCTAGACAGAGCTGATATTAAGACAGGGGAACTGCACTAGAGAAAGAATAATTCACGCAGAGCCAGCTGTACGGGAGACTGGAATTTTTATTATTACTCAAATCAGTCTCCCTGAAAAGTTGGGGATCGGAGTTTTTAACGATAATTTGGTGGGTAGGGGCCAGTGAGTTAGAAGTGCTGATTGGTCAGGTCATGGATCAAATCATAGGAGTTGAAGCTGTCCTCTTGTGCTGAGTCAGTGCCTGGGTGGGGGCCACAAGACCAGATCGAGCCAGTTTACGGATCTGGGTGGTCCCAACTGATCAATTAAGTGCAGAGTCTGCAAAATATCTCAAGCACTAATCTTAGGTTTTACAATTGTGATGTTATTCCCAGGAACAATTTGGCTAGAGTCAGAATTTTGTAGTCTCTAGTTGCATGACTCCTAAATCATTACTTCTAATCTTGTGGCTAATTTCTTAGTCCTACAAAGGCAGTCTAATCCCCAGGCAGGAAGGGGGTTTGTTTTGGGAAAGGGCTGTTATCCTCTTTGTTTCAACGTTAAACTATAAGCCAAGTTCCTCTCACGCTGGGCGCGGTGGCTCATGCCTGTAATCCCAGCACTTAGGCCGACGCAGGCAGATCACCTGAGGTCAGAAGTTTGAGACCAGCCTGGCCAACATGGTGAAACCTCGTCTCTACAAAATTATAAAAATTAGCTGGGCGTGGTGGCCTGCACCTGTAATCTCAGCTACTCGGGAGGCTGAGGCAGGAGAATCGCTTGAACCCAGGAAGCGGAGGTAGCAGTGAGCCGAGATCGTGCCACTGCACTCCAGCCTGGGCGACGGTGCCAGACTGTCTCAAAAAAAAAACTAAGTTCCTCTCAAAGTTAGTTTGGTCTGTGCCCAGGAATGAACAAGGGTAGTTTGGAGGTTAGAAGCAAGACGGAGTTGGTTTAGGTTGGATCTCTTTCACTGTAATAATTTTCTCATTATAATTTTACAACGGTAGTTTCAATACAAGTCCTTTATGAGATAAGTGTTTTGCAAATATTTTCTCCCAGTCTGTGGCTTGTCTATTCTGTCATCAGCGTCTTTCACAGAAGAGAAGTTTCTAATTTTAATAATGCACAACGTACTGTTTTTTTTTTCTTTCACAGGTCATACTTTTGGTGTTGTATTCATATACATATATATTTTTATAGAGATGGGGTCTCACTAGGTTGCCCAGGCTGGTCTTGAACGCCTGGGCTCAAGCGATCCACCCACCTCAGCCTCCTAAAGTGCTGTGATTACAGGCATGAGCCACTGCACTTGGCTGGTGTTGTATTTAAAAACTCATCACCAAACCCAAGGTTACTTGGATTTTCTTCTTTGTTATCTTATAGAAATTTTATAGTTTTTCATTTTACATAGAGATCTATAATCCATTTTGAGTTAATTTTTTTTTTTTTTTTTGAGACAGGGTCTGCACTCCAGCCTTTGTCACCCAGGCTGGAGTGCGGTGGTGCGATCTCGGCTCACTGCAACCTCTGCCTCCTGGGTTCAAGCAATTCTGCCTCAGCCCCTGGAGCAGATGGGACTACAGGTGCACACCACCACAACCGACTAATTTTTGTATTTTTAGTAGAGATGGGGTTTCACCATGTTGGCCAGGCTGGTATCGAACTCTTGACCTCAAGTGATGCACTGCCTTGGCCTCCCAGTTTTGAGTTAATTTTTGTGAAACATATAAGGACTGTGTCTAGATGCTTTTTTTTTTTTTTTTTTTGCATATGGATGTCCAGTTGTTCCAGCACCATTTGTTGAAAAGACTTATTTCTTCACCGAATTTCTTTTGCTCCTTTGTCAATGATCAGTTGGCTGTTTTTGTGTGTATATATATTTCTAGGTTCTCTATTCTATTCCATTGATCTATTTGCCTATTCTTTCACCAATACCTCTGTCTTGATTAGTCTAGTTTTATAGTAAGTCATGAAGTTGGGTGGTCTCAGTCCTCTGACTTTGTTCTTGTTTAGTACTATGTTGACTACTTTGGATTTTTGCCTTTCCATATAAACTTTAGAATCAGTTTGTTGATAGCCACAAAATAATTTGGTGGGAATTTGATTGGGATTATGTTGAATCTCCTGATCAAGGTGGGGACAATTGACATGTTAACAGTATTGAGTCTTCCCTTTAGCAGCAGAGAATCCATACGGGTCTGCAGCAACCTCAATTCTTGCCTCCTCAGAAAAAAGAATTTGAGGGGCATAAGACAGAGTGAGAGACCAGGGCAAGTTTTAGAGCAGTAGTGAAAGTTTATTAAAAAGCTTTAGAGCAAGGATGAAAGGAAGCAAACTACACTTGGAAGAGGGCCAAGCAGGCGACTTCAGAGATCAAATGTGCGGTTTGACTTTGACTTGGGGTTTTATGCTTCCTGGGTCTATATTACCCCTCCTTTGATTCTTACCTTGGGGTGGGCTGTCCGCATGTGCTGTGGCTTGTCAGCGCTTGAGAAGGGGCCGCATGCGCATTGTGGTTACTGAAGTTCTACGCATGCTCACTTGAGGAGTTTTTCCCTTACCAGCGGAGTGTTCCTAAAGGAAGGTTATATACCAGTTAAACTCGGCCATTTTGCATCGTAGTGCACATGTCTTGAGCCCACTGGCCCAACTCCTGAGATCTTATTGGGAAGCTGCTGATCACCAGTTTCAGGTTTTTTGGTATCTGTTGAGAGACTGCCTTTCCCTGGCGCCAGCTGCAACCAATTATTATTTTTATTTATTATTATTATTTTTCTTTTTTATTATTATTTTTCTTTTTTTTTTAGGAGGAACAGGAGAAGCAGGAGGAGGAGGATGAGCAGGAGAGAAAGGAGGAGGAGAAAGAGGAGGAAGAGGAGCAGGAGGAGGAGAAAGAGAAGGAGGAGCAGGAGGAGGAGAAAGAGAAGGAGGAGCAGGAGGAGGAGAAAGAGAAGGAGGAGGAACAGGAGGAGCAGGAGAAAGAAAAGGAGGAGCAGGAGGAGGAGGAGAAAGAGAAGGAGGAGGAGGAGGAAGAGGAGCAGGAGGAGGAGGAGCAGGAGGAGGAGAAAGAGAAGGAGGAAGAGCAGGAGGAGGAGGAGCAGGAGGAGGAGGAGAAAGAGAAGGAGGAAGAGCAGAAGGAGAAAGAGCAGGAGGAGGAGGAGCAGGAGGAGGAGGAGAAAGAGAAGGAGGAAGAGCAGAAGGAGAAAGAGCAGGAGGAGGAGAAGCAGCAGGAGGAGGAGCAGCAGGAGGAAGAGGAGCAGGAGGAGGAGCAGGGAGCAATTATTATTTTAGAGAGACAGTTTTAACAACTGCCTGACCATCACCTCCTGGTGGGGTTTGAGGGGGGGTGCTCTCCTGCTCTGCTCATGTCTAACTACCTAACTACCTAATTACTCTAACATTTCTGTCAATAAACATGCAATATCTCTCTGTTTACTTATATATTCTGATATATTTCATGTCAAATTTTGTTTGATTTTCCTCATGTATGTCTTCTACATATTTTGTTAGGTTTATGTATATTTTATCTTTTTGGTGCTAACGTAAATGGTATTATGTTTTTAATTTTAAATATCAATTGTTCATTTCGGGTATATAGGAAAACAATTGACTTTTATTAAGCCTGTATCCTGTGACTTTACTATAATCACTTAATAGTGCCAGAAAATCCTTTACTGAAATGGATTGTGAGAGTAGCTAAATGATAGGGGTAGTATGTTTGATTTTGAATGCTGTAGAGTGGAAGAGCATGTCTGGGTTGATGCAGGACCCACAGCTCATAGTGACCAATCACAGATGGCTGTACTTGAGCCAGACACACAAAAACACAAGAAGTTATTCATGAGGGAAGACCTAGCATGCCAGACTTGCTCAAAGCCACTGTAAAGTGTGTTTACCCTGTCAGCGGAAAGAGTCAAATTCTGTAAAATATTTGAAGAGACTTATTCCAAACCAGCACTCAGGAGATACTGAGAACAGGTGCCCAAGGTATGTGTTAGATGTCCACTGATTCGGTTCGGAAAGGCGGGACAACTTGAAGTGGGGGCTTCCAGGTAACAGGTAGATAAGAGACAAAAGGTTGCATTCTCTTGGGTCTTTGATCAGCTTTTCACTGAATACATAATTTACATGTGAGAGGGGATAGAATAGTCTGCCTAATGAAACAACAGGGCAGAGGAAGCAATCAGATACCCATTTGTCTCAGGTGAGCAGAGGGAGGACATTGAGTTCTGTCTGTCCTTTGTCATCCTGCACCTGTGAAGATAAGCTATCAATTTACGTTGCCAGGGTGAAATTCAACAGAACTTTTTTTTTTTTTTTTTTTTTTTTTGAGACGCAGTCTCGCTCTGTTGCCCAGGCTGGAGTGCAGTGGCGTGATCTCAGCTCACTGCAACCTCTGCCTCCCGGGTTCAAGCGATTCTCCTGCCTCAGCCTGCGAGTAGCTGGGATTACAGGCTTGTCTCGGACTCCTGACCTCGTGATCCGCCCACCTCGGCCTCCCAAAGTGCTGGGATTACAGGCATGAGCCACCGCACCCAGCCCAGAACATCTTAAGGTAAAGGTCTTGAGGCCCACAAGGTCTTTTCTTGTGGGCAAATTGCGAGGGAGGCATGTAGCCTTTTTTTTTTTTTTAATCTTTGTAGCTATCTTATTTGGGAATAAAATGTGAAGCAGGTTTGCCTAACACCCTTTGGCTTAATGATTTTGGAGTCCTGAGATTTATTTTCCTTCACAACCCTAAGTATAGGACTGTGTAACATATGCCAAGAGGAGCACCCCTGATGAAGCAGCTGATAGGCTTCATATGCAGGCCATGTGGGACTGGCTTTATGGTGCCTATGATATTCACCCACTGAATATGCCCATTACCCAGGCCATATTCAGCTATGGTTAAGGGGTCTTTTTGCATAGGCACCCCATGTAAACTTACAGCTGCAAAATACAGCAATAGACCCAAAAGCCTCATTGAATTTGCTGCCTCAGCTTCCCTTCAGGGATCCCACAGCTGCTAATGAAAACATTAAGTTAACGTGAAAATGGGGAGAAGCCTAGGGAAGGGTCAAGTCTACCAGCAAAGTGGAAATCTCTCAGTGGCTATTAAGAAATGGGATGGCCGGGCGCAGTGGCTTATGCCTGTAATCCCAGCACTTTGGGAGGCCGAGGTGGGCGGATCACAAGGTCAGGAGTTTGAGACCAGCCTGGCCAATATGGTGAAACCCCATCTCTACTAAAAAATACAAAAAAATTAGCCAGGCGTGGTGGCGGGCACCTGTAGTCCCAGCTGCTTGGGAGGCTGAGGCAGGAGAATTGCTTGAACCCGGGAGTCACAGGTTGCAGTGAGCTGAGATCGCACCACTGCACTCCAGCCTGGGTGACAGAGAGGGACTCAGTCTCAAAAAAAAAAAAAAAAAAAAAAAAAAAGAAATGGGATGGCTGGGCTTTGTTTGGTGGCTCACACCTGTAATTCCAGCACTTTGGGAGGCTGAGACAGGTGGATCGTTTGAGCCCAGGAATTCAAAACCAGCCTGGGCAACATAGCGAAATCCCATCTCTACAAAAAAAAAATAATAAATAAAAAAAATTAGCTGAGCATGGTGGTGCACGCCTGTAATTCCAGCTGCTTGTGAAGCTGAGGTGGGAGGATCACTTGAGCTGGGGAGGTCAAGCCTGCAGTAAGCCATGATCGCACCACTGCACTCTGTCTCAGAAAAAAAAAAAAAAAAAAAAAAAGACCAAGGGCAAAGGTTCTTTGGCTCCACCCCGGGATGGGGACCCAAAGCTTTGTGCACATGAAATGGGTGGTGAAGAGAAGTTTCTGGGTAAAATGGGAGGAAAAGAGAACTTTCTGGGACCCCTTTATATGGAAGCCTCATACACGGAGGTACCAAAATCCATTAGTGAAGCTGTAACATGGGCTACAACTAGACTGGGAGAATATAGAAATGTAACAGTTGATAGGATTAAGGTGTACATTTGGGTGAAAATTGGAATGTGTTTAAACAGGCTTTGTGGCTGGGTGCGGTTGCTCACCCCTGTAATCCCACCACTTTGGGAGGCCGAGGCGGGTGGATCACTTGAGGTCAGGAGTTTGAGACCAGCCTGGCTAACATGGTGAAACCCTGTCTCTACTGAAAATTAAAAAAAAAAAAAATTAGCTGGGTGTGGTGACATGTGCCTGTACTCCCAGCTTCTCAGGAGGCTGCAGTGAGCCGAGATCGCGCCACTGCACTCCAGTCTAGGTGACAGAGCGAGACAAAGTCTCAAATAAATAAATAAGTTTTTTTTAAAAAATAAAAATAAACAGGTTTTAGCTGAATGTTTTATGGGAATGGATATTATGACTGACAGGGAACACTTCCCTTAACTAGTATTGTGACACTCAAACCTGTTGATGAAATCCCAATGGAGGAATGTAAGGGTTGATGGGATTAAGGTGGAAGTTTGGAAAATTTGTAGATTTGAACAGGCTTTATTTGAAATGGTTGCATCTCTTTTACCTCAATGTATTATGGAGATTGAAATTGTATCTGACTGTGGAATGTTTCCCCTCTCTAGTATTGTAAATTCACCCTTCAACCAGTATTACTTGAACATGCTAAACGGGAACCAGTAAGATTGCCGAAGCCCACGAAGTATACAATAGAACCTGGGGTGCCGCACAGACAGATTACCTGTACAATAGCCCTTTGTGGAGCAGAGACCGGCGCTTATGGCAAAAGCCTAAGAGCGCCTCCTAGTGGTAACCTGGGACTTTGGACTAGAGAATTTCCAGTTGAGCTTGGATTAGACATTAATTGAAAGTGCCCTTATGATTGAAGGACATAAAATAATTTTGAAACCTAAAATATCCATGATGTCTTGGGTGATGGTGTAACGCTCCAATAGGGAGTGCAGTGCCCAGAGTAGTTCCATAATTACATGGAAATGGTTCGTACAAGAATATGCTGCCAGGGGAGTGCGGAATTAGCGGTTTTCACAACCAGGTAGACTCCTTTCCGCCGGGACTGATGGAGGAGGAGCTGGTCGGTTCTGTCATCGACTGGACAATGCTCCAGCTCTCAACTGACCAACAAAAAGATGCTTGGTTTGTGGATGGCAGTTCCAAGGCGAATGGACTGCATCGTGTTTGGATGTCCCAATGGCGTCCATTATAGCAAAAGGATCCAATTTAGGATTATGTTTAGCATTTACGTGTCATCACTTTAGTGTTATTCAGTTGAGAAGGTTCCTTCTTTGCCTCTCATAACTCTTTGAAGATTTAATTAAATAATAGTATTTAAGTATTTACAAATTTATATTCTTCTCATCATATAAATTGGAATAATGATTACTGAAGCAGATCTGAATAGTCATACAAGTAAGTATATAGAATATATATTAGTTACCCCAGAGCATGAAGAGAGAAATTCCCATGAGCTAAATATTCACATGATGGATTTTACGGTGTTACTCTAAGTCCAGTCCACCTAGCATTTCCAGTTGAGCACACCCTTCCTAGGTGAAATGATAGAAAGAATAACAAACTCTTGAGTGCTAGCTCTGTATCAGTGCTGCCCTAAGCGATTCCGTGTGTGTGTGTGTGTGTGTGTGTGTGTGTGTGTGTGTTTGAGACAGAGTCTTGCTCATGTTGCCTAGGCTGGACTGCAGTGGCACGATCTTGGCTCACTGCAACCTCTGCCTCCCGGGTTCAAGCCGTTCTCCTGCTTCAGCCTCCTGAGTAGCTGGGATTACAGGTGCGTGCCACTACGCCCAGCTAATTTTTGTATTTTTGGTAGAGACAGGATTTCACCATGTTGGCCAGGCTGGTCTCAAACTCCTGACCTCAGGTGATCCACCTGCCTCGGCCTCCCAAAGTGCTGGGATTACAGGTGTGAGCCACTGCACCCGGCCATGATTCCACGTATGAATTCACCCAAATTTCACAGATGACAAGACTGAGGCTCAGAGGAAGGTAGTAACTTAGCCAGAGTAATAGCACGAGTGTGAGTCAGAGCCAAGATTTGAACCCAGGCAGCGTGGCTCCCACCACCATGTTCTTGCTTGTTCTCTTCTGTGTCCAGGAGATTCCTTCCTACCTGACCTTGTTCTCGACGCTCTCTGGTTACTTCTGCATAGCCACAGTCTAAAGCAGTTATACAACCATCCTAGGTGAGCTATGCATTTTTAAAAATTAAACTTTGATTTTGAGATCAGTATCGATTCCCATGCAATTATAGGAATAATACAGAGAGATCGTATGTGCGCTTTATCCAGTTTCTTCCAATGGTAACACCTTCCAGAACAATAGCACAATATCACAACCAGGATGTGGCCATTGACACAACCCCAGGATGTCTCCTGCTGCCCTTTCACAACCACACCTGCTACCCTTGTTCCTGCCATCTATCCCCTCGAGGTTCCTAACCCCGACACTAATCTGTTCTCTATCTCTAGAATGTTGTCATTTCACGAGTGTTATATAAATGAAAGTATACAGTATGTGACTTTTTTTGTTTTTTTTTGAGATGGAGTCTTGCTCTGTCGTCAGGTTGGAGTGCAGTGGTGCGATCTCGGCTTGCTGCAACCTTTGCCTCCCAGGTTCAAGCAATTCTCCTGCCTCAGCCTCCCAAGTAGCTGGGACCAGAGGCGTGCACCATCACACCCGGCTAATTTTTGTATTTTTAGTAGAGATGGAGTTTCACCATGTTGGCCGGGCTGGTCTTGAACTCTGGACCTCAAGTGATCTGCCCATTTCAGCCTCCCAAAGTGCTGGGATTATAGGCATGAGCCACGCCACCCGGCTCCCAATTTGCCCTTTATTTATTTGTTATTTATTTGCTTGTTGCCTTTGTTTCCTGTGTATTTTAGGATGCTTCTAAGTATAAATAAATACGTATTAGAATAAAAGGAAGAAAAAAAAGAAGAAAATATCAATACAAGTTTTAGAAAGTAGGCATGCCTGTCAGCAATCCTACTGAGCCTACTGAACAAGAAAACTTTGCAGTCTTTTTTTTGTTTTTGTTTTTTTTGAGATGGAGTCTCACTCTGTTGCCCAGGCTGGAGTGCAGTGGTGTGATCTTGGCTCACTGAAACCTCTCTTCAAGCGATTTCGTCCATCAGCGTCCCAAGTAGCTGGGACTACAGGCGTGCACCACCATGCCCTGCTAATTTTTTTTTTTTTTTGAGTCAGAGTTTCGCTCTTGTTGCCCAGGCTGGAGTGCAGTGGCACGATCTCAGCTCACTGCAACCTCCGCCTCCCGGATTCAAGTGATTCTCCTGCCTCAGCCTCCCGAGTAGCCTGGGATTACAGGCATGCACCACCATGCCCGGCTAGTTTTGTATTTTTAGTAGAGACGGGGTTTCTCCATGTTGGTCAGGCTAGTCTCGAACTCCCGACCTCAGGTGATCCACCTGCCTCAGCCTCCCAAAGTGTTGGGATTACAGGCATGAGCCACCATGCCCAGCCTGATTTTTGTAGTTTTAGTAGATGGGGTTTCACCATGTTGGTCAGGGTGGTCTTGAACTCCTGAGCTCAAGTGATCCGCCCATCCCAGCCTCCCAAAGTGCTGGGATTACAGGCATAAGCCACCATGCCTGGTCCTGAAGTCTTGCTTAATCTGTATATTCTAGGAAGACACAGCAGAGCAGGAGCTGCAATCAAGAATTACAATGCCTCAGTCGGGCGCGGTGGCTCACACTTGTAATCCCAGCACTTTGGGAGGCTGAGGTGTTCTCAGGAGTTCGAGACCAGCCTGGCCAATGTAGTGAAACCCCCATCTCTACTAAAAATACAAAAACTAGCCAGGCATGGTGGCACATACCTGTAATCCCAGCTACTTGGAAGGCTGAGGCAGGAGAATCACCTGAACACAGGAGGCTGAGATTGTGCCACTGCACTCCAGCCTGGGTGACAGAGCAAGACTCTGTCTCAAAAAAAAAAAAAAAAAAAAAAAGAATTACAATGCTTCTACGGAGAAATCAATAATTCATTTATAGTGGAGAGTTCCTGATATTTAAATTTTTTTATTACTTTATTATTATTTTCTTAGAGAATTACAATGCTTCTACAGAGAAATCAGTAATTCCTTTATAGTGGAGAGTTCCTGATACTTAAATTTTTTTATTACTTTATTATTATTATTTTCTTAGAGACAGGGTCTTGCTTCATCTCCCAGGCTGGAGTGCAGTGGCACAATCATAGCTCATTGCAGCCTCGAACTACTGCACTCAAGTGATCCTCCCACCTAAGCCTCCTGAGTAGCAGTGACTACAGGTGCTTGTCATCACGCCCAGCTAATTTTTTTGATTTTTAGTAGAGATGAGGTCTATGTTGCCCTGGCTGGTCCTGAACTCCTGAGCTCAAGTCATCCTCCCGCCTCAGCCTCCCAAAGTGCTGGGATTCCAGGCCTGAGCCACTGTGCCTGGCTATGTGTTTTTTTGTTTTTTTTTTTTGAGTCAGAGTCTTCCACCTGAGTCTCCCGAATAGCTGGGACCACAGGCGCACACCAACATGCCTGGCTAATTTTTTAATTTTTATTTTTGTAGAGACAGAGTCTCATTATGTTGTCCAGGCTAGTCTCGAACTCCTGGCCTCAAGCACTCCTCCTGCCTCAGCCTCCTGAGTTGGTGGGATTACAGGTGTGAGCCACTGCATGCAGCAGTTCCTAATACTTGAGTGTCAAGAAATCCTCTGGGGTGTGCTCAGAGCAGGGGGCCTGAAGAATGCTTCTTCTGTTTACAACACACCCAATAGGAATCTGGGGTCATTGTGACGGGGGGCACAAAACTTGTGACCTCTCTATGAACAAATGCCCCACATGTGAAAAAAAGAAATCTTTTGTTAAATCTTCATACGGATGATGGAAACAATATTTTCTTTTCTTTTTTTTGAGATGGAGTCTCCCTCTTTTGTCCAGCCTGGAGTGCAGTGGTGCGATCTCAGCTCACTGAAACCTCTACCTCCCAGGTTCAAGCAATTCTCTTGCCTCAGCCTCTCGAGTAGCACCACCACGCCTGGCTAATTTTTGTATTTTTAGTAGAGACAGGGTTTTACCATGTTGGCTGGGCTGGTCTCGAACTCCTGACCTCAAGTGATCCATCCGCCCTTGGCCTCCCAAAGTGCTGGGAGTACAGGTGTGAACCACCACACCCGGCCGGAAACAATATTTTCAATTACAACCTTGTCATAAGTGATATTACAGGTCTTCTGTGGCTATTTGTCATTTGAAAAGATTTTTTCATTAATTTTTTTTCTTTTTTCTTTTTTTTGAGACAGAGTCTTGCTCTGTCGCCCAGGCTGGAGTGCAATGGCAGATCTCAGTTCACTGTGACCTCTGACTCCTGGGTTCTAGCGATTCTCCTGCCTCAGCCTTCCAAGTAGCTGGGAGCCATTAATTTTTTTTTTTTTTTCCAAGACAGAGTCTTGCTCTGCTGGTCAGGCTCAAGTGCAGTGGCCTGATCACAGCTCACTGCAGCCTCAATCTCCCAAGCTCAAGCAGATCTTCCCACCTCAGCCTCTCGACTAGCTGAGACTACAGGCGCACGTCGCCATGCCTGGCTAATTTTTTAATTTCTTGTAGATAGGAGGTCTCCCTATGTTCCCCAGTCTCTCTCCTTGGTCTCATTCAGTTTTTAAGTAAGATTTTAAAAACTACAGGATGAAGGGCGGGCACAGTGGCTCATGCCTGTAATCCCAGCACTTTGGGAGGCCGAGGTGGGTGGATCACTTGAGGTCAGGAGTTTGAGACCAGCCTGGCCAACTTGGCAAAACCCCGTCTCTACTAAAAATACAAAAATTATCTGGGTGTAGTGGCACATGCCTGTAGTACCAGCTACTTGGGAGGTTGAGGTGAGAGTATTGCTTGAGTCCAGAAGGTTGGGGCTGCAGTGACCCAAGATCATGCCACTGCATTCCAGCCTGGGCAACAGAGCGAGACCCTGTCTCAAAGAAAAATAAAAGGAAGCAGTGGTTATTGCATATTGTACTGTACTTGTCTCGCTACCACTGAGTAGAATTTGCATTCCACGTATTTTCATCTTTACCATCCTCTTGAATCTTCAGTCTATCTTCCCTTCCTGTTTGATGTCTTCATGCTTTTCCAGCACTCTTTTTCTGGCTGGTTCTATTTTTTTCTGAGTTGGTAGATGGTGCACAATTTGAGTTTTCTGATGATTTTATTCTCAAAGAAGCCTGTGTGGGAGGAGCATTACTAAATAAGGAAGTGCTAGTCAATATCCAGATGACTAGAAATGGATAAAGTATTGTTCCCAACAGGGATCCAGTGTCCCCACGGGATGAGCATACCTTGGATATAGTCAGTCTTCCTATCTGTGCCTCAAACTGCTGTGCTGCTTCTTAAGGAGCTTCCAAAGGGAAGCTGATTTGTGAAGGGAGAACCATCAAAAAGACAGAATTGAATGACTGCAGTAGTGCTTCTTTGTCTTGTATAAGATTTCCTCTTGGGCTGGGCACAGTGGCTCATGCCTGCACAAAATGCCCAGCACTTTGGGAGGCCGAGGCGGGCGGATCACCTGAGGTCGGGAGTTCGAGACCAGCCTCACCAACATGGAGAAACCCCGTCTCTACTAAAAATACAAAATTAGCTGGGTGTGGTGGTGCATGCCTGTAATCCCAGCTACTCGGGAGGCTGAGGCAGGAGAATCACTTGAATCTGGGAGGTGGAGGTTGCAGTGAGCCCAGATTGCGCCATTGCACGCCAGCCTGGGCAACAAGAGCAAAACTCCGTCTCAAAAGAAAAAACGTTTTCCTCTTGAATTCCATTTCTGCCTGTTTTTAGCAGAGCAGCAGCTTTGGCAGCTTCTCTCTCTGTCTCTCTGTCTCTGTCTCTCTCTCTCTCTCATCTGGTCTTTGTGAAATGAGCAGCACTCTGCGTGATTCCATGCAGTTGTCTGTTTCATATGTCTTTCAGCTGCCCTATATTCTGCCTTTCCTGTTTCTTTGTTCTTACATTCTTTTTGTCAATTGTTCTTGTTTCTTTTGATATACAGCATTTCTCTTTCAGTTTTCCTTCTCAATTTCCCTCTTGATCTCTTTGTTCTTCCACTTACCTTTTCAAGTATTTTGGTTAGTCTTAGTCTGTTCACTCTGACAGTGAGGTTCTTGGTAGGTTTTTGATTTGACCTTCCTCTAAGCTCCCTTTGAGGCAATGACATGCCCTGATCTGTTTCCTCTTGTTTAATATATATGACTTTGTGTCAGGAGAGGTAGGTGGTGTATCACAAAACTCAACATTTCTGCACTGAAAGTTTTCCAAAGTGTTACAAGTGTTACTGGGTTCAAATGAGGGATGAAACAGTGACTAAACTTTCTGACTGGCTCCCATTTGCAACTCATGTTTCAGTTTTTAGTTACTGCATCTTTTGGTTTACTCTCTTATCTGAAATACTTGGCACCAGAAGTGTTTTGGATTTTTTTTCTTATTTTGGAACGTTTGAGTTATATTCACTGATTCGGGATCCCTAATCTGAAAATCTGAATCCAAAATGCTTTAATGAGCATTTCCTTTGAGCATGATGTTGGTGCTTGAAAGGTTTTGTATTTTGGAGCATTTCAGATTTTGGATTTTTTTTCCCCTCTCCTCTTCTGGAAAAAGACAGAGTCTTGTTCTGTCTTGCCCAGGCTGGAGTGCAGTGGCACGATCTCGGCTCACTGCAACCTCCGCCTCCTGGGTTCAAGCAATTCTCCTGTCTCAGTCTCCTGAGTAGCTGGCACTACAGGCATGTGCCACCACACCCGGCTAATTTTGTATTTTTAGTAGAGACTGGGTTTCACCGTGTTGGCCAGGCTGGTCTTGAACTCCTGACCTCAGGTGATCCACTCGCCTTGGCCTCCCAAAGTGCTGGGATTACAGGCATGAGCCACTGCGCCTGGCCAAGATTTTGGATTTTTGGACTGTGGATACTGAACCTGTATTGATTTTTTTTTTTTTTTGAGAGGGAGTCTCGCTCTGTCGCCCAGGCTGGAATGCAGTGGTGCAATCTCAGCTCACCGCAAGCTCCACTTCCCAGGTTCACGCCATTCTCCTGCCTCAGCCTCCTAAGTAGCTGGGACTACAGGCACCCGCCACCATGCCCGGCTAATTTTTTGTATTTTTAGTAGAGACAGGGTTTCACCGTGTTAGCCAGGATGGTCTCGATCTCCTGAGTTCGTGATCCACCTGCCTGGGCCTCCCAAAGTGCTGGGATTACAGGCGTGAGCCACCGTGCCCGGCCCTGAACCTGCATTGCTGTTAATAGCAACAGAACTGTTTGAGGATGCTTCTGTCACTTTGTCATCTTCCTAACCTGCAGCCATCTGTGTAGGCTGTTTATCATCAGCTGCCATGACACTATGACAACTGTGATGTTACTCTTGGCCACTGTGATGGCAACCTGAATGGTTTCCTGGAAGTATAGCATCATTCCCCTCTCCTCTTCTGGAAAAAGACACTTGTCATTGAATTTAGGGGCTACCCAGTTAATCCAGAATGATCTCAACTCAGATCCTTAACTACATCTGCAGAGATCCTTTTTCCAAATAACACCCAGGTAACATTCACCGTGCCTGGGTGTTAGGATGTGGATACATCTTTTGGGGGAGTGCACCATTCAACCCACTATAGTTTGTTCTCTAGCCTCCAAATTTATGTCCATCCCACATGCAAAATACATTCATCCCATTCCAACATACCCAAAAGTCTTAATGCATTACGGCATCAGTTTCTGCCTGTGGATCTGTGAAACTGGAAAACAAGTTATCTGTTTCCAAAACTACAATGGTGGGACAGGCATAGGACAGATATTCCCATTCCAAAAGGCAGAAATTGGAAGTCATAAAGGGTTCACTGGTCCCAATCAAGTTTGAAACCCAGTAGGGAAAATATCGTTAGATTAAGGCCTGAAAAATATCCCCTGTTGAGGCCGGGCATGGTGGCTCATGCCTGTAATTCTGGCACTTTGGGAGGCCGAGGCAGGTGGATCTCTGAGGTCAGGAGTTCGAGACCAGCCTGGCCAACATGGTGAAACCCCGTCTCTATTAAAAATACAAAAATTAGCCAGGCATGGTGGCGCACGCCTGTAATCCCAGCTTCTCAGGAGGCTGAGGCAGGAGAATCTCTTGAACCTGGGAGGCGGAAGTTGCAGTGAGCCGAGATCCTGCCACTGCACTGCAGCCTGGGGGATAGAGTGAGACTGTCTCAAAAAAAAAAAAAAATCTCCTGTTGCTCTGCTCTCTTGGCCTCTGCCTCGCCCATGCCTCTGCACCTGCGGTTCTGCCCTTGGAGTCATTCTTCCTTTGTGTTGCAGGTAGCACATGCTTATAACCAGATAGTTCGATCAGCCCATTTCCTGCCTATAAAGTTTTGGAAGTCTGACAGCCTTCTGTCATTTTGTCTTTTCTCTGTTTCTTTCTGTTTAAGCTGGCAGTGTTTGTACTGGTATAACATTCCCAAAAGCCTTGTCACTCTCCTGTATGTGTTCGTATTAGAGAAGAAGGCCGTCCACAGAGCTTTCTTGGATAATCCCATCTCTATTCCTGATTCTGCTGAAATGGGTCATCGGATCCTTGAGTATCACAAAGAGCATGCTTTCCCAACAGTGAATTTTCTTTCTTTTTTTTCTTTTTGAGACAAGGTCTCACTCTGTCATCCAGGCTGCTGTGCAGTGGCATGATCACCGTTCACTGCAGCCTTAACCTCCTGGGCTCCAACCCAGCTGTCCTCCTGTCTCAGCCTCCCAAATAGCTGGGACTACCGGATTGAGCTACCATCCCCGCCACCCTCCCCCGCCCTTTTTTTTTTTTTTAGACAAAGTCTTGCTCTGTCGCCCAGGCTGGAGTGATTAAACCATTAAACCACTGACCACTGGTGATCAAGTCAACCTTCAGCCACTCTCCCCTCCCAGGAGGTTGAGTATGGGGCTCAAAGTTCCAACCCCAATCAGGCACTTAACTAATTCTGTTTATTTTTTGTAGAGACGGGGTCTCACTTTGTTGCCCAGGCTGGTCTCGAACTCTTTTTTTTTTTTTGAGATGGGGTCTTGCACTGTTGCCCAGGCTGAAGGGCAGTGGCACGATCTCAGCTCACTGCAAGCTCTGCCTCCCAGGTTCACACCATTCTCCGCCTCAGCCTCCCGAGTAGCTGGGACTACAGGCACCCGCCACCACGCCCGGCTAATTTTTTTGTATTTTTAGTAGAGACAGGGTTTCACTGTGTTAGCCAGGATGGTCTCGATCTCATGACCTCGTGATCTGCCCACCTCGGCCTCCCAAAGTGCTGGGATTACAGGCGTGAGCCACCGCGCCTGGCCCCTCGAACTCTTGAGCTCAAGTGATCCTCCCACCTTGGCCTCCTACAGTGCTGGGATTATAGGCATGAGCCACTGCACCTGGCCAACAGTGAATTTTCTAATTTTAGCATCTTTTACAATCTGGATAGGCTGAGAATCTCCCAAATCATCAAGTACTGGTTCCTTTTGGCTTAACAGTTTCTTACTCAATGTATCTCTTATGTCTCACATTTTCCTGAAAGCTGTAAGAAAAAACCAGGCCGCCCCTTCAAATACGTTGCTCGAAAATCTCTCAGCTAAATAAATACCGAAGTATTTGTGTGGAAAGTACCTCTGGGTATTTCCAGAATAAAATTCTGTTAAGTTTTCTGCCATTATATAACAAGGATGGTTTTTCATCTAGTTTCCAATATCATGTTCCTCATTTCCTTCTGAGTCAAAACTAGAAGCACCTTTAACATTCATATTTCCAACATTTTGTGCGGGATGATGTTTGTATTCTGTAAGATGATAGAAGCTTTCTTAGTTGTGTTACTTCCTCCTTCTGAGCCCTCCTCAGCAGTGTTTTTTTTGTTTTGTTTTGTTCTTTTTTTTGGCAAGATCTCATTCTATTGCTCAGGCTGGATGGAGTACAGTGGTGTGATCTCAGCTCACTGCAGCCTTGACTTCCCAGGCTCAAGTGATCCTCCCACCTCAGCCTCCCACGTAGCTGGGTCTACAGGAGCACACCACCATGTCCAGCTAATTTTTTGTATTTTTGTTGGTAGAGATGGGGTCTCACCATGTTGCCCAGGCTGGTCTTGAACTCCTGGGCTCAACCTATCCGTCCACCTTGGCCTCCCAAAGTGCTGGGGTTACAGGTGTGGAGGCATCACCATGTTGCCCAGGCATTGCTCACACTCCTTGGCTCAGGAGATCCTCCTGCCTCAGCCTCTCAAAGTGTTGGGAATATAGGCACGAGCCACTGCTCCTGGCTAGATTTTTTTATTCAAGAAATGGGCGTCTTGCTATGTTGCCCAGGCTGGTTTTGAACTCCTGAGCTCAAGCTATCCTTCTGCCTTGGCGTCTTGAATAGCTGGGGCTACAGGTGTATGTCACCATGCCTGGCTTAATTGTAGATGTTAATCACATCTACAAAATACCTTCACAGCAACACCTAGATTAGTGTTTGATTGAATAACTGGGGCATATATCCAGTCCAACTGACACATCAAATTGATTATTGCAATCCACCCCTCATTATCTTGGCACCTTTACATATCTCTTTAAATCATACTTAATCTCTAAATAAAGATAACAAGCTCATACTTCTGCGTAACATGATGCAATTCTCAAGTATACAACTAAAAACACCTTCTTTTCCTCAGAAGAGGAGACAAAGTCAGTGGGTGATGCTCACACTTTCCCCTGATGTCCTGTAACTTAAATAAATAAATATTGTGGTCCAGGAGTGGTGGCTCACGCCTGTAATCCCAGCACTTTGGGAGGCCGAGGTGGGAGGGTCACTTGAGGTCAGGAGTTTGAGACTAGCCTGGGCAACATGGTGAAAACCCATCTCTACAAAAAATGCAAAAATTAGCCAGGTGTGGTGGCGTGTGCCTGTGGTCCCAGCTACTCAGGAGGCTGAGGTGGGAGGACTGCCTGAGCCTTTGGAGGTCGAGGCTGCAGTGAGCTGTGATTGAGCCACTGCACTCCAGCCTGGGTGAGAGAGCGAGACCTTGTCTCAAAAAATGAATATTGTACTATAATGTTAAGTATTAATAGTTTTCATGTTAGATGATAAGAGGATAAGAGAGGGAACAAAACAAATACTTGTGATGTATATGCATATATATTTATATATCCACACACGTATGCCTAATAAAATAAGGAAGAAATACTCATAAAAATTACAGTCCTGTAGCCAGGGGCAGTGGTGCACGCCTGTAGTCCCAGCTACTTGGGCGACTGAGGGAAGAGGATCCAGTCCAGCCTGGGTAACGAAGCAAGACCTTACCTCTAAAAAAAATGATATATTGGCCGGGTGCAGTAGCTCATGCCTGTAATCCCAGCATTTTGGGAGGCCAAGGTGGGCAGATCATCTGAGGTCAGGAGTTCCAGAGCAATCTGACCAACATGGTGAAACCTTGTCTCTACTGAAAAGAAAAAATTAGCTGCACGTGGTGGTGCATCCCTGTAATCCCAGCTACTCAGGAGGCTGAGACAGGAGAACCGCTTGAACCCAGGAGGCGGAGGTTGCAGTGAGCCGAGATCGCGCCATTGCACTCCAACCTGGGCAACAAGAGCGAAACTCCGTCTCAAAAAAAAAAAGTTATATATTTATATATAGTCGTAATTTATGCAGCTGGTCACATGGTCATAGCTGGTATTTATAACTGCCTTCTTCTACCCATTCCAGATCCCTTTGCCCTCAGCAGACACCTGAGCTGCTTCTTTACCCGATGGGGTGACCCAAACCTTTATTATTGCAGAGTCTGGGTGTATTAGTCTGTTCTCATGCTGCTAATAAAGACATACCCAAGACTTGGTAATTTGTAAAGGAAAGAGGTTTAGTTGGCTCATGGTTCCACATGGCTGAGGAGGCCTCACAATCATGGCGGAAGGCAAAAGAGGAGCAAAGTCACATCTTACATGGTGGCAGGCAAGAGAGCATGTGCAGGGGAACTCCCCTTTATAAAATCATCCATTCTTGTGAGACTTATTCACTATCATGAGAACAGCACAGGAAAGACCTGCCTCCATGATTCAATTACCTCCCACTGGGTCCCTCCCACAACACATGGGAATTGTGGGAGCAACAATTCAAGATGAGATTTGGGTGGGGACACAGCCAAACCCTATCAGCAAGCTACTGTTAGTCCTGCCTGAATTGGGTTGTTGTAGTTTTCAATTGACTTTAATCACAGGGCATTGTAGTGTGCTTTAAGGGGTCTTCTGTGTTCCAGGCCTACTCTTCTTTATCTTCATTGTTTAATAGCAACCCAGTTTCTTTTTTTCTTTCTTTTTTTTTTTTTTTTTTTGAGATGGAGTCTCACTCTGTTGCCCAGGCTGGAGTGCAGTGATGTGATCTTAGCTAACCACAACCTCCGCCTCCCAGGTTCAAGTGATTCTCCTGCCTCAGCCTCCCAAGTAGCTGGGATTACAGGCATGCAACACCATGCCTGCCTAATTTTTTTATTTTTTTATTTTTTTTGAGATGGAGTCTTGTTGTCACCCAGGCTGGGAGTGCAGTAGCACAATCTCGGCTCACTGCAACCTCCGCCTCCTGGGTTCAAGCGATTCTCCTGCCTCAGCCTTCCAAGTAGCTGGGACTACAGGTGCCTGCCACCATGCCCAGCTAATTTTTGTATTTTTAGTAGAGACAGAGTTTCACCATGTTGGCCAGGGTAGCCTAGAACTCCTGACCTCAAATGATCTGCCCGCCTTGGCCTCCCAAATTGCTGGGATTACAGGCGTGAGCCACCGTGCCCTGCTGCAAGCCAATTTCATCTTGGTAGTTAGGATCAGATGCTCCAGCCAATACAGCAACTCCCTTCTTTTCCTGTTGCTTCAGAGGCATGAGAAGCCTTAAGTGGCCGTGTGGCAGTCTTAGCTTCCAGTTCAATGAAATCACTGTTGTATCTCTTGGTGGAAGCTTTCCTCCTTTTGGAACAGAGACCCCTACACCAGTGGAGCATAATATCATGAAGGTAGGAAATAAAAATTTTGCTAGTAGGTTACTAGGGGTAATAGTGAGTAGTGCCATTTGCATTTCTGTTTGTTTTTGTGTTTTTTTTTGAGACGGAGTCTTGCTCTGTTGCCCAGGCTGGAGTGCACTGGCATGATCTCAGCTCACTGCAACCTCCTCCACCTGGGTTCAAGTGACTCTCCTGCCTCAGCCTCCTGAGTAGCTGGGAGCCATTTGCATTTTTACCTCCTTGATTCCTGGACCTGTGAATCCTGGCTATGGGAGAAATCACACCATATATTAAATGCGGATTCAGAGAATATTCAGACTCCTGCAGGACATTGCCCCAGCCCAGCAAGGTATTGCCACCTAGCTGGCACTGTAACTGAGTCTTCAAAAAGCATGGTGAGGAACATGGTGAGACTTGTGAATTCCATGAGCATGGTCCCATTGCCCCACTCCTTTTGCTGTGAAATAAGTTCCTTGGTCAGAAGCAATGCTTTGTGGAATACCATGATGGTGGATTTCCTTTGTTGCATAACCCATGTATTCATTCCTTTACTTTCAGCTATTATTTCTTTTTTTATTTCTTTTTCTTTTTCTTTTTTTTTGAGAGAGAGTCTTGCTTTGTCTCTCAGGCTGGAGGCTGGAGTATAGTGGCACAATCTCGTCTCAATACAACCTCCACCTCCTGGGTTCAAGCGATTCTCCTGCCTTTGCCTCCCGAGTAGCTGGGATTACAGGCTCATGCCACCACACCCAGCTAATTTGTGTGTGTGTGTGTGTTTTTTTAGATGAAGTCTCACTCTTGTCACTCAGGCTGGAATGCAATGGTGCGATCTTGGTTCACTGCAACCCCTGCCTCCCAGGCCCAAGCGATTCTTCTGCCTCAGCCTCCCGAGTAGCTGGGATTACAGGCGCCTGCCACCATGCCCAGTATTTTTAGTAGAGACAGGGTTTCACCATGTTGGCCAGGCTGGTCTCGAACTCCTGACCTCAGGCAATCTGCCCGCCTCAGCCTCTCAAAGTGCTGGGATTACAGGAGTGAGCCACTGCACCTGGCCTGTATTTTTTAGTAGAGACGGGGTTTCGCCATGTTGGCCAGGCTGGTCTCGAACTCATGAGCTCAGGTAATCCGCCCGCCTTGGCCTCCCAAAGTGCTGGGATTACAGGTGTGAGCCACCGTGTCCAGCCTATTCTTTCTATTTCTCTCTATTTGTCACTGATTTCTACCCACACACTGTTCTGGTCCAGGTTGCTGGCAACAATATTGGTCTAGCAAATGCCTCCCCATTGGTCTTTTCCCATTCATATAGCATATGGTTATATTGGTACCAAACTCATGGGGTATCTCAACCACTAGACAGTGCATCTGGATTCACTGTCAACCGCAATTTTGTCAGATGGGGTGAAGGCACAATCTATCTCATTAGGCCCATAGGAATTTTGGCATATATATATTTTTAAAGTATAGTTACAGATTCTTGCTAAGGATCATCTCTGCTTCCAGCACCCACAGTTGTAGCCCTGGTCCTGGAACCATTGCAACAAGGAGTAAGAAAGAAAGTTTAGGTAATATAGGGGAGAATTGTATAGTCATATTAGCATCCTCCCCCATCACCTTTACACCTCATCTCTCAGAAAAGTGGAGGAATCTCGGAATCTATCTAGCAAGAATGTTCCATTGATTCTGCTCATGTTGACTGTGAGCACAAACTTGGGAAGGTGTGTAAGCCAGCTCTTTAAGCCCATGTCTCCTCTCTCTTTCTCTCTCTCTCTGTCTCTTTTTTGAGACAGGGTTTGGGTCTGTTGCCCAGGCTGCAGTGCAGTGGTGTAACCTTGGCTCACTGCAACCTCAGCCTCCAGGGCTGAAGCAATCCTCCCACTTCAGCCTCCTGAGCAGCTAGGTTTACAGGCATACACCATCATGCCTAGTTAATTTTTGGAATTTTTGGTAGAGATGTGGTCTCCCTATGTTGCCCAGGCTGGCCTCAGATTCTTGAGCTCAAGTGATCCTCCTGCCTCAGCCTCCCAAAGTGTTGGTATTACAGGCATGAGCCACATTGCCCAGTTTCTGTTCTCTCTCTCTTTTTTTTTTTTTTTTTTTGAGACAGAGTCTTGCTCTGTCACCCAGGCTGGAGTGCAGTGGCGCAATTTCGGCTCACCACAACCTCTGCCTCCCGGATTTCAGTGATTCTCGTGCCTCAGCCTCCCAAGTAGCTGGGACTACAGGCACGCACCACCACACCCAGCTAATTTTTATATTTTTAGTAGAGACGGTGTTTCATCATGTTGGTCAGGCTGGTCTTGAACTCCTGACCTCAGGTGATCTGCCTGCCTGCCTTGGCCTCCCAAAGTGCTGGGATTACAGGCGTGAGCCACTGTGCCCAGCCTTTCCTGTCTCTCTCTATCTCTCTTATTATTATTATTATTTTAGAGACAGGGTCTAGCTATGTTGCCAAGGCTCGTCTCAAACTCTTGGGCTCAAGGGATCCTCCCAAGTCGGCTTCCCAAAGTGCTGGGATTATAGGCATGAGCTACTGGACCCAGCGTTTGACAGATGTTTTAATTGTCCATTCCAATTCTGTGCAAAACTACAACTCTGAGGATGATATGCAACATAATATGTCCATTTGGTGTTTTATCTTTTTGCCCATTGTTGGATACTATGCTGTAAGGTGTGTTCCTTGATCTGAAGAGATGTAACATGGCAGTCTAAATTGGTGTAGTATCTTCTGTTTCTTTTCTTTTCTCTTCTTTCTTTTTCAAGACAGAGCCTTGCTCTGTAACCAAGGTGGAGAGCAGTGGTGCTATCAGGGCTCACTGCAGCCTCGACCTCCTAGGCTCAGGCGATCCTCCCGCCTCAGCCACCTGAGTAGCTGGAACTACAGGCATGTGCCACCGTGCCTGGCTAATTTTTTATATTTTTTGTAGAGATGGGTTCTCCCTGTGTTCTCCAGGCTGGTCTTGAACTCCTGGCCTAAAGCAGTCCTCCCATCTCGGCCTCCCAAAGTACTGGGACTATAGGCATGAGACCCTGTGCTCAGTCATGAGAGCTGTTCATAGGGTGCCATCCATGTGGCAGTAGGAGCTGTCAGTTCCTCTGGTGGTTTCAAAGTTGGTCTTAGAGGAAATGCTGAATACGATGAGTACTGCCTTGCAATCCTCCAGTAGCATGTCCTCGTATAAACTGTTTGCATTATATTATGGAACTCTTCTGGGCATTGCCTTCCTTATTAGAATGTTTCTCTGACATCACCTAGGACATTATGGGTATTTCAGGTTTCAAGATTATTTTATCTTTCATTCACAAAAAAATCACCATACCACCACATCTGGAAATTCTCTGATCCAAAACCTCAGCCATTGCTGTTGGGTAGCACTCACAGGCTTTTGCCACAATCTCCAGTCTCTATAAATACAAGTTGCAGACATTTTCAAAATCATGTCTGCCTGTGGATCTTATATAAGGGCTCAAAAGCATCAAGAGAGTGTCTGCTCTTTGCAATTCAGACATAGCCTGCGTAAATATGGCCTTCTTTTGTGCTGTTTAATGGAGGGAAGCTAGCAATATTCTCAGATGTGGAACATGCATCCTGCAAATGACAAGTAACCTGATTAGGTACTGTGTTTCTCACGTAGTACCAGGGGTAGTAGGCAGTGACAGCAGTTCATTTTTTTCTTGCTTGGGGAATGTTAGGGGTGGATCCTGCCCAGGTTATTCCTAAGAATTTCACCATTTGAGTGGGCCTTTGGATTTTTGTCGCATTTATCAACCACCTCTGTTGGTCATGTATGTCACTATTCTATTTAAGTCAGTCCTAGCTTGCTCTTCAGTTTTTTGTTTTTTGAGACAAGGTCTCACTATGTTGCCCAGGCCAGAGTGCAGTGGCACAATCACAGTTCACTGCGGCCTCCACCTCTCTGCCCCAAGCAAACCTCCCACCTCAGCCTCCCAGGTAGCTAGGACCACAGGTGTGTGCCATCACACCCACTAATTTTTTATATTTGGAGAGACAGGGTCTCACTATGTTGCCCAGGCTGGTCTTGAACTCCTGGGCTCAAGCAGTCCTCCCGCTTCGGCCTCTCAAAGTGCTGGGATTACAGGCAAGAGCCACCATGCCTGACCGAGAACGGTAGCTTTATAGTAAGTGTTGAAATTAGGTATATAAATCCTCTAGCTTTTTTCTTCCTTTTCAAAATTGCTTTGGCTGTTCGAGGCCCTTTTAATTTCCATATGAATTTTAGAAGCAGCTTGTCAATTTCTAATTATTAATTTTGTTTTATTGATTGTGATCAATGTTGTTTGTAACATATGTATCTTAAGGAACCTACCGAAGTTGTTTTCTTTGTGCCCTAGTATTTGACCAAATTTTGTGAATATTTTATGTGCACGTGAGAAAAAGTATATTCTGTATGATCAGGGATCCAAAAGATCAACCTTACTGATTATGTGGTTTAGGTCTTTTATATTATTACTTATATTTTGTCTATTTAATCTGTCTCATTCTGTGAATGGTATGTTAAAAGTCTCCCATTAGAGAATATTTCTATTTCTTCTTTCATTCTTGTAGTTTTCGGCTTATATAGGCTGTTGATGTTACTTTATTGTTTGCATTTGATAAATTTTTTAATTTTTTTTTTTTTTTGGAGTCAGAGTCTTGCTCTGTCGCCCAGGCCGGAGTGCAGTGGTATGATCTCAGCTCACTGCAAGCTCCGCCTCCCGGGTTCACGCCATTCTCTTGCCTCAGCCTCCCGAGTAGCTGGGTCTACAGGCGCCCGCCACCACGCCCGGCTAATTTTTGTTTGTAGTTTTAGTAGACATGGGGTTTCACCGTGTTACCCAGGATGGTCTCCATCTCCTGACCTTGTGATCCGCCTGTCTCGGCCTCCCAAAGTGCTGGGATTACAGGCGTGAGCCACCGTGCCCGGCCTAAAGATTTTGTATGGATTTAGAGGATACAAGTACAGCTTTGTTACATGCGTATATTGCAGAGTGGTGAAGTCTGGGCTTTTAGTGTCACCATCACCTGAATAGGGTACATTAAATCAGATGATTAAATAAGCTCCAGACTGGGCACAGTGGCTCATGCCTGTAATCCTAGCACTTTGGGAGGCCGAGGCAGGTGGATCACCTGAAATCAGGAGTTCGAGACCAGCCTGGCCAACATGGTGAAACCCTGTCTCTACTGAAAATACACACACACACACACACACAAATTAGCTGGGTGTGGTGGCAGACACCTGTAATCCCAGCTACTAGAGAGGCTGAGGCAGGAGAATCACTTGAACCCAGGAAACAGAGATTGCAGTGAGCCGAGATCACGCTACTGCACTCCAGCCTGGGCAACAAGAGTGAAACTCTGTCTCGAAAAACAAACAAAAAAATAAGCTCCAGAGTCTTGTACTATAATACCCCAGTATCTAGTTATTATTATTTTTTGAGATGGGGTCTCACTCTTGTCACCCAGGTTAGAGTGCAGTGGCAGGATCTCGGCTCACTGGAACCTCGACTGCCTGGGCTCAGGTGATTCTCCCACGTCAGCCTCATAAGTAGCTGAGACTACAAGTGTGCACCACCACACCTGGCTAATTTATTGTATTTTTAGTAGAGACTGGGTTTTGCTCTGTTGCTTAGGCTTGTCTCGAACTCCTGGGCTCAATTGATCTGCCTGCCTCAGCCTCCCAAAGTGCTGGGATACAGGCATGAGCTACCTCACCTGACCAAGATATTGTTTACTCATTATACAAAAATCCAAAAGTTATATCAAGAACCAGGAACATTTCAATTTGAATGAGAAAAAAATCAATGGGTGCCAGCACTGAGATGATACAGAGTTTAGAATTACTTGACAAGGATTTTAAAGCAGCCATCATAAAAATACTTCAACAATTATGAACACACTCAAAACAAACTTTTTAAGAAAGTTTTCATAAAAAAATAGAAATCCCCAGCAAAGAAATAAAAGACATAAAAAGTTGCCGGGCACAGAGGCTCACGCCTGTAATCCCAGCAGTTTGGGAGGCCGAGGCGGGCAGATCACTTGAGGTCAGGAGTTGGAGACCAGCATGGCCAACATGGTGAAACCCTGTCTCTACTAAAAATACAAAAATTAGCTGGGTGTGGTGGTAAGCGCCTGTAATCCCAGCTACTTGGGAGTCTGAGGCATGAGAATTGCTTGAACCTGGGAGGTGGAGGTTGCAGTGAGCTGAGATGGAGCCACTGCACTGCAGCCTGTGCGGCAGAGCCAGACTGTTTGTTTGTTTGTTTGTTTTGAGATAGAGTCTCACTCTGTTGCCCAGGCTGGAGTGCAGTGGCTTGATATCGGCTCACTGCAACCTCCATCTCTCAGGTTCAATCGATTCTGCCCCCTCGGCCTCCCTGTAGCTGGGATTACAGGCGCGCACCACCATGCCCTGCTAATTTTTGTATTTTTAGTAAAGATGGGATTTCACCATGTTGGCCAGGCTGGTCTCAGACCCCTGACCTCAGGTGATCTGCTTGCCTCGGCCTCCCAAAATGCTGGGATTACAGGCTTGAGCCACCGCACCTGGCAGACAGAGGGAGAATCTGT
This sequence comes from Homo sapiens, assembly GCF_000001405.40. Classification (NCBI taxonomy): domain Eukaryota; kingdom Metazoa; phylum Chordata; class Mammalia; order Primates; family Hominidae; genus Homo; species Homo sapiens. The sequence continues at coordinate 47,404,483 of NC_000023.11, forward strand.
CTGAAACAAACAAACAGCCATAAAAAGTAACCAAATGGAAATTTTAGAAATTAAAAATACAATAATCAAAATGGAAACTCAGAAATGGACTCGACAGCAGAATGCAGATGAAAAAGGAATCAATGAACTTAAGCATAGAAAAAAGCCTGCATTATCTATATATAAATGAGTGACTGAATATGATGTTGTGAACCATAATGCCAGTCTAGATATCTAGACTTGGGTTTCAGGTATGGCTTTCTCTAATTCCTAACCAAGTGCCCTGGATATTATTCTTATTCTCTATTGTCTTGACTTTGTTTATTTATTATTTATTTTTTTAAATTTTTTTTTGACTTTTATTTTAGGTTTCGGGTACTGTATTAGTCTGTTCTCACACTCCTATAAAGAACGACCTGGGTAGTTTATAAAGAATAGAGGTTTAATTGACTTATGGTTCCACAGGCTGGACAGGCTTCTGCTTTTGGGGAGGACTCAGGAAACTTACAATTATGGTGGAAAGTGAAGGGGAAGCAAGGCATGTCTCACATGGCAGCAGGAGAGAGAGAGCAAAGGGGGAAGTGCCACACACTAAACAACCAGATCTTGTGAGAACTCAATCACTATCACAAGAAGAAGGGGGAGGCCGGACGTGGTGGCTCACATCTGTAATCCCAGCACTTTGGGAAGCTGAGGCGGGTAGATCACCTGAGGTCAGGAGTTCAAGACCAGCCTGGCCAACATGGTGAAACCCCATTTCTACTAAAAATACAAAAAATTAGCTGGGCATGATGGCATGCGCCTGTAATCCCAGCTACTCAGGAGGCTGAGGCAGGAGAATCGCTTGAACCTCAGAGGTGGAGGTTGCAGTGAGCCAAGATTGCACCATTGCACTCCAGCCTCAGCAACAAGAGCAAAACTCTGTCTTGAAAAAAAAAAAATGAACAAGGGGGAAATCCACCCCCATGTTCCAATCACTTCCCAGCAGGCCCCTCCTCCAACGCTGAAGATCATAATTCAACATGAGATTTGCATGGGGTCACAGAGCCAAACCACATCAGGAACATGTGCAAGTTTATTAGGCATTTGGTAAATTTTTGTCCAACCCTTTAATTTTAGCCTTTTGCATGACTGTGTTTTAATCATGTCTCTTGTATGCAGCATAGTGCTGGGCTTTGCTTTATGAGGCAATATTAAACCCTTTTTATTTTATTTATTTTTTTGATTGTATAGGTTTTTATTTTATTACTCACCTAAACATTGCTGACCCATCAATAGAACAGCCCAGCCAGACATACGTAATAGTAATCAAATACATTTGTCTTTTGTACTTTGCTTTTACATGGAAAACATAGCTTTTACATATTTTTAGGTTTTTTTCATTTTTATTTTTCAGTTTCTTTTTTATTTCAATAGGTTTTGGGGAATGGTTGGTGTTTGGTTACATGAAGAAGTTCTGTAGTGGTGACTTCAAAGATTTTGGTGCACCCATCACACAAGCAGTATACCCAATGTGTAGTCTTTTATCCCTACCCCCCTACCCTTTCTTCTCAGTCCCCAAAGTCCATTGTATCATTCTTATGCCTTTGTGTCCTCATAGCTTTGCTTTAATGTTTTATTAAAAATATTATTATTATTATTTTAAATAGATAGAGTTGGTATCTTCCTATGTTGGCCAGGATGGTCTTGAACTCCTGGCCTCAAGCAATCCTCCCACATCAGCCTCCCAAAGTGCTAGGATTATAGGTGTGAGCCACCACATTTGGCTCCCTTTTTCCTTTAATAAGCGAATTAAGCCCATTCGTATTTATTCGCGTTACTGTTAAGCTTGGTCTCAATTCTCTCATTTTATTTTATGTTATAATCACTGTGGTATATATTTTATTTACTGTATTTCTTTCTCTCTCTCTCTCTCTCTTTTTCTTTTTTTGAGACAGAGTCTCACTCTGTCACCCAGACTGGAGTGCAGTGGCGAGATCTTGGCTCAATGCAACTTTGGCCTCCCCGGTTGAAGCGATTCTCCTGCCTCAGCCTCCTGAGTAGCTGGGATTACAGGCACGCACCACTACACCTGGCTAATTTTAAAAATTTTTAGTAGAGACAGGGTTTCGCCATGTTGGCTAGGCTGGTCTTGAACTCCTGACCTCAGCTGATATGCCTGCCTGGGCCTCCCAAAGTGCTGGGATTACAGGCGTGAGCCACTATGCCCGGCCGAAACATGATTGACTTCGATGAGTTGACTTTGTGTCCTGCAGTCTTGCTAAGAGCTTCTTTGTAGATTCCTTAGGATTTTCTACATAGACAATCATATTGTGTGAGAACAGAGACAGTTTTATTTATTCTTTCCAACCAGTTATATGCCTTTTATTTCCTTTTTCTTGCCTGATTTCACTAAAGTAGGACTTTGAATAGGATTTTGATTTCGAATAGGATTCGTAAAAGTGGACGTCTCTTGCCTTTTTCCTGATCTTCTAGGGAAAGCATTCAGTCTTTTTCATTACATATGATGTTAGCTGTAGGTTTTTGGTAGATGATCTTTATCAGGTTAAAGAAGTTTCCTTCTATTCCTACTTTGATGAGAGGTTTTGTCAGGAATGAATGTTGAATTTTGTCAAATGACTTTTCTATATCAATTGATGATTGTGTGGTTTTTCTGTTTTAGTTTCTTAATATGGTGGATTATATTGATTGATTTAAAAATGTTCAGCCAGCCTCACGTTCTCTGGATAAACACCAACTGATCATGCTATGTGTTTACATATGTTGCTTGATTTGATTTGCTAATATTTGTTGAGGCTTTTTACTTCTATGTTTATAAGGGATATTGGACTGCAATTTTCTTTTCTTGTCATGTCTTTGTCTGATTTTGTAATCAGGATAATGATGGCCTCATAAAATGAGAAGTGTCCTTGTCTAGAAAATGGAAGAGGAAAGACTGTATAGAATTGATGTATTCCTTAAATATTTGGTAGAATTTACTAGTGAAACTATCAAGGCCTGGGAATTTCTTTTTTGGAAGGTTTTAAACCACAAGTTCAGTTTATTTAATTGATATTCCATTCAGTTGTCTGTTTCTCTTTGGGTAAGTTTTGGTGTTTTGTATATTTCATGGAATTGGTCCATTTCATCTAAGTTGGTGAATTTATGTGAATAAAAATGTTCGTGGCATTCTCTTACTCTCATTTTAATGTCGTTAGAGGTATATAGTAATATCTCTTTGTTTTCTTTTCTTTTTTTCTTTTTTTTTGAGATGGAGCTTGGCTCACTGCAACCTCCACCTCCCGGGTTCAAGCAATTCTCCTGCCTCAGCCTCCCAAGTGGCTGGGATTACAGGCCTGCACCACCATACCCAGCTCATTTCTTACCTATCACTTTAAACTGGAAATGGCACTGTTACTTGAAAGTGTCTCCCCTCCTACCTTCCAACACCCCACACTTTCCTGGTTCTATTTCTACCATCTAATAATTGTATTAGTCTGTTCTTGCATTGCTATAAAGAAATACCTGAGACTGGGTAACTTATAAAGAAAAGAGATTTAATTGGCTCATGGTTCTGCAGGCTGTACAAAAAGCATAACGGCTTCTGGGGAGGCCTCAGGAAACTTCCAATCCATGGCAGAAGGCAAAGAGGAAGAAGGAAGAAATTTTTTTTTTTTTTTAGACGGAGTTTCACTCTTGTCACCCAGGCTAGAGTGCAAGGGCACGATCTCGGCTCATTGCAACCTCCGCCTCCTGGGTTCAAGTGATTCCTGATTCTCCTGCCTCAGCCTCCTGAGTAGCTGGGATTACAGGTGTGCACCACCATGCCCCGCTAATTTTTGTATTTTAGTAGAAATGGGGTTTCACCATGTTGGCCAGGCTGGTCTCAAACTCCTGACCTCAGGTGATCCACCTACCTCAGTCTCCCAAAGTGCTGGGATTACAGGCGTGAGCCACCGTGCCCGGAGGCATATCTTTGTGTGTGTGTGTGTAAGATAGGATCTCGCTCTGTCACACAGGCTGGAGTGCAGTGGTGTGATCTTGGCTCACTGCAGTCTCAACCTCCTGGGCTCAAGTGATCCTCCTGCCTCAGCCCCTCAAGTAGCTGGGATTATAGACATGCACCACCATGCCCAGCTAATTTTTGTTTGTTTGTTTGTAGAGACAGGATTTCACCATGTTGCCCAGTCTGCTCAAATTCCTGGGCTCAAGCTGTCCACCTGCTTCAGCTTCCCAAAGTGCTGGGATTACAGGCATGAGCCACTGCGCCCGGACAGCAGGCACATCTTACATGGCCAGAGCAGGAGGAATTGGGGCACAGGTGCCACACACTCTTAAACAACCAGATCTCATGAGAACTCACTATGGCGATGACAGCACCAAGGGAGGATGGTGTTAAATCATGAGAAACCACCCCCATGATCCAATCCCCTCCCACCAGGCCCCACCTCCAACACTGGGGATTACAATTCAACATGAGATTTGGGTGGAGACACAGATCCAAACCATATCAGGAATTTACTCTGCAACCTTCATAGCATATTGGTGTTCCCTCAAACTCTGTACTTGGTGCTTCTCTCAAACTGTGCTCCTTCTTAGCTATCCAATTTATTCTGGTGGTTTCAGCTAGTACTGGAATGATCTTACCCCCCAAACCTTGGCCTCTGCTAGCCTTCTCTCTTGAGCTCCAGCTGGACATCTCTGTCAGTATGTTCCATAAACACTCCAAAGTCTATCTCAGTTTTTCTTCCATGAACTCATTGTCTCTCCTGTTTTGCTAATGTCTATACATGGCTCCAGCCTCATCCCAGCTGTTCATGCAGTTATCCTGGGAGCAATACTGTCTCCCTTTCTCCCACAGAACAGCACTTCTGTATCATTTATAAGTATAAATATATTTTGTTTCTTTGTTTTGAGACAGGGTCTCTCTGTCGCCCAGGCTGGAGTGCAGTGACGCAATCTCAGCTCACTGCAACCTCCACCTCCCGGGTTCAAGTGATTCTCCTGCCTCAGGCTCCCAAGTAGCTGGGATGGCAGGCACCTGCCACCATGCCCGGCTAATTTTTTTTTTTTTGTATTTTTAGTAGAGATAGGGTTTCACCATGTTGGCCAGGCTGGTCTCGAACTCCTGACCTCAAGTGATCCGCCTGCCTCGGCCTCCCAAAGTGCTACGATCATAGGCATGAGCCACCATGCCCAGCCAGCTTCTTTTTTTTTTTTTGAGACGGAGTCTTGCTCTGTTGCCCGAGCTGGAGTGCAGTGGTGTGATCTTGGCTCACTGCAACCTCCGCCTCCTGGGTTCAAGTGATTCTCCTGCCTCCGCCTCCTGAGTAGCTGGGACTACAGATGTGCACCACCACACCCAGCTAATTTTTGTATTTTTAGTAGAGATGGGGTTCACCCCATCTCTGTTGGCCAGTCTGGTCTTGAACTCCTGATCTCAGGCAATCCACCCAGCTTGGCCTCCCAAAGTGCTGGGATTACAGGCGTGAGCCACCGCGCCCAGCCTCCTTCTTCATTTTTTAACCCAGCAACTTGCACACGTCCAGGCACATAGTGTTTGTTTTTTCATTGGTTTTCCAGAAATATGCTTACTGAGGCACATAGTGTTAACTCAGGAGTGCAGTGATCTTTTTTTCATGCATTAATAAATTAACACAGTAACAGAGCTGTTCCAGGTACCCCCCACCCCAAAAGTATATCAAGCGAGACACAAAATCAGGTATCCAGTGTAGCTCTATTTAGTCAACTTTCAACAGGGCTCCATTGAGAAGATTAGTTCCTGCACATCTTTTTCATGCATCCCATTCTGATCATTGGAGATTGTTATTACAGGGGTCCGTGTCATTCGAGGATGTGGCTGTGGATTTCACCCGACAGGAGTGGCACAGACTGGACCCTGCTCAGAGGACCATGCACAAGGATGTGATGCTGGAGACCTACAGCAACCTGGCATCTGTGGGTGAGGATGATTGTCCGTGTAACTCCTGAGAGCGTGTGTTTCCTTTCTTGGTTGCTGTAACATGTGCAGCCTTGCGAGGGTTTAATGATATTAAGAGTCACAGATGAGTAATCAGTTTAGGGCACCAGAAAAAATGTGTGCGTTCTTACTTCCCCAATGAAAGGTTTAAATGGGCCCCCTTCCTTGTGCAGCTCATGAAGATGCACCTTCCTCCTCCATCAGAGGCCCTAGAGCTCAGACAACTTGGCCCACGTCCTGTGCCATTTCCCATTAACAGGCCTCTGCGTGGCCAAACCAGAGATGATCTTCAAGTTGGAGCGAGGAGAAGAGCTGTGGATATTAGAGGAGGAATCCTCAGGCCATGGTTACTCAGGTAAGTACTGGGCAAGAACTGGACATATGGAAAATAGGGGAAATAAGAGCCCAGGAATTCAGGTCAAAGGGTATGCTTGTGCAACACTTTCTAGGAATCTCTTTTTAGAGTTCCTAGCTCTTTGAAAATAAGGACGGAAGGTCTACATGCTTCAGATACCAAAGTCACACATCTTAATATCACACTCAAACTTCAGTGCTTTCTCCGGTTTTATCTTGATTTTTTTTTTTTTTGATGGAGTCTCACTCTGTCATCCAGGCTGGAGTGCAGTGGTGCGATCTCAGCTCACCACAACCTCCACCTCCCGGGCTCAAGCGATTCTCCTGCCTCAGCATCCTGAGCAGCTGGGATTACAGGTGCGTGCCACCACGCCTGGCTAATTTTTGTACTTTTAGTAGAGACAGGGTTTCACCATGTTGGCCAGGTTGGTCACGAACTCCTGACCTCAAGTGATCTGCCTGCCTTGGCCTCTCAAAGTGCTGGGATTACAGGTGTGAGCCACCGCACCTAGCCTTTATCTTGATTTTTAAGTTATTTACCACTCTTATTTATCTCTGCCTCATCTTAAACATTTATTCTTTTATTTTTTTGAGACAGAGTGTCTCTCTGTTGCTCAGGCTCGAGTGCAGTGGTGCAATCATGGCTCAACCTCAACTTAAAACCTCACCTGCCCGGTTTAAACGACCTTTCCAGGGCAACCTCCCTAGTAGCTGGGACTACAGGCACGCACCACCATACCTGGCTGATTTTTGTATTATTATTATTTTTTTTTTGTAGAGACAGAATCTCACTATGTTGCCCAGGCTGGTCTTGAACTCCTGGGCTCAAGTGATCCACCTGCCATGGCCTCCCGAAGTGCTAGGGTCAGAGGTATGAGCCACCACACCTGGCAACATTTATTCTTTCTTCCCTCCATTGCCTTGGATGCTTTCTGTTATCAGGCATTCATTCATATATTCATTTAGTCATCCATGAAACTTTAAATGAGTATCAGTTATATGCTGTGTATGTTCTAGGTGTGGGAAACTGGTAGTGAATAAAATAATATCTCTGTTCTCTTGGAGCTTACAATATAGTGGGGGAAAGTGACCAGAAACAAACAAATACATCATATGTTTGATGGTGAAAAGAAAATCAGTGCAAGGTAAGAAGGATAGATACTGATTTTTAGGAAATAGAGGGTTTTTTGTTTGTTTGTTTTTTGATGGAGTCTCACTCTGTCGCCCAGACTGGAGTACAGTGGTGCGATCTCAGCTCACTGTAACCTCCACCTCCTGGGTTCAAGTGATTCTCTTGCCTCAGCCTCCCGAGTAGCTGGGATTACAGGCGGGCACCATTATGGCCAGCTAATTTTTGTATTTTTAGTAGAGATGGAGTTTTGCCATGTTGGGCAGGCTGATCTCAAACTCCTGACCTCAAGTGATCCGCCTGCCTTGGCCTCCCAAAGTGCTGGGATTACAAGCGTGAGCCACTGTGCCTGGCTGGAATAGAGTTTTAAAGGTTGTGTTAAGGAGTTTAATTTTATACTGTGACAAGAGAAGCCAGTTTGGGATTTTACATAAAAGAGTGACATGCTGTGATTTATTTTTAAAGGATCTCTCTCACTGCTGTGTGGCAATGGTTCTGTTGGGGATAATGCCCTCAGGCATGATAATGACCTTCTTCACCATCAGAAGATTCAAACATTGGATCAAAATGTTGAATATAATGGATGCAGGAAAGCCTTCCATGAGAAAACAGGCTTTGTTAGACGTAAAAGAACACCCAGAGGAGATAAAAACTTTGAATGTCATGAATGTGGGAAAGCTTACTGTAGGAAGTCAAACCTTGTTGAACATCTGAGAATACACACAGGAGAGAGACCCTATGAATGCGGTGAATGTGCAAAAACCTTCAGTGCAAGATCATACCTCATTGCTCATCAGAAAACTCACACAGGGGAGAGGCCCTTTGAATGTAATGAATGTGGGAAATCTTTTGGCAGGAAGTCACAACTCATCCTACATACAAGAACACACACTGGAGAGAGACCCTATGAATGTACTGAATGTGGGAAAACCTTTTCTGAGAAGGCAACCCTCACGATTCATCAGAGAACTCACACAGGGGAGAAACCCTATGAATGTAGTGAATGTGGGAAAACATTTCGTGTAAAGATATCCCTTACCCAACACCACAGAACTCATACAGGGGAGAAACCTTATGAATGTGGGGAGTGTGGGAAAAACTTCCGTGCAAAGAAATCCCTAAATCAGCATCAAAGAATTCACACAGGTGAGAAACCCTATGAGTGTGGTGAATGTGGGAAATTCTTCCGAATGAAGATGACTCTCAATAATCATCAAAGAACTCACACAGGTGAAAAGCCCTATCAGTGTAATGAATGTGGGAAATCTTTCAGGGTGCACTCATCTCTTGGGATCCATCAGAGAATTCACACAGGAGAGAAACCTTACGAATGTAATGAGTGTGGTAATGCTTTCTATGTGAAAGCACGCCTAATTGAACATCAGAGGATGCATTCAGGAGAGAAACCCTACGAATGTAGTGAATGTGGGAAAATCTTCAGTATGAAGAAATCCCTTTGTCAACACCGGAGAACTCACACAGGAGAGAAACCTTATGAATGTAGTGAATGTGGAAATGCCTTCTATGTGAAAGTACGCCTCATTGAACATCAGCGAATTCACACAGGAGAGAGACCCTTTGAGTGTCAAGAATGTGGGAAAGCTTTCTGCCGGAAAGCACACCTCACAGAACATCAGAGAACTCACATAGGCTGGTCCTGGCGTTGTACAATGAAGAAAGCCTCTCACTGAAGACTTCCCTCACCATTGGATCAAGCTCCTTGGGGGCATATGATCACCAGGGCACACAGTGTGCCTGTGAAAATTTGGCACCTACATTTGTATCAAAGTATGTCCTGATCCCCTTAGGGGATAGCTCATTGTTTTTATTCAGATTTCCCTAATTAGTGGTGTGTGAACATCTTATCTGTTGATTGGCTATTTGGGTTTTTTCTTCTGTGCATTGACTGTTCATGTCCTCTGCTCATTGTTTTCAAATGGGCTGTTCATCTCTTGCTTTTTGGTTTAAATGTTGTTTTTTAACATATGAGAATATAAAAATCCTTTTTTTTTCAGTCATATGTGTTGCAAATATCTTCTCCCAGACTGTCGTTGGTTTTTTAAATTTTGCCATCTGTTTTCTTCTGCTGAAGTTTTATATTTTATTTATTTATTTTTTATTTTTTTGAGATGGAGTCTCACTCTGTCACCCAGGCTGGAGTGCAATGGCATGACCTCAGCTCATTTCAACCTTCGCCTCCCGGGTTCAAGCGATTCTCCTGCCTCAGTCTCCCAAGTAGCTGGGATTACAGGTGTGCACCACCATGCCTGGCTAATTTTTGTATTTTTAGTAAAGACGGGGTTTCACCATGTTGGCCAGGCTGGTCTCTAACTCCTGACCTCAGGTGATCCACCTGCCTCGGCCTCCAAAAGTGTTGGGATTACAGGTGTGAGCCACCGTGCCCGGCTAAAGTTTTATATTTTAATATTATCAGTTTCAAGGTGATAATATTCACCTATACTTTCCTCTAAAGGTTTTCCTTTCAACATTTAGAATTTTAATCTCCTGTGAGATTTTTTTGTTATAGCATGAAGTGTGCAATACATACTACTATATTGTCTTTATATAATTTTACATAAATGGGCTCACACTGTATTTAAAGTTCTGCAGCTTGCTTTTTTCATGTAATGTTACCTTTCCAAGATCTGTCCTTGTTGATAAGTATAGGTCTGGCTAGTCATTTATCTCTCCATTCCCCTAGTAAAAGACATTTGTATCTTTTTCGAGTTTAGTGTCTAAATCTAGAAGTGGAACTGATGGGTCATAGGATTTAGGCAATGTGCTGGTTATTAAGCTATTGTGTCCGAGCTCCAAACCCACCCTTCTTGACTGTGCTTTGTGACTTTACAAACCACATTTTGGCTTTGTCAACTGCTCCCTGTTGGGCCTTGCCAATAAGAGATACTAGATATAAACTTTGGGGCTGGAGAGGGAAGAAGGGACTTGCTCCTTTTTTTTCTATTCCTATTAGCTTCCTGGTCATTGGAGTGTCCGCTCAGCATTGCTTCTTCACTCAGACACCAGCAGTTCCTTGTCACAGCAGCAGTTTAATCTAGTTTGCAGCTTTCCAGCACTCACAGATGGTAGCCCATCCCCTCTGAGACACAAGCATCAGCTGGCTGGTGTCACCTCCTTAGAGATGTGAATTCTAGTCACATGGGACCCCTCCTCCCCCTTCTAAGTTTTAGTAATTTCAATTTATGGTTGGGTGCAGTGGATCATGCCTGTAATCCCAACACTTTGGGAGGCCAAGGTGGGTGGATTGCTGGAGCCCAGGAGTCAAGACCAGCCTGGGAAATATGGTGAAACTCTACCTCTACAAAAAAAATTCAAAAATCAGCTAGGCATGGGACCACACCTGTGGTCCCAGGTACTTGGGAGTCTGAGACTGGAGGTTGAAGCTGCAGTAAGCCATGATTGTGCCACTGCACTCCAGCCTGGGCAACAGAGCAAGACCCTGTCTCCCAAAAAATTGTCAACTTCTTCCCTTTGTTATTCCAGCCCAGCTGTTTTCTGCAGTTGCTACCTCCCTGATAACTTGAATGTTCTCTGTCTCTTCAGTTATTTGGTTTACAACCTCATAACTAGTTAAAATTATTTATAAGTTCTCTCTGTTAAAATAACTAGTGTGGTTTTTGTCTCCTAGTTGGGCTCTGATTGATACAGAAGGTTTTTTAACTTTATTAAGTATTGACATTTCCCTTCCAAATTGTATTAATTTATACTCCCATGAGCAGTTTGAGAAAGTTTTCATTTTGCCATTCAGCAGCACTTATTATCAGTCCTTTAAATTATTGCCAATCTGTAAGGTCTGAAATGGCTTTGAGCCTTGGCTTCCATGAATGTGGTTTGTCTTTCTTTCTTTTGTTCTTTTCTTTTCTTTCTCTCTCTCTCTCTTTTCTTTTCTTTTTTATTTTTATTTTTTGAGATGGAGTTTCACTCTTGTTGCCCAGGCTGGAGTGCAATGGCGTGATCTCGGCTCACTGCAACCTCCGCCTCCCGGGATGGAGCAATTCTCATGCCTCAGCCTCCCGAGTAGCTGGGATTACAGACACGCATGACCACACCCAGCTAATTTTTGTACTTTTAGTAGAGACGGGGTTTCACCATGTTGGCCAGGCTGGTCTCAAACTCCTGACCTCAGGTGATCTGCCCACCTCAGCCTCCCAAAGTGCTGGGATTACAGGCGTGAGCTACTGCGCCTGGCCTATTTATTTATTTGAGACAGAGTCTCACTCCATCACCCATGCTGGAGTGCAGTTGTGCAATCTTGGCTCACTGCAACCTCTCCTTCCTGGTTCAAGTGATTCTCGTACCTCAGCCTTCCGAGTAGCTGGGACTATAGGTGCACACAACCACGACCACCTAATTTTTGTATTTTTAATAGAGATAGGGTTTTGCTATGTTGGCCAGGCTGGTCTCGAACTCCTGACCTCAAGTGATCTGCCTGCCTCGGCTTCCCAAAGTGTTGGGATTGCAGGAGTGAGCCACTGCACCTGGCCTGTCTTTATTTTTTAACTCATCTTTCCTATCCTTCAATAGTATTTTGTGGTTTTCTCCAAGAAATTGTCTATGAAAGTTAATTTTTTAATAGCAGTTTTGCATTTATACAGGTATACATATATATATTTCAAAATATAATGATGTTGTGGGGTTTATATATATACTTACATATAATATTTGTGTCTCTCTCTCATACACAGACACATCTCCCCACACAACATTTTTGTTTGATGTGGGCAGTTTTAATTTCATTTTACCCAAATATTTACCACCTTGGTTGCACTTCATTACTTTCTGCGTTTCATCCAGGATCATTTTCTTCTTTGCCTGAAAAATACTCCATAGAGTATCCTTTAGTAAGAGTCTGTTGCTGGTGAGCCTCTCAGTTTTGTCTAAAAATGTTTTTCATTGTACCTTTTGTCACTGGCTGGGGCCGGCATCACGGGTGGTAAAAGAATTTACCAAGACAGTCATGAATTAAAGAAACCAAGTCTATTAGAGGGAAAGTAGGTTGCAAGGAGGCAATGGGCAGCACAGCAGAGAAAGGGGCTGTCTGCAAAGAGGCAAGAGCTGGAGGGAAGTTGTATAGGGTTGTGCTGGAGGGACTATGTGAGGAATGAGTTTGTGCTGCTGGGGCTTTGCACAGAACAAGGTATTTGGGAACAGGTTGTTGTGCCAGCAGGTTGTTTGTGATTAGTCGTCTCTCAGAACAATGGTTCTTCCCCACCTTCTTGCTTATTTATCTCATCGGGACTCCACACTTTTTTACAAGTAAAAGTGAATCCTTTACCTTAAATATTTGGTAGCACTATGTCACAGTAAACTGATAAAAAATTAAGTACTTGACTGGGCACAGTGGCTCACACCTGTAATCCCAGCACTTTGGGAGGCCAAGGCGGGTGGATCACTTGAGATCAGGAGTTTGAGACCAGCCTGGCCACCATGGTAAAACCCCGTCTCTAGTAAAAATTAGCTGGGTTTGGTGGTGCATGCCTGTAATGCCAGCTACTCGGGAGGCTGAGGCAGGAGGATCACTTGAACCCGGGAGGTGGAGGTTGCAGTGAGCTGGGATGGTGCCACTGCACTCCAACCTGGGCGACACAGCAAGACTCCATCTCAAAAAAAAATTAAAAAATTAAGTACTTTTTTACTTTTTTCCTGAGTGTCCTTTAATGATTATCGTCATCCAAGGTATTTGAATTACTCATCAGATACCCCACAATACAGCATATATTTGAATATATATAAAATACACTTTGTGTTTTCTGTGCAGTATGCCCTCACTCTATTAAGTATTAATTAAGTATATCAAGATGCCATTTCATCAATACTTCCGATCTGTAGCTCACCACCCCCCCGCCTTTTTTTTCTTTTTGAGATGGAGTTTTGCTCTTGTTGCCCTGGTTGGAGTGCAATGGCATGATCTCTGCTCACTGCAACCTCTGCCTCTCAGGTTCAGGTGATTCTCCTGTCTCAGCCTCCTGAGTAGCTGGGATTACAGGCATGTGCCGCCACACCCAGCTAAATGTTTTGTCTTTTAAGTAGAGACAGAGTTTCACCATGTTGGTCAGGCTGGTCTCGAACTCCTGACCTCAGATGATCCACCCGCGTCGGCCTCCCAAAGTGCCAGGATCACAGGCGTGAGCCACCGCACCCAGCTGATGTTTTTAAATTTTTATTATGGAATATGCCAACCATAAATAAGATAATTTATAGTGACACAAAACAGAATAGTTGTTGCCTCTGGGGTGAAAATTGACTTGAAAGGGGTAGGAGGGAACTTACTGGGGCGATGGAAATACTCCATATCTTCACTGGAGTGTGAATGCAATAGTCATCAAGTGGGTAAACTTAAGGTTTATTTGTTTTATTGTATATAAATTATATCTCAATTGAAATGTGAAAACAAAGCAATAAAACATCCCCTGTTCCCATTTCAGGAGTCATGTCTGGGCTGCCTGGGAGGACAACAGGAATACTGATCGCTAGAGCAAATAAAAGACTCTTGGCAGTGGGCAACTTGGTCCTCCTAAGGCTTTAGAAATTGTCTTGCTCCATGAAAATGACATGTTCTGAGGCCCCAGTCTGGGGTATACTGACTTTCATTAGCTAACGTCACCATCCGTGGTGCTCCCTCACTTGCCAACACTGCACTGTAGATTTGACTCCCAAGAGCCTAAGGATAGTCTCTGCCAATCCTCCAGTAGCCACCATCATAGTAGTTTTTACCCCCATCAGTCAGCAGTCCAGTGTCTACTAACCCCTCCATTAATTCACAGCAGTTCTTACCACCCCTTTAAGCCAGAGCACGATGTGTGATCACCCATTAGCTCACATCATATCTTATCACCTACCTTCAACCCCAGCTTAGTGTCTGATGGTCTTCCATTAAGTCAGTATCATGTCTTACTTCCCTCCTTTAGACTTAGCATGGTGACAGCTGACTCCCATTAGCTCACAGCCCTGTGTTTTGTCTTCCTGTTGACCTAATGTAGTGTCTGTTGACTCCATGTTAGCTTCACCATTTTGTTTGCTAATTCCCCATTGGCTACAGCCTCCCAAGTAGCTGGGACTACAGGCATGTGCCACCAGGCCTGGCTAATTTTTAAATTTCTTTGTAGAGACAGGATCTTGCTATGTTGCCCAGGCTGGTCTCAAATTCCTGGACTCGAGATCCTCCTGCCTCAGCCACTCAAAGTGTTGGGATTACAAGTGTGAACCACCATGCTAGGCCTGTCTGCTGATTTTTTTTATTAGCTGTGGGTACAGTGTCTTTGCCACATGAGCACACAGCACAGTGGGCTCAGCACAGCACAATGGCACCCAATGGCTGTTCCCCAATTAGCTACCAATATGATGACTTTGGTCCTCTTGGGCCTCAGCACAGTGTCTCCAGAACTCGCATGACCATGTCACTGTCTTTTGATCCCCCATTACCAGGTTGCAAGATTTTTAAGCTTGAGGACCCAGTGGTGTCTGCTTCCCCAAAAATAGCCCCTAATGGTGTATCAACTGCCCATGTATTACAGCCCATGAGTATATCTGCTGACCATACATGAATGTCTTCTGATTTACTTTCCACCAGCACAGAGAATGTCTTCTGATTTACTTGCCACCAGCACAGATGCCCTGCTTTTGGACCCATCACCATATTTTTGTCCTTACCATAGTTCAATCATTGTGTCTGCTGAATCCCCCCATTAGCCACTAGTATTGTGTCATTGGCCCACTGAGGCCTTGGTGGAGTCTGCTGACCCCAGATTAGCCCTTATCACTGTTTGTTGCTCCTCCATTAGCCAACAGTACAGTTTCCTCAGCACCCATGAGGCCCCAACAATGTCTTTGCTGACCCAACTTTAGCAACTCTCACTCTACTGATCCCCACTTAGTCATAAGAACAGAGACTTTAACCTCCATGAACTCCCAGTACAGTGTCTGCCGATTCCACATTAGCTTTGGCTTTCTGGTCACCCATTGGCCATGAATACAGTGGCTTTGGCTCTCATAAGACCCAATCACAGTGTTTGCTGACCCTGTATTGACTGCCTTCACTGCCTGGTGATCCTCCATCAACCATGCATAGAATGTCTTTGAATGCAATGATGCCCCATCACAGCACACGCTGTCCTGCATTGCAGCCCATCACTGTCTGCTAATCTGATTATATGAGCCTCAACACTGTGTCTGCCGACTACTAGACACCACTATGGAGTCTGCCTCATGTTTCTCAATCACAGTATCTGCCAACCCTATATTAGTGTCACCACTGTGTCTGCTAATCTTTTTTTTTTTAGATGGAATTTCACTCTTGTTGCCCAGGCTAGAGGGCAATGGTGCAATCTCGGCTCACTCCAATCTCCACCTCCCGGATTCAAGCAGTTTTCCTGCCTCAGCCTCCCCAGTAGCTGGGATTACAGGCACCCGCCATCATGCCCAGCTATGTGTCTGCTAATCTTGGTCACAAGTACAGTGTCTTCAATCTTCATAAAAAATCAGCCTGTCTGCTCTCCCCACATTAGCCCTTAGTCACTCTGCTGATTAGCCACCACTAAAGTGGTTTTGTCTCCATCGTGGTATTAGCCCCATCCCTGCCACACTGATGTGTCATTGTCCCTTAGTACAGTGTGCTGACCTCATGAGCCCTGGCATAATGCCTGGGGTTCATTAGAGCCTACCCTTCATTTTCATGAAGGGTACAACATGGTTTCAGATGATCCTGTATTAGCTACCGGTACAGTGTCTTTAACCTTCATGAGTTCCCACAGCCATGTCTGCTGATGCTATCATAGCTCCCAACACTGTGTCTGTTGAATCCTCATTGGTCATCAACATAGTGGCTTTGATCTCTGTGATGACACCATACAGTTTCTGATTACCCTCTATGAGGTGCAGTTATTGTTCCCTGATCTCCGTACACTGGTTTGTTGACTGTTCTTTCAATCTCAGCAATGTTTCCTTCAATCTCAGCAATGTTTCCTTCAACTCTGGCAGTTCCCCAGGCCTTCAGGCTGTTTTCTTATTTTTCTGACTGTTTATTTAGCATCAGGGATTGTCCCTTGGTCTTTTTGGCTGTGGAGTCTTATCCCCTTTTCCTCTGTCTTCCAAATGCGAGGACTGTTTGTGGTCTCCAGATGTTCAACAATCCTGCTGTTCCTCAAGGCCAGACACTTTTCCTTTAAGCCTCCGGCTGTTTGTTTATTTCTCTGGCTGTTTCCAAGGTAGTTCTCACTGTTGCATGACATGTGGTGACAATTTCCTCTTCTGTTTGACTATTGTAGAGTCTTTGCCTGTCCCAACTACAAGGACTGTACTCGGGCTGTTCATGTCACTGCAAGACTCTTTCTCAGTCCCCGTGGCTGTTTTCTAGTGTCCTGGCATGTTCACTCAGCCCTTGGCTATTGTCTGGAACCAGACTGTTCGAGCTGCTTCTAGTGACTCCCCAGTGCCTAGAATAGGCTACCTTACCCTCCCTCTTGCTACCTCAATCCTGGGTATGTTCATACTTCCTCTTGCCTCTTTTCTGGTCTCCTACTGTTTCTCCATCCCAAGGACTGTTGCATACCCTGGATGCAGCTGGGGGGCATTAAACAGCAAGTGGGAATGGCAGGCTGCAGGGGGAGCACCTTCCTTCCAGGTAGACCTCTTTAGCTGTGGATGCCCTGGGGAAACAGTCCCTGCAGAGACGCTGCCTGCTTCAGAGCCCTGGTGTGGCCTCCTGGCAGGATATCTATAGCCCAAGAGTCACTAGATTTGCTTCCATCACCCTGCTAGAAAATTCATTAAAGTGAACACCTCCCAGCATTAGGGGTGTCTGTGTGTGAATCTCTGTTTGGGAGAGACTGTGACGGCCGAGAGGAAGCACATGGAGATCACAGTGGTGTGTGGTGTGCAGCATGGGGACCAGTCCTGCTCTTGCCCGAGCCTCATTCCTTCTCCCTAATACATGGCATCACAGTTCCAGCCCAGAATCCTTCAGAAGTCCATGCTGATGTTGGAGGATGAATATAGGGTGTCTGCCCCATGGGTGTTTTTTAGTTCACAACATGAAACCCTTATAATAACTTAATGTGCAATATTACTAACAGCCTTTAGTTTCTAGACAGGCAGTGTAGTGTAATGGCTAAGAACATGAATGCTGGAGCCAGATATTCATTCAAATCCTGTGCCTTAATGGTTTCTTAGGTATGGGACAAAAAGCACACATAAAGAACACTTAAACTTTGCTTAAAAAAAAAAAAACCATAAATAACCCAACTAAAAAATGGGCAAAGGCTGGGTGGAGTGGCTCATGCCTGTAATCCCAGCACTCTGGGAGGCCAAGGTGGGTGGAACTTGAGGTCAGGAGTTCGAGACCAGACTGGCCAACATGGTGAAACCCCGTCTCTATTAAAAATACAAAAATTAGACAGGCGTGGTGGCATGGACCTGTAATCCCAGCTACTCAGGAAACTGAGGCAGGAGAATCAATTGGACCCAGGAGACAGAGATTGCAGTGAGCTATTGTGCCACTGCACTCCAGCCTGGCTGACAGAGTGAGACTCCATCTCAAATAAATAAATAACTATAAATAAAAATGGACAAAGGACTCAAATAGACATTTCTCCATGGATGATATACAAATGCCCAATAAGCCCACAAAAAACTGCTCAACGTAATTAGCCATCAGGTAAATGGAAATCAAAACCACAATAACACTACACACCCATAGGGTGGCTAGAATCCAAAAGACAGATAACAACAAGTGTTGGAGAGGATGTGGACAAATTGGAACCTTCTACATTGCTGGTAGGATGTAAAATAGTGCGGCTGTTTTGTAAAACAGCTTGACAATTTCTGAAAATGTTAAAAATAAATGTACCATGTGATCCAGCAATTCCATCCTTAGGTATCTATGTGGGAGAAATGCCAACATATGTCCACACAAAAACCTGAATACAGATGTTCACAGCAGTGCTATTCCTACTTGCCAAAAAGTGGAAACAACCCAAATGTCCATCAACTGATGAAATGATACACAAAATGTGGTATGTTCATAAAATGAAATATTAATCAGTAATAAAAAGAAATGAGGTGCTGATACATTCTGCCAATGTGGATGAATTTTGAAAACATGTTAAATGAAGAAGCCTGTTGGGAAAGACCACATATTGTATAATTCCATTTATATGAAATGTCCAGAGTAGGCAAAACTGGGGAAACAAAAAGTAGATTAGTGGTTGTCTAGGACTCGGGTGGGGGTAGGTGGTAGAAATGGAGTGACTGCTCACAGGTACTGGGTTTCTCTTGGGGGTGATGAAAATATTCTAAAATTCTATTGTGATGGTTGCACAACTCTGAATGTACTAAAGCTAATTTAATTGTGATGTTAAATGGATGAATTGTACTGTACGTGTGTGAATTACATCTCAATAAAGTTTAAAAAATAGGAAATTATAAAAATAAAGATTTGAACTAGGTCAGTATTTTTTAAAGTTGAGTCTTTGTAATATTATCTTTAAGAAAAAAATTTATTTATTTATTTGTTTACTTTTATTTTTAATTTTTGGGATGAAGTCTTGCTCTGTCGCTCAGGCTGGAGTGCAGAGGCGCGATCTCGGCCCACTGCAACCTCCGCCTCCTGGGTTCAAGTGATTCTGTCTCAGCCTCCCTAGTAGCTGGGATTACAGGCACACGCCACCACTCCTTGCTAATTTTTGTATTTTTTTAGTAGAGACGGGGTTTCGCCATGTTGGCTAGGCTGGTCTCCAACTCCTGACCTCAGTTGATCCATCTGCCTCGGCCTCCCAAAGTGCTGGGATTACAGGTGTGAGCCACCACACCCCACCTCATTAAGAAAAAAATTTAGGGCGTGGTGGCTCATGCCTGTAATCCCAGCACTTTGGGAGGCCAAGGTGGGCGGATCACGAGGTCAAGAGATCGAGACCATCCTGGCTAACATGGTGCAACCCCGTCTCTACTAAAAGTACATAATTAGCCGGGTGAAACTCCATCTCAAAAAAAAAAATATAATAATTAGCCAGGCATGGTGGCATATGCCTGTAATCCCAGGTACTCAAGAGGCTGAGGCAGGAGAATCGCTTGAACCCGGGAGGCGGAGGTTGCAGTGAGCCGAGATCACGCCACTGTACTCCAGCCTGGCGACAGAGCGAGACTCCGTCTCAAAAAAAAAAAAAAGAAAAGAAAAAATTTAATTAGTGCCTGCATAAAACTTTAGGGAAAAACATTTCTGTTTCTGCCTTGTCTTAGCTATGTGTCCCTGGGGAAATCATATTTACCGCTCTATGCCTCAGTTTCTGCATCTGTAAAATGGGGATAAAAATAATGCCTAAATCTGAGGGACAATGAAGTCATAAATGTACAGTGCTTAGAATAATGCTAGGCACATATCCAGCTCTCTGTATTAGTTATATTAGTAGTAGTAATGGCAAATATAATTTAATTTATGACTTAGTAGTGATACATTTTAGTAATGGCAACTTATGATATTTGTAGCAATAATTTTATTCACACTGACAAGTTTAACTCAATGATTTTGAGAATCTCTCCCAAAGATGTCACAAATATAATATGTTCATTTGTAATGTTTTCTTTCTTTTTTTTTTTTTTTGAGACAGAGTCTGGCTCTGTCGTCCAGGCTGGAGTGCAGTAGCGCGATCTTGGCTCACTGCAACCTTCACCTCCTGAGTAGCTGGGATTACAGGCATACGCCACCATGCCCGGCTAATTATTGTATTTTTTTTTTTAATTTTTTGAGACAGAGTTTCGCTCTTGTTGCCTAGGCTGGAGTGCAATGGCGCAATCTCGGCTCACTGCAACCTCAGCCTCCTGGGTTCAAGTGATTCTCCTGCCTCAGCCTCCCAAGTAGCTGGGATTACAGGCATGCACCACCACGCCTGGCTGATTTTGTATTTTTAGTAGAGACGGGGTTTCTCCATGTTGGTCAGGCTGGTCTCGAACTCCTGACCTCAGGTGATCCGCCCACTTCAGCCTCCCAAAGTGTTGGGATTACAGGTGTGAGCCACCACGCCTGGCCTAATTTTTGTATTTTTAGTAGAGATGGGGTTTTGCCATGTTGTCCACGTTGGTGTTGGACTCCTGGCCTCAAGTGATCTGCCTGCTTTGGCCTCCCAAAATTCTGGGATTACAGGCGTGAGCCACCAGGCCCGGCCTGTAATGTTTTCATTCTTATTATGATGCTTGTACGCTAATTTTTAGTATGAACATCTCCCCACTGACAAGTAGCGACATTTCAAAGACTTCTGAGCACAGTTTCTCCCGATGATAATGTGCCTGTTTTCACATTCTAAAGTGTTGGGGGTTAGGACTTCAATGCATCTTTTGGGGAGACACAATTCAACCCATAACAGTTCCTCAGTATGCAGTCCTCACTTGATAAATCTCCAGGTTTAAAAATCTCTACTGGGCTGGGCACAGTCTAATGCCACCACTTTGGGAGGCCAAGGTGGGAAGATTGCTTGAGGCGAGGAGTTGGAAACCAGCCTGGGCAATAGGGAGATACCCATCTCTACAAAAAGTAGATAAATAAAGATCTGTACTATTGCCAACTATTGCCAAGACGATAACTTGCAAATCCCTAAGCCCTTGGTAAACAATTCTCTTAAAGAGCCCCCTCTCCTCAGTGTGACATATGTCCTCTTTTACAAATACCCAACTGGCAAATACTAACTGTATTAGTTTTCCTTACCTTTTCTTTTTCTTTCTTTTCTTTTCTTCCTTTTTTTCTCTCTTTCTTTCTTTCTTCTTTCTTTCTCTTTCTTTCCTTCCTTCTTTTTTTTTGAGACAGAGTCTCATTCTGTCACCCAGGCTGGAGTGCGGTGGCACAATCTCAGCTCACTGCCACCTCTGCCTCCCAGGTTCAAGCGATTCTCATGTCTCAGCCTCCCCCGTAGCTGGGATTACAGGTGCGCCACCACGCCTGGCTAATTTTTGTATTTTTAGTAGATATGGGGTTTTGCCATGTTGACCAGGCTGGTCTCAAACTCCTGGCCTCA
Source organism: Homo sapiens (assembly GCF_000001405.40). Classification (NCBI taxonomy): domain Eukaryota; kingdom Metazoa; phylum Chordata; class Mammalia; order Primates; family Hominidae; genus Homo; species Homo sapiens. The sequence continues at coordinate 47,425,919 of NC_000023.11, forward strand.
AGTGATCCGCCCTCCTTGGCCTCCCAAAGTGCTAGGATTACAGGCATAAGCCACCTTGCCTGACCAGCTGTATTAGTTTTCTATTGATGTATAACAAATTACCACAAACTTAGCAGCTTAAAACAATACCCATTTATTATCTCACAGTTCTGTAGGTCAGAAGTCCTGGCAGGTTGTATTGGGTTCTCTCCCTAATGGTCTCACAAGGCCAAGGTCAAAGCATTTGCTACGCTGGACTCTTATCTGGAGGTTCTCAGAAAGGACCCACTTTTAACCTTGTTCAGGTTATTGGCAGACTTCAGCTCCTTGCAGTATGTAGGACTGATGTCCCCATTTCCTCGCTGGCTGTCAGCCAGTGGCTGTTTTCTGCTCCTAGAGGGTGACTGAATTTCTCACCGTGTGGGCCTCTTCATCTTCGAAGCCAGCTAGGACGTGTCAAATGCTTCTCATGTTTCCAATCTCTCTGATTTCCTCTTCTGCCACCAGCAGGAGAAAATTCTGCTTTTATGATGGGCTAATGTGCTTAGATTAGGCTCATCTGAATAGTCTCCCTATTTTAAGGTCAACTGATGAGCAACCTTAGTTATATCTGCAAGATCCCTTTTTTATATAATGTAATATAACCACAAGTGAGATCTCATCATATTCACAGATTCTACCTACAATCAAGGAGTTTATACAGGGGTGAGGGATATGGGGGCACATTCTTAGAATTCTGCCTACTGTGGCCGCTTCTGAGCCTTTCCTTTTCATGAATATCCCACCGACATATCCCCATTGATGACCCCCTGACTGGCAAATCTCCCCTTTCAGAGATATCTACCCATTGGCAAATCTTTCATTCATGAACCTGTTGCGGAAAAAAAAAATCACCCCATTCAAAAACATCTATCAAAATGTCCCATTCATGACCCCTCCTAACAAATCTCCCCATTTAGAAATAAACACATTGACATATCGCCCATAGATGACTTCCACTGAAAACTCTTGTTAATAAACGCCCACTGGCATATTTCTTATTTGTAATTTCTTTGTTTCTTTCTTTCTTTCTTTCGTTCTTTCTCCCTTCCCTCTTCCCTCTTCCCCCTTTCCCCTTCCCCCGTCCCCCTTCCCCCTTCCCTTCCTTTGAGATGCAGTCTCAGTCTGTCACCTAGGCTGGAGTGCAGTGGCGTAATCACAGCTCACTGCAGCCTTGACCTCCCGAACTCAAGTGATCCTCCCGCCTCAGCCTCCTAGTAGAAAACAGGACACAATTGAGAATAATCTATCAATCAATAAACTGACCCAGAGCTGACACAAATGTTAAAATTAGCAGACAAGGATATTAAAAGTTATTGTACCTATTGCATATGCTCACAAAGTTAGTAGAGACATGGGAAATGTTTGTAAAAGACCCAAATCAACTTTATAAGACTTCTACTTCTGGGAAAATGAGGTAGATGCGTTTTTCCCCGTTCCTCCCACTAAGTATAACTAAAAATCCTGGATTGATGTTTCTAAAACAAACAGAAGATTCTGGGCTGAGCGCAGTGGCTCACGCCTGTAATCCCTGCACTTTGGGAGGCTGAGGCAGGTGGATCACCTGGGGTCAGGAGTTTGAGACCAGCCTGGCCAACATGGCAAAACCCCATCTCTACTAAATATACAAAAATTAGCCAGGTGTGGTGGCAGGTGCCTGTAATCCCAGATACTTAGGAGGCTGAGACAGGGAGAATCGCTTGAACCCGGGAGGTGGAGGTTGCAGTGAGCCAAGATCATACCACTGCACTCCAGCTTGGGCAATGGAGTGAGACTCCATCTCAAAAAGAATAAAGTAAAATAAAAATAAAAGTGTGGCATTTCCCCCCTACCTGGCTCCTGCTCTGGCTCTGTGTTGCACCTGCTCCCCCTTCACCTTCTGGCATGATTGTAAGTTTCCTGAGGCCTCCCCAGAAGCTGAGCAGATGCCAGCACCATGCTTCCTGTACAGCTTGCAGAACTGTGAGCCAATTAAACTTCTTTCCTTTTTTTTTTTTTTGATGGGGTCTTGCTCTGTCACCAAGGCTGGAGTGCTGTGGTATGGGCACAGCTTACTCCAGCCTCAATCTCTTGGGCTCAAGGAATCCTCCTGCCTCAGCCTGTCAAGTAGCTGGGATTACAGGCATGCACCAGCACGACCTGGCTAATGTTTGTGTTTTTTTGTAGAGACAGGGTTTTGCCATGTTGCCCAGGCTGGTCTTGAACTCCTGAGCTCAAGCAATCTGCCAGCCTTGGCCTTCCAAAGTGCTGGGATTACAGGCATGAGCCACCATGCCCAGCTTAAACTTCTTTTCTTTATAAATTACCCAGTCTCAGGTGTTTCCTTATAGCAATGCAAGAAAGGCCTAACACACAGATTCTTGGGGGTGGTATCTTCCTCCTTTTTTTTTTGAGATGGAGTTTCGCTCTTGTTGCCCAGGCTGGAGTGCAATGGCACAATCTCGGCTCACTGGAACCTCCACCCCCCGGGTTCAAGCGATTCTCCTGCCTCAGTCTCCCAAGTAGCTGAGATTACAGGTATGTGCCACCACATCCAGCTAATTCTGTATTATTATTATTATTATTATTTTTGAGATGGAGTCTTGCTCTGTTGCCCAGGCTGGAGTGCAGTGGCATGACCTCAGCTCACTGCAACCTCTGCCTCCCGGGTTCAAGCAATTCTCTGCCTCAGCCTCCCGAGTAGCTGGGATTACAGGCACCTGCCACCATGCCCAGCTAATTTTTGTTAGACGGGGTTTCACCATCTTGGCCAGGCCGGTCTTGAACTCCTGACCTCGTGATCCACCCGCCTTGGCCTCCCAAAGTGCTGGGATTACAGGCGTGAGCCACCGTGCCTGGCGCTAATTTTGTATTTTTAGTAGACACCGAGTTTCACCATGTTTGTCAGGCTGGTCTCAAACTCCTGACCTCAAGTGATCCACCCACCTTGGTCTCCCAAAGTGGTGGGATTACAGGCATGAGACACTGCACCTGGCCATCCTCTTCTTTCTATCTTTTAAAAAAATAATATATATGTGTGTATATATATGTATATATGTATATGTATATATGTATATATAGTATATATGTGTATACATGTATGTATATATGTATATATGTGTGTATATATGTATATATGTGTGTATATATGTATATATACGTGTGTACATATATGTTTAATTAACTGAATGCTTGCCACAATCTTCGTCTTATAAGGACATCAGTCCTATTGGATTAGGGCTCCACCCTTTTAACCTAATTTAACCCTAATTATCTCCTTCTCTTTCAGTCACATTGAGGGTTAGGGCTTCAACATATGAATTTGGGAGGGCACAATTCAGTCTGTATCAACAACCCTCGGCTGGGTGTGATGGCTCACGCCTGTAATCCCAGCACTTTGGGAGTCCAAGGCAGGTGGATTGCTTGAGGTCAGGAGCTGAAGACCAGCCTGGCCAACAGGGTGAAACCCCGTCTCTACTAAAAATACAAAAATTAGCCGATCGTGGTGGCACATGCCTGTACCCCCAGCTACTTGGGAGGCTGAGAAAGGAGAATCGCTTGAACCCGGGAGGCAGAGTTTGTGGTAAGACAATATCACGCTGTTGCACTCCAGCCTGGGTGACAGAGCCAAACTCCGTCTCAAAAACAAAACAAAACAAAACAACACAACAACAAAAAAAAAACAAAAGAAAAACACAAACAAAAAAACTGGGGGCAATAAAGGCATGAAGGGCTAATGTACACACCTTCACAATTGTGTGCTCACCATCAAAATGAGGAGGGCCAAGGGAGGGTCTCCACCAGATGGATTCATTCACTTTATAGAAGGATCTGGGGAAGAGGAAGTCAGAGTGGATGCTGGTACAATATACAGTTTCCTCCCACAACATCTCATCTTTCTGTTTTTCCCTACCTGATGCAGTAGTCTCAGGACCAGAACTGCAACTGTAGCTTCCAGAAGCAGGGATGAGCCCTAAGCAAGAAACTTTAACTGTACTTTTACATGTTTATGTCAGAATTCCTAAGGGCTTGATATAGTTTGAATATTTGTCCCTGCCCAAATCTGTTTTTTGTTTTGTTTTGTTTTGTTTTTTCAGTAGAGACGCAGTTTCGCTATGTTGGCCAGGCTGGTCTGGAACTCTTGGGCTTAAGTGATCCACCCGCCTCGGCCTCCCAAAGTGCTGGGGTTACAGGCATGAGCCACCACACCAGGCCTCAAATCTCATGTTGAAATGTAATTGCCAGTATTGGAGGTGGGGCCTGGTGGGGGGTGTTTGGACCATGGAGGTGGATTCCTTGTGGGTTGGTGCTGTCTTCACCATAGTGAGTGAGTTCCCCTGAGATCTGGTTGGTAAGTGTGTGGCACCTCCCCCTGCCATGCTGTCTCTTGCTCTCCTGCTCCCACCAGATGAGACGCCTGCTCCCGCTTTGCCTTCTGCCATGATTGGAAGCTTCCTGAAGCCTCCCCAGAAGCTGAGCAGACATCAACACCATGCTTCCTGTAAAGCCTGTAGAACTAGACCGGGCGCCGTGGCTCACATCTGTAATCCCAGTACTTTGGGAAGCCAAGGTTGGGCAGATTCCCTGAACTCAGGAGTTCGCAACCAACCTGGACAACATGGTGAGATCCCATCTGTATTAAAAATACAAAAAAATAGCCAGGTGTGGTGGTGTGCGTCTGGGTCCTAGGTATTTGAGAAGCTGAGGTGGGAGGATCGCTTGAACCCGGGGATTGGAGGTTGCAGTGAGCCGAGATTTCACCACTGCCCTCCAGCCTGGGTGACAGTGAGACCTTGTGTCAAAACAAAACAAAAGCCCACAGAATTGTGAGCCAATTAAACCTCCCTTCTTTATAAATTACGCAGTCTCATGTATTTCTTTATAGCAATGCAAGAACAGCCTAACACAGGGCCTAACATGATAGACTGCGCCTTCACCTCATCTGGCAAATTAGGGTAAACAGTGAATGCATGCAGCTGTGTTACCTAGTGATTGAGGTAGCCCGCTAGTTCCACACCTATGTAACTATACCCTACATGGATGGGGGTAGACCGAGGCAGAAGCATTTGCTAGACTGGTATTGCTGCTGATAATCTAGACTAGCACAGAGGCTGAACCTAATGTCCCTTCCAAAGGTGGAAAAGTTGGGTCAAATTCAGCCATAAATGGAGAGAAAGAGGAATGGTACCTGAGAGTAAAAGAATGAAGAAATGTGTTGTGCAATAAGGAAAAGTCATTACACTGATGCCCTGAAAGAGGCCGAGAACAAGAGGTGACTTTATTTATTGGCTCAATTATACCGGATATCTGAAAGAATTAAGTGGCCAGGCGCGGTGGCTCAAGCCTGTACTCCCAGCACTTTGGGAGGCTGAGGTGGGAGGATTGCTTGAGGTCAGGAGTTCAAGACCAGTCTGGGAAACCTGGCAAAACCCCATTGCTTACAAAAATTACGAAAATTAGCCAAGTATGGTGGTGCATGCCTGTAGTCCAGGTTACTCAGGAGGCTGAGGTGGGAGGATTGCTTGAGCCCAGGAGGTCGAGGCTGCAGTGAGCTGAGATTGAGTCCACTGCACTCCAGCCTGGGCAACAGAGCAAAACTCCATCTCAAAAAAAAAAAAAAAAAGGCCAGGCGCAGTGGCTCTCGCCTGTAATCCCAGCACTTTGGGAGGCGGAGGTGGGTGGATCACGAGGTCAGGAGATCAAGACCATCCTGACTAACACGGTGAAACCCTGTCTCTACTAAAAATACAAAAAATAGCCGGGCGTGGTGGCGGGCACCTGTAGTCCCAGCTACTTGGGAGGCTGAGGCAGGAGAATGGTGGGAACCCGGGAGGCGGAGCTTGCAGTGAGCTGAGATTGTGCCACTGCACTCCAGCCTGGGTGACAGAGCGAGACTCCGTCTCAAAAAAAAAAAAAAAAAAAAAAAAAAAAGAAAAGAAAAGAAAGAAAGAAAAAAGAATGAAACCACAATGAAACCGTATGTTGCGAAAACTAACCTCAACATTTAGAACCTAACAAGGTCGATGCCTGTAAACCTCAGTGGCATTGCTCTGGGAGATGAACTGGACCAATTGTTAAGGGAACTCCAGTAATGTGCCAGTATCTTTTGACTCTTACTCTGCAGGTTACATTTACTACCATAGCATGATATAATGTAACACTGGCATTGTTGCTAAGATTATAATGTCTATATTGATGGTCAAACATATTGGTAAATTGAGTTAAAGCCTTTTCAAGATATAATACTAATAGAAAATGACTGCCTTGTGGAAAAACTGGTTTTGGCTAACCATCAGCTAATTTCTATGCTAAACAGTTTTTGTTTGTTTGTTTGTTTGTTTGTTTTTTAAGACGGAGTCTCGCTCTGTCGCTCAGCCTGGAGTGCAACGGCATGATCTTGGCTCACTGCAACCTCCACCTCCTGGGTTCAAGCGATTCTCAAACCTCAGGCTCCCAAGTAGCTGGGATTACAGGCACATGCCACCATGCCCGGCTAATTTTGTGTTTTAGTAGAATTTCACCATGTTGACCAGACTGGTCTCAAACTCCTGATCTCAGGTAATCTGCCCGCCTCGGCCTCCCAAAGTGCTGAGATTACAGGCGTGAGCCACCACGCCCAGCCTGCTAAATAGTTTTGTACAAGTTTACATAAGATACAAATAGAGGGAGATCAAAGAGGAAGAATAATCAAATTAGTTCAAAAAGCCGGGCTTGGTGGCTCACGCCTGTAATCCCAGCACTTTGGAAGGCTGAGGCGGGCAGATTGCTTGAATCCAAGAATTTGAGGCCAGCCTGGGCAACATGGCACAACCCTGTCTCTACTAAAAATACAAAGAATTAGCTGGGTGTGGTAGCATGCACCTATAGTCCCAGCTACTCTGGAGGCTGAAATGGGAGGATCACTTGAGCCCGGGAGACGGAGGTTGCAGTGAGCCGTGGCTGCACCACTGCACTCCAGCCTGGGTGACAGAGACACTGTCTCAAAAAAAAAAAAAAAAAAAAAAATTAAAAAAAACCCAAAAAGCAAACAAAAAATAAAATTAGTACAAAAATATGAAGATGTATATAATGGTTTGATAGGATGAATTAGTTTTTTACTATTATTATATGTCACATAAATGCTATACCAAAAGTAGATGCCCAGACAAATACGATCATTTTGCTGTGAATGAGTCTTGGCCAAAGGCCAGGGGTCACCTGTGTATTAAGGAATTTAACTTTATCTGAAGAGAGGTCTGGCCTTTGCCATCAGATTCCAGTTGGTAATCTCTAAGCCCTTGGACTGTTGTGTTTGATAGGAGTCTGTCTCTTTGTTTGCTTGGGGGTCTTGGGCCAGTCGGATTGAAGCAATGTGATTTAGGGTAGGGGATTTAGCCCAGCCAGATAATAGCTATGTGATTTAGGGTAGGGGCTTGACCTCCTGAGGGCTGGAAACTGAAATCAACCACGTGGACAGTCAATTTTTCCTACATGATGGAGCCCTGGACACCAAGGCTTGAGTGAGTTTCCCTGATTGGTAACACTCCATGCTATTGTCACACAACAATGCTGAGACAGTATTGCTGTTGTGATTCCACAGAAGAGGACAACCGGAGGCTCTGCATTTATTACCTTCCTGGACTCTGCCCTGTGTATTTCACCCCTTGGCTGATTTTAATCTGTATCTTTTCACTGTAATAAAGTGAAACCATGGGTATAATGGCTTTCAGTGAGTTCTGTGAGTCCTTCTAGTGAATCATTGTTTTTTTTATTTTTTATTTATTTATTTATTTTTTTTAGAGAGAGAGTCTCCCCTCTGTCGCTCAGGCGGGAGTGCAGTGGCACAATCTCAGCTCATCGCACCTCTGCCTCCCGGGCTCAAGCAATTCTCGTGCCCCAACCTCCCGAGTAGCTGGGATTAGAGGCGCCTGCCACCACGCCAGCTAATTTTTGTATTTTTAGTAGACATGGAGTTTCACCATGTTGGCCAGGCTGGTCTCGAACTCCTGACCTCAGGTGATTCACCAGCCTCGGCCTCCCAAAGTGCTGGGATTACAGGCATGAGCCACCAGCCTAGCCTCTAGTGAATTGTTGAATCTGAGGGTCTTGGAGACCTTTGAGTTTGCAATTGGTGTCAGAGGTGGATACAGTCTTGTATGGTGATTATTCCCTCTAACTTTTGCACAAGATAAACTACAAACATCCATTTATTGTCCATAGACTAGCAATTAACAATAAGAAATTGAACTTAAAAATGAATACCACACAATAAAGTGGAAATAGAACAATATCAAGTAAAACAGCATAAAAAATATGAAATATTTAGGGGATAATTTGTCAAAATATGTGAAAGATGTGTACACTGAAAAATACAAAATATTACTGAGAGAAATTAAAGAAATGGAGAGGGGGCTGGGCATAGTGGCTCTCACCTGTAAGCCCAGTGCTTTGGAAGGCTGAGGTGGGAGGATTGCTTGAGGCCAGGATTTTGAGACCAGCCTGGGCAATATAGTGAGATGCCCATCTCCACAAAAAATAATTTTTAAAAAATTAGCCAGGTGTAGTGGCACATGCCTGTAGTCCCAGCTACTCTCAAGGCTGAGGCAGGAGAATTGCTTGAGCCCAGGAGTTGGAGGCTGCAGTGAGCTATGATCATGCCACTGTACTCCAGCCTGAATGACAGAGTGAAACTGTCTCAAAAACAAACAAACAAACAAACAAACAAACAAACAAACACACAAAAAAACCAGAAACAGAAAAGAAAGACATGGAGAGGTATCCTGATTTATGAGTCAGAAAACTCAATATTGGCCAGGTGCAGTGGCTCACGCCTGTAATCCCAGCACTTTGGGAGGCCGAGGCGGGTGGATCACCTGAGGTCAGGAGTTCGAAACCAGCCTGGTCAACATAGTGAAACCCCATCTCTACTAAAAATAAAAAAAAAATTAGCTGGATGTGGTCATGTGTGCCTGTAATCCCAGCTACTCGGGAGGCCGAGGCATGAGAATTGCTCCATCCCGGGAGGCAGAGGTTGCAGTGAGCTGAGATTGCACCATTGCACTCCAGGCTGGGCAACAAGAGTGAAACTCCGTCTCAAAAAAATAAAAAAAGAAAAAAAGAAAAAAGAAAACTCAATATTGTTAAGATTTCAATTCTGGTCAGGTGTGGTGGCCTGTAATCCTAGCATTTTGGAAGGCCGAGGTGGGTGAATCACTTGAACCCAGGAGTTTGAGACCAACCTGGGCGACATGGCGAAACCCCATCTCTACAAAAAATACAAAAGTTAGCTGGGCATGGTGGTTCGCGCCTATAATCCCAGCTACTCAGGAGGCTGTGGTGGGAAGATCCTCTGAGCCCGAGGAGGTTGAGGCTGCAGTGAGCTGAGATCAAGTCACTGCACTCCAGCCTGGGCGACAGAGCGAGACCCTGTCTCAAAAACAAAAAAAGATTTCAAATCTCTCCAATTGATCTATGGATTCAAACCAATCCCAATAAAAATCACAACGGCCTTTTTTTTTTTTTTTTTTGCAGAATTGGATAAACTTATTTTACAATTCATATGGAAATGTAAAGGACCTACAACAGCCAACACAGCTCTGACTTTATTAAATTTACCTACTTGTGCAACCGTCACTACATTCAAGTTCTAAAACATTTATATAGTCCCAGTAAGATCCCTTGTGTGTGTGTGTTTTTTTTTTTTGAGACAGGGTCTCGGTCTCTCACCCAGGCTGGAGTGCAGTGGCACAATCACGATTCACCGCAGCCTCAACCTCCTGGGCTCCAGCAGTCCTCCCACCTCAGCCTCCCGAGTAGCCAGGACAGCAGCCGTGTATGTATCACCATGCCCAGCTAATTAAAAAACATTTTTTTTTATAGAGACAGGGTCTTGCTTTGTTGCCCAGTCTGGTCTTAAAGACCTGGGCTCCAGTAATCCTCCCACCTCAGCCTCCCAAAACGCTGAGATTTTAGGCGTTAACTTCTGTGCCTGGCACCTTGTGCTAATTTACAGTTAATATCCATTAATTGTAATTCCCACCTTCAGACAACCAGTAATCTACAGATCTCTATAGATTTTTTTTTCTTAGACAGTCTTGCTCTGTCACCCAGGCTGGAGTGCAGTGGCACGATCTCGGCTCACTGCAACCTCCACCTCCCAGGTTGAAGCAATTCTCCTGCCTCAGCCTCCTGAGTAGCTGGGATTACAGGCACACGCTACCATGCCCGGCTAATTTTTGTATTTTTAGTTGCTTAGTATGTTTTTGCGGTTCATCCCTGTTGTATTTCTCAACATTTTATTCCTTTTTCTTGGTAAATGTACCACATTTTGTTTATCCATTTGCCAGTTGACAGGCTTTTGGATTGTCTCCTTTTAGCTAGTTTGAATAATGCTGTTCCGAAGATTCAAGTGCAAGTGTTTGTGTGAACATTTGTCACATTTCTTTTGGATAGATACCTTGGAGTAGCACTGCTGGGTTGTATATATGGTAAATTTTTGATCAACTTTCTTTGCTTTTTGAGACAGAGTCTCGCTCTGTCACCCAGGCTGGAGTGCAGTGGCATGATCTTGGCTCACTGCAACCTCTGCCTCCTGGGCTCAAGCGATTCTCATGCCTCAGCCTCCCAAGTAGCTGGGATTACAGGCACCTGCCACCACGCTCAGCTAATTTTTGTATTTTTTAGTAGAGATGGGGTTTCAGCATGTTGGTCAGGCTGGTGTTGAACTCCTGACCTCAGGTGATCCACCCACCTTGGCCCCCAAAGTGCTGGGATTACAGGTGTGAGCCACTGGGCCTGGTCAAATTTTTGATCAATTTTCTAAGAAGCTGCCAAACTTTTCCAAAGTGGCTATTACATTTTACATTCACAGCAGAAATGTATGAAGGTTTCTTATTCTCCACATCCTTGCCAACATTTCTTATAACTGACTTTTTAATTAAAGCTACTTTAGTGTATATCAAGTGGTATCTCATTGTGGTTTTAATTGGCATTTCCCTAATGACTTATGATGCTATGCATCTCTTCATGTGTTATAGGTTGTTGTTGTTGTTTTGAAACGAGGTCTCACTCTGTCACCCAGGCTGGAGTGCAGTGGCTCCATCACAGCTTACTGCAGCCTCGATCTCCTGGGCTCAAGGGATCCTTTTGCCTCAGCCTCCCAAGTAGCTGGGACTACAGGCTTGTGCCATCGAGCCCAGCTAATTTTTAAATTAGTTTGTGTAGAGCCAGGGTCTCGCTTTGTTGCCCAGGCTGGTCTCGAACTCCTGGGCTTGAGCAATCCTCCTGCGTCAGCCTCCCAAAGTATCATGTGTTTATTTGTATATTGTCTTTGGTGAAATGTCTTTTCAATATTTTTGTCCATTTAAAAACATTTTGGAATTTTCTTAATTTTTTTTTTTCAACAATAAAATACAAACCATTGTAACAAAAAGGGGGATTTAAATAGTATAGAAATTGGCCAAGTGCGGTGGCTCATGTCTGTAATTCTGGCACTTTGGGAGGCTGAGGCAGATGGATCATCTGAGGTCAGGAGTTCGAGACCAGCCTGGCCAACATGGTGAAACCCCGTCTCTACTAAAAATACCAGAATTAGCTGGGCCTTATCGTGCATGCCTGTAATCCCAGCTACTTGGGAGGCTGAGGCAGGAGAATCGCTTGAACCCAGGAGGCGGAGGTTGCAGTAAGCCGAGATCACACCACTGCACTCCAACCTGGGTGACAGAGTGAGACTCTGTCTCAAAATAAATAAATAAATAAATAAATAAATAAAATAAAATAAAATAAAACAGTATAAAACCATATAAAGAGAAGCACTTCCTTCCTCAGTGCACTTGCATACTCTTCCCATTAACAGTCTGACATGACCTTCCAGACCTTTCACTGTGCATTTATAGAAACAAACATCAAAAACTGTGTTTGCTGTGTGTTTTTACATAAATGAGGTCTTGCTGCGCATACTATTCTGTAATTTGGTTTTTCCTCCCGGCAATGTTTCTTCATTAGTGTCACCGTGCGCCCCTGCCGTATGGATGTGCCCCAGTTTCTCAACCAATACCCAAGTTATGCATTCAGGATGTTTCTGGTTCTTCTCTACTACACACTAAACACTTTATTTTCTTATTCTTCTGGTATAAGGTATGCCACACCATTCTCATCTTCTAGTGACCAAGGAGGAGTCTCGGCTCAGAGAGGAGTAGGACAGACCAGGGTCGCTCAGCAGAACCCTAGCAGGCAGGAACCTGACCCGGCCAGAGACATGCCTGCTTGGAGCTGAGCGGGTGGCGAGGCAGGCAGGGGCCAGCAGGAGCATCTGCCTGGGACAGAGTGGCCGTGAGGAGTGCGGGGGCAACCTGGCACTTCCCTACCCTATGCAATCCCTTTGCCTTCAGCATGGGGACACTGACACCTACACCCAACCTCTTTTGCCCATTTTTAAACTGGGTTGTTTGTCTTCTTTTTGAATTCTTTTAATTAGAGATGAGGTCTCCCTAATGTTGCCCAGGCTGGTCTCCATCTCCTGGGCTCAAGTGATTCTCCTGCCTTGGCCTCCCAAAGTGCTGGGATTACAGCGTGAGCCACGGTGCCCAGCCTGAGTTGTGTTCTTTATACATTCTGGATACAAGCCCTTTATCAGATACATGATTTGCCAGTGTTTTCTCCCAGTCTGCATTTTTTTTTTTTTTTTTTTTTTGAGACAAGGTCTCACTCTGTCACCCAGGCTGGAGTGCAGTGGTGTGATCATAGCTTAATGCAGCCTTGAACTCCTGGGCTCAAGCGATCCTCCCGTCTTGGCTTCCCCGAGTGCTGGGATTACAGGTGTGAGCCACCACACCTGGCCACATTTTGCTTTAATGTCTTCTATAGAACTAGGTCCTTTCAATGTTTTAGGAGGTTTTTTCCTGTTTTTGAAAGGATTCTTGACTTCTGATCTTGGTGTTGATGGTAGTGAGTCATTTTCATCTCGTTTGATTTTTGTGTATTTTTGGCTGGAGTGCCTCGTATAGATTTCTCCACTGGGGCTTTTTCTTCAGTTTCCTCATTATGTTCACCATCTTCATCATCTTCCTCATCATATTCATCTTCATCAGTAGCAAGTTTTAGTTTATGTGGATACTTGCTGCTGCTTCCAGGGGCAGATTGCTTTCCAGATAGACTTAGGGATTTGGCATCCTCCTCTTCATCTGACTCCTCCACAGCTTCTAAGTGCTACTAATATGCATAGGCCCTAAACCACACTTCAATTGTAAGACAATAGCCAGTGTTATTTCCAAGCCCACAAGAGAAGCTTTTGGCTGTACAAACATTTGCAAAGTTGCCAGTGTTACTTTTTTTTTTTTTTTTTAGAGACAGTCTTGCTCTGCCGCCCAGACTGGAGTGCAGTGGCGCGACCTTGGCTCACTGCAGTGGCATGACCTTGGCTCACTACAACCTCTGACTCCCAGGTTCAAGCGATTCTCCCACCTCAGCCTCCCGAATAGCTGGGATTACAGTCACCCGCCACTACGCCTGGCTAATTTTTGTATTATTAGTAGAGATGGGTTTCACCATGTTGGCCAGGCTGGTCTTGAACTCCTCACCTCAGGGGATCCATCTGCCTCGGCCTTCCAAAGTGCTGGGATTACAGGCGTGAGCCATTGTGCCTGGCCAACCAGTGTTACTTTTAATTGGACTGCTTTCATATCCATTGCCTCTGCTTCAGCAACGTGCAATTCACCCTTTGCACCCGCCCCTAAACTGTCCTTTCTGAAAGATAACTGGTGCTCATTTTCATCATTATCCACTTTAAAGTGATCAATCTTTGTCTGCCTTTAGTTTGCAACCAAAAAGATACTTCTGGGAGCTCAGGGGGCTCATATCCATGTCCACTGAATCTTCCATGGGGTGGTGGCATGCACTTAGATAGGAGGGAAGGTGGATGGAGCTAAACGACTACTGTTCCAGAGAACAGTCACACAGAATCACATTGGTGCAAGCTACTTTGATTCAATTTTGAAGGTTGGCCGGGTGCACACACCTGTAATTCCAGCACTTTGGGAGGCTGAAACAGGTGGATTGCTTGAGCTCAGGAATTCAGACCAGCCTGGACAACATGGTGAAACCCTGTCTCTACAAAAAATACGAAAATCAGCTGAGTGTGGTTGCATGCGCCTGTGGTCCCAGCTACTTGGGAGGCTGAGGTGGATTACTTGAACCCAGGAGGTTGAGGCTGCAGTAAGCCTAGTGATCACCCCACTGCACTCCAGCCTGAGCAACAGAAGGAGATCCTGTCTCAAAAAAAAAAATTCAAACGGCCTTGAGTCACTGGAGTAAACCCCACTTGGTCATGATGTATAATTCTCGATAGGTTGCTAAATTTAATTTGCTATATAGTTTTCTCGTGATGTGTTTGTTTGGCTTACATCTCAGAGGTCTCTTAGGTCTCAATACTGGCTTCATAGGGTTGGAGAGTGTTCATGCCTCCTCTATCTTCTGAAAGATTTTGTAGAGTGTTGGTATTATTTCTCCTGTAAATGTTTAATAAAATTAATCAGTTAAACTATCTGGCTTTGGGTTTTTCTTGTGTGAACAGATTTTAACTTACTTATTACAACTCTTTTCATATTTTCTTTCTTTCTGTCTTTTTTTTTTATTTTCTGAGATGGAGTCTCGCTCTGTTGCTAGGCTGGTGTGCAGTGGCGAGATCTCGGCTCACTGCAACCTCTGCCTCCCAGGTTCAAGCGATTCTCCTGCCTCAGCCTCCCGAGTAGTGGGGATTACAGGCGCCCACCACCACGCCCAGCTAATTTTTAGTAGAGACGGGGTTTCACCATGTTGGCCAGGATGGTTTCAATCTCCTGACCTTGTGATCTGCCCACCTCAGCCTCCCAAAGTGCTGGGATTACAGGCATGAGCCACCGTGCCTGGCTCTATTCATATTTTCTATGACTTCTTGAGTCAGTTTTGATAATTGGTGCACTTTTACAAATTTGCCCATTTTGTCCAAGTTGTCTAATTTATTAGCATAAAGTTTTTATAGAAGTATCTTGTCATCCTTTTCCTTTCTGTAGGGTCAGTGGTCTTGCCTCCTAATTTTGGTGATGTGTCTTCTCTCTTCTTGGTCCATCTAAATATTTGTCAATTGTGTTGATCTTTTCAAAGAATCAACTTTTGGTTTCACGAATTTTCTTTATTGTTTTTTAAATTTATCCATTGCAATGATTTCCATCCAAATCTTTATCATTTCCTTACCTCTGCTTGCTTTAAGTGTAGATTGCTACATTTCTACATTTTTAAGGTGGGAGCTTAGATTATTGGTTTGAAATCTTTCTCCGTTTTTCTTTTCTTTCTTTTTGAGATGGAGTCTCGCTCTGTCACCCAGGCTAGAGTGCAGTGGCACAATCTCAGCTCACTGCAACTTCTGCCTCCCGGGCTCTAGCGATCCTCCCGCTTCAGCATCCCAAGTAGCTGGGACTACAGGCACGTGCCACCACACCTGGCTAATTTTTATAGAGACGGGGTTTTGCCATTCTTGCCAGGCTCATCTCGAACTCCTGAGCAATCTGCCCGCCTTGACCTCCCAAAGTCCTGGGATTACAGGCACGAGCTACCGTGCCACCCTCTCCTTTTCGAATATAGGCATTTAAAGCTATACATTTCCCTTTAAGTACTGCTTTAGTCGCATCCCATAAATTGTGGTATGTTGTGTTTTCATTTTCATGCATTACTTTCTAATTTCCCATTCATGGCTTATTTAGAAATGTGTTAATTTCTGGCCGGGCCCGGTGGCTGTCTGTAATCCCAGCTACTTGGGAGGCCGAGGCGGGTGGATCACCTGAGATCTGGAGTTCGAGACCAGCCTGGCCAACATGGTGAAACCTCGTCTCTAATAAAAATACAAAAATAAGCCAGGTGTGGTGGCAGGCGCCTGTAATCCCGGTTACTCAGGAGGCTGGGCAGGAGAATTGCTTGAGCCCAGGTGGTGGAGGTTGCAGTGAGCTGGGATCATGCCACTGCACTCCAGCCTGGCCGATGGAGCGACACTCTGTCTCAAAAACAAAAAACAAAACAAAACAAAACAAAATGTGTTAATTTCTAAATATTTGTGGGTTTGTCCAATTTCCTTCTCTTGTGGATTTCTAGTTGTTATAGTCAGAAAACATATTTTGTAGAATTTAAGCCCTTTAAAATGTTTTGAAACATGTTTTATGGTCTAGCATAGATCTATCCTGGAGTGTGTTCCATATGTATTTGAAAATAATGTGTATTCTGCTGTCGTTGAGTGCAGTGTTCTATTGGTGTCAATTAGGTCACATCAGGTTTATAGTGTTGTTCAAGTCTTCCATATCCTTGATGATTTTATTTCTAGTTGTTCTATTAATTCCTGAGAATGGGTTATTGAATTCTCCAACTGCTATTTCTGAATTGTCTATTTTTCCCTTTGTTTCTGTCAGTTTTTTGCTCCGTGTGTTTCGAGGCTCCTTTGTTAGATATATATATATATAGTTTTATAAATATATATTATATTTTTAATAAAATATACATTGATATACAATTTTATAAATTTATATAAAATTAAAAAAATATTTTTCTGATGAATTGACCATAGTATCATTATAAAATGACCCTTTTGTGTTTAGTAACATTTTCCAACTAAATTTCTATTTTGCCAGAAATCAGTATAGCCACTCCAGCTCATTTATGTTACTCTTTGCATGTTAGATATTTTTCCATCATTTTACTTTCAGCGTATTTGTAACTTTGAATCTAAAGTGTGGCTTTTACAGGTAGCATATGGTTGGATCCTGTCTTCATCCTAATATGACAGTCTCTGCCTTTTGATTGGGGAATTTAGTCCATTTATTTCGAATATAATTATTGATATGGATAGATTTACATCTGCCATTTTGAGATTTGTTTTCCTTAGCTCTCATATCTTTTTGTTCTTTCTCTTTCTCTCTTTTTTTTTTTTTGGTGAACTAGATATTTTATTTTTTTTTATTTTTTATTTTTGAGACAGTGTCTTGCTCTGTAGCACAGGCTAGAGTGCAGTGACACTATCATGGCTTACTGCAGTCTCCAATTCCTGGGCTCAAGCGATCCTTTTGCTTCAGCCTCCTGATTAGCTGGGACCACAGGCATGTACCACCACACGTGGCTATTTAATATATAAAGACACCAAGTCTTTAACTATTAAATGCAACATGTGGACATCCTCAGAGACAGTTTCTAGTGGACTGGTATTTTTTTTTCCCCTGTGTATGGACCAGAATTCTCTGTGTGTGCAGTTTGTTTGTTTTGCATGTCTCATAATTGTTAAAAAGTTGACACTGTAGATAATATATATTTTAGTAATTCTGGATTATGACCCCACCCTCCACAGTTATTATTGTTGCTGTTGTTTTTTGTTTGTTTAGGGACTCATGGGGACTAATTCTGTAGAGTTTTTCATCCCTCAGTGTGCAGTTACTGATGTCTCTGCTTAGTTTTTTTTTTTGAGATGGAGTTTCACTCTTGTTGCCCAGGCTGGAGTGCAGTGGTGCGATTTCAGCTCACTGCAACCTCCACCTCCCAGGTTCAAGCGATTCTCCTGCCTCAGCCTCCCAAGTAGCTAGAATTACAGGCATGCGCTACCACACCTGGCTAATTTTATATTTTTAGTAGAGATGGGGTTTTACCATGTTGGCCAGGCTGGTCTTGAACTCCTGACCTCAGGTGATCCTCCTGCCTCAGCCTCCCAAAGTGCTGGGATTACAGGTGTGAGCCGCCACACCTGGCTGTTTAGTTTTTAAATAATTCTTTCCGTTTTTATGCCTGGCTTCCTTGGGGTCACCTGTGGGTCTGCATAGCTTATTTTTATCCAATGATTGCTTAGAAGTTGTGATTATACACCTCAAACCAGTATGGCTTCCACTAAGGGGATAACTGTGTGAGTTTGAGTACGCATATTAAGTTCGGTCTGCTTGTAAGTCTGTGCTGGCATTCATTTCGGCTTGTATAGGGTCTCACATTCATCTAGGTACCTGATATTTTGTGGTCATGTACACAGCCTTCCACATCCTCATGCATATGCATGGACTTATCAATTCCCACTACTGCTGTCTTATTTTCCATATCCCTTTAATTTTTTGTCTGGTCTGCTGCTCACTCAAACAATGTTGCAGCCTCAGGCAGCTGTGAGGTTGGCCTTCCCCAATTACTTGCTACCAACATTGCTGTTGTTTTTGACAATACCCCTAGGCATGGAGCTTTTCTCTGGAGCTCAGAGTCAGGTCAGCTCCCTCCATTTACAGTGAGGCTTCCATTCCTCATGGCTACCATGCCCACAGAGCTGTGGATGGGAGCAGCTCCAAGTCTAAATGCCATAGACCCCACTATTCTTATCAAGGTTTGGTAGTTTTTGACCATTTAAAAAAAGCTTTTGGGGGAGGGGTTTTGATGAGCTCCTCACCCTACCATTCCAGAAGCTCCACCTCTGGACAAGTGATGGTTTTTCTTTTTTAAGAGACTGGGTCTCACTCTGTTACCCAGGCTGGAGTGCAGTGGTGTGGATCATAGCTCCCTGCAGCCTCTAGCTCCTGGGCTCAAGCAATCCTCCCACCCCAGCCTTCTGAGTAACTGGGACTATAGGCATGCACCACTACCCCTGGGTAATTTAAAAAGAATTTTTTTAGAGACAGGATCTTGCCATGTTGCCCAAGCTGGTCTTGAACTCCTGGCCTCAAGTGATCCCCCCATGTCAGCCTTGCAAAACACTGGGATTACAGGGCATGAGCCACCATGTCTGGCCTGGACAAGTGACTTTTGACAAAAGTCAAAATATTGAGAAAGGGTAGTATTTTTAAACAAATGGTGTGGAAACATTTGAATATCCATAAGCAAAAACAAAACAAAACAAAACAAAAACATAAAAGAACTTGGATCCATATTTCACACCATATAACTCAAAATACATGCTAGATCTAGATGTAAAACTTAAACCTTTAGAAGAAAACACAGGAAAAAATCATTGTAATCTTTGGTTAGGCAAGGATTTCTTAGATACAGCACTCAAAGCACAACCCAGAAATGAACAAATGGAAAGAACGGACTTCATCAAAATAAGCAGTTCTGTTCTTCAAAAGACACTCTTAAGAGAATGAAAAGACAATCCAGAGACTGGGAGAAAACCTTTGCAAGGATAATGGACTGATAGTGAAGTTACACCCAGAATATATTTTTAAAAACTATCAGTGCTCAACAATAAAAAAACCCAAATAACCCAACTGATAATGGGCAAAAGATTTAAACAGACACTTCATCAAAGATTCTCAATAAAAGATGATCAATATTATTAATCATTAGGGCAGTGTAAATTAATATCACAATATAACTTCACATGTACTAGGATAGCTATAATAAAAAAGACTAATAATAATAAGAGTTGGTAAGGATGTGGAGAAACCGGAAACCTCATACATTGATAGAATGTAAAATGGTGCAGTCATGTGAGGAACAGGCCTAGGTCTCAGGTCTCAGCCATCACTCATCTATCCTGGGGAGATACTACAATGGTTTGGAGGACAAGAAAATAAAACCGAAAACTAAAACTGACATATCACTATATGCCCACCACTAATGGCTATAGTAAAAAAGATGGAAAATGCCAAATGTTGGCAAGTATGTGGAGCACTAGAACTCGCATACTGGGTTGGTGGGAGTGTACATTGGTACAACCACTTGAAAACTGGTTTTATAACATATAGCTGAACATATGGATACACTTAGGTACATACCTAACAGGAATACATACATATGTTCACCAATACACAGCAACACAATTCCTAATAGCCCAAGCTGCAAACAACCCAAATGTCTACAAACAGTAGAATGGATAAATTATATTGCAGCATATTCACAGAATGGGATACAACATGACAATGAAAATGAATTATCTACAACTATATGCAACATATGGATGACTCTCACATACATAATGTGAATGACAGAAGACAGATGCTAAAGAGTATATGGCTCAATTATATGATATATAATTGACTCAATTTATATAAAATACAAAACAGGCAAAATGAATCTATGCTGTGAGAAGCCAGGATAATGTATACCCTTGGGGGCTTGCCTGGAAGGGAAAGTGGGGAAGGCTTCTGGGGTGCTGGTCATGTTCTGTTTCTTGATCTGAGTATGTTCAGTTTTTGAGAATGCACTGAGCTGTATGTTTATGATATATGCATTTTCTGTATACATTATAGTTTAATAAAAAGATTTTAAAATAAAATAAAAATACAATTGCATGCTAGAAAGAAAGTTCCTTTTTATGAGTATTGTAAAAAATGTTTAAGGGAAAATGAGAACGTGTCTATATATCAGTGTTAAAAAAGAGCAGTGCTCTTTCTTGAGAAGTCTTCCAGTTATTCAACTATGATAAACTGTAATTATGTCTTAGAATAACTAATTGCAATGCAACATGACTTTATCACATAGCAGTCTACACAAAACTACCCTTAATGTGCATGTAGGAAATGAATATACCTTAACCAAATAGGAAGAAAAACAAAATATTAGGAAGTGAAACTCAATTTTTCAACCATTCTTTTTCAGGAAATCCCAAGGAAAGCAGGGGTGTTGGTGGGTTAGCCTGAAAATCTAGAGTGCCGTGGATCAGTTCCATTGTCGTAGGGTCAGTTACTGAGGGAATCAGGAATCTATGGCCTGCAGCTTATGCAAATGACAGCTTTGGGGACATAGGTTAGAAGGCATGCATACTTCTTATAGGGTATGACTCATCTGCTCTCCCAGCAGGGAATTAATAATGAGACAACTACTACCTTTATATGTCTGTATCATTCAATGACTATATTTCTGTAACATAGCCTAGAGCTAGGCCTAATTTCTCAATTCATAAAGTTATATCTTTAAATTTAAAAATTCCATTGCACTTAAAATATATATACCATGAGGACTTCCCAAGGGAAAAGAAAAAAGTTTTTCATGGAAATCTTTTCTATGTCTTAAGTGCCAATGATCACAAAAACAGATATCTGCATTCCCAAGTAGGTTTTCTGCCTTGATGTCAGTGCCCTGCCAGTGTTTGGACAATGAAAACTCTTCTCCTCAACCTAGAAATTTGAAAAAGTTTTTCCCAGTAGTGAGTATTTTTATGTCCCAGGATATGCTGAACCAATCAGTACTGAATTTAAAAAGTTCTTTATCCAAAAAGTGAAGCATAAGAGATGACGAGTCATCTCCTCAGGTCTTAATTCTACTATTTCCAGGAGCTCAAGAGGTCTGTATGAATCATGTCACCAAACATGACTTTCGCTCAAATGCTTTCTCTAAAGGCTCTTCCTATGCATAGAATTGCATATACACTGTGGTGATGCAGGAACTTGTCTTTCCAGTGGACTGAAGGATACTTGGCTCTGTTTGCCTTCAGTTCACTCAAGCCTCAGTCTCTCATACCCATTTCCCCCTGTACAATGATTGCAGCAACAGGCCTTCCTCCTCCCTGCTATTAGATACCTGATGCATACCCAGTTGTGATTTCCAGGTGAAGACTTTCTCAGTCACTGGCTTTATAGCGTTTTTCTCCACTATGCATTTTCTGGTGTTTAATGAGATTCGATCTGTCAGTAAAGGCCTTCTGACATTCTGTACAAGCATAAGGTTTCTTTCCTGTATGAATTATCTGATGCATACTTAGTGTGGCTTTCTGGATGAAAGCTTTCCCACATTTACTACATTCATAGTGTCTTTCTCCAGTATGAGACTTCTGATGTATATTGAGGCGTGACTTCCAGGTGAAGGTTTTCCCGCAGTCACCACATTCATAGGGTTTCTCCCTAGTGTGGATTTTCTGATGTGTTATGAGATTTGATCGGTCAGTGAAGGCCTTTCCACATTCAGCACATATATTGGGCTTCTCACCTGTGTGGATTTTCTGATGCACACGGAGTTGTGACTTCTTAGTGAAGCATTTCCCACAGTCGCTGCATTCATAAGGCTTCTCTCCAGTATGGATTCTATGATGCGCAATGAAGTGCGATTTCTGGATAAAGGCCTTCCCGCATTCAGGACAAACGTACGGTTTCTCTCCTGTATGGATTCTCTGATGCACGCTTAGTGTTGATTTCTGGATGAAGGCTTTCCCGCAGTCCTTGCATTCATAGTGTCTCTCTCCAATATGAGATTTCTGATGTATTTTGAGGCGCGACTTCCATATGAAGGCTTTTCCACAGCCATTGCACTTATAGGGTTTCTCTCCAGTGTGAGTTTTCTGGTGTTTAATGAGATTTGACTGGTCAGTAAAAGCCTTTCCACATTCAGCACACATATAGGGTTTTTCCCCAGTATGAGTTTTCTGATGTGTGGTGAGGTTTGTCCTGTGAGTGAAGACCTTTCCACATTCTGTACATATATAGGGTTTCTCTCCGGTGTGAATTCTTTGATGCACATGGAGTTGTGACTTCTTAGTGAAGGATTTCCCACAGTCACTGCATTCATACGGCTTTTCTCCAGTATGAATTCTCTGATGTGTGTTGAAATGTGATTTCTGGATGAAGGCCTTCCCACAGTCAGCGCATACATAAGGTTTCTCTCCCGTGTGGATTCTCTGATGCATCCTGAGTGCTGATTTTCTTGTGAAAGCCTTCCCACATTCATTGCATTCATAGTGTTTCTCTCCGGTATGAGTTTTCTGATGTATACTGAGGTCTGAGTTCTGGGAGAAGCCTTTTCCACATTCACTGCATTCATAAGGTTTTTCTCCTGTATGAATTCTCAGATGTCTAAAGAGGTCTGATCTCTGGAAAAAGGCTTTTCCACATTCACTGCATTTGTAGGGTTTCTGCCCGGTATGAATTTTTTGATGTGTAATGAGGTTTGATTTGAGGGTAAAGACTTTCCCACATTGAGTACACAGATAGGGTTTTTCTCCTGTATAAACACTTGGATGTACATCAACCTGGGGTTTCTGGGGGAAGACTTTGTTGCTTTTGTCACATTCACGGGACTTTTCTCCAGCATGAATTCTCTGATGCTCAAACAGATGTGACTTCTGAGTGAAGCCCATTACACATTCAGTACACACATAAAGCTTCTCCTCAGGATGAATTTTCTGATGGTGGGTGGGAGCTTGTTTGTGGCTGAGATGTTTTTCATAGTGGTCATGTTCACAGGAATTTGCTCCTGTTTTAGCATTCTCATTCTTAGTAGAGGAAGGGCTATGGGGGAAATTGTTACCATTTCCAAAAATCTTGCCAAGGTTCTTTGTTGCACTGTTTCTATTATGATTATGTGAGTTTAAAGTATGCTTCAAAATTGTGTCACAGTTATGGAGTCTTTTAATTGAAGGAACAAGCTTGGTAGTCACATGAATTATTTTTTCAATGTTTTTATGTTCATAGCCCCTCTCCTTAATCAATACTTTCACATGACTTAAAAGGTTATTCTGGTTTTCCTGACGTTGCTCTAGCTGGTCATTATCTTGCCACAGTTCTTCTAAAATAGAACATAATGAATCTTCTCCTATGGGTTGATCAAATCTCTCACAGTGGAAGAAAATTCCTCCAGGAATTCCCTGTTGCTGCATTTTCCCAATAGCCTCACCTAAAAAGAAAATGAAAGAAATGAAAACGACACAAAGAACAATCAGCAGAGGCTAGAGGGGACATGTAGTTCAGACAGGATGAACACAGATAAATGGAAGAGCCCATAGGACAATATAGTAGTAATAATGTAGCAACACAACATTCTTATAGAACACTTAATAAATGCAAAACAACTGTATACCATTTATGATGCACAGAGACTGTTACAAGTGCTTTACATGAAACAGCTCATTTAACTAACCCTATGAGGTAGCTAAACCCTATGAGGTAGCTACGATTATCATTTGTTTTACAATTTAGAAAACAGAGGCACAGAGAAGTCATGCAACTTGCTGAATATCGAATAGCTAAATAAGTGGGAGAGATGGGATTTGAACTCTGGGAGTCCAGCTCCACTATGTAAGAGGCCTGGATTGTGAGTAGAGTAACCAGAAGAAACTGCAGCCTGTGAGGGGAAGCTTGGCATGGAAGAAATATTTCAGAATTTATGTTCTTAATACATATCAGCTCCACCACTTTACTAAGCTCTCTGCTTCTTCTTGCTTTTCCCTCTATACCATTATGAGTGGAGCCCTTCAAATTTAATGTTAATTTGAACATTAAATCTATATGCCTCAAACACCAATTCCTTTATATCTATAGGAAAACTAGTTGCAACATGCCATCCTGACATAGACAAACAGTAAATAGACATTTGCACTCCAACTTTATAACCAGCTGCAAGTTTCTTTCTTTCTTTCTTTCTTTTTTTTGAAATGGAGTCTTGCTCTGTCACCCAGGCTGGAGTGCGGTGGTGCGATCTCGGCTCACTGCAACCTCCGCCTCCCGGGTTCAAGTGGTTCGCCTGCTTCAGCCTCCCGAGTAGCTGGGATTACAGGCATGCACCACCACGCCCAGCTAATTTTTGTATTTTTAGTAGAGACGGGGTTACACCATGTTGGCCAGGCTGGTCTTGAACTCCTGACCTCAAGTGATCTGCCCACCTCGGGCTCCCAAAGTGCTGGAATTACAGCTGTGAGCCACCGTGCCGGCCCCAGCTGCAGTTTCTATTGGTTCCAGGAATACATGCTTATAACAAGGCGTGTAAAAGAGGAAAGGGAAAGCTATCTGTGGCAGAATCTGCAGGCCCTCCCCTGAGATCTATTCTCCCCTTCTTTTACAGGAATAGAATGTAGCTGGGCCTTACATCCACTGGCCTCGCTATGTTCTCAGCAGTGGAATATGAGCAGAAGTGATATATGCTACTTGCAGGCCAGCCTTAAGACAGTGGGCAAATGTCCTCTATTTCCTCTTCCCTCTTCCCACTGGACTACACAGTGACCCATCATTAACCAGGCAGGTGACAACAATGCCCCAGGAGATGCCAGAGGAGTGACTTAGAACATGGTCCCTGAATGACCCATCAGGATTAGAGTTGACTTGTTGAACTGGACCCATTCACCTCAGAATTATCATGTAGGGGAAGACATACATCTATATTTAGCCTCTTGTTTTGTTCCTCTGTGCATATCCAAAATGTATTGTCTTTCTAAATATTAGCTCTAATTTTGGTATACCTCTAGGGAGCTTATGTTTGCTATGAATTTGTAAAGCAGACACTGTACCATTCATATTGATACTCAGTTTGGCACAGTTTTATAACAGAAAGGACAAATACACAAAGGGTGAGAGTGTTAACATTTCATGCAGTCATCTTCCCTTTCCAAATATAATGTATGTTCCTTTGAATTCCTCTGAGCAGACACTTGAAAATTTCATCTGAAAGAGGAAAAATCTCCTCCTCTGCCTATATCCCCAAATTCAATAAATTCATTTACTAAATATTTTCTACATGCTCCACTTCAGGAAACTGAAGAATAAGTATGCTGGTTATCAATGTTTTGCCTCTCAGTTCCAAATTCACCCTTCCTTGCCTGCTCAACAAAAACGGATCTGGCCCCAGTTACCCTGATGTGATTATTACACATCGTATGCTGTATCAAAATATCCCATGCAGGCTGGGTGCGGTGGCTCATGTCTGTAATCCTAGCACTTTGGGAGGCTGAGGTGGGTGGATCACTTGAGGCCAGGAGTTTGAGACATGGCAAAATCCCGTCTCTACTAAAGATACAAAACTTAGCTGGGCATGTTGGCATGTGCCTGTAATCCCAGCACTTTGGGAGGCCAAGGCAGGCGGATCACCTGAGGTCAGGAGTTAGAGACCAGCCTGGCCAACATGGCAAAACCCTGTCTCTACTAAAAATACAAAAATTAGCCAGGCATGGTGGCATGCACCTGTAATCCCAGCCACTCGGGAGGCTGAGGCAGGAGAATTGCTTGAATCCGGGAGGTGGAGGTTGCAGTGAGCCAAGATTGCACCACTGCACTCCAGCCTAGGTGACAGCGAGACTCTGTCTCAAAAATAAAAAACTCCAAAACTCCCAAATATCCCATGTACCCCATAAATATATATACCTATGTACCCATAAAAATTAAAACTTTAAAAAGTGGATCTCGATCTCTTTAAATATTTTTTTCTTCTGCCAGCTGGCACGATATTAAACTTTGTCAGTGTAAGATGCTAGAGAGACACTGCAGGATGAGGAGGGTTTGCTTCCTGGTTCTAGGGGGCTCACTCAGCAGGCTCATCCAGCAGGGGCAGGCTGTCTAGCACCAGGCTCATGTAGTGTGGGCATCTTTGCCAACATCTGGCTCCTGACGCACATGTAGTGTCCCCAGTACCCAGGTCTCGCGGTCTTCTCTAGAGCTCGGCTCCTGCAGTGTGGGTGACTTCTCCAGCACCCAGCTCCTGCAGCTCATATGGCTTCCCAAGCACCTAGTTCCTGCAGGCCCCCGCAGTGCTGTACAGTCAGCAGCACCCAACACCCCCCAGTTTACTCTCAGACGATTTGTAGTGGAATAGCTCCAGTGAGTCACCTCCGCATCAATAGCTTTCCCTGGAATCCTAGAGGGCAGGTTTCCAGCAAGTTCCACCAGCACAGCACCACAGCAAGTATTCTACCTGCCTCGAGCCATGGTTGTGCCCTCCCTACAAGGTCTGAATTTCATCCCTGGGAAGTAGGGAGCCTCTTCCTTGGATGCTTGCTCACAACCCTAGAAGAACCTGCTGTGCTTTCTATCTGCTATTCCTTTATTCTTCAGAGTTTCTTTTTTTGCTAGCAAATCCCTCATTATTCCAGTCCCATGGCTCACTGCAACCTCTGCCTCCTGGGTTCAAGCGATTCTCCTGCTTCAGCCACCTGAGTAACTGGATTACAGGCGTGGGCCACCACACCTAGCTAATTTTTGTATTTTTAGTAGAGACGGGGTTTCACCATGTTGGCCAGGATGGTCTTGAACTCTTGATCTCAGGTGATCCACCTGCCTTGTCCTCCCAAAGTGCTGGGATTATAGGTGTGAGCCACCACGCCTGGCTGCAAAGAATCTTTATGTTAACCATTCTCTGTTCACATTAGTCTGTGGTTTCTCCCTCGGTAAGACCCTGAGTTATACTACAAGAAATAGGCTCTTCATGTATACATATTTCAAAACATCATGTTGTACATGATAAATACATACAATTCTTATGTGTCAAATTAATAGATTTTTCTATAAAAAGAAATAGGCTCTTTTTTCTTAAATTATTTTTTTGAAATAGAGATGGAATCTTGTTGTGTTGCCCAGGCTGGTCTTGAACTCCTGGCCTCAAGTGATCCTCCCGCCTCGGCCTTCCAAAGTTCTGGGTTTACAGACATGAGCTACCACACTCAGCCTGAAACAGGCTCTTAATTCCGGAGACTTTCTAAAAACATAGAGGTAAAAGCCTCAGTTACCCTATACACTAAAATCCTGTGATTTTCTCAGAATTCTTGTGGGATGGAGGATGAGAAAAAGGAAAGAGCCATACAGACTAGAATAATTAAAAGCCATTTTGTGAGACAGGTGAGAACTGATCACAAGGTGGAAAATGTCTCATCTGAATAGACAGAGCACAGAATAAACAGATTCAGGGAGGACTATCAGATATGGTCAACATTAAGAAAATATTAAAAATGGAGTTGAGCAGAGGTTACAGAAAATATACAGATACGAGTTGAACTGGAAATATGTGGCCATGTTGTTTATTTCTTTGAAAGAAGAGTTTAATTGTCATATACTAGGTAATGGAGAACAATTGTAGGTTTGTTTCATAATGCTCATGACAAGAGAAATAGAATGTTTTAGGTAAAGATATCTGTCATTAGCATTTAATATGAACTAGTAAAAACAATGGAATCAGCAAATAAAATCAGGAATAGAATAATTACAATTCAGGCAGCAGAAAATATGGAGCTGGCCGGGCGCGGTGGGTCACACCTATAATCCCAGCACTTTGGGAGGCTGAGGCAGGCAGATCACTTGAGGTCAGGAGATCGAGACCAGCCTGGCCAACATGGCAAAACCCCATCTCTACTAAATATACAAGAATTAGCAGAGTATGGTGGTGCACATCTGTAATCCCAGCTACTCAGGAGGCTGAGGCAGGAGAATCGCTTGAACCCAGGAGGCATAGGCTGCAGTAAGCCGAAATGGCACCGTTGCATTCCAGCCTGGGTGGCAGAGTGAGACTCTGTCTCAAAAAACAAAAAAAGAAAAGAAAAAGACTGAACAGGAGAAAAGGTCCCTAGGGAAACCTTGCTTATGGGGAAAATGAGGAAGAGAAGGCTGAAAAAGGGGCAAATAATAAATGGGATGCAGATCAGTAAGAAACAGACAATTGAGGAGGCACAATTGAAACCAGGGCAATGTTATGAACAAGGTAATTCATAGGAGGGAAGCTCAAAGAGGTATCAGGTAAATCATGAAATGTCCAAATTAAAAATTAGATACCCTACTGTTGCATCACGAGGTTAAAAAAAAAACAGAGAGCTACCCCTTTATACCCACTATTGACCAAAAAATGAGAAACTCTGGTACTACTAATTGTTAGCAGAAACACTGGGGAAGCCAGAACACTTGTACAGTGCAGCTAATCTGAGAATAATATGGTGGTACTCAGTCCTATTCTGGATGAGGTACTCCATGATTAGGTGCAAATCCTCTCTTCTCTACACATCCCTGAGAAATTCTCATACCCTGTAAGGAAACATTTATGTAGAAGTTGATTGCAGAATTGTTTGTATTAGATGGGACTTGGACACAATGATCAGCCTCCATGACTAGGTGAGTGGTTAAGTATGATGTGGTGCTGGGGACATTGTGAAATACTATGTAGCAATTTGAAGAACAAAGCCAGACAAACACACTAAAATATGGAGAGACCATAGGAATGAGTGAAAAAAAAAGGAACAGAATTGAGAAACATAGTACAATATGTTTAATATATAATAAAAATACATACTCATAAACCAATACTTCAGGCTTTAAGAGAATATCACACAATTTCAAGGTTCAAACACATTAGATCAGCTGCCCATGGGAGGAGGCATAAAGAATGGATATGGAGAATTGGAATAAAAGAAAAGACCTGGCCAGGCGCGGTGGCTCATGCTTGTAATCCCAGCACTTTGGGAGGCTGAGGCGGGCAGATCACCTGAGGTTGGGAGTTCGAGACCAGCCTGACCAACATGGAGAAACCCCATCTCTACTAAAAATACAAAATTAGCTGGGTGTGGTGGCGCATGCCTGTAATCTCAGCTACTAGGGAGGCTGAGGCAGGAGAATCGCTTGAACCTGGGAGGCAGAAGTTGCAGTGAAACGAGATCGTGCCATTGCACTCCAGCCTGGGCAACAAGAGCGAAACTCTGTCT
Source organism: Homo sapiens (assembly GCF_000001405.40). NCBI lineage: Eukaryota > Metazoa > Chordata > Mammalia > Primates > Hominidae > Homo > Homo sapiens. Next base: position 47,455,245 of record NC_000023.11, read on the forward strand.
CAAAAAATAAATAAATAAATAAAAATAAAAATTAAAATTAAAATTAAAAAAAAAAAAAGACCCATAATCCCAGCAAAGACCTGTAATCCCAGCACTCTGGGAGGCCGAGTCAGGCAGATCAGTTGAGCCCAGGAGTTCGAGTCCAGCCTGGCCAACATGGTGAAATCACGTCTCTACAAAAAATACAAAAATTAGCTGGGCATGGTGGCATGTGCATGTAGTCCCCACTACTTGGGAGGCTGAGGTGGGAGGATCGCTTGAACCTGGGAGGTGGAGGTTGCATTGAGCCAAGATCATGTCACTGCACTCCAGCCTGGGCCACAGAAATTTTAAAACACTTGGATGTATAAGAAAAGACTAAGATGGGGGGCAGGGGTAGAGTAGGAAGAATAAAAAGGTCCTAGATAAGACAGGGTGGTATGTGATACAGAGTACAGAGACTAGAGACAGCTCTCTTGCCAAAAGGCCAATCAAAGAAGACAATAATGTGGCAAGGGTCATACATGGAAATGGCATTTAGGTATTTGAGGGCTATTGTCAACTATCTCCAATTGACTCCAAAAGTTTAGAACTTTCAAGATGGGTTATCTTCAGAGTGTTTCAAAGGCATCGGGCTTTCCTAGGGAAAGTGATACTGACTTCCATGTCCCCATCTGTCTGGGTCATGCTCACTCACCTGAACAGCTCTGATGTGGGGCTTCCCCCTCCAGCATCCATGGCCCCTCTCCTTGCTCCAACTTGAAGGCAGCCTCTGACTTGGGAATTTGGTACCCTGTTAACAGGACATGATACACGATTGGGTCCAGCTGATTGGGTTTCAGGGGCCTTTCAGTGACACTTTCCCTTTGCTTTTCAGAAAAGTAAACACATTTCACTGGGAACAGAGTAATAATCACAGAGGTGAAAAGGAACTGAATCCCAGACAAATCCAGGATGACACCATCACATAGGTTAGGTGTCGGGCAGCACTCAGCAGCCAAGAATGGAAATACCCTCATTAGCAGATGCATAGGGCGGCCGTGCTTACCCACTGAGAGCAGGTGGCTGTAGTTCTCTAGTGTCACATCCCAGTACAGGCGTCTCTGGGCAGGGTCCAAGTGCTGCCACTCCTCCTTGCTGAAGTCCACAGTCACGTCCTCAAATGACACTGAAGCCTGTAACGACACAATGCTGTTCAAGGCAGCATGGTCAGCACTGGGGGATGGAAGAAGGTAGATAGCAAGTTGTTTTTAATGCTTTTTACCATAATGTATCATGTAGGGTTTTCACTAAGTACTTAGTTTTGTATTTTATTTTGTGAGAGCTAAAAAACTTATTAAAGTATCTTGACATTTGTTGTGTACTACATTAATTCATTTATTCATTCATTCTCTTTTCAAAATGAGGATTTTAAATGGGCTCTCTTTAAGTCCTCCAGCTAACTTAAAAACAAGATACTGGCCGATTATGTGTCAGATGATGTGCTAGGCAATGGTGATAAAGAGTTGAGTAAAATATAAAGCAACTTAAAGACTTGGATAACCAACAGCAGACACAAAGGGAGCTTTAGGAATTTGGAAGAAAAGTATAGGAGGTATAAGGTTAGATTTCATAGAGACAGTGGGGCGAGAGTTATCTAGAAGGGAGAAGCATGAGCAACAGTGTGGAGAAAGGAAAATAGAAAAATACATGGTGGATTCTGGGAACTGCAAGTAGTACCATATAAAGGAAAGGAGTCTGTATAGTATATTGAGAAGGTGACTATGAGGAAAATCCAGTAGAGATATACTAGCATCAGAAAAAGGAACAAGTCTTTTTTTCTAATAGAGAATGGACTGCAATTTATATGCAGGAAAAGACATGATGGTAATTGTGTGATTTCAAACAGTATTCAACATACATCAGGCTGGGCATGGTGGCTCACTCCTGTAATCTCAGCCCTTTGGGAGGCTGAGGCAGGTGGATCACCTGAGGTCAGGAGTTCGAGACCAGCCTGACCAATATGGTAAAGCCCCGTCTCTACTAAAAATACAAAAGTTAGCTGGGCGTGGTGGCGCACGCCCGTAATCCCAGCTACTTGAGAGGCTGAGACAGGAGAATTGCTTGAACCCAGGAGGTGGAGGTTGCAGTGAGCCGAGATTGTATCATTGCACTTCAGCCTGGGTGATACAGAGTGAGACTCCGTCTAAAAAAAAAAAAAGGATTGATCACGAGGAATGTTTGAAATGGGTGAGTCCAGATCAGTCTGGAGATGCACTACAGAGTTTATGTGAGAGAATAAGACAATCTGGACTTAAGGCAGTGGTTGTCATGGGCAAGTAAAAGAAGGTGTTGGCTGGGCGCAGTGGCTCATGCCTGTAATCCCACCACTTTGGGAGGCTGAGGCAGGCGGATCACCTGAGGTCAGGAGTTCGAGACCAGCCTGGCCAACATGGCAAAAACCCCGTCTCTACCAAAAATACAAAAATTAGCCGGGCACGGCGGGTGTCTGTAATCCCAGCTACTCGGGAAGCTGAGGCAGGAGAATTGCTTGAACTCAGGAGGCGGAGGTTGCAGTGAGCTGAGATCACGCCACTGCACTCCAGCCTGGGCGACAGAACGAGACTCCATCTCAAAAACAAACAAACAAACAAACAAAAAGAAGGTGTTCATGCTGTGTTTTAAAGAGCCTGAATTATGGGAGTGAGAAAAAGAATTCTAGGGCAATTCTCAGTTATCGGTTTTGTACAACCATGCAGACAGTGGTGTTATATACTGAGAGGGGCTAGTAGATTAGGAAGGGAGTGGGGAAGAGAATGAAACATAATGTTACATTTTGTCCATGTTGAAATAAAGGTGGTAAAACATGCAGGGAGTTATACAATAAGCTTTTGGGCTATTATAGAGGTAAGATTTGGGAGTTCTCATATAGAGCTGGGAAACAGATGAGACGAACCAGGAAGGGCACACAGATAGAGACGATACAGAAACCATCTCTTACAGACCATCTCTAAACCAAGTGTATTTAAGTCAGAAATCAGTAATAAGACGAAACTTTTCTGAAATCATCATTTTAAAGTTTAAAAATACAGTTCAAAATAACTGATCGTCTAAGAAGATACACTCAATATCAATGTAATCAGTACATGTAAGAATTTATTGGATTAAGAAATGGTAACTAAAGTGGAAATTAGGGTCTCCAGTGCTCATATTACAAAAGAATAAAGTCCAAAATTCCATGCATTAAGCATTGAAATAAAGACATTATAAAAATAACAATAGAGTAAAGCCCAAGAGAAAAAATCTTTAAAAAGCAGAAATCAATACATTCAATGCCATCCCAATTGAAATCACAACAGGATTTTTGTAAAATCTGACAAACCAATTCTAAAATTTCTGTGGAAGTGCAAATGGCCAGGAATAGCTAAGGCGTTTAAAAAAAATTATTTTGTATCTTGTTTTCAGAGACATGGTCTCACTTTGTCACCCAGGCTAGGGTGCAGTGGCGCAACCACAGCCCACTGCAGCCTCAACCACAGGCATACGTCACCATATGCTGCTTCGTTTTTTTTTTGTTTTGTTTTTTTTTTTTGTATTTTGTAGAGACAGGGGTCTCCCTATGTTGCCTAGGCTGGTCTAGAACTCCTGGCCTCAAGTGATCCACCTGCCTCAGCCTCCTAAAGCACTGGGATTGTAGGCGTGAGCCACTGTGCCCGGCCTGCCAAGACACTCTTGAATAGTTAAAGCAATGTGGGAGGACATGCTTTACAAGACCTCAAGACTTACAAAGCAATGGAAATTTAAGACATTGTTGTCCTGGTGCTAGGATAGACAAATAATCCATTGCAACAGAATATAGAGTACAGGCCGGGTGCAGTGGATCAGGCCTGTAATCCCAGCACTTTGGGAGGCTGAGGCAGGTGGATCACTTGAGGTCAGGAGTTTGTGACCAGCCTGGCCAACATGGAGAAATCTCGTCTCTTCTAGAAATACAGAAATTACATGGGCATGGTGGCACGTGACTGTAGTCTCAGTTACTTGGGAGGCTGAAGCAGGAGGATCACTAGAACCTGGAAGGCGGAGGTTGCAGTGAGCCAAGACCGGGCCACTGCACTCCAGCTTGGACAACAGAGTGAGACTCAGTCTCAAAAAAAGAAAAAAGAGTACAGAAACAGACCCACATATACAGTCACCTGATTTATGCCAAAGGTGTCCAGGCAGATAGTGAGGAAAAATATTTTCAACAAATGTTGCCAGGGCCTGGGCGTGGAGGCTCACACCTGTAACCCCAGCACTTTGGGAGGCTGAGGCAGGTGGATCACTTGAGCTCAGGAGTTTGAGACCAGCCTGGACAACATGGCAAAACCCCATCTCTACAAAAAACACAAAAAATTAGCCAGGCATGGTTGCGTGTGCCTGTAGTCCCAGCTACTCAGGAGGCTGAGGTGGGAGAATCACCTGAACCTGGGAAGCTGAGGCTGCAGTGAACCATGACTGTGCCACTGCACTCCAGCCTGGGTGACGGAGCAAGACCCTATCTAAAAAAAAAAAAAAAAAAAAAAAAAGAAAGAAAGAAAAGAAGACAAGGTTGTGTATAGAAAAAATAAAGTAAAATCTGAGCTCTATTTCACATTACATGCCAAAACAATAACATTGTTTGAACCTGGGAGGCGGAGGTTGCAGTAAGCTGAGATCACGCCATTGCACTCCAGCCTGGGTGACAAAAGCGAGACTCCATCTCAAAAAAAAAAAAATCAATTCCAAGGCCAGGTGCAGTGGCTCATGCCTGTAATCCCAGCACTTTGGGAGGCCAAGGCAGGAGGATTGCTTGAGTCCAGGTTTAAAACCAGCCTGGGCAATATGGCGAGACTCGGTCTCTACAAAAAAATAAAATATATAGCACACATATAAAAATTAGCTGAGTGGGGTGGCAAGCACCTGCAGTCTCAGATACTCAGGAGGCTAGGCTGGAAGATCTCTTGAGCCTGGAAGGTGGAGGCTGCAGTGAACCATGTTTGTGTCACTGTACTCCAGTCTGGGTGACAGAGTGAGATCCCATTTCAAAAGTATATATAAATTCCAGATGTATTATAGACTTAAATGTGAAAGGCAAAAACTATAAAGCCTTTAGAAGATAATACAGATGGCTATCTTCATGACCTTGAATTAGGAAAATAGTTCTCAAACATGAACCATGAAAATTGATAAGTCTTTCTACAACAAAGCTTAGAACTACTATTCATTTAAAACACAGCATTAAAAGAGAACAAAGGGAAAGTCACAGAGTAGAAGATATCTCCAACATACATTATCAACAAAGGGCTCAGCTAGAAGATGTAGAGAACTTGTACAAACCAATAAGAAAAAAAGAGACCACCTAGTAGAAAAATGGGTGAAGCATTCATTTTACAAAAGAGGAAATCCAAGGCTTTAATAAACATAAAAAAAGGTTTAACCTTCTTAGTAGCCAGGGAATACAAATTAAAACCACAAAGGATAGCATTACACAACCCCTAGAAAGTCTTAAATGAAAAAGACTGATAATACCAAGTGTTGAAGAGAATATGGTGCAAGAACTCTCATACTGCTGATGGAGGAGGTGGGAATTGCTACAACTGTGCTGGAAAGTATTTTGGCCCTAACTGGTAATGTTGAAGACATGCAGGCAATATGACACAGTGAGTCCACTCATGGAAATATATATGCCCACGTGGAATATGTGCACATGTACAACAGGAGATGCATTCAAGAATATTTATAGTGGCGTTATTCAAAATATGTATAATATTTCATGATAAAAAGGTTTAAAAACAGTGATTTTAAAAAATCAGTATTCAATATATGTACAGTATCAACTGTCTTCGTAAAAAAAATTAAGGATATTTTCTTTTCTTTTCTTTTTTTTTTTTTTTGAGACAGGATCTTAACTCTGTCGCCCAGGCTGGAGTGCAGTAGCTTGATCTTGGCTCACTGCAACCTCTACCTCCCGGGTTCAAGTGATCCTCCTGCCTCAGCCTCCCTAGTAGCTGGGATTACAGGCACCCACCATCACGCCTAACCAATTTTTGTATTTTTAGTAGAGACAGGGTTTCACCATGTTGGCCAGGCTGGTCTTGAACTCCTGACCTCAGGTGATCCACCCGGCTCGGCCTCCCAAAGTGCTGGGATTACAGGCTTGAGCCACCGCGCCTGGCCAGGATATTTTCTTTTTTTCCTTTGTTTTTTTGAGACAGAATCTCACTCTGTCGCCCAGGCTGGAGTGCAGTGGTGCAATCTTGGCTCACTGCAACCTCTGCCTCCCGGGTTCAAGCAATTCTAGTGCCTCAGCCTCCTGAGTAGCTGGGATTATAGATGCCTGCCACAGTGCCTGGCTAATTTTGTATTTTTAGTAGAGATGGGGTTTCACCATGTTGGTCAGGCTCATCTAGAATTCCTGGCCTCAAGTGATCTGCCCAGTCGGCCTCCCAAAGTTCTGGGATTACAGGTGTGAGCCACTGTGCCTGGCCTCTTTTTTTACTTTTTTGAGATAGGATCTTGCTCTGTTGCCCAGGCTGGAATGCAGTGGTGCAATCACGGCTCACTGCAGCCTCAAACTCCTGGGCTCAAGGGATCCTTCCCGCCTCAGCCTCCTTAGTAGCTGAGACTACAGGTGCACACCACCATGCCCAGCTAATTTTTAAATTTTATTTTTACTTTTTTGTAGAGATGGTGGTGCAGGAGGGTGTCTCACAGTGTTGCTCAGGCTGGCCTCAAACTCCTGGGCTCAAGCAACCCTTTCACCTCTTAAGTAGTTGGGATTACAGGCATGAGCCACAGCACCCAGCTGTAAAAACTTTTGCCCAGGCTGGAGGGCAGTGGTGCAATCATGGCTCACTGCAGCCTCAAACTCCCGGGCTCAAGGGATCCTTCCGGCCTCAGCCTCCTGAATAGCTGAGACTACAGGTGCACCCCACCATGCCCAGCTAATTTTTAAATTTTTAAATTGTATTTTTACTTTTACTCCTCCCTGTCCATCTGAGTGTTTCCTGTTCCCCGGGACTGTTCTCTGTGGCCCTGCAACTGCTCTTCCCTCCCTCTGGCTTTCCCCGCTTCCCTTGCTGCTTCCTGTACAGCTGTTTGCTGCCTGCCCAGATCTGTCCCTGCTCCCTTTGCTGGTCGTTGTTCCCTCTGACTTTTCCTTGGTCCCTCTGTTTCCTATTCCCTCTAAATGTCTCTTGTTCCTTCCGAGTACCCCCGTTCTTTTATCGCTTTCTTTGACTCTACCTGGATCGCTCTAACTATTCATGCCTCCTGTTTCCTGTTCTGACTGTCCTGTGTTCCCTTTGTTGTCCCTCCAGCTGATCCTTGTTCTGTGGCACCATTCTGATTGTGTGCTAGTCTACCTGACTGTTCCCTGGTCCCTAAGGGCCTTTCTTGTTCCTTCCAGCTGTTCCTGGCTCACACAGACTGACTGCTGTTGGATTCTGCTGACTAATCTCTAGTCTCCTGATTCTTCCCTGTCCTTGGACAGTTCCTTGAGTACATTTCTTTCTTTCCATTCTTTCCTTCTTTTTCTTCCTCCCTTCCTGTTTCTGAGACAGGGCGTCACTCTGCCACCCAGGCTGGAGTGCAGTGGCACAATCACGGCTCACTGCAGCCTCCACCTCCCAGGCTCAGATGATCCTCCCACCTCAGTACCACCCTACCCGGCTGATTTTTTTTTTGTATGTATATATATATATATATCACACACATATATATATATACACACACACACACACACACATATGTGTACACACACACACACACACATACACACACATATATTTATTTATTTTGTAGACATGGGGTTTCACCATGTTGCCCAGGCTGGTCTTCAAACAATCCTCCCGCTTTGGCCTCCCAAAGTGTTGGGATTACAGGTGCGAACCACCGTGCCTGGCCATTGAATACATTTCTACTATGCTCTCCCGTGATGTTCATGCATCTGGTCTGTGGACCACACTTTGAGTAGTACCTAACTAGCTAGCTTATGCCCTTACCCACTAAAGTGCACTATTGCGTGTTCTATGCCACAGCTGGATTCTGTACTTCCACTGCCTCCATTACTCAACATTACATCTAACTATTGGCTGGTTCCTCTGATTGCTTCCTGGGTAGGGTGACCAAGTGTCTCAGTTTGCCCAGGAATGTTCCTGTTCTAGCACTGGAAGTCCCATGTCCCCTCAGTCACAGGCAAACCAGGATGGTCCTGGGAACTCTGGCTGTTTCCCAGACTCTCCAACTGTGCCTTCACCCCAGTAACTACTGCATGGGCCCTCGGGCTGTTAACTCGCTTCAGTTATACCATTCTTTCTGGCTCTCCTCTAGTCTCTCTAGCTGGCCACTGGTCAATCAGGCTGCTACCCACACTGGATACATGTTTAATGCTCACTTGACTTGTTCCCTAGTTCCTCTGGTTACTTCCCAGGGCCTCTGGTGGACCCTCAGCCCCAAGCACATTTTGGCTGCTCCCTCTGGCTGCCCCCCAGCCTCAGTGACTGTTCCTTGCTCCAGGTGTTCCACAGTACTCTAGGCCATTCTGCAGCTTCAGAGGCTCTTCTCTCATCTTTCCACCTGTTCCATGGGCTCTGTCCCTTCCCTGATCCCTCTGCCCATTCTACAGCCTCAGCAATTGTCTCCTGCTTCCTCTGACTGCAATCCATTCTCTGGGTCGTATTTCACATTTCTTGTTCCCTGGTATCACTGTCTTTTGCCTGTGCCCTCAAGCTCTCTTCTAAACCAAGGAACTGCTTCCTGGTTCCTCGGGAAGTTGCTTGTCCCTCAGGCTCATACCCAGTTCCTTGGATATGTTTGCCTTTTCCATTTTATCTGATTCTTCTGCTTCCTCACCCCTCTGGATACTGACTGCTCCGTCTGGCTGCTATTTGGTTCCTCTATTTCCTGATACCTCCTCCTATTTCATGATCCTTCTCACTGTTCTTTAACCCTCGGCTCTTCCCTGCTCCTCAGTGATCACCACTTCTCCAGCCTCAGAAACTGTTTCTTGGTCTCTGGCTCCAGCGTCTGACTCATGTCCTGTTTGCTTCATTATTCTTCCACCTATACCCTGGACCCCTTGGCTATTCTTCATCTCTAGTAAGTGCACCATGGTACCTGTTCCTTATTCCGTTGTGACTCCTCCCAGCCCTCTTTACCTTACTGATCCCTCTGCTTCTTCTCCATCTTCAGCCACTGTTTCTTGGTACAACTGGCTGCTCCTCAAACCCTGGGGATATTTTTATTGGTTCCTAGGTATCTCTGCCTATACCCCGCTCCCTGATGTTTAATGAAAAAACCAAGAACCTAACCAATAAATAAGTCAATAAATAATATTCCCCCCAGGGTCTCGGTCATTTCCATCTCTTGAGGTGGGTCAGAGATCTGTGGTTGGGAAAGAAGAGATGAATGGAGAAATGTGCCTTGCAGAGCCCAGAATCATTCGTCTAGAAATCCCTACTATTGGCTGGGCAAGAGGCCATGTGCAGGAGTGGGGAGGACCACATTGTCATGGCCCTAACCTGTGGGTCCGTGACTGACATGATTGAGCAGAGCTTAGACAAGGTTGAAGTGTACTACTGTCAAGCATTGATTCCCTTGCTATTTAATGACCCTATACCTTTGACTCAAAAACATAATTTCAATGACTTGACAGAAAGATTTATTTATTTACTATTTATTTTGAGATGGAGTCTCACTCTGTCACCCAGGCTGGAGTGCAGTGGTGTGATCTCGGCTCACTGTAGCCTCAACCTCCTGGGCTCAAATGATTCTCCAACCTCAGCCTCCCAGGTAGCTGCGACTACAGGTGCACACCACCACACCTGGCTAATTTTTGTATTTTTGTTGAGATAGGGTCTTACTATGTTGCCCAGGCTGGTCTCAAACTCCTGAGCTCAAGTGATCTGCCCGCCTTGGCCTCCCAAAGTGCTGGGATTATAGGCATGAGCCACCATGCCCAGCTGGCAGAAAGATTTAAATGTAGGAATTTTATCATAGCAGTTTTAATCACAATAGAAAACTTGAAATACCCTAAATGCACATTATTAGTGGACTGGTTGTGGGGGGATGGGGAGACATTGGTCAAAGTATACAAAGTTTTGTTAGAGGGAATAAGTTTTTGAGATCTATTGCAGTTTGGTGGCTATAGTTAATAATGATGTAATGTTATTTCAAAATTGCAAAGGGAGCAGATTTTAAATGTTCACATCACCAAAGAAATAAGTCTTTGAGGTAATGGATATGTTAATTAGGTTGATTTAAATATTCTACAATGTATACAAATATCAAAACATCACATTGTACACCATAAATATACATAATTATTATTCGTCAATTAAAAATAAAATATGCAGGGTATGGTGGTGACTCAAGCCTGTAATTCCAGCACTCGGGGAGGCCAAGGCAGGAAGATCACTTGACCCCAGGAGTTTGAGCCCAGCTGGGTGTGGTCCCATGTGCCTGTAGTCCCAGCTACTTGGGAGGCTCAGGTGGGAGGATCGCCTGAGCCCAGGAGGTTGAGGCTGCAGTAAGCTGAGATTGCACCACTGCACTCTAGCCTGGGCAACAGAGGGAGACTGCCTCAGAGAAAAAACATTAAAATAAATAAATAAAATTAAAAAAATAGTGAACTGGCTAAATTATGGACATCATAAGTGTATGAAGAAAAATACTTGCTGCTTAGCAAATTATGTTAAACTGCCCAGTTAAAAATGAGGTAACCAAAGAGTATGATTCTGTTTTAAAACTTTAGCTATATATGTGTATGTGTATAGTATGTAGCACACTCTGGCCCCACACGTATACTCACACACATGCACACATGCACATACAAAGGAAAAAACAACTGAAAGGAAATACAGCTAAATGTTAACACTGGTTAACTTTGGGTAATGTTGGAACGACAAGTAATTTTTTAGTTTCTTCTATTTGCTAACGTATACTTTCTAATATTTTATTATGAAGTTATAAAATGACCAAAAAAAAAAATTTAAAAGTTTAATATTATCCTAATGACTGCATGACCCTGAGTCCCTGAGATAATGAACCCTTCCAGAGCCAACAGCATCCACAGGTAGGTCTGAAAGGAGGGAGCTGTCGGGCAGGGTCTGGCTCGCTCGTGGTCCTCCTCGGCTTATAGAATCTCAATGGGAACTCTGATCTGAAAGGGAGCTCTGAGCGGGAAACCTGATCTCAGCTGTGGTGCGGTGAGGGTGGAAGACACAGTCAGGAGACCTGGCTCCAGTCTAGTGTTGTCACCGCCAACTTGAGAGGCCTGGGCGAGTCATGTGTCTTCTGGGGCATTTTATTCATCTTTTTTTTTTTTGAGTCTCACTCAGGCTGGAATGCAGTGGCATGATCTCAGCTCACTGCAACCTCCACCTCCTAGGTTCAAGCCATTCTCCTCCTGCCTCAGCCTCCCAAGTAGCTGGGATTACAGGCATGTGCCACCACATTCAGCTAACTTTTTGTATTTTTAGTAGAGATGGGGGTTCGCCACGTTGGTCAGGCTGGTCTTGAACTCCTGACCTCAAGCAATCCACCCACCTCGGCCTCCCAAAGGTGCTGGGATTACAGGCATGAGCCACCGTGCCCGGCCATTTTATTCGTCTTTGAAAGAAGGGACAGCCAGAACGGCCCCAGAGACTGTGGTGGCCCTACTACCCTGCCAGTCTCTAAGTTCCAAAGAAAAAGGATTTTTCTCTACCTAAATCAGGATAGAGGAGAAATCGCCAGATCCCCAGAGACCTGGGGGAAAGGGGCACTGGTGGGGATCAGCCGACATCTGTAAAGAGCCGATGGAGAGGGAAGGGTTGGTGCTGTGGTGGGGGATGGAGGCTCCCTGGCTATGGATAGTGGCTGCTTCTACCTGGACCTCACCCTCATTTGCCCTGCAGGGAGCTGCCCCCACTCCCTAGGCTGTAGGGCTCACCTTCCACATTCTCCCTCTCCTCTAGTGTAATCAGCCACATTACACTGTCCACTGAAACACACGGGGCTTTGGATGTGGCCTCATCAGCCAAGTGGTGCTCACTCTCAGCAAGAGGACCCTGATCTGTCTCCAGGGTGGCAGGTCCGGAATCTGCCACTTCCTCTGACTCACCTGCTTCTGCCCTTAGGCCCTGGGGACAGGTCAGGGTATCTCTTCACTGAATGAATTCTTGCCTCTGGGGTCCTCTCCCTCCTCACCTCACATGAGCTGCCACGTCCCTCTGCAGCCAGGGCCGGGGACCATGGGGGAGAGTCCCCATTAGCTGCCATGTTCACGCTGGGCCTCAGCCCTCAGGCTCTCCTGCTGACAACCCCACTCTTCCCCAAGCTGGAAGCTGAGCTGGCATCTGTGGACTCAACCGGAGCTGCTGGGGCGAGGCAAGCAGGGGTCAGAAGGAAGATCCTGCAGTTTCCACTAAGAAGCCTGGCCCCCAGACTCTGCAGAGGCTCCAAGAAACCCTGGAAAGACAGTGTCCACATGGTCATCACTCCACGTTCACTCACAAATGTTTTCTGGTGGTGCCCAGGGGCCGCTCACTGTGCTGGATGCTGCGGAAGAGAAAAGTTCGGTAAAACCCACACCAAGTATTAAAGCAAAACATGGGGAAAATTCACAAGATCTGGTGTAAAATGAATGAGGGTTTGTATTTAAGCTCTTCTATGTTCTAGCTAGAATTTGGGGAAGTCACTTTATGTGAAGTTTCTTCATCTTTAACAGGATGAAAATACCTATCTCATAGGGTTGTTAGAATTAAATGAAATGATGCTTCTACGCACACCTACTTGGTACCTGGAACATGCTCAACTCATATTAAATAGTGCTATTATTACAAGGTGCGAGGCATGTTTTATTAGGTACCTCATTTAATTTTCACACTCATCCTGTGGACTAGGCATTACTATTATTACTAATCCCATTTACCATCAGATAGAGCTGTTCAGAAATATTAAGAAATTTGCCCCAGGATCACTCAGATAAGGGGGAAGGACAAGGATTCAAACCCAGGTATGCCTGGCTCCAAAGCATACTTTCTTAACTATTGAGCCATTTGGTACTCTATACATGGCAGAATCACAATAAACACTGTGGTTCCTGCTACCTTCAAAGTGCTCTGGCTGAGGGGTGACCATGCCACTTGAGCATAAACTGAGCTTCTGTGTAATTCAGTGTACATTCTATGCAAAGGATAGAGCCCATCTTCTTCTGTCAAAGATGAAAACTCATACTTATCCCTTCCCATCAGGCCCTGAAAACCTGCAGGTCTGCACAGGCTCCCAAATCCCTATAGCCCACACCGTTGACAAAAAACTGTGTCCCAAATGGTGTCATCAACTGGTTTCCACAGGCTCCTCAAATTATCACCAACCCAGGCAGCACACCATCAATAGGATCAATGACTCCCATAAAACCCTCAGTAATAGAAGTTCTAGTCCATTACAAAGCAACTCACACAGTACTATGATAACCAATGTCCATAGGTCCCAATCCAGGACTGCTACAGGCCCCCCAAAACTGACTTGTAATCCCTGTGAATCCCAGACTTGCAATCATTCACCACCTTAGCACCCCAATCAATAAACTCTCATGGACTGAATCGATGACCTCAGATACTGACATTTCCAACACTTCCAGGCAGAACCAACACGTCATTTACAAGGAAAAGGGATCACAATGGCACTAGATTTATTTGCAACAACAGAAGCCATGTTAGAAGAAAACTCTACAAATCATTGAGACAGAAGGACTGACATCCAAGAATTCTAAACCTGCCCTAGCTAGATACCATTCTTTTGTCAGAGCAAAAGAAAGACAATTTTAGCCGGGCGCGGTGGCTCACGCCTGTAATCCCAGCACTTTGGGAGGCCGAGGCGGGCGGATCACGAGGTCAGGAGATCGAGACCATCCCGGCTAAAACGGTGAAACCCCGTCTCTACTAAAAATACAAAAAATTAGCCGGGCGTAGTGGCGGGCGCCTGTAGTCCCAGCTACTTGGGAGGCTGAGGCAGGAGAATGGCGTGAACCCGGGAGGCAGAGCTTGCAGTGAGCCGAGATCCCGCCACTGCACTCCAGCCTGGGCGACAGAGCGAGACTCCGTCTCAAAAAAAAAAAAAAAAAAAAAAAAAAAAAAAAGACAGACAATTTTAGATATAAAAGCATTTCTAGCATTTTATGCCAATATTCCAATCTCAGGAGAACACTCAAGGGAATAGTCTAAACAATGGTAAATGGAATAGAAACAGAAATGTCAAAACAGGAAAGCAGTTTTGAGAAAGGATTCTTGCAATTGATATATAATTATATCTGGATAAAGAAAAACAATGTAATTGGGCATTTGTAGTAAATAAGGCTGTTACTATTAACTATGTGGAAATTTAAAAATTCCCTGGCCGGGTGCCATGACTCACGCCTGTAATTCCAGCACTTTGGGAGGCCAAGGCGAGCGGATCACGAAGTCAGGAGATCAAGACCATCCTGGCTAACACTGTGAAACACTAAAAATATAAAAAATTAGCCAGGCGTGGTGGCACGCACCTGTAGTCCCAGCTACTTGGGAGGCTGAGGCAGGAGAATCGCTTGAACCTGGGAGGCGGAGGTTGCAGTGAGCCGAGATCGTGCCACTGCACTCCAGCCTGAGTGAGAGAGAGAGAGAGACTGTCTCAAAAAAACACAAACAAACGAACAAACAAATTCCCTGGAAAATTTACTGAGTGAAATGAGGAGAAGGCAAATTACAAATTTCCATGGGCAGATATTGGTACCATATTATTTGGATTTAGTAATATAGAAAATATATACAATCATATTTGTAAGGAAGGTAAAGGCAACTACTAGCAGAAATTGATTAAAAAATAATCAAAATTCCAAACAATCAAAATTCAAAAGTAATAAAAACCTAAAAGGAAAGAGAAACATGACTGAGGCCGGGCGCAGTGGCTCACACCTGTAATCCTAGCACTTTGGGAGGCCGAGGCAGGCGAATCACGAGGTCAGGAGTTCAAGCCCATCCTGGCCAACATGGTGAAACCCCGTCTCTACTAAAATTACAAAAATTAGCTGCGTGTGGTGGTGTGTGCCTGTAATCCCAGCTACTCAGGAGGTTGAGGCAGGGGAATTGCTTGAACCCAGGAGGCGGAGGTTGCAGTGAGCTGAGATTGTGCCACTGCACTCCAGCCTGGGTGACAGAGCGAGACTCCGTCTCAAAAAAAAAAAAAAAAAAAAGAGAAACACGACCGGCCAGGCACAGTGGCTCACACTTGTAATCCCAGCACTTTGGGAGGCTGAGGCAGGCAGATTACCTGAGGTCAGGAGTTTGACACCAGCCTGGTCAACATGGTGAAACCCTATCTCTACTAAAAATACAAAAATTAGCCGGGCGTGGTGGCAGGTGCCTGTAATCCCAGCTACTCGGGAGGCTAAGGCGTGAGAATCGCTTGAACCCAGGAGGCGGAGGTTGCAGTGAGCCGAGATCGTGCCACTGCACTCCAGCCTGGGGGGACAGAGTGAGACTCTATTTCAAAAAAAAAAAAAATAGTAAACAAAAAATAATAGGAGAAAAAAAGGAAAAAAAATAATAGGAGGCATAAAATCAAGTATGTTATAATGCAAAGAAATTGAAATGAGTTGAATTCTGCTACAAAAGACAAAGATTATGGGACTGGGCTAAAAAACAAAATATAGTTGCAACATGTCTAAAACAAAATGATGAAGATGTGAAATGAAGCATTTGATAGAAACACACCATATCGTTGATCATTCTTTCCTTAATGGTTGGCTTGTTAGGAAACCTTCACCTACCTCAGGGTCATGTAAAAGTTTTATCATTTTAGCTTTCACATTTAGGTCCACAGTCCATCTGGGAAGGATTTTAGCATGTGGTATGTGTTAGAGTCAAGATTCATTTCTTTCATATGGAAGCAAGATGATCCAGCACCATTTATTGAAAAGCCTACGCATGGCCGGGCACAGTGGCTCATGTCTGTAATCCCAACACTTTGGGAGACTGAGGTGGGTGGATCACCTGAGCTCAGGAGTTCGAGGTCAGCCTGGCTAATATGGTAAAACCCTATCTCTACTGAAAATACAAAAATTAGCCAGGCGTGGTGGCAGACGCCTGTAATTGTAGCTACTCGGGAGGCTGAGGCAGGAGAATTGCTTGAACCTGGGAGGCGGGGGTTACAGTGAGCTGAGATCTCACCACTGCACTCCAGCCTGGGGGGATAGAGTGAGACTCTGTCTCCAAAAAAGAAAAAAAAAAAGAAAAGACTATCCTTTCTCCACTGCTCTGTAGTGTCTCCTTGTGATCATATATGTGGGGGCCATTCCTGAACTCTGTATTTCCATTGGTTTATTTGTCTATTCTGGGACCAGTGTTATAGTCTTAATTAATGTGCTTTATATTAAGTCCTGATAAAGGATACCTAAATTGGACTACATTAAAATTAAGGACTTCTGTTCATCAGAAGATAAAATTAAAAATGTAAAGGCAAATCCTACAGTGGCAGAAGGTAATTGTAATACCTATATTTGACAAATGATTAATATCTCAAATATATCAAGAATGTCTAGAAATCACTAAGAGCCACAGAAAAAGGGCAAAAGGAACAGGCATTTCACAAAGAAAATATCCAAACAGCAAATAAGTTTATAAAAAGATGCTCGACTTCACCAGTTGGCAAGGAAATAGAAGTTAAACTACAATAAGATAATCCTCCACATAATCCTCCATATCTACAATAAGATAATCCCACCAGAAATTGCCAAAATGAAAAAGATGGGAAATAAACAAGAGTGGGCAAGGATGTGGAGCAGCCAAAACTCATAGATTGCTTGTTAGGATCATAAACTAGTACATACACTTTGAAAAACTGTTTGGTAGTATCTATTAATGGTGAATACATGCAACATCCTATGACCCTGCTATTTGACTCCAGTTCTCTCTCACTCAAGAGAAATGCAAATATATGTTTACTAAAAGAGATGATAATGCTCATGGTAGCTTTATTCAAAACTAAAAATTATGTAAATGCCCATCAACATCAGAATGGATAGACAAGTTGTGTTATATTTATACAAGGAAATACTACACAGCAATGAGAAAGAATAAATTGCCATACTCAACAAGCATGAGTCTCATCCCATGAACACTCTGTTAAACTAAAGAAGCCAGACTCAAAAAAGCAATGAAGCAATGCCATATGATTATGTTTAAAAACATGGCTTCTTTTTTTTTTTTTTTTTTTTTTTTGAGACAGAGTCTCACTCTGTCTCCAGCCTGGTGTGCAGTGGTGAGATCTTGGCTCACTGCAACCTCCACCTCCAGGGTTCAAGCGATTCTCCTGCCTCAACCTCCCAAGTAGGTGGGACTACAGGCGTGCGCCACCATGCCCAGCTAATGTTTGCATTTTTAGCAGAGATGGGGTTTCGCCATGTTGGGCAGGATGGTCTCAGTCTCCTGACCCCATGATCTGAGTGCCTCAGCCTCCCAAAGAAAGACACATGGCTTCTTTAAAACTTTTTTTGTTTTTTTTGAGATGGCATCTTGCCCTGTCACCCAGGCTGGAGTGCAGTGGCATGATCTTGGCTCACTGCAACATCTGCCTCCTGAGTTCAAGCAATTCTCCTGCCTCAGCCTCCTGAGTAGCTGGGATTACAGGCGTCTGCCACCACGCCTGGCTAATTTTTACATTTTTAGTAGAGACGGGGTTTCACCATATTGGTCAGGCTGGTCTCGAACTCCTGACCTCGTGATCCGTCTGCCTCGGCCCCCCAAAGTGCTGGGATTACAAGCATAAGCCACTGCGCCTGGCCTACAAAAAAAATTTTTTTTTAGAGACAGGGTCCTGCTCTGTCACCCAGCCAGGAGTGCAGTGGCATGATCACAGCTCACTGCAGCCTCAAACTCCTAAGCTCAAGTAATCGTCCTGCCTCAGCCTCCTAAGTCGCTGGGACTACAGGTGCATGCCACCACACCCAGCTAAAAAACATGACTTCTTGAGAGCTAGTAACATTTCTTCATCTAGGTGGTGGCTATGCAGGTTTGTCTGGTCTGTTAAAAAATCATCAAGCTAAATATGCACAATGTGTGTACTTTTCTGTATTATATTTCAATGAGGATTTAAAACTATACAATTTACTAGGCAAATACCAAGAAAATGAAAGAAGATCTGAAAATACAATTATCGTGGGGGAAATTAAGGTCCAAAGCACTCAACAGATTAACAAAAAAGGGGAATATCTTTTAATAATAAAAGAAACAATAAAGAAGTACTAACTGGCATAAACCTTCAGGATCATTCAACGCATACAAATAAAACCAGCACAAATGCATTAAACCACATGAAGTCTTAAAAATCATAATTGTTTTTGTATTATATTTAACAAGTGTTGCTATTAAGGTTATGCCAGTTTTCAAAAGGAACTCAGGAAATTTATTTTTATGTGTTAAAATGGCATAGATATTATCTTCTTTAAAGTTCAGCTATAAACACATTTAGAACTGGTACCTTTTAAAAATGGTACATTTTAACTATTTTCCTTTCTTTGAATTTTGGTCTTTACCAAATGTTGGAGAGGATGCAGATAAACTAGATCTCTAACATATTGCCAGCAGGAATGTAAAGTGGTACAGCCACTCTGGAAAATAGTTTGGCAGCTTCTTTAAAAACTAAAATACTTATCACTTGATCCAGCAATTGCAATTCTGGGCATTCATACCAGAGAAAGGAAATCTTATGTGTATACAAAAACCTGTACAAGACTGTTCGTTACAGCTTGATATGTAATAGCCTCAGACTGGAAACAAGCAAAATGGCCCTCAATAGGTGAATGGCTAAACAAACTGTAGTAAATCTATAATATGGAATACTACTCAGCAACAAAAAGAAATGAATTATCGTTCTAGCAACAGTTTGGATGGTTTTCAAGGACATTATGCTGAGTGAAAAAACCAACCTGAAAAGATCACACACATTGGGCCAGGCGCGGTGGCTCACGCCTGTAATCCCAGCACTTTGGGAGGCCAAGGTGTGTGGATCACCTGAGATCAGGAGTTTGAGACCAGCCTGGCCAACATGGTGAAACCCCATCTCTACTAAAAATACAAAAATTAGCTGGGCATGGTGGCAGGCACCTGTAATCCCAGCTACTCAGGACGCTGAGGCGGGACAACCACTTGAACCCAGGAGGAGGTTGCAGTGAGCCAAGATTGTGCCACCGCACTCTAGCCTGGGTGACAGAGTGAAACTCCATCTCAAAAAAAAAAAATCACAGACTGTATGGTTCCATTTATATAACATTCTCAAAATGGCAAAACTAGAGAAATGAGAAACAGATGGTTGGTTGCCAGGGGTTAGGGATGGCAGTGGGAGTAAAGACTATAAAAGGTCTGGGTACAGTGGTTTGTGCCTGTAATCCCAGCACTTTGGGAGGCCAAGGTGGGTGGATCGCTTGAGGCCAGGAGTTTGAGACCAGCCTGGGCAACATGGTGAGACCCCCATCTCTACAAAAAATTTAGAAAGTAGCCAGGCATGGTGGCATGCGCCTGTAGTCTCAGCTACTCAGGAGGCCAAGGCGGGAGGATCACTTGAACCCAAGAGTTGGAGGCTGCAGTGAGTGATGATGGCCCTACTGTACTTCAGCCTGAGCAACACAGTGAGAACCTGTCTAAAAAAAAAAAAAAAAAGAGTAGGCCGGGCACAGTTGCTCATGCCTGTAATCCCAGCACTTTGGGAGGCCGAGGCGGGTGGATCACGAGGTCAGGAGATTGAGACCATCCTGGCTAACATGGTGAAATCCCGTCTCTACTAAAAATACAAAAATTTAGCCGGGTGTGGTGGTGTGCGCCTGTAATCCCAGCTACTCGGGAGGTTGAAAAAAAAAAAAGAAATTAAAAGAAGACAACAAAATATTCATGAGAACCCTGATCAAGGTAAAAGAGAAAGGAAAAAAAATATATATATATGTATATATACACCCACACACCTCACAAGCATGCACAGTTTTAGGAGTGAAAAAAGAAGCTATTGCCACAGGTATGGAAATGATCAAGGTAAATTAATGAAGCATTATGCACAGATGCACAAAAACATAACATCTCTAGCAAACATACACTACCAAAATTAATCCCCCCCACCAGAAATCTGTAGAGCAATAATCAGAGAAAATAAAATAGTTAAAATTTGCCATTTTAAAAAAGGCATCAGTTCTAAATGTGTATATAGTCGAACTTAAGAGAATGTCTATGCTATTTTAACACATAAAAAATGGAAATCTCCTGATTTCCTTTTAATAACTGGCATAACCTTAATACCAACACTTGTTAAATATACTAAAAACAAGAAAACTATAAGCAAATTTTTTATAGTGGCAAAAATTCTAAATAAAATATTACTAACTCAGGCCTCCTGGTGCTTACCACAGGCTGTGTTCTTACACTGACTGTATAGAAAAAGAAGTGGGCCTGCCTTCTCTGTTCTTGTACTGACTGTATAGAAAGAGAAGAGCTCCTACCCTATATACACCTCTGCCCAGGCTCTAGTCCTGGTCTGAATTGTGAATGGAGGGACATGGAGTTGAGGAAAAAGAAAAAAATACATTACTAACTCAAATCTGACCATGACTCATAAGGAAAATTGCCTTTGACCAACAGAATTATCCCAGGAAGGCAAGGATGGATCCACATTATATATCAATATCATTCATTACAACAACCAATTTAGGAAAATAACACCATTAGGCTATTACATCAAAAAGGCATCTGACATAATTCAAGAGCCATTCCTAAGAAAAATACAAATCAAGATAGGAACATATGAAAACTATAAGGACACCATCAGGAAAGTGAAAAGGCACAGAGGCTGGGCTGGGCACAGTGGCTCACATCTGTAATCCCAGTACTTTGGGAGGTCGAGGCAGGCGGATCACTTGAGGCCAGGAGCTCGAGACCAGCCTGGCTGAAGTGGCGAAACCCTGTCTCTACTAAAAATACAAAAATGAGCTGGGTGTGGTGATGCGCACCTGTAATCCCAGCTACTTGGGAGGCTGAGGCACGAGAATTGCTTGAACCCGGGAGGCAGAGATTGCAGTGAGCCGAGATGGCACCACTACGCTCCAGCCTAGGCAACAGAGCGAGACTCTGTCTCAGAAAAACAAACAAACAACAACAACAACAAACACCCACAGAAAGAGAGGAAATACATGCAAATCGCATATGTGACAAGGGACTTCTATCGAGATTATCTAGAGAACTCTTACAACTTGATAATACAAAGACAATTCAATTTAAAAATAGGCCAAGGATTTGAATAGATATTTCTTCAAAGAAGATATACAGATGGGCAATAAGTACAGGAAAAGATGGTCAACATCAGTGGCCACTAGAGAAATGGAAATCAAAACCACAAGATACCACTTCACACCTACTAGGAAGGATAGAATTAAAAAGACAATAAGCATTAGCAAGGATGTGATAAACTGGAACCCTCATACATTGCTGCTGGGACATAAAGTGGTGCAGCCGTTTTGGAAAATGGTTTGGCAATTCTTCAAAATGTTAAAAATAGAAGGCTGGGCGCAGTGGCTTATGCCTGTAATCCCAGCACTTTGGGAGGCTGAGGCGGGTGGATCGCTTGAGGTCAGGAGATCGAGACCAGCCTGGCAACATGGTGAAACCCCATCTCTACTAAAAGTACAAAAATTAGCTGGGCATGGTGGTGGGTGCCTGTAATCCTAGCTACTTGGGAGACTGAGGCAGAAGAATCCTCAGCCTCCTGAGTAGCTGGGACTACAGGCACGCGCACCACACCCAGCTAATTTTTGTATTTTTAGTAGAGATGGGGTTTCACCATGTTGGCCAGGCTGGTCTCGATCTCCTGACCTCATGATCCGCACGCCTCGGCCTCCCAAAGTGTTGGGATTACAGGCGTGAGCCACAGCACCCGGCCTTTTTTTGGAGACTGAGTCTCGCTCTGTCACCCAGGCTGGAGTGCAGTGGCACGATCTCTGCTCACTGCAACCTCTGCCTTCCGGGCTCAAGCGATTCTCCTGCCTCAGCCTCCCAAGTAGCTGGGATTACTGGCGCCCGCCGCCACGCCCAGCTAGTTTTTGTATTTTTAATAGAGATGGTGTTTCACCATGTTGGCCAGGCTGGTCTCAAACTCCTGACCTCAGGTGATCCACCCACCTCGGCCTCCCAAAGTGCTGGGATTACAGGCGTGAGCCACCGTGCCCAGCTGGAATGCCACATTCTTACTATCAAGGCCAGGAAATTGAGAGCAAGAGAATTGTGTACAGATCTTATGAAAAATAACTTTTTTTCTTGGAGAAATAAGCCAAAAAAATTTTTTAAAACTCTTATGTTTTAAGCCTCCCCACATAACTGAGTTGCTTTTTCACAACTTAAGTATTCTTTGTCCAATCCAGTATATAAGTGATTGACTCTAACTACTACTTTGGGTCTTCATTTCTTTATGAAGGCTCCTGTGCCACATAAAACTTGTATTAAATAAATCTGTACACTTTTCTCTGTTGATCTGTCATATGTCAATTTAACTTTCAGGCCCAGACAAAAAGAAATCCTAAAAGGGAAGAGGTAAATTTCTACCTCACTCCTTATACCAGTCATTCCACTCCTGGGTATCCACCCAAGAGAAATGAAAACATATGTCCATACAAAAACTTGTACGCAAATGCTCATAGCAGCATTATTCATAATAGCTAAAAAGTGGAAACAACCCAAATGTCCATCGACTGATGAATGGATAAACAAAATGTGGTGTATCCATACAATGAAATATCATTCAGGAATAAAAAGACATGAAGTACTTCTAAAATAAACTGATAGAAACAGATAGTAGAATGGTGGTTGCCAGGGGCTGAGAGGAGGGGGTAATAAGAAGTTGCTATTCAACGGGTTAAAATTTCAGGTATACAAGAGGGAAGTTCTAGAGATTGGCTGTATATTGCACCTATAGTTAACAGTACTGTATTGTGCACTTAAAAATTTAAGAGAATACGCCACATGCGGTGGCTCACACCAGTAATCCCAGCACTTTGGGAGGCCGAGGCAGGTAGATTACTTGAGGTCAGGAATTCGAGACCAGCCTGACCAATATGTTGAAATCCTGTCTCTACTAAAAATACAAAAAATTAGCCAGGTGTGGTGGCACGCACCTATAGTCCCAGCTACGTGGGAGGCTGAGGCAGGAGAATTGCTTGAACCTGGGAGGTGGAGGTTGCAGTGAGCCGAGATCATGCCACTGCACTCCAGCCTGGGTGACAGAGCGAGACTCTGTCACAACAAAACAAAACAAACAAACCAAATTTAAGAGGGTGGCTTTCATGTTAAGTGTTCGTACCACAACAAACAAAATAATAAAAGGAATAAGGTCCTAATACATACTATAACACGGATGAGCTTTGAAAACATTAGGCTAAGTTAAAGAAAACAATCATGGCCGGACACAGTGGATCATGCCTGTAGTCCCAGTACTTTGGGAGGCTGAGGTGGGCGGATCACCTGAGGTCAGGAGTTCAAGACCAGCCTGGCCAATGTCTCTACTAAAAATACAAAAGCTAGCCGGGCGTGGTGGCAGGCGCCTGTAATCGCAGCTACTTGGGAGGCTGAGGCAGGGAGAATTGCTTGAACCCAGGAGGCGGCAGCTGCAGTGAACTGAGATCCGGCCACTGCACTCCAGCCTGGGCGACAGAGTGAGACTCTGTCTAAAATAAATAAATAAGGCAATCATAAAAGACCACGTTTTATGATTCCATTTATATAAAATGTCTAGAATAGACCAATCTATAGAGACAGGAAGTAAATTAGTGGTTGCCTGTGGCTAGGGGTGAGGGTTGGGAATGAGGAATGATTGCTAATGGGTACGATGTTTCCTTTTGGGATGATAAAATACTCTAAAATTAGATTGTGATGATGGTTGCACAATTCAGTGAATATGCTAAGAACTGCTGAACTGTAAGCTTTAAATGGGTGAATTTTATGGTAGATGAATGATACAATAAAGCTGTTAGAAAAAAAAAATCATAGCTAGTAAGTGCCAAGCAGGGTTGCAAAGCCAATGTCTGGCAAGGGGTAGGTATTCAATAAATGTTTATTGAATAGATTAATGAATAAACACCTTTCACATTCAAATAAAAAATGCCCAAGTTATTTTCATTAACATTAGCAACAAGATAGCAAATACCCTCTATTAAATGTCACTCAACATTGTTCTGAAAGCTCTAACTAGTGCAACAGAAGATGAGGTGATCAGAATAAATATTTGAAAGGAAGAGACAGTATCATTTTTAATTGGATGGAATACGATAGCTAGGAAAAGTAAGAGACTGTAAAAAGCAACTACATTCATATGATAATTTGGTAATTGGATTGAATATGAAATAAAATTATAAAAATAGATTTTCCCTATGGAAATAGAAAAAAAATATGCTATTCACAATGATGATAAAAACAAAGGTAAAATATCTAAGGATGAACTGTTAAAAAAAAAAAAAGGTGTTGGACCCATAAGAAAACTATAAAAATTATAGTTTTAGTGGTTATTTTTGAAACTAGATAAAATAGTTTTAACATTTACATGGAAGAATAAGGCTGGGTGCGGTGGCTCATGCCTGTAATCCCAGCACTTTGGGAGGCCGAGGCACGCAGATCACGAGGTCAGGAGTTTGAGACCAGTCTGGTCAATATGGTGAAACCTCGTCTCTACTAAAAATACAAAAATTAGCTGGGCAGGGTGGCACGCGCCTATAGTCCCAGCTACTTGGGAGGCTGAGGCAGGAGAATTGTTTGAACCCGGGAGGTGGAGGTCGCAGTGAGCCAAGATTGCGCCACTGCACTCCAGGCTAGGTGACAGCAGAGCAAGACTCCATCTCAAAAAAAAAAGAAGAAGAATAAACGCACAAGAAAATTAATTAAAGCAACCAAAAAGAAAGCAAGGGGGACTAGTTCTACATGATGTTAAAACTATTTCTAAAGTCAATATGATTTTTTAAAAAGGAGTAGATACATATATCAGAAGAACTAAACAGAGTTCAGAAATAAAACAATACACATTTGGGAACTTATGTGACAAAAGTGACATTTAATTGAATTAGAAAAGGGTATTCATTTAACGACTGGTGCTGGAAAATTAGCTATCCAAATGGAATATACGAACTGATTCCATCTCATACCATACACCAAAATAAATTCCAGTTAGATTAAAATTTAACTTTAAAAAATTGAAATAAATATATTAAAAATAAATTTAAGGCGTATTTGTTTGAACATGAAATGAGGAAGTCACTAGGCAAGACAAGACACTCAGAACCTGTAAAGGAAAAAGGCAGATATATCTTAATAGATGATTTTTTAAAAATCAAATGTGAAGACACCTTTCAAAGTCAAAATATAGAGATAGAGGAAATATAGTTACAATATAGGTTAATATTCACAAATTAGTAAGAAAGACAAACCACCTAAAGGAAAAAAAGGGCAAAGGATATGAAAAAGTTTAAATATATATTTCAATGGCCAATAAGAATGAAATAATGTTCAGTCACTAGTTGTCAGGAAAACGCACATCAAGGCAAACTAGATACCCTTGTGTTTGGCCCTCAGAATGGGGTAAATTAAAAAAAAATCCAATGTGGAACAGGATTTTGGAAGAAGCCTTCTCATATGTTGCTGGTGGGAGTTCCAATTTTACAAAAGTTTTGGAAAGTAGTTTGGTGGTATGTATTGAACTTAAAAGCATCATTCCTGCACGTAATGATCACTCAGGTGACAGCCTCTAACCACAATTTAGAAATCAATAACAAAAATGTCAACGTTTTGGGAAATCAAAATCTCATATCTAAATAACCCAGTGGTAAGAGTGAACATTGCAACTGCAATTAGAAAACATTAGAAGGAAACTATAGTGGAGATGCTACATATCAAAACTTGTGGGTCAGATGCTCACGCCTGTAGTTCCAGCACTTTGGGAGGATGAGGTGGGAGGACTACTTGAGGATTGCTTGAGGCCAAGGAGTTCAAGACCAGCCTGGGCAACATAGCAAGACCCCAATCTCTACAAAAAATTTAAAAATTAGCTGGGCAAGCCTGCCTGTAGTCCTAGCAACTTGGGAGGCTGAGGTGGGAGGGTCACTTGAGCCTAGGAGGTTGAGGCTGCAATGAGCCATGATGGTTTCACTGCACTCCAGCCTAGGCAACAGAGAGAGATTCTTGTATCTTTAAAACAAAAATCAGCCTGGGCAACATAGTGAGACCCCGTGTCTACACAAAATAAAAAATTAGTGGGTGTGGCAGCACATGCCTATAGTTCCAGCTACTTGGGAGGCTAAGTTGGGAGGATCGACTGAGCACAGGAGGTTGAGGCTGCAGTGAGCCATGATCGTGCCACTGCACTCCATCTCTGGGCGACAGAGTGAGACCCTGTCTCAAAACAAAATAAAACCGAACAGCAGCAACCACAACAAAACATGTGACACGGAGCTAAAGTGTTCTTAGAGAAAAATTTATAAACTGAATGTTTATATTATAAAATAAAATGACTGGATAGTAAGATAAGCATTAAATTCAGGACTTTAAAAATGAGAACAAAATTAAAAAACAGAAAAGAAATAACGAAGTTAAGGGCAGATATTAATGACAGAGAAACAAAGATACAGGAGGACCAACAAAGTCAAAAGTAGGTTTTGAAATAACCTCATCTCAGACCTAAAGACCACCTATCACTGACCCCAGGAAGCTGCATATCTGATTCCACAGCCCCCCATCACTAGTCCCAAAGAAACGCATCACTCACCCAGCAGGAACCTTGGTCAATCACCCAATAAACCCCATCCCACACCTCACAGACCTCCAGTAGTCACCCCGCACAGCCCTTTCTTACCCCCACGGACTTCTCATCACTCATCTCACATATACCTTATCACTCACCCTAGAGACCCTGTATCACTCACCCCACAGACCCCCTTATTATTCACTCCGGTGTCCCCAACACTCATCCCACAGGCTACCCATCAACTTTCTCTAGTGACCCATCACTCACCCACAAACCCCAATCACTCATTCTGCACCTCCCTATAAATGACCCCAGAGAAGCCTCCTTACTCATCCTACTGAGCATCTTCGAGTACAAAATCCATGTCATAACATCCCCATAATTATCTTAATGCTTGATCCATGTCATAACATCTCCATATTTATCTCAATGCTTAAGTGGCCCTAAGTCCGTCTGTTAAACTCACTCCCAGAGCCTTAAGTCCTGAAAACTGCTTCGAGGAACCCCGGCGCTTCTGGACTTGATCTGCACATGCTTAGTGTCAGCTCCGAAGCGGCCGCTCGCCCACAATTACACCTGGTGGGTGCCCTTACACCGCGCCGGTGCGTGCGTGCGCGTGCGCGTGTGCGTCGAAGGAGAGGCGGGCTTTCCAATTTCCTTCAGTGACTCTCAGGCAAGGAACATGGCTGTCTCCTTGGGAGTGTCTCTACGGGAGCCGCCATCTTGGAAGGGCGGTCATTTCTGCCGCGGAGCCCGCGGTCCCCTACTCGATATACCCCTGTGGGATTTTCCAGTGGCCGAGGCACTGGGCCATGGAATGTACCACCAGGCTTCTCCCCTCCGCCGCAGCCTCTAGGAGTTAGTCACCTCCGAGGCCCCGGCGGGCGAGGCGCTTTGCCTCTTCCGCCCTCAGGGTGCCCTCGGCCTCAGGCCGTCCCTACCGGGGAGCCTCCGCCTCTTTAAATATCGCCCAGCCCCCACCCCCAGGAGCAGGTCGCGAGACGCACCCGCCCCCGCCCCTGCCGCCGCACTGCTCTGTGGGACGCGGCGACCCCTCTCCCGCGGCGGCCGGGACCCCGCGCCCACCGCGTCTGGAGCCCACCTGGCGGCCCCACTGGCTACATTTCCGACCTGGACCCCGGCCGGCTGCGGGAAACACTCGGCGTCTCGGCTGTCACCGAACCTGTGCAGTTGCCGCGGGGGGAGTCGTGCGTGTCAGATTTAGGCCAGGAAGCGGAAGTCGCCAGCAGCGAGAGTTTAACCTCTGTGGGCGCAGAGGGTTGCGGGGATTCAGCGCCCGGGACCGTGGATCTGTGCAGGGAGTCATAGGTGTGTGTGACATCAGTGGTGGAACATTTTGGCTCGTTTTCACAATTCAGTCATTATCCTTTCTGCTTTCCTCCTGGAAGCATTAAGGTTGAAGTTTTCTTCTAAAGATCAAAGTTTTGATTTGTTATATTAGTTCGGATTTGTTTGATTTTTGTTTGTGTTCGGTTTCAAGTGCTGATTTGTAACTTTTCTCCCCCCCCCACACACGCCTTTTGACCCCTGAATTATTTAAAAGTCCATTGTTGGAGTGGCAAACATCCTCCGAGACTCAAAGGGCAAGGCCATGGGCGCTTTATTCCGGCTGCTGCTCCAGGAACGTGGGAAAGCAGCGGAGTTTTATTCTAGGGGAAGGAAACAAAGGCGGCCGAGTGCCAGCTGCACGTTTGGTGGGATTTGGTCATCAGGGGTGGACATGCTGCCCAATGGAGCTGTCGGCAGTTTGACCCAGCTTGGTCCGTCGCGTCCTGTTCTAGGAATCGATTATTCAAAGAAGGAATTTAGAGGGACTGCAGAAAATGTTACAGGTCTTAACACCATTTTGCATTTCCGCAAACGAACAAGAAGTTAATCCCTGTGTTAGTGATTTCTAAGCCCATTTGCCTTGTGGCCCAAGAACGTTGAGTTTGAAATTTGATGAAACTTGCCTTAAGGCTCAAGTACGAGGCCAGCTTTCAAAAATGGTTTTGTGCCTTGATTGAAAACACTGTATCTTCTAGTTGTTGGATTTATCGTACTCTGCGGCTCTATTGGTTCAAGCTTGTGCGTTGGGCCTTTTAAAATGTGTGTTTCCTGATAATTCCCTTCAGCTTGTCAACTGGGGGTGATGTGGCAGGGAGAAAGAGAGAGAGGAGAGAGAGAGACTGTACTGGCAGGTTTTCCTTGTGCTATTCAATTTTTGCTTCCTATGTTTTGAAGTTTTATTATTAACTGCAGGTTTCATTACTGAATAGATATAGCCAAATTCCTTCCCCCAAAAGATTATAAAGTTTCCTAGTCCTACCAGCAAAATCATTAAGTTCATTAAGGCAAATCCCCTCCAGCGCTGGATGTTGATGCTGTCTTTAATTTTGTATTTTTCTGACTACTTTGTGCAATTGAGGATTGTTTTGGTCTATTGGCCATTTGGCTTTTCTCTTTTGCAAATGTTCATATCCTTTGTCCAGTTTTCTTTAGGGTGATTTTTCCTTTTCGTATCAATTTGTAAACAGTGTACAAATTACATTGTACATTAGGGATATTAACAGTCTGTCAGTTACACTGTACATTAGGGATATTACATTAGAGATATTAACATCTTTGTCCATTAAGGATATTAACCATCTGTCAGTTACATTGCAGTATTTTTCCCTAAACTCTTTTTGTCTTTTGCATTTTATGTTTTTTTAAATGTGCAATTAGAAAAATTTTATATGGGCTGGGCACAGTAATCCCAGCACCCATCTCTACTAAAAATAAAAAAAAAAATAGCCAGGCGTGGTATCTCAACTAAAAAAAAAAAAAAAAATTGCCGGGCATGGTGTTGGGCGCTTGTAATCCCAGCTACTCGGGAGGTTGAGGCAGGAGAATCGCTTGAACTTGGGAAGTGGAGATTGCAGTGAGCTGAGCTCGGGCCACTGCACTCCAGCCTGGGTGATAGAGCAAGACTTCATCTCAAAAAAAAAAAAGAAAGAAAAATTGTATGTGTAATATGTAACTAGTGAAATGTAGCCTCTGATCAGATATGTCTAAACTTTCTTTTATGGCTTTTGTATATCCCATCTTGCCTAGTTTCACTTCCCTATTCCAGATAGAAAGATAATCTTAACATGTATTTCAGTGTTTTTATTGCTTTAATTTTTTCTACTTTAATCTAGTTGGAATTTACTCTGGTATATGGTATGAAATCAAGATCAAGCTTGAACAAGAAGCCTGTGTCACACTTTTTTCTGTGTCAAATAAAAAGAGACTTTAATTAGAAAGACAGACTATTGCAAAAGGGAGAATGCTCCCATCTCAGAAACCTGAGAGCATCTTGAAACCAAACAGAAAAAGGCTTTTCTTGTAGAGGGTAAGGAGGCAGGCAGAGATAAGCAGAATCTGTGGAAAGGAAGCTGCACAAACAAGGGGGAATGGCCAGTGGGGTCTGCCAGGAAATTGTCCCACAGTGGTGCGCCCATTCCCAGGAGAAGCTGAGAAGCAGGGTCCATTGGGAGGGGAGGAATTTCGACTTTTTTTGATGCTTGCCCAGGCTCGGGGGCAAGCAGAGTTAGGAGCTTGTAGGAAAGAAGCCTGGTTCAAGTTTGGCTAAAGAGCATTTTGTTCCAATTGATCAGTGGAGACAAGCAGTTAGGCTTGTCATCTATGAGGCAAAGAATGGGAATTTGGAGAGTGGGTGTCTGGCCTTCTCATAGGTAAACAGGGGACATCCGTGACTTCTAAGTCATATGGGGAAGGATGGTTCTTTGCAGTAAGCCATTTTCCAGAAAAGCCATTTTCCCTTTGGAGTAAGGGGATTTCTTGACCTGCACTGCTCACCAGGATGAGGTAAAATTCAGTATTGCCAGTTGGCACCATTTATGAAACACACCACCTTGTAACCACTGAATTAAATATTGCTTCTGTCATATAAGTTCACAAATATGCTTAGCTTGACCTGAACTCTATTTTGTGTCTGTAGTCTATTTGATTTCAAGGGATTTTTGTTCTTGCAAATTTATTTTCTAGGAATTCTCTGAAGTTTAAAATCATTTAATCAAAAATGAATGCTACCAACCCGTCCCCCACCCCCCGCAAAAAAAAACAAAAACACAGCAAAACTAAATTGTTGTGACTGGGCGAGGTGGCTCATGCCTATAATCCCAGCATTTTGGGAGCCCAAGGTGGGCAAATAACTTGAGGCCAGCAGTTGGAGACCAGCCTGGCCAACATGGCGAAACCCTGTCTTTACTAAAAAATAAAAAAATTAGCCACCCGTGGTGGCAGGCACCTGTAATCCCAGCTACTTGGGAGGCTGAGGCAGGAGAATTGCTTGAACCCAGGAGGTGGAGGTTGCAATGAGTAGAGATCACGCCACTGCACTCCAGCCTGGGCAACAGAGTGAGACTCTCTCAAAAAAAAAAAAAAAAAGCAAACCCTCAACTATTGCTGGGTGAGGTGGCTCACACCTGTAATCCCAGCACTTTGGGAGGCCCAGGCAGGCAGATCACTTGAGGTCAGGAGTTTAAGACCAGCCTGGCCAACATGGTGAAACCCCATCTCTACTAATAATACAAAAATTGGCACAGTGACGCACGCCTGTAATCCCAGCTACTCGGGAGGCTAAGGCAGGAGAATTGCTTGAACCCGGGAGGCAGAGGTTGCAATGAGCTAAGATCGTGCCACTGCACTCCAGCCTGGGTGACAGAGCAAGACTCTGTCTCAAAAAAAAAAATAAATAAACTATTATGATTTTATTGGAATTATATTTATATGAATATAATAGTTGGGGAGATTTAATGTTTTTATTACATTAAGCCTTTCTTTGTATCTAGGGATTTTATGTGTCTGTTTGATTACGTCTTATATGCTGCAATGATATTTATAATTTTTCTTCTTATAAATCCATCATCTTTTTATCTTTTTTGGTTAAATTTATTTTTTGCATATTTATATTTTTGTTGTCATTAAGACTTATTTTTGCTAGTCCCATCTGGTTACTGCTAGTATAGGAATAACCTATTTTTGTACTTTTCTCTTTTATTTTTATTTTTTGAGATAGGATCTTGCCTTGAAGTTCACTGGCATGATCACAGCTCACTGTAGCCTTAACCTTCCAGGCTCAAATGATCCTCCTTCCTCAGCCTCCCAAGTAGCTGGGACTACAGGTGTGCACTACCAGACCCAGCTAATTTTTAAATTTTTCCGTAGAGATAGGTTCTCCCTATGTTGCCCAGGCT
The DNA here is from genome assembly GCF_000001405.40 of Homo sapiens. NCBI lineage: Eukaryota > Metazoa > Chordata > Mammalia > Primates > Hominidae > Homo > Homo sapiens. The sequence goes on from NC_000023.11 coordinate 47,487,236, forward strand.
GGTGTCAAACTCCTGGACTCAAGTGATCCTCCCACCTCAGCCTCCCTAATGGCTGGGACTACAGGTGATAATTTTATCTTGTATCCAACTCCTTATCAAAACTATCTACCTATTCTGGTAGCTTCTTATTACAGTTTTTTCCTAGGTTTTCTAATTGTACAGTTGTATCAGATATAGATAATATTTCCTATCTGACATTTGATATATTTCTTCTTTTTTCACTGTATTAGCTGTCTAATAAGGTAGCGTCTAAGCTCATTGGCTATTTATTTTATTTTTTATTATTATTTTTTGAGACAGGGTCTCACTCTGTCACCTAGGCTGGAGTGTAGTGGCACGATCTCTACTCACTGCAGCCTCTACCTCCCAGGCTCAGGTGATCCCCTCACCTCAGCCCTCCAAGTAGCTGGGACTACAGGCATGTACCACCACGCCCAGCTAATTTTTGTATTTGTAGAGACTTGATTTCACCATGTTGCCCAGACTGATCTCAGACTCTTGACCTCAAGGGATCCACCTGCCTTGGCCTCCCAAAGTGCTGGGATTACAGGCATGAGCCACCACGCCTGGCCTGCTGTTTAAATTTAAGTTAAATAAAACTTAAAATTCGGTTTCTCAGTTGCCTAGCCACATTTCAAGTGCTCAGTACCCACATATGGCTAGTGGCTACTGTACTGGATGATGCTAAATATAGAAACATTTCCATCATTGCAGAATGATGGACAATGCTGTATTGGACAATGCTGAAATAGAGCCTCAGTTGTATTGGACAATGCTGAGATAAATCCTTCAAAATAATGTTGAGTAATAGATGTGATAGAAAACATCCCTATCTTGTTGCCAGTGTTCATGGAAATGATTTAAACATTTTACCGTTTAGTATAAAGTTTTCTGGCAAATTTTGGAAAATAGTGTTGTCCATTTTAAGTAGTTTTCTTTTTTTTTTTTTTGAGACAGAGTCTCGCTCTGTCACCCAGGCTGGAGTGCAGTGGTGACATCTCAGCTCACTGCAGCCTCCACCTCCCGGGTTCAAGTGATTCTCGTGCCTCAGCCTCCTGAGAAGCTGGGACTACAGATATACATCACCATGCCAGGCTAATTTTTATTTTTATAGAGATGAGGTCTCAGTCTGGTCTCAAACTCCCAGCTTCAAGTGATCCTCCCATCTTGGCCTCTCAAAGTCCTGGGATTACAGGCGTGAGCCACCCTGCCCCTCCAGTCTCTTTATTTTATTATTATTGTTATTTTTAGACTGAGTCTCACTCTATTGCCCAGGCTAGAGTGCAGTGGCGTGATCTCAGCTCACTACAACCTCCGCCTCCTGGGTTCAAGTGATTCTCCTGCCTCAGCCTCCCAAGTAGCTGGGATTACAGGTGCCTGCTACCATGCCCAGCTCATTTTTGTATTTCTAGTAGAGACAGGGTTTCACCATGTTGGCCAGGCTAGTCTCGAACTCCTGACCTCAGGTGATTCACCTGCCTCGGCCTCCCAGAGTGCTGGGATTACAGGCATGAGCCACCACACCCAGCCCCAGTCTCTTTATTTTAAATGTGCTTCTAGGCTGGGCATGGTGGCTCATGCCTGTAATCCCAGCACTTTGGGAGGCCGAGGTGGGTGGATCACCTGAGGTCAGGAGTTCGAGACCAGCCTGACCAACATAGAGAAACCCTGTCTCTACTAAAAATACAAAATTAGCCGGGCATGGTGGCGGATGCCTGTAATCCCAGCTATTTGGGAGGCTGAGGCAGGAGAATTGCTTGAACCCAGGAGGCGGAGGTTGCAGTGAGCCGAGATCACGCCATTGCACTCCAGCCCGGGCAACAAGAACAAAACTCCATCTCAAAAAAAAAAAAGTGCTTCTAGTAAATAACACATAACTTTTGTTTTATAACCCAATGTTACAGTCCCTCTCTTATAGGAGAACCCAATCCATTCAGTTTATCAGTGATATGCCTGTTTTTGTGTGTTCCATCGGACTTTGTTTCCTTTTTTCGATTTTGTTATTGTTTCCACCTTTTCAATTTTCTTACATTTGTTGGCTCTCTCAAGCTTCTGTTTATTCCCCTTCTCCCTCCCTTAGTAATTTGGAAGTTCTACTCTGCTTATCAATTCTTCTGATGATTATCTTTCCATTCCTTATAAGCATAATTCACATTTTCTCTATTGGTAGATTAAGCACACACATGGGCGCACACACACACACACACACACACACACACACACACACACAGGTGTGTTACTGGCCTTTACTCCTAATTTCTCAGGAGAATGAACCATTTAGAATGTTTTTACCTCTTCATTCTGCCCTCACCCAAAATTTCTGTTCTTAGAAAAGAACAGATCTTTTTTTTTCTGAGTTTTTTTTTTTTTTAATTAGAAGAGACGCTGGAAGCATGATGACAGCAGCGTAGTTTTCACTCTCTTGTTATGCCAGCATACAGACAGAGCAACCAGATGACAAAATCAAAACCCATGGGTAATATTTACGGTGAGGCCAGTAGACACAGTGTCCCCAGTGTGGCAGATTTTCTGCAGATAGGGCTGCCAGCTGTATTTCCAACCCTGTATGTGTTTGCCACCCTCCCATCAAGACATGGTGCCTATTTTTTCATCCTTTGTGTCTGGGCTGGCCTTGTGTTCCATTTGACCAATAAGGTATGGTAGAAATGGCATTCTGGGACTTCTGAGCCCAACCTTAAAAGACATTGAACTTTTGCTTTAGTGAGAGGGGAATCAAGATACCCTGTAAAGAGGTCTGTGCTGTCCTTCTGAAGACAGAGGTCCTGGAAGATGAGACACTTTTTAAAAATAGGTCATGCAGCGCTGTGGCAGCCACCCAGCTAGCTCAGTTGGTAGAGCATGAGACTCTTAAATATAGGCCATGTACATAACTGAGGCCCCAGCTGGCAGCTAGCACTGAGGTCTCAGTCGTATCATGAAATTATCTTGCATCCTCCAGTACCATTCCAGCTTCTCCAGGCATCATATAGAGAAGAAACAAGTCTGGGCGTGGTGGTTCACACCTGTAATCCCAGCACTTTGGTAGGCCGAAGCAGGCAGATCATCTGAAGCAGTGAAGCAAGGAGTTTGAGACCAGCCTGGGTAGCAAAGCAAGACCTCATCTCTACTAAAATATATTAGTCAGGCACAGTGGCACATGCTGGTAGTCCCAGCTACTCAGGAGGCTGAGGTGGGAGGATTGCTGTGCCCAGGATTTTGAGGCTGCAGTGAGCTATGATCGCACTACTGTACTCCAATGGTCAACAGAACAAGATCCCACCTCTTAAAAAAAAGAAGAAGAAGAAGAAACGAGCCATCCCCACTGAGCCATGCCCAGATTCGTGAGCAATAAAATAGTTATTAATCCACTAAGTTTTGGTGTGGTTTACTTACACAGCAATAGATAGCTGAAATATCCATGAATATCAAAATACACATGAGTAAGCCCAAGTCACCAACAGCCACAACAACTTCATGGTACAATTATCTGTATAGGAAAAAGCAGGGGGAAGTAAGCAGTATTTGCCAGACCTGAGAACACAATACCAAAACAGCCAATGGGCATGGCAGACCAACTTGAATTCAGCAGCTGAAACTGGGAGGAATTTTGCAAAATTCAGCAACGAGTGAGAGGGGTCTGCAGGAAGGTTGGAAGGGGTTGGAGCAGACTATAATAATTCCTAGGAACTCTTTTTTCTTTCTTTCTTTTCTTTTCTTTTCTTGGATCATGGCCGGAGTGCAGTGCCATGATCTTGGCTCACCTAAGCCTCAACCTCCCAGGCTCAAGCAATCCTCTCCCCGCAGCCTCCCGAATAGCTGAGACTACAGGCACATGCCATCACACTGAGCTCATTTCTTAAATTTTTAGTGGAGACAAAGTCTAGCTATGTTGCCCAGGCTGGTCTTGAACTCCTGAGCTCAAGTGATCCTCCTGCCTCAACTTCCCAAAATGCCAGGATTACAGGCATGAGCCACCATGCCCAGCCTTCTATGAACTCTTAAGACGGACTGTGCTTGGGGGGTTCCCAGGACCAACCTCAGGTTCACTGATTGACTATGAAGGACTCAGAATTCAGCAATGGAAAAGGGCACATAGGGCAGAGTCCAGGGGAAACAAGGATCAAGCTTTGGGTTCGCCCTTCTTGGTGTAGTCATACGGCCAGTGCTTAATTCTCCTAGCAAGATGTGGGGTAACATACATGAAATATTACCAACCATGGGCTCTCACTTTAGCCTCGGTGTCTGTGGTTTTTATTTGGAGTCAGTTTCAGGCATGGCCAACTACCTGTGTGGTTGACCTTACTCAGTCCTTCCAAGGTTCACGCTGATACTGCACAGCCCAAGACTCACCAAGAATCACAGCTATCTGGCATGGCTCATGCACTCAAGTAAACAAAGATTTCTTAACAGGCAGTATATTCCAAGGGTTTAGAGCAGTGGTCCCCAACCTTTTTGGCACCAGGGACCAGTTTTGTGGAAGACAATCTTTCCATGGACATGGAGCGGGGTGGAGGGGGATGGTTTTGGGATGAAACTGTTCCATCTCAGATCACCAGGCGTTAGATTCTCATAAGGAGTGTGCAACCTAGATCCCTTGCATGCGCAGTTCACAATAGAGTTTGTGCTCCTATGAGAATCTAATGCTGCCACTGATCTGACAGGAGGTGGAGCTCAAGCAGTATCGCTCCCTTGCCTGCTTCTCACCTCCTGCTGTGCGGCCCAGTTCCTAACAGGCCTTGGACTCATACTGGTCTGTGGACTGGCAGTTGGGGACCCCTGACTTACAGGTTATATCCCAGGAGCTGGGGCAAGGGCCAAACCTTTCCTTGGAATGCACAAGGTTTAAACAACCCAGACCTCCTAAGTTAATTCTTTACTGTATGATGACATACCAGGGCTGTCTTCTAGGACAGCAGACCACACTAAGAAACTACTGGGAGTGAAACAAAAATTAAGCAAGATAGGGCAATAGTAAATGTAATTTTTTTTGTTTTGTTTTTTTTCTGAGATGGTCTTGCTCTGTTGCCCAGGCTGGAGTGCAGTGGTGCGATCATAGCTCACTGCAGCCTCATCCTCCCCAGGCTCAAGTGATACTCCCACCTCAGCTTCCTGAGTAGCTGAGACAACGGGTGCATGCCATCACAGCTGGCTAATTTTTTGTATTTTTTTTGTAGAGATGGGGTTTCACTGTGTTGCCCAGGCTGGTCTCAAACTCCTGGGCTCAAGCAGTCCACCCACCTCGGCCTTTGAAATTGCTGGGATTATAGGCATTCGCCACTGCACCCAGCCTCTCATGTTTGTTTTGTTTTGTTTTTATTATTATTTAATTGACAAAGAAAAATTGTATATATTTATGGTATTAATAGAGGTAGAGGGAAAAAACAGTCTTTCTTTCTTTTCTTTTTTTTTTTGTTTTTTGAGATGGGGTCTTGCTCTGTCTCCCAGGCTGGAGTGCAGTGGCGTGATCTTGGCTCACTACAACCTCCACCTCCCGGGTTCAAGCGATTCTCCTGCCTCAGCCTCCTGAGTAGCTGGGATTACAGGCACCCGCCATCATGCCCGGCTAATTTTTGTATTTTTGTAGAGACGGGGTTTTACCATGTTGGCCAGGCTAGTCTTGAACTCTTGACCTCGGGTGATCTGCCCACCTCGGCCTCCCAAAGTGCTGGGATTACAGGCATGAGCCACCACGCCTGGCCGAAACAGTGTTTCTCTTACCCTAACACAGCCAACATAACACTTCTGACATTAGATTCTCCAGTGGATACCACCTGGGTGTCCTCCAATTCAATTCTGACGCTACCTGAAAATACTGCCATTAGAGGGCTCAATACCACAAGACTGCCCCCACTTCAGATGCCAATTGTAAGTCCCAGGTTGTGACCTACACGTCTGACCAACCAGCTATAAATCAATGACCCCCTCTTTGGGTTCAATTAATTTGCTAGAGCAGCTCCTAGAATTTAGGGAAACATTACTTACATTTACCTATTTATTATCAAGGGTATTACAAAGGATGCAGATGAATAGCAGATGGAAGAGATGCATAGAGTGAGGAATGGGGGAAGGGGTGCAGAGCTTCCATGCCCTCTCTAGTCATGCCACCCTCTAGGAATCTCACTGTGTTCAACTATCTGGAAGCTCATCCAAAGCCAGTTCTTTTGGGCTTTTATGGAAACTTCATTATGTAGGCATGATTGGTTATGTAATTGGCCATTGGTGATCAATTCAACATTTTGCCCTTCTCCCCTCCCCAGAGTTTATGGTGAGTCTGCAAGTCTCAATCCTGTAATCATGTCTTGGTCTTTCTGGTGACCATCCACCATCCTGAGGCTATCTGGGGGCCACCAGTCATCATCATCTCATTAGTGTAAAAAGTCACTCATCACTCTGGAGATTCCAAGGCTTTTAGGAACTCTGTGCCAGGAAATGGGGAATGTATTAGACTGTTCTTGTACTGCTATAAAGAAATACCTGAGACTGGGTGATTTATAAAGAAAAGAGGTTTAATTGGCTCACAGTTCCACAGGCTGTACAGGAAGCATAGCGGCTTCTGCTTCTGGGGAGGCCTCAGGAAACTTACAACCACGGCAGAAGTCAAAGGGGAAGCAGGCATGTCTTACATGGCCAGCGCATGAGGGAGAGAGGGTGGAGGTTCCATACACTTTTAAACAACCAGATCTTTTGAGAACTTAGCACCAAGGGGATGGTGCTAAGCCATTCATAAGAAACTGTCTCCATGATCCAGTCACCTTCCACCAGGGCCCTCTTCCAATACTGAGGATTACAATTCAACATGATATTTGGGCAGGGACACAGATCCAAACCATATCAGGTGATGAAGACCAAATATATATATATCTTATTATAAATCATAATATCACAGGAGCACAACATGATGTTATGAAATATGTATACATTGTAGAATGGCCAAATCAAGCTGATTAACATATACATAACCTCAAATATTTATCTGTGGTGAGAGCCCTTAAAATCTATTTTCAGCAGTTTTCATGTATACAATACATTGTATATTAGCCTGTTTTCATACTGCTATAAAGAACTGCCTGAGACTGGGTAATTTATAAAGGAAAGAGGTTTAATTGACTCACAGTTCCGCATGGCTGGGGAGGCCTCAGGAAACTTACAATCATGGCAGAAGGTGAAGGGGAAGCAAGGCACCTTCCTCACAAGGCGGTAGGGAGAAGTGCTGAGCGAAGGGGGAAGAACCCATAATAAAACCATCAGCTCTTGTGAGAACTCACTCACTATCATGAGAACAGCATGGAGGAAACTGCCCCCATGATTCAATTACTTCCACTTGGTGTCTCCCTTGACACATAGGGATTATGGGAATTACAATTCAAGATGAGATTTAGGTGGGGGCACAAAGCTTAACCATATCAATTGTTATTAACTATAGTCACCATGTTGTACAATAGATCTCTTGAACTTGCATATACATTTCCTTTGGCTACTGTAACAAAATACCTTAAACTTGGTGGCTTGAAACAACAGAAGTTTATTTTCTCATGGTTATAAAGGCCAGAAGTCTGAAATCAATATCACTGGGCCAAAATCAAGTATCAGCAGGGCTCTGCTCCCACCAGAGGCTGCCAGGATTCCTTGGCTTATGGCCACATCACTCCAGCCTCCGCTTCTGTAGTCACATTGTCTTCTCTTTTGTGCCATCTCCTTCTACCTCTCTCTAATAGGAACATTTATGATGGCATTTAGGGCTCATCTAGATAATTCAGGTGATCTCCTCATGGCAAGTTCCTTAACTTAATCACATCTGCAAAGTCCTTTTTTTGGCCAAATAATATAGCCAAATATGCCAAATTATGGCCAAATACTATATCTTTTAGGGAGTCATTATTCAACCTACACAATCCACTCTGTGGTTCCCAAACATTGATGTTCATCCCACCTACAAAGTACATTCACCCTATCCCAGCACCCTCAAAAGTGTCAACTCATTACAGCATCGACTCAAGTTCAAAATCTTAGCTAAATATCATCAGCTCAGAAGTCTCAAATCTTATCATGTAAATCAGGTTTCAGTGAGACTCTATGGCAACCCAGGGGACAATTCCCCTTCATTTGTGGACCTTGTGAAACAAGAAAATGAGTTATCTATTCCCAAAATGTAAGCATGGGACAGGCATCAGATAACAGTTATAGACATTCTCATTCTAAAAGGGAGAAAAATTGAAGGAATTAAGAAGTCATAGTTACCAAGCCACTTTGAAACCCAGCAGGGGAGATTCCATTAGGGTTCAAGGCCTTGAAATAATCCTCAGTAGTTCATGAATTGACACTATGGGCCCAAAACTCCATCCCTTTTATTGAAGGGTAGCTCAGGTTTGAAGCTTAGTAGTTTTATTGCCTGCAGAATTTTTGGAATCTGGAAGCCTTCCTTCATTTCATTCCATCTCTGTCTCTCAGTATAAGCTGGCAATGTTTCTGCTGGCATAACATTCTTTGAAAACCTTGTGGATCTCCTGTATATGTCACAGGGATTCACACTATCAGGCAGGAGGGCCACAGGCTTTTCCTCGTTAATCTCATCTCTACTCCTGGCTTCTGCTGTGAAGATTGAGAGGATCCATGAATTACATGCCTAATCTCTTCGGTAGTAGCAAAAAGTTACCCAGCCATACCTTTGTTCTCTCCAGAGCATGCTTTCCTAAAAGCAAATGTCCTAATTTTAGTAGCTTTGGCAACCTGGATAGGCTAAGAATTTCCCATATTATCAACTCCTGATTCTTTCTTTTTCTTTCTTCTTTTGTTTTCCTTTTTTTTTTTTTTTTTTTTTTTTTTTTTTGAGACGGAGTCTCACTCTGTCACCCAGGCTGGAGTGCAGTGGTGCAATCTTGGCTCACTGCAATCTCTGCCTCCGGGGTTCACGCAATTCTCAGCCTCCAGAGCAACTGGAATTACAGGTGCGTGCCACCACACCCGGCTGATTTTTATATCTTTATTAGAGATGGGGTTTTGCCATGATGGCCAGGCTGGTCTTGAACTCCTGACCTCAAGTGATTCTCCTTCCTTGGCCACCCAAAGTGTCAGGATTACAGGCGGGAGCCACCGCGCCTGGCCCTGATTCATTTTTGCTTAGCAGTTCTTCTCTCAGTTTATCACTTTCCTCTCATCACATTTTACCATAAGCAGCAAGAAAAAACCAGGCTGCACTTCAACACTTTGCTTGGAAATCCCCTTAGCTAAATAAGCAAGTTCACTGCTTATAAGTCTGCTTTCAGCATAACTGTAGGACACAATTAACTTAATTGCTAAGTTTTCTGTCACTTTATAATGAAGATCACCTTTCCTATAGTTTCCAATAAGATTTTCCTTCTTAGCCCTCACCAGCAGCACTTTTAATGGTCATATTTATACTAACATGCTTATGATGATACATGTCTTCTCTAAGATGATATAGACTTTCTCTACCATCTTCTTTACTTCTTCTGAGTCCTCACCAGCAGTGCTTTCAACATCCATATTTCTACCAACAGGGTGTTTTGGGTAATCTAGGAGTTTTCTATAATGTTTCTCAACATTCTTCCAGCCTCTACCTATTATCTAATTACTCTATTCCAAAGCCACTTCCACATTTTTGGGTATTTTTTACAGCAACACCCCACTTTCGCTACCAAACGTTTCCTATTGCTAGTGTAACAAATTACCACAAACTTGGTGACTTAAAACAACAGAAATTTATTTGTTCACAATTCTAGAGGCCAGAAATCTAAAATCAGTATGGCTGGGCCAAGATCAAGGTGTTGGCAAGGCCGTACTCTCTTCATTCCTTGGCTCTTCCAGCTGCTGGTGGCCGCTGGCATTCCTTGGCTTGTGACCACAGCACTCGAATCTATGCCTCTGTATTCATATTTTCTTCTCCTATTTGTGTCATCTTCCTCTGCCTCCCTCTTATAACGACACCTGTGATTGCATTTAGGGCCTATGTTAATAATCTAGAATAATCTCTCCATCTCAAAATCTTCAACTTAATCACACCCCAAAAGTCCTTTTATCATATGGTAACATACACAGGTTCCAGAGATTTCTCTTGGGGAGTCATTATTCGGCCTACCTCAATAAGGGAAGAGACTGTCTAAATAAAAGTGGGGAAACAGAGCCAAGAATCTCAGAAACAAGCTTCCATAATTTTTAGCACTATGCAAAAACAACAGAAGAGGGAGCTCTGACATTTGAAAAGCTACCCTGAACCCCCACCTCCTTCTGAAAGTTCAGGAAAACTAATTTGATATAAAGAAGAATATACAGAGGACAAATCCCATACAATATTGCTGTAAGAATAAAAAAATAAGGGGTAGAATACCATTCTTGGACACAATGAAAGAATGCCGAAAACACATGCTCACAGAATGGATCAAAATTATAGCCAACTATTTTGAACAAGCTAAACAACATTAAGAAAATGATGCAAGACAATGAAAGAATAACATAAATAAGAACTAGAAAAACTCAATTTATGATAGATCTCAGAAAATATTTGGAAATAAAAGAAAAAATCTTTCAGAATAGAAAATTAAACTGCAAGGAACACAGAGCAAATAAACATAACACATGATGGCTTAAAAGAAATAGAAGGTGGAAAGGATGAACATATTTTTTAAAAAGCAAAAGAATAGTATTTGAGGACAAATGGCAAATATCAAAGTTATAAAAAGAAGATCCAATTCATATACCCTAGGAGTCCTTGAAGAAAACAAGGGCAAAAGGATGAAAACAAATACTAAAAACTATAATTCAAGAAAACTTCCTGGAATTAAAAAAGAATTGAAACTACATATTGAAAGAGCACATCAGACTTCCTTTTCCTTCTGGCCAAGATAGAGTTACAGGAACCAGATTTACTCTTCCACTTGAAACAACTACAAAAATGATAAAATATATGAAACAATGGGGCCGGCCGTGGTGGCGCATGCCTGTAATCCCAGCACTTCGGGAGGCCAAGGCGGGCAGATCACTTGAGGCCAAAAGTTTGAGACCATCCTGGCACATAGCAAAACACCATCTCTGCTAAAAATACAAAAAATAGCCGGGCAAGGTGGTACACACCTGTAGTCCCAGCTACTCGGGAGGCTGAGGCATAAGAACTCCTTGAACCCAGGAAGCGGAGGTTGCAGTGAGCCGAGGTTGCAGTGAGCCGAGATTGCACCACTGCATTCCAGCCTGGGTGACAGAGTGAGAGCCTGTCTCGAAAAAAGGAATTAAAAAAAAAAAAAGAAAAGAATGCAGGTCTGAAAAATATCTCAAGCACCAATCTTAGGTTTTACAATAGTGATGTTATCAAAAGGAGCAATTGTGGAGGTTAGGAATTTTGTGACCTCCGGCCACATGACTTCTAAACCAGAATTTCTACTCTTGTGGCTAATTTGTTGGTTTTACAAAGGCTGTTTGGTCCCCAGGCAAAAAGGGGGTTTGTTTTGGGAAAGGGCTGTTACCATCTTTGTTTCAAAGTTGAACTATAAACTAAGGCTGGGCACAGTGGCTCATGTCTGTAATCCCAGCACTTTAGGGGTCGAGGTGGGTGGATCACTTGAGGTCAGGGGTTTGAGACCAGCCTGGCCAACATGATGAAACCCCGTCTCTACCAAAAAATTAAAAAATTAGACAGGCATGTTGGCACACGCCTGTAATCCCAACCACTCAGGAAGCTGAGGCAGGAGAATTGCTTGAACCCGGGAGGCAGAGGTTGCAGTGAGCCAAGATTGTACCATTGCACTCCAGCCTGGGTGACAGAGTGAGACCCTGTCTCAAAAAAAAAAAAAAATTAATATATATATACACTAAATTTTTCCTATAGTTAGCTTGGCCTATGCCCGGGAATGAACAAGGGCAGTTTGGAGGTTAAGGGCAAGATGGGGTCGGTTAGCTCAGATCTCTTTCACTGTCATATTTTTTTCAGTTATAATTTTTGCAAGGGCATTTCAGTATTGTTATTCAGAGACTGGTTAACGTGGGTGCCTAGAAAGGGATTAACAGAGCAGGCCTGAGACTGTTATGCTGAGAAAAGCTTGTTCTCAAGGTTTGCCCTTGGCTGGTGTCTGGGAACTTGGATTTCTGGAGGGTTCCCACTTTTCCCTAACTGATAAGGGTGTCTCACTGTGTCTACGTTGTGCTGACAATCTGGTTTATGCTGGCCATCTGCCTCTCTTCTAGGAGTCTGGAATATTAGTGCGTGCTAGGCAGAGGGCACCTAGTGCCTAACTCCCAATAAAAACCTTTGACACTGAGTCTCTAATGGGCTTTTCTGGGCAGAAACATGACACGCTTGTTGCTGCATTTTTGATGCTGGGGGAGGGTGCACTATGTGGGAGCCTTCCTGGGAGGGAAGAAGAGGGAAGATGGATGAGTAAATCATGCCTGGGTCACTATGGAGTTACCTATGGTGTAAAACAGCAGCTGACCTGCTTGCTATCTCTTATGAGAGGTAGAAGTTACCCGTGGCATTTGAAAATGATAAATCCAGTCATAGACAGTTGGCTTGCTGGATCTCCTGGCTGCTTTTGGCCATGCTGGCTAAAGATAGGAAGAAGTGCAGCTCAAAGGATGACTTTGGTTTTTGTTCTCTCCTCCAATTGGGAGGAAAAAGGGCCCAGACATTCCCCCCAGTGAGCTTCCTATGCACTAAAGACAGGCCAGGTGCAGTGGCTCACGCCTGTAATCCCAGCACTTTGGGAGGCCAAGGTGGGCAGATTGCTTGAGGTCACAAGTTTGAGAACAGCCTGGCCACCATGGTGAAATCCTGTCTCTACTAAAAATACAAAAATTAGCCGGGTGTGGTGGCATGCACCTGCAGTCTCAGCTACTCAGGAGGCTGAGGCAGGATAATGGCTTGAACCGAGGAGGTGGAGGTTGCAGTGAGCTGAGATCATGCCACTGCACTCCAGCCTGGGCGACAGAGCGAGATTCTGTCTCAACAAAACAAAACAAAACAAAACAAAACAAAACAAAACAAAACCAACGAAAAGACAATAACAGTTAATTGGAGTTGCTCTCTCTCCTAGGTGGGAGGGGGAAGGGTCAGAAAATTTCTGAAGGCAGGTTTTGGGTGAATCAAGAACGTTCAAAGTTTGCATTGCTCGCTCCTCCAAGTGGAAGAAAAATAGTTAAATCAGTTCCCAGGGCTGGAGCAAGGCTTTAGATAAACCAGAGGTGGAGAAAGAGTAAAAAACATTCCCCCCAAACAAGAAAACCACTCTAGCCTTTTCTACAGCTTAGTAGCTGCCTCTGCAACTCAAAGCCCTCCTTACACTGCAACCTTCATCTCCAGCAGCTGTAATGTTAACCTTGTAAATGCGGTGTGGAAACTAAAGCAACTCCATCTTGGATGCTAATCCACGATGTTGACTTCAGATTAACTCCAGTGCCAGGAAGGCCTCTCAGATTTCCAGTCTAGCTATCTTTCCTTGTGTAAGAGCACATACTTACCACAAATCCTGCCCTTAGGTCTAAATAACCTCAATGTGATCGTTCTTCAATTCTACACATCACTTCTGAATCACCCCTTCCCTATGGTATATAAGCCCTGAGTCTGGGGTTGATGGCACAGGGATCCACTTTCTCCTCTTACCGCTACCTGAGACGCAGACATGGCTTCTGTTTGCAAGTCCCTATTAAATGTTTCCTTCTAAGAAATTGGATATGTCAGCCTCTTTCTTTGGCCTCTCAGCTTCCTGGGACTTTGGGGGTAGTTTTGTATAGACCTGCTCACTGTGGAACATGCTGATTTTACAGCTAGGGGTTTGGGGAAAACAGAGGGGAATGTTTATTCAAAGGCTTTGTATTTTGTGGCTGTCGCATCTGGGTGTATGATAAAATTTAATGTAAAATGTTATCTGCTTTATTTCATCAACATTAGACAAATCATCCTAATAGGGAAAGCTGCAAAGAAAAAAAAACAGTGTTTGTGGAATCAGAGCTCCCTTGCTTTTTGCTGCCTGTGGGTGGATTGCAATTTAAACTCTTTGAGGATTGGAAACAGAACAAGTCTCCATAACCACTGATTTTTGCCCATTGGAGCCTCTGGAAAAAGGGAGAGAACATAAAAAGAGAGGCAATCTCCGGGTAGAAACATGCTTTGGGAGTTTTCAAAAACAGCTTTTAGTTTGCTAATGTGCTCTTGCTGCCATGAACTGCCTGACCCATAGAGGCTAATGGTTTTCAGCCTGCTGTGCATATGTTTGAGTAGGTCTATTTGGCCTCTAAAATGAACAAGATAAAAAGGACTTTTAGAAAAGTCTTGTTTGTCACTTGGGCTTGGTATACAGCTGTCTGGCTCTTCCTTGTATCAGCTTTGCTGCTACTGAAGGAAAGCCAGGGGCTTTTTAAAAATCCCAGATTCACAGATCCTAATTGCCTGTGCCTGCCTCTGAGCTGAAACTTGATGCTGTCTTCTGCAGCTGTTTCGGCCTTGCGGTGAGCTGTGCGGAACTGAAGGCTCATCTCAAAGAACAGGACTCAGATTCTGAATTGTTGCCCATTTAAGACAGCCTCTGTGGGGCTATAAATGACGAAAATACAGATGCTGACCGGATTGTCTGGGTCACATAAAAATGCCAACAGGAAAGGGTGTGGTCTCATGAAACCATCTAAAATTGGGTGGCTGAATGGCTCTAGATTTCTGATACAGAGACTAATTGCATTCTTAACTTGTGATTTCTCTTGAAAGCTTCAGGTTGGGGACGGACACATAACAGAGAATGTGACCCCTTCACCTACTTCACACAGATTGGACTGGTGCCCCTCTTTGAGATGTCTCATTGCTGTTGACTTGTTGCATCATTCAGCTTTCAGGATTAGATGCAGTTTGTGCCAATGGACTGATAGCCTGACTCTATTTCCCTCACCTTTCTTTTCTTTCTTTCTTTCTTTCTTTCTTTCTTTCTTTCTTTCTTTCTTTCTTTTTTTCTTTTTTTTTTTTTTTTTTAGACAGGGTCTCACTCTGTCACCCAGGATGGAGTGCAGTGGCACGATCATGGCTCACTGCAGCCTTGATCTCCCGGGCTCAGGTGATCCTCCTACCTCAGCCTCCCAAGTAGCTGGGACTACAGGCTCCTGCCACCCAGATAATTTTTTTTTTAAGAGATGGGGTTTCGCCATGTTTCCCAGGCTGGTCTCGAACTCCTGAGCTCAAGCAGTCCGCCCACCTTGGCCTCCCAAAGTGCTGGAATTACAGGCGTGAGCCACTGAGCCCAGCCTACTACCCTCACCTTTCTCCTAGTGCACACATCTTAGTGAAACAGTTTGATTATTCAGTGCAGCTGTCCCCAGCAAGAGATTGATTTTTTTTTCCCTAGGCTGCTCACTGGGTAAATGATGAGGAGGAAAGGAATGGGAAGTTAATGGAAACCCATTTTGAAAAAATTGGAAAGTTCCGGATTCTTCCTGACCTATTTCTGGACATGATATGTCTTTCTGGTTAAATTGCATAAAAATATTTTCCTGGAAAAATGTTTCTTTCCTTCTAGCATATAACCCTTCCAGACAAATGGTCTGGATGAGAGTAAAATGATTGGGAAATATGAAGTCATATTTCTTCAGTAAGTCATGAAGTCTTACTGAATGAGACTCACTGATTTTGTAACAATGGAGAAAAAAGAAAAGCCTATGGAGGTGCCGGGGTGTAGAGAGTGTATTAATGATCTTTGTTTTTTCAGAACTGCTCCTGGCAGCTTTCCCCTCTTTCTGTAGAAGAATGCCCCATGTTTCATTTCCAAGCTGCTGTGAGTGCTTTGAATGTAAATTGGCTGCTGAGCCTCTGATCACCCCTGACAGCACTGACTATGACACAGCAGGGGTGGCACCTGCTCCTGTGATTTGCCGGCAGAACACCTGCAGATGCCATCCACACACATGAGAGGGATGAACTGATGTCACGGATAAGCAAAACTGAGGGAACCTGACTACCTCTGGGCAGTCCCGCTGAAACCAAGGACCAAACTGAATTATTTGGATTAGACTCGGTGGGAGTTTTCCCCGTGGGAGGCCACACTGGGAACCCTGTTAACCTGCCCTGTCTGACTAATGTATGCCCTGCTCGGGGTACCTGAACAATTGTAAACTCTTGGTTTCCAGGGCTATCACGTGTTCCCTCTGGGATTGTACTTGCATGTGCACCCTAACTGTCCTGACACTGCCTCAGCCTGGAAGACATTGACATCAGCTTCAGTTTACTGGCCAGAGTGGTGCTGAGCCTGAATTGATGTGGCAGGCTGGGCAAAAAGGGGATAATACAGAAATTTAAGGAAGAAGCCCCCTGACTTTCAAAGATGAACTTTTCTGGTTAATGGATTTTTTTTTCTTTGTGTGTGTGTGTGTGTGTGTGTGTGTGTGTGTGTGTGTGTATTTTGAGACAGTGTCTCACTCTGTTGCCCAGGCTTTAGTGTAGTGGTGTGATCAGCTCACTGCAGCCTCAAACTCCTGGGCTCAAGTGATCCTCCCACCTCAGCCTCCCAAGTAGCTGGGACTACAGGCGCATGCCACCATGCCCAGCTGAATTAAAAAAAAATTTTTTTTTGTAGAGATGGGGGGTGTATTAGGGTTCCCTTAGAGGGACATAACTAATAGGATATATGTGTATATATATAGGCTGTCTGCAAGCTGAGGAACAAGGAAAGCCAGTCTCAATCCCAAAACTGAAGAACTTAGAGTCCGATGTTCAAGGGAAGGAAGCATCCAGCACAGGAGAAAGATGGAGGCTAGGAGGCTAGGCCCATGTTGTTCTTTTCTCATTTTTCTGCCCGCTTCATATTCGATGGAAGCTGATTAGATTGTGCCCACCAGATTAAGGGTGGATCTGCCTTTTCCAGCCCACTGACTCAAATGTTAATCTGTTTTGGGCAACACCCACACAGACACACCCAGGATTAATATTTTGTATCCCTCAATCCAATCAAGTTGACAACTCAGTATTAACCATCACAGGGGGTCTCACTATGTTGGCCAGGCTGCCCTCCAACCCCTGGGTTCAAGCAATCCTGCTGCCTTGGCCTCCCAGAGTGCTGGGATTACAGGTGTGAGCCACTGTGCCCCACCTGGAATTTGTTTTAACTGGCTAAATCCAGGACCCCTGGAGGGTATAAGTGAGGTTAAATCTGCAGGGTGGTCTCACCTGGCTGCATGGGGTCCTACTGATAATTTTGCTGTGAAGATGCCAGGACCAAGGGGTGGACTAAGCAGAAGGGGGTTAACATAGCAGTCCTGTAACTATTGTCCTTTGAAAGTCCTGCTTACAAGCTTGGCCCTTGGCTGGCAATTAGGAACTTGGATTTCGGGAGTATTCCCAGAATTCCTTAACTGATAAGGATGGCTTACTCTTCCCAACCTGTTTGTGCAAACAGTGGTTTCTGCTGATCACCGGCTTTCATTCTGGGAGCCTGGAATTTTGGTAAGCACTAGGTAGAGGGTGCCTAGTGACCAGCCCCCAGTGAAACCTTTGGGCACCAAACCTCTAATGGGCTTCCCTGGGGAGAAGCATTATACATGTGTTCCTGGATTTTTGTTGCTAGAAGGACAGCTCTGTGCAAGCCTCCTGCGAGGGGGAGACAGCATGAGGAGGCCTGTGTACAGCATCCTTCACATTCTGCCTGTGTCTTTTTACCTTGACGATTCTGTCACATATCCTTTTGCTGTCATAAACCTTAGCTGTGAGGACAATTATATGCTATGCTCAGTGCTATGAGTTCTTCCAGCAAGTCACTGAACATGGGGGGTGGCCCTGGGACCCCCCAACAGAATGGGATAAATTAATAATTATGAGATATTCCAATTCTATCATCCCTGCGTCTATGAGAACCTGTAATTTTGTTGTGAGAGAAATGGAATGCAGGCCGGGTGTGGTGGCTCATGCCTATAATCCCTGTACTTTGGGAGGCTGAGGCGGGTGGATCACCTGAGGTCAGGAGTTTGAGACCAGCCTGGCCAACATGATGAAACCCCGTCTCAACTAAAAATACAAAAAATTAGTCAGGCATGGTGGCGGCTGCCTGTAATCCCAGCTACTCGGGAGGCTGAGGCAGGAGAATCGCTTGAGCCCGGGAGGCGGAGGTTACAGTTAGCTGAGATCACGCCACTGCACTCCAGCCTGAGTGACAGAGCGAGACTCCGTCTCAAAAAAAAAAAAAAAAAAAAAAAGAAATGGAATACAGATACAATATAAAAGAGAGCTTAAGGAAAAAAAAAACCTATATTCCTGAATTTGAGTTGGACATATCAATATGATCTCACAACAGTTTATTTTTAAAAAGAATGTGCACACACACACACACACACACACACACACACACACTTCATAGCTCTGTCTGCTGAAGAGGCCTACAAACAACGACCAACACAGCAGTAATGAGCAACCCTGGCACCCAAATTGTGGCCTTGACATTCCATTTCCCATGAAAAGGAATCAGTACCAGATCTGGTACTGGAAATGTACAAGATAATCCTGGAATCTTGTCATAAGAGCCGATAGTGAGAAAGCTGTTAATATCTATTAGGGTCAAGTCAAAAGGGTGTGGGAGCCAACTCCAGGAGTCTCTCACGGGCCGCAGATGAGATAATTTGAGCTTCAAGAAGTTAATAAATGCAATTTGACTGAAACCTGCCTAATATGCTTAAATTCATGAGTTCACAATGATCTTTTTAAAAATAGTTACCTTTGGGGAATGATAGGGAACCAAATCATTTTCTTGAAAACTGATAAAGGGACAAAGAATAAAGCATTTATGTTGCCTTTCCTAAATAAACTGTAGTATCAGTAACCAAATGATAAATGAACAAAAGCATCTCTATAAAAGTGTTGCAATTAATAAATGAAAAAGAATTGTTGGTTGGAATTTGTATATCACCATTTTGCAACCACCAATCAATTTCATGGATCTTCTAGGCATTGAAGCATCTCAGCTGCTAACATCACAAGAGTGACAACCAGACATTCTGTGCCCCCTGATGAGAGCACATGTAGTCTTGCTAAAGGAATTAAGCTTGAACCAGATCTGGCCCCTGCATTGACCTGCCAATTTGCAGGAAACATGGAGTACAGAGAAATATATTGCCATGCACATGCAATCACCCAAATCCAGGCTGTGAAAAATCCAGATTTGAGTGAGGACCTTGAAAGTAAAAGAGACTTAAAAAACAAATCATTTTTTTTTCATGAGCAAGACTAACATGTAATGTTTGAGGATGTACACTTGGGTGATATAAAGAAATGCAAGGAAGTAATTACTATAAAGTCAAGGTCAAGGTTGGTGAGTTGAAATTGGATGGGGCTTCTGGGTTGGCTGGCAGAGTTCTTTCTTGAATTTGGTGGTTGTTACTAAGGTGTTTGCCTTGTAAGAACCAGTTAAGCTACACTTTGGTGTTACACGGCTTTATGTAGCTATATTTTATTTTACTTTAATAAAAATAAAGTCCTGAGCTATTACTGTTTTTTTCCTTATGGTAGAAAATATTTATTTCAAATGCCCAGTCATGGCTAGGCGCAGTGGCTCACGCCTGTAATCCCAGCACTTTGGGAGGCCGAGGCGGGAGGATCATTTGAGGTCAGGAGTCTGAGACCAGCCTGGCCAACATGGTGAAACCCTGTCTCTACTAAAAATACAAAAATTAGCTGGGTGTGGTGGTGGGTGCCTGTAATCCCAGCTACTCAGGAGACTGAGGCAGGAGAATTGCTTGAGCCCAGGAGGCAGAGGTTGCAGTGAGCAGAGATCGCACCATTGTGCTCCAGCCTGGGCAACAAAGCAAGACTCCGTCTCCAAAAACAACAACAACAAACCCAAATGCCCAGTCATCATCCATTTAGATTCAATTTTATGCATATGTTGCAGGAGTCACTGCTTGATATTATTTTATTACTCGTTTGAGATTTCTCTTCTAAAGTGAGAGAACTTTGTTGATTATTTGCCTTAAGTCTAGAACATTACTGGTAACTTCTCTATACAGTATTCTTTGTCGAAAAATATCTTTGCATTGACTGATAAGAATTTTCATACTTATTTTTAAGATGAAGTGAAAATGAAGCAACTTTTTAATATTCTCATGCCTAAAAAGAGGAAGAGCTGGAATTGAAACTGTCATTAATTCTACCCAGATTGTCATTGGTATTTCCAGTATTCCATCATGACTAAAATCTAGAGTTAATTCTCACTGAACTTTGTATACTGTATTGTATGTAGCATAGTGGCCTATATCAAATTTACCAGGCAAATATATCTTTTAAACATTTTAATTGTGGTAAAATATACACAACATTAAATTTACCATCTTAACCATTTTTAAGTATACAGTTAAGTAGTATGAAGTATGTTCACATTGTTGTGCAACCAATCTCCAGAACTTTTTCATCTTGCAAAACTGAAACTCTGTACCCCTTAAACAACAACTATTCATTTCCCCTCCCCAGCCCCTGGTAACCACCATTCTACTTTCTGTCTCCATAAATTTGACTACTTTAGGTACTTCGTATAAGCAGAATCATACAGTAGTTGTCTTTCTGTGACTGGCTTATTTCTTTTAGCATAATGTCCTAAAGGTTCATCCCAGTACAACTTTTATTTTATTTATTTATTTATTTTATTTTTTTGAGATGCAGTCTCACTCTGTCACCCAGGCTGGAGTGCAATGGCAGGATCTTGGCTCACTGAAACCTCTGCCTCCCCAGTTCAAGCCATTCTGCCTCAGCCTCCCAAGTAGTTAGGATCACAGGCATCCGCCACCACACCCGGCTAATTTTTGTATTTTTAGTAGAGATGGGGTTTCACCATGTTGGCCAGGCTAGTCTCGAACTCTTGACCTCAAGTGATCCGCCCGCCTTGGCCTCCCAAAGTGCTGGGATTACAGGCGTGAGCCACCTCGCCTGGCCACAATTTTCTTTTTTTTAGAGATAGTCTCACTATGTTTCCCAGGCTAGTCTCCAACTCCTGGCCTCAAGTGATCCTCCTGCCTCAGTCTCTCAAGTCATTGGAATTACAGGCATGAGCCACCATGCCTGGCCACAAACAATTTTATGGGGCCACTTTACCAAGTTCTTCCCTTCTGGGAGGGAAAGAGGCCCCACCTTCCTGGAACCACAGCTCCACAGATGGCAGAGGAGGGTTCCCCTCCCTCAGAGTTGTGGCTCCTATGAGGTGCCATTTGGCCACTGCCAAGGCTACCATGAGATTGCTTAGGGGCCTGGACACAGGAGACAAGAGAAAATAAAATAGTGGAGGATTTTCATACTGTCTCTGAGCTCTAGGAGTTCTCTTTCCTATTTCTCAAGCCAGAGCTAGAGGGCTTCCCTAGATCTCTGTCTGCACCATAGTGCTCACTTCTGGGCTTCAATCTGCCTTAAGTTCAGGCTGGAGAATACTGGAGGGGGAAAAAAGGATGAATACTACATTTTAGTGCTACTGCAAATGTTGATCTTCTTCCTCAGTCCTCCTGCTATTTACTTTTCTGAGCCCTGAAATAGCTGGTTCTGGTATTTTGTCCAGATTCTACAGCTGAATGAAATCTGTGAAGTCTGTCTCCCCTGCAAGGTACAGCTGCTGATGTCTCTGCTCAGTGATTTTTTCTTGTTTTGTATCCTTAAGGCTGGCTTTCTAGGGGTCATCCCCTGTCTGTACAGCTTGGTGTTCAACCGAAGGTTGATCAGAGGTTGTGTTCAATCATGTCAAGCCATCTTTGACTTGCTTTGCCCCGGGGAGCACATTCAAACCTCAGGCCTTTTACAAGCCAGACCTGGCTTTTACTTTCTGACAGGCTTGCTCATGTCTCCTCTGTGCATCCACAGGCTCAGAAGGTCACGGATATGGGGGTGGTTTGGGTCTGCTGTGATCCCTGCTACCCATGTGCATGGTCTCCAGTCTGCCCAAGATAGAGGGAGACTTTGTCAAGTCCTCCATGGATTGCTTACATTCCAGATCTCCATGTTCAATTCCCAGCAGATCAGTCCATTGCTTGCCCCAAAAAGGCTGTAAGGTGAATCTAAGGGTGCTGCTGGCCCTCTCCATTTGCTTGCTGTGGAGACAGTTACTTAAAATGACCATGCTCCAAATGCGGTTAGCCATCTCCAGCAGCGGCAGTGAAGCCTGTTGTTTTCATGGCCTCCCTTGTCCTGGTTGAACCATGGCACTGACAAAGCTGGAGGAAGGATAGGAGCCACACTGGGAAAAAGCCCACCATAGACTCACTGTTCTGAGCCAAAGTTGAGTCGTTTCGATGAATAAAACACCTCTCAGCTTGTACTTATGTGTTCAGCTGAATTCCAGAATACTGAAAGGGTTGCTTTTGACACTTTTCCCCAGCTTTTAGAGTTGCTTTCCAGGGAGAGGACTTGCCAACCTCCTTACTCCCTCATGCCAGGAGCACAATCTGCCTTATGTTTTTTCTTTTCTTTTTATTAAAAAAAATTTGGTTCGGGGCGGGGTCTCACTATGTTGCCCAGGCTGGACTGGGCTGAAGCGATCCACCTGCCTCAGCCTCCTAAAGTGCTGGGATTACAGGCATGAGCCACCGCGCCTGGCCATGCCTTCTATTTTTTTTTTTTTTCAATGAAAAGAGTATATTCTTTTATTGGTTTTTGTTCATACATGTTAAGTTTCAACTTTCAATAATAAAATTCAATAAATTTGATTCCTTAATCATAAAAACTGGCTTTACACATTATTTACATGTTGTCAAAGTCCATACAAAACATCACAAGGATTTGATTGACTCTATGCATGGTACCATCACACAGGAGGAGGGAGCTAATCCAGTAACATACATTCAAAGATTAAATTGCAGATATGCACAGTGTATTTGGCACTGTTCATTAATATTATAACACCTTCCTCTCAAAGACAGGCATTCTTAAGCGTTAGTCACGATATACCAGAATTTGCTATTCACATTAAAACCACCTTTTAAACTTTATAACAGTAACCGATTATTATAGTTTTAAGAAACAAAACACAATGAGAACTGGGAATGGAATTCAAATCCTCCAACTTCTTGCTATGCTCCAAGCTGCCATCCATAAAACAGGTTTAATTCGGTAATTTTTCCATTGTGGGGAGTGTCAACAAGAAACAATTTAAAGACAGTATTTTCCAATACAAATAAAGACACATACTTTTGTTTAAAATTACCAGTTCTTCTTGGGAGTGCAAAGGGAGCCTTGATGATGTACAACTTGTGATGCTTGTGGCAGGAATTATAGAACAACCAATGCCATTCAAGTTGTGGAGATTGTACTAGCAGGTGAACTCATAAAGAGAAGGTTCTGGAATGACTACATCTGAAATCAGAATCCTAGTAGTTTGTAGTTTGCCTCTTCCTAGAACTTCAATAGACTCAAATCATAGGCTACAGATGTACTTTCAAGTATATACTTATGAATGGAAGGAGAAAATAAAAGCATGAAAATGCAAATAATAAACCTTTACTGGCTTGGGCTATATTCCAGTAGGTAATTTATTTGACTAACTTAACTTTAACAACGATTAAATCCCTTCATTTTAATCAGGTCCATTAAATTTCATTCATTAAAGCTATACATACTCCAGAATGTTTATAAGACATTTATACCTATCATGTTTACAAAAGGCATAAATTCAGTCTTCAGCGGCACTACAAATGCCTCAATATAATATAATCACAGTATAAGGAATCAGAAATTCTCTGATTAGATATGCTGTAGCTTCACACAAAACTCTCAGTAATAAATTAAAACAAAAAAAAAAAGTCGTACAATGTATAATGGATTATGCAGTGCAAAGTAATGTCACTGGACCAAAATTTAGTTTAATCATTTTTATTTCAAGTGTATTTAAAAAATCATAAATGGGGTTTCATAATCCAAAGTTGAAACATTTATT
Source organism: Homo sapiens (assembly GCF_000001405.40). Classification (NCBI taxonomy): domain Eukaryota; kingdom Metazoa; phylum Chordata; class Mammalia; order Primates; family Hominidae; genus Homo; species Homo sapiens. The sequence goes on from NC_000023.11 coordinate 47,511,106, forward strand.
CTTCATAGCTTCAGAATTTAACAACCAATTGTAGACCATGCTTTCCAAATCCAGTCTTCTTTGCTATTTTTCAAAACTTCTGAGATCTAGTATTAAACTGCTCCATTCTAAATGTATAGTTTTAGATAAGTATTGTACACTTGTTGATAAGGGTTTTCTGAAAACAGTCTATCAAATATAAAGAATGGTTTCTATCTAAGAATCAGCAGTGAGGGAAGAAATATTAAACACCTATCAAGAAATCAATTATTCATTTTAAAAATAACAGAACCAGTGCTGCTCTCTGTCATAAAAGAGAACATGTAAAATTTATTTTTATAGACTTTGGTAATATTTTATTTCCCCACAGAGGCCTTCAATCCTACTTAAAGATATTTTACACACAGTAACCATCAGGATTTACTGAGTAAAAATCTCAGGTATTAACCATGCCCCTAAAATGTGCTATTCCAAAGAGGAACAGGTTACTTTTGAGGAAAAAAGCTGCCTTGGTAACTTCCCTCAAATGTTTATTTTAAATAAAAATGGTTGATGGAAATATTTTTTAAAAGAACTTTGGGTATAATATGGCATACTGCCCATCAAACAAAAAAGGAAACCAAAACTTTCTTTCCATTTATAATAAGTTTTCCACCTTTACTATCAAGATTACAACTTATTGACCTTTTATGCTTGCTTGGTTTTTTTGACTGCCTAATCCAATGTTTAAATTTTTAAAAGTCTGCATTTCAATGTAGTAGGAGTTATTTTTCAAATAATCTTCAGAACCCAGAATACAGAGCAACTCTCAGAATACCAGAGCAACACTCTCAAGTCATACTTTTGAACCCAGAATACCAGAATACCAGACTTCAGAACCCAGAATACCAGAGCAACACTCTCAAGTCATACTTTTGACTACAATTAAGAGATGAAAATGGACGGATATCTGAAGATAGGTATTCCCTCTGCTCTGAAGGTGAGCAAGATTTTAACATGTGAGCAACACAGAACTCCACTCCTCTGGAGCTCCTTTCAACTCAGAATGCTTCAGTTCAGTAAGTCAATATATTATTCTTAAAAATTAAAGTTTGGTCACTAAGAAGGACTGAACAAAAATTATTCCCCTCCCGCCAAACACAACCAGAACAGTTCTAATCAGGCCCTCTTCTCCCCACAAAAATAGGGAAGTAGCTGGGCTGAAGACTTTAAGTGTGACATTTCAGTTCCTAAAACATCACTGCTATTTGCTCAAAGTTGTAGGTCTATGTATTTCCTTCTCCAATACGTCCCCATTTATAAGTTTATTTCCATGCATACAAACGTGCACATGTGTGCACGTGCACACCCACACACACACACTCACTCTCAAGTAAGACACTTTTTTGTGTTTGTTGATAAATTATGAGGATTATGAACCAGGTGTGTACAGGGTTTCATAGGTGCTTTGTAAACATCAGAGTCACTTGGGTCCTTTCCTCCACAAGCCTCAAATCAAATTACGCAACCAATGACCACTACTTTCCCAGACGCTGTTCACAGGCTGCATATTGACGAAGGGCAGAGAAAAAGTCCTCATAACTGATGTTTAGGTGGGAAGGCAAAGAGACAATCTCAGTCAATCTGATGTGCCAGGGAAGAAAGCCTAATGTGCTGTCCACAGGACCGAACTTCAATACTAAATCAGGATCAGGACAACCATTTGAACTAAGTAAACTGCCTAACGTATCTACATCCAAATCTGTGGGTCTCTTTTGCTTCTGGGCCACTAACTGGCAAAAGTCCTGAGCAGCTCTTACAATATCTGCTTTTCCATCTTCCGGAGACAGCACCTTCACTGCCAAATGGCAATTTAAAACTTGATCGTCTTTGTCATTACTATTTGCAAATTCTGGTGAGTATTTTGAACAATCTAGGCCCAGAAGTTCTTGCTGTTGTTTTAAAATTTCATCCATCAATCTGGAATTATTTCTTTTGAAAATACCTTGGTGGTCGTAGACGCTAATGTAGGAGATGCCCACGGCCATACACCACACCACGAGGCTCGCGATGTCCGAGAAGCTGGGTTCCTGCTCCACCTCGGTGATCACCAGGCCCATATGCACAGGCAGCTTCTCCAAGGAACGACCGTCCGCGCGCCAGCGCATCCGGTGGTGTGCGGCTGCCAGGCACGACCCCCCGCGCGGGTGCCGGTGGTGACGGCGGTTCCTGCCGACTGCCGGGGGCTTGCGGAGCGTGAAGCCGAGCGGCGCTAGGACCGCGGCAGAGGCGGCTCGGCAGCAGCGCCGCCAGATCCAGTTCCAGGTGCCGAACCGAACGCGGAGCCAGGAGGTGAGCGTGCGGTGCAGACAGAGCAGCGCGTGCAGCACCCGCCACACCAGCTCGTACAGCCCCGTCATACTCTTGTGGCCCTCGGACAACCCCTCTCCCTCCCGCCCACTCCCGCAGCGCGACGGCTTTTTATCCGCCCCTGCGGCCGCGCGGGCCATCGCTCCGCGTCCCCCCGCCCCCCGAGCCCGAACCCCTTTCCACTGCCAACATCTCACCTCGCCCCCGCCGCCATCTTCCCATGCCTTCTATTTTATACAAGCAAAAAGAATAGAAGAAAGCAGCTTACCTGCCACCAGCCCCAAACCTCACTTTAAAATCAAGTCAGTCCACATGGCCAAGGATGCTTGTCTTTTCACAGACATCCTCGAAATGAAACATCTGCTGCCTGCTAACAGCATGATGAAGACTCCAAACTTTCCCATCAACCACACGCTCTCCTGGAATACATCACTCCACCGTTATCTTCCTCTATATTCCAGAACTGAATTCTCATGACCTTTAACCTCCAGTCACTTCCCCAAATTGGAATGTGTAGGGCAGCAGTGAACTGCATAACCGGACCTAACATGCTTACGAAAACGTCTCCCACTTTTTCATTTTCAACCTCTCCATTACAAGTATTCCCATCCTTAAGCTTGGATATAGCTCTATTTCATTCATATATCCAATCTGAGATCCTCTTTCATTATTAGGTGAGTTAAATCATTTATATTCAGTGTGAGCTTTTGGCCTTCTCTCTAAAGCAGTGAGTCTTTTTTTTTTTTTTTTTTTTTTTTTTTTAATGGGACAAAGTCTCGCTCTGTTGCTCAGGCTGGAGTACAGTGGGGCGCGGTCTTGGCTCACTGCAACCTCCACCTCCTGGGTTCAAGTGATTCTCCTGCATCAGCCTCCCGAGTAGCTGGGATTACAGGCATGCACCACCACACCTGGCTAATTTTTGTATTTTTAGTAGAGACGGGGTTTCACCATGTTGGCCAGGCTGGTCTCCAACTCCTGACCTCAGGTGATCTGCCCGCCTCAGTCTCCCAAAGTGCTGAGATTACAGGTGTGAGCCACCATGCCAGGCTGAGCCGAGAGTCTAGCAGTGAGTCTTAACAGGGGGTGGTCTTGCCCCCCACGGGACATTCAGGAATATCTGTAGACGTTTGTTTTGATTTTCACAATGAGGTGCTATCAGCATCTAGTTTGTAGAAGCCAGAGATGCTGCTAAACATCCTACAATGCACAGTCTGCTCCACCCACCACGAAGGAGTTGTTATAGATGTTCAAGAGTCATATATTCTATTTCTTAATAATTATCTCCTAGAGATGCAATCGTTGACATTTCTGGGCTGTGAATCACTGGCCCAGTACACACGCTATAAATCACCTCCATAGAACACCCTGTTTTCTGACTTCCAAAGGCTCCTAATCACTGCTTCACACGCTCAGCAACACTGACCCCAGGATCTGGTGTTGATTAACAAACACTGATCCATAATCACTTCCATCTACTGTCCCCCCAAAACTCACTTACTTCATCCCCAAACCCCTTAATTACAAACACTTAATCACTAAGAAGCATAGATTTCATAAGACTAAGGCCCCACCCAGACCACATGGAACAAAAGCTACCCCACAGGCACCAGTCATATGGCCTCTAACCACTGACCCCTAGAGCACCCATATCCCAGAAGCCCACCAGTCACTATCTTGTAGCTTGGAAGTTGTCACTCCCATCCTCACAAGAAAAAGAGCTGAACAAACGGAAACAAAACAACTCTTCCCAGATTTGTCAGAGAATTGAGGGCACAGGGCAAACTGATGCCCTGAAAAAGTGGAAAGACAGCAATACAGAGAATCACAGCTTATCAGGAGCAGGCATGAGTAGGAAAAGGTAAACCAACAGATCAACTATTGGAGTCTGAGCTGCTCTCAACTACTGGACATGAAGTTCCTCTGTCCCCTCATCCCTGCCAAAACATGGCATGATCCAGCTCTCCAATTTATGGCAGGTGTAATGGGGCAGGTGTAAATAAGTTGATTACATCATGTTTCCTTTTATTTATTTATTTTTTTGAGACGGAGTCTTGCTCTGTTGCCCAGGCTGCAGTGCAGTGGCGCAATCTCGGCTCACTGCAACCTCCACCTCCCTGGTTCAAGGGATTCTTCTGCCTCAGCCTCCCAAGTAGCTGGGATTACAGGCACCCACCACCATGCCCGGCTAATTTTTATATTTTTAGTAGAGACAGGGTTTCACCATGTTGGCCAGGCTGGTCTCGAACTCCTGACCTTAGGTGATCCGCCCGCCTCCCAGGCCCGGTCCAGTGTTTATCTTTTTGTGACTGATTTATTTCACTTAGCATAATGTCCTCAAGGTTGATCCATGTTGTAGCATGCATCAGAATAGCTCCTTTTTAAGGCTGAAGAATATTCCATTGTATGGATAAACCATTTTTTATTTATCTATTCATCCATTGATGGACATTGCTTCCATCTCATGGCTATTGTGGATAATGCTGCTATAAGGCTGGGTGCACTGGCTCATGCCTGTAATCCTAGTAGTTTGGGAGACCAAGGCAGGAGGATTGCTTGAGGCCAGGAGTTTGAGACCCGCCCGGGCAACATAGCGAGACTCAGTCTCTATGAAAAATGAAAGAATTAGTCAAGCGCACTGGTGCATGCCTGTGGTCCCAGCTACTAGGGAAGCTGAGGTTGGAGGATTGCTTGAGCCTGGGAGTTTGAGGCTGCAACGAGCCATGATCATGCTATTGTACTTCAGCCTGGGAAAAAAAACTGCGGCTATGAACATGAGTGTGCAAATATCTCTTCAAGACTCGGCTTTCAATGTTTTTGATATATGCTCAGAGGTGAAATTGATGAATTATATTGTAGATCTATTTTTATTTTTTTGAGGAAGCTCCAAACTGTTTCCTATCAGTTGCACAATTTTACAGTCCCACCAAAAGTGCACCAGAGTTCAAATTTCTCCACATTCTCACCAACACTTGTTATTTTCTGTGGCTTGTCTCCTGCCCCTCCGCAAGCAACAGGAAATACTAGAGACAGAGGCCCAGCCATTGACTAGCACCTTAGTCAATGCCAGGCCCTGACTCATCCCTCCATTTATTCCAGTCACAGTGACAAGATGAAGGAGAAAGGACACATAGGTGTGGAGAACACAGGAAGAGAGGTCCTGACTGGGGAGGACAGTGAGGGGAATTGAATTGGGGGAGCTTCCATTTCTCACCTCTACTCTCTCAGTTTCACTGTGAGACAGAGTAAAACCCTGTCTTAAAAACAAAACAAAACAAAAACAAACAAACAAACAAAAAACAGGCGGGGGCGGGCATGATGGCTCATGCCTGTAATCCCAGAACTTTGGGAGGCCTAGCTGGAAGGATCACTTGAGCCTAGGAGTTCAAAGCCAGCCTGGGTAACATAGTGACACCCTGTCTCTACAAAGAATTAAAAAAATTATCCGAGTGTGGTAGCGTGCACCTGTGGTCCCAGCTACTCAGGAGGCTGAGGCGGGAGGATCGCTTGAGCCCAGGAGGTCAATGCTGCAGTGAGCTGTGATTGTGCCACTGCACTCCATCCTGAGCAACAGAGCAAGGCCTTGTCTCAAATAAATAAATAAATAAAAATTAAAAGAGCTCAAATAAACTGAGACAGAGGTTGAAAAATGGTTACAATGGGTAGGGGTTGGAGGGGAGATGAAGGTCTGAGGATACAAAATAGCAGATACCTACGATGAACAAGTCTGGAGGCCAATGTACAACATGAGGACTAAAGTTGATACAATTGTATTAGGGATTTTTGCTAAATAAGTGGATTTCAGCTGCTCTCCTCACAGAAAGTAACTGTGAGATGATAGATACTATGCTAATCTGCTTCGCTATAGTAATCATTGTACTATCTACATGTATCTAGTCATGTACGTATCCCATGACATTATGTTGCAAACCTCAACTATACACAATAGCATTTATTTAAAAATAAAATAAAAATAGGCTGGGCGCTGTGGCTCATGCCTGTAATTCCACCACTTTGGGAGGTTGAGGTGGACAGATCACTTAAGGCCAGGAGTTCGAGACCAGCCTGGCCAACATGGTGAAACCCCATCTCTACTAAAAATACAAAAATCAGCTGGGCGTGGTGGCGGGCGCCTGTAATCCCAGCTACTTGGGAGGCTGAGGCAGGAGAATTGCTTGAGCCCAGAAAGCAGAGGTTGCAGTGAACCAAGATGGTGCCACTGCACTCCAGCCTGGATGACAAAGTAAGACTCTGTTTCAAAAATAAATAAATAAAAATAAAAATAAAATATACACTTAATTTCAAAGTGTGTGATATACTTTGTAGTCACTTCCAGGCACTGCCTAGGCTAAAAGTCACTTCCACTTGGTTATATTGGACCCAGGATGGTGAGGAATTTGCATTCAGCCCTGACCACGTGCTCCCCACATGGGTGCAGGAGGACAAATTTGTCAGGCAGCACCACTGGATGAAGACTTGGCATCTTCCGGCCCAATGTGGAGACAACTCTGTCTTCATCCTTCTAACTGACTAGGGTAGGAAGAGTGATTTACAGCTCTAGCTACCATAGGCCTGAGACATATCTCATAACAGAGGTGCTGGGAGAGCCGCCTTTTCCCCCCAGAACCCACCTGCCTGCCTGGCCCGGGGACCGTGGGGACCTGGGCTCCCTGGGGGATGGGGCAGAAGTGGCAGTAAAATAAATGGAGCGAGTAGAGGTGAGAAATAGAAGCTCCCCCCATTTGATTCCCCTCACTCTCCTCCCCAGTCAGGACCTCTCTTCCTGTGTTCTCTGCACCTGACGTGTCCCTTCTCTTCCAGCTTGTCAATGTGACCGGAATAAATGGAGGGATGAGTCAGGGCCTGGCATTGATCAAGGAGCTGGGAGGGAGGGTCTGGGCCTCTGTCTCTAGTACTTCCTGTTATTGGCAGCAAGGCGGGAGATAAGTCAGACCCCTGCATTCAGTTGCTAGAGAGGTGGCTGAGAGGAAGTCACTGAAGGGACCAAGAAGTGACATTTGTCATTTTCTCTCCTGCCTCCAGCTTTCTTTGGCTCACATTTCCACCCTATGCCCTAGGCTGCCCTGACATTCAGCCCTGCTGCCCCAGTGCCCTCCAGGACTTGTATCCCCACCCATCCATTGTACAGCAAATTCTGATCCAGAATATATTAGGATGTGAAACCCCATGTGTTCTTGATCTTCGATCTCTAATTGCCATGGTTAAGATAGAAATGACATTCTTGAGGTTCATCTATTTGAGAGAAAGAATCTAATCTACAGCTGACTGTGGCTCTGCCCTTCCCCATCTCCATTTCTTGATCCTTGTTAAGATAATGTAGAATTTGGGATTCATATAGTTATCAATATACTGTTTTATATAATAATCTTTTGGTTCAGCCTGGGCAACATGGTGAAACTCCATCTCCACAAACAAATATAAAAATTAGCTGGGTGCAGTGGTGTGTGTCTATAGTCCCAGCTACTCAAGAGGCTGAGGTGGGAGGATCACTTGAGCCCCGGAGGCAGAGGTTGTGGTGAGCCAAGATCACACCACTGCACCCTAGCCTGGGTGACAGAGGGAGAGACCCTGTCTAAAAATAACAACAACAGCAACGAGAATAATCCTTTGGTCATATGTTGACCAAAGGTTACAGTTTTATAACTGGATGGATATATATATATATATATATATATATATATATATATATATTTTTTTTTTTTTTTTTTTTTTGAGACAGGGTCTCACTCTTTTGCCCAGGTTGGAGTGCAGTGGCGAAATCTCGGCTCACTGCAACATCCGCCTCCCGGGTTCAAGCGATTCTCTTGCCTCAACCTACTGAGTAGCTGGGACTACAGGCCTGTGCCACCACGCCCAGCTAATTTTTGTATTTTTAGTAGAGATGGGGTTTCCTCATGTTGGCCAGGCTGGTTTCGAACTCCTGGCCTCAAGTGATCTGCCCGCCTTGGCCTCCTGAAGTGCTGGGATTACAGGCGTGAGCCACCGCGCCTGGCCTGAAGGCATAATTTTTAAACCATAATTATGTTTTTGTTTTGTTTTTGTTTTTGTTTTAAGAGACGGGGTCTCACTCTGTTGCTCAGGCTTGTCTTGAATTCCTGGGCTCAAGCGATCCTCCCACTTCGGCCTCCCAAAGTGCTGGGATTACAGGCACGAGCCACTGCTCCTGGCCTCATAATTATGTTTAACCTGCTTCATTTTTCACTGCCAGGCTCAGCAGTGTCCAATAGAAATATAACGTGAGCCACCTATGTAATTTTAAATTTTCTTGAAACCACTTTATAAAAAGTAAAAAGAAACAAGTGAAATTAATTTTAATCATATATTTTATTTAACTCAATAGCTCCTAAATTGCATCATTTCAGCATGTAATCAATATAAAAATATTAATGAAATATTTTACAATCTGACCCAACAAGCTGGTAGATCTGACATGAAAACGTGTCTACCCATTAGGATGTCTATAATTTAAAAAAAACATAGAAAATAACAAGTGTTGGTGAGAACGTAGAGAAATTGGAACCCTGGTGCACTGCACTGTTGGTGTGATTGTAAAATGGTGCAACTGATATGAAATAGTTTAGAGGTTCCTCAAAAACTTAAAACTAGAACCACCATATAATCCAACAATTTCATTTCTGAGTATACATCAAAAGAATTGTGCCCGGCATGGTGGCTCATGCCTGTAATCCCAGTGCCCTGGAAGGCTGAGGCGGTGGGTGGATCGCTTGAGCCCAGGAATTCAAGACCAGCCTAGGCAACATGGTGAAACCCTGTCTCTACCAAAAAAAAATTAAAAAGTTTGGCAGGAGTGGTGGTATGTGCCTGTAGTCCCAGCTACTTGAGAGGCTAAAGCAGGAGGATCTCTCTCTTTTTTTTTTTTTTTTTTGAGACAGAGTCTCACTCTGTTGCCCAGGCTGGAGTGAAGTGGCATGCTCTCGGCTCACTGCAACCTCGCCTCTTGAGTTCAAGTGATTCTTGTGCCTCAGCCTCCCTAGTAGCTGGGATTACAGGTGCGCGCCACACACCTGGCTAATTTTTATATTTTTAGTAGAGACGGGGTTTCACCATGTTGGCCAGGCTGGTCTCAAACTCCCGACCTGAGGTGATCCGCCCACCTCAGCCTCCCAAAGTGCTAGGATTATAGGCGTGAGCCACCACGCCCCGCCTTGGGAGGATCTCTTGAGCTCAGGAGATTGAGGCTGCAGTGAGCCAAGATTTTGCTACTGCACTCCAGCCTGGGCAACAGTAAAACCCTGTCTAAAAAAAAAAAAAAGAAGAAGAAGAAGAAAAAGAATTGAAAGCAGGGTCTTGAAGAGATATTTGTACACCCGTGCTCATAGCGTTATTTTTATTTGAGGCAGGGTCTTGTTCTATTGCCCAGGCTGGAGTGCAGTAGCGCAATCTTGGCTCACTGCTACCTTGACCTTCTGGGCTTAAGGAATCCTTTCACCTCAGCCTCCTGAGTAGCTGGGACCACAGCCACACACCACCACATCAGACTAATTTTTAAATTTTTTGTAGAGACAAAAAGTCTTACTATGTTGCCCAGGCTGGTCTCGAACTCCTGGGTTCAAGTGATCCTCCCACCTAGAGCTCCCAAAGTGTTGGGATTACTGGTACGAGCCACTGTGCCTGGCCCTCCCTCACTTTTTTACAAGACAGTGTCTCATTCTGTCTCAAAGTGAGACTGAGGGAATAGAGGTGAGAAATGGAAGCTCCCCCCATTTGATTCCCCTCACTCTTCTCCCCAGTTAGGACCTCTTTTCCTGTATTTTCTGCACCTGACGTGTCCTTTCTCTTTCATCTTGTCCCTGTGACTGGAATAAATGGAGGGATGAGTCAGGGCCTGGCATTGATCAAGGAGCTAGGCATTGATCAAGGAGCTAGAAGAGAGAGCTGGGCCTCTGTCTCTAGTACTTCCTGTTACTGGCAGAAGGGCGGGAGACAAGTCATAGAAAACAACTTTCCCAAAATAAAGTGTTGACGAGAATATGGAGAAATTGGAACTCTGGTGCACTGTTGGTGGGATTGTAAAATGGTGCAACCAGGCTGGCGCAGTGGGTCATGCCTGTAATCCCAGTACTTTGGGAGGCTGAGGTGGGTGGATCATTTGAGGTTAGGAGCTTGAGACCAGCCTGATCAATATGGTGAAACCCCATCTCTGCTAAAAATACATAAAACTAGCCAGGCATGGTGGTGGGTGCCTGTAAGCCCAACTACTCGGGAGGCTGAGGCAGGAGAATCACTTGAACCTGGGAGGCAGAGGTTGCAGTGAGCGAAGATTGTGCTACTGCACTCCAGCTTGGGCGACAGAGCCAGACTCTATCTCTAAAAAAATAAAATAAAATGTGCAACCAATAGGAAATAGTTTGGAGTTTCCTCAAAAAATTAAAAATAGAACTACCATATAACTCAGCCATTTTACTTCTGAGTATATATAAAAAAGAATTGAAAGCAGGGCCTTGAAGTGATATTTGCACACCCACATTCAGAGCAGCATTATTTTTTTCTCAAGCTGGAGTGCAATGGTGTGATCATAGCTCACTGCAGCCTCAAACTCTCAGGCTCAAGTGATCTTCTTGCCTTGGCCTCCCAAGGTGTGGGGATTACAGGTGTGAGCCACTGTACCCAGCCTGAGCTCTTTTAAAAATATTCTACATATAAGTGAAGTCATGAAATATTTTTCTGCCTGTGTCTTAAGCAAAGCTATCCTTCAAAAATGAAGGAGAAATTAAAGTTTTTCCCTGACAAGAAAAAGCTGACGGAATTTATCACCACTAGACCAGTCTTAAATGTGGATTTCTAAACCTTGCTAGTCAGTTTGCCAATATTTTAACTTATACCTGTAGCATTTTAATGTCTATTTTATTCCATAAAGATGTATTGGGTACCAGATGTGTGCTTGACACATGGTTACCTGTGGGTCTTTTTATTTCAATTTCATCTTTTACACCAAAAGCTTCTAGGCCTGCCTCCACTATCCAGGTGCCCTGCACTCTCCATTAGGGTGCTGGGGCTAGGGCTCAGATGCCTAGATTCTCCTGAGAACCATCAGCCAGGGAAGAGGAGTTGGGAATGGAAAGCTGCCTTGTTTGTCCGGTACATATGCATATGTAGTTACTGGGGAATTGTAGTTACTGGGAAATTAAATCAGGGCCAACATGTGCATGTTTCTAACGTGGGGATAGATTTCTTCAATTCATTAGATCAATTGAGAGATTCTTAACTGTTTTGAACAGACAAATGTTGACAGGAGTTTATTTCCAGAGGCATATGGACTAAGAGTTTAGGTCTGTGGTGTATATCAGGGTGGGGATTGTTAAGGAAAAGGGATATCTGGGTATTAGGGGAAGGGGTGCACAGATATGTAGGACCGACCCACAGGCCTGGGTGACATCTGGACATCGCCTTACCAAGGAGCCCCGGTGCCCTCCTCAAGCCCTGCCCAGCTCCTTTTCCTGCCTGGCCACAGCCTGGGATGTACCTGGCTTCCCTTTATCTATAAAAAGGAAAGGCTTCCATTTATTTTAATATGAATTTATGCACATTCTACAAAGGCATTACCACACCTGCAGAAAACCATTGTTCGTACTTGGAGGGAGTTTTGATGATCATTCCTGTTCTGTGTATAGTTCACATTTTTACATGGAGATTTCTGTGTGTGTATCCTGCCTTTTTTGCTTTAATAGTACATGAAAATAATTTCCCATGATGTTACATAGTATTGATAAACAATTTTTCAAATGGTTCCATAATATTTTTAAAGAGACTGTCTACCTGAGTTTCTTTAATTTCATATTCCCTGTGGCTTCAGATGTTTCCTTTTTTAAGGATAATGCTTTGATAAGTATCTTTACACGCGTACGCGCACACACACATCCATCTCTGATCCATCAATCTATCAAAAGAAGAGGAGGATGGAGAAGATGGAGGAGGTGAGGGAAGAGGAAAGGAGGAGGGCTGCTCCTTCACGTCGTGAGCTCTGCGGGTGGTTGCGGAGCCTGGGTGAACACGACCGTGACCGTGGCTGCGAAGGCGGGCCCCGCCCTCTGACTGCGGACTACGCGGCGGCGCCTGTGCCGCAGTAGCGCTGGACCTTGGCCTCTGGCGGTCTCTGGCGCCCCCTCCCGTTCGCATCGTGAAGCTGGGCCGAGCCCGCTGCCCGCCGTTCCTCGCTCCTGTCTGCACCTCCTCCTCCGTTTTGCTTCCCTGCAGCTTTTGCCCCGCCCCCCTTCCCCTGCCTCCCCCTGGCCCTCCGCGTGTTAATTTAGGGGCCCCAACCCGGGGAACCCCTCGCAGAGCCAGCTGCTGTCGTTAGGCCCGGGTGAGTGAGCAGGACGAGAGGGCACGGCTGGCGACGGAGCCCCTCCCAGCGCTGCGGCGGGAGAGGGGGCTCAGCTCGAGTCGCCACCCGGACTCGCCGGACCCAGAGCTCCTCTTTGGGGTTCCCGCTCTCCCGCTCCCCGTGCTCCTGGGAAGAGGTTCTGGAAACGACCGAATCTGGGTGCAATCGGGGTGGCGCACAATCGCGCCCCTCCAGTCCCCTCTGCGGGCAGAGGAAGTGGGACTCGAGGACCAGAGCTCTCGGGCCTCCTGATCCAGGGACCTGCCATTTCCTGGCCCAGGACCCCGGGAATGCCCGAGCATGGCACCTCGACGTGGCAGGAAAACTGTTCAGGAGGCGGCAGAGGAGCCTGTGGGGGACGGGAGGCAGCCACCTCCCCGCGTCCTTCGAACCCTTTGCTTGGGCTGCCGGGCATCAATACCCCAACTCACCCAGCACCCCCTCTTCAGAATAACCTCAAAACCCAACCGGGCTCCTGGCCACAGGGCCTTCTCTTAGTCCAACCACCAGGCTGAGTGAATCCTCGTGGAGCCAGGAGGGTCCTCAGTGACCCTGCACAAACCCGTTATCAAGTCACCCCAAGTGGGATCCAATTAGCATCCTGTCTCACCCAGAATCGCCACTTACCACACCTCTACCTGCCTCTGTGTGCTTGGTCCCCACCATTTCTCCTGCAGTCCCAGACTAAGGAAGGACTGGACGGCCCGACCCAAGCCTCCCGCAAATGATTTTAAGGAAGGAGATGCCCCTCGGCAGCCAGACATGAGGATTGATTCCAGGACTCACCCAGCTGCTGCCCCAGGGACCCCACAGACTTCCCAAGCAGAGCCAGTTCCCTGGGAGGGCTGCATGGAGGAGGAGACCTGCCAACACTGGAGCCGAGGGGTTTCTACTGATTCATTCACAAAGCTTAGATCTCAGATCTTGGACACATGACTGAACTTCACAAAGTCTCAGGATCCACACACATTTTCCATTTATTCTTCTTATTTTATTTTATTTTTTAGACGGAGTCTTGCTCTGTCACCCAGGCTGGAGTGCAGTGGTGCGATCTCGGCTCACTGCAACCTCCACCTCCCGGGTTCCAGCAATTCTCCTGCCTCAGCCTCCTGAGTAGCTGGGATTACAGGCGCCTGCCGCCACACCTGGCTAATTTTTTGTATTTTAGTAGAGACGGAGTTTCACCGTGTTGCCCAGGCTGGTCTCAAACTCCTGAGCTCAGGCAATCCACCCGCCTCGGCCTCCCAAAGTGCTAGGATTACAGACGTGAGCCACCAGCCCAGCCTCCATTTATTCTTCTATCCACACATTCGCCAAGTACAGTCATCCCTCAGTATCCAGGAGAAATTGGTTCCAGGACCCCCACGGATACCAAAACCCACGGATACTCACACCCCAGATATTAAATGGTGTAGTGGTTGCATGTAATGCACACATATCCTCTTGTACACTTTAAACCATCTCTAGATAACTTATAATACTTCATACTATGTAAATAGTTGCTATACTGTATTATTTGTATTATTTTTATTTTATTTTTTTTCTGAATATTTTCTATCTTTGGTTGGTTGAATCTGAGGATGCAAAACCAGGCATAGGGTGGACTGGATGTTGGTCCTGGTATTTGGGATGAAAGGAGAGTGAGAGGGCGTTCAGGGCAGGAAAGAAAGAAGCTGGCATTACAGCCGAGTGCAGTCAGGGACCTTGGGAGGCCTGCCAACAGCACATGCAGAAAAGCTGGGAGCACTGGGGCGAGTTGCTCAACTCCACCTGAGGGGCAGAAGGGGGCCCGGAACGCTGCTGCCAAGAAGTCGCCTTAGAATTAGGCTGTGGGGCTGGGTGCTGTGGTTCACGCCTGTAATCCCAGCACTTTGGGAGGCTGAGGCGGGCAGATCACTTGAGTTCAGGAGTTCGAGACCAGCCTGGTCAACATGGTGAAACCCTGTGTCCACTAAAAATACAAAATTAGCCGGGTGTGGTGGTGGGCACCTGTAATCCCAGCTACTAGGGAGACTGAGGCAGGAGAATTGCTTGAACCAAGGAGGCGGAGGTTGCAGTGAGCTGAGATCTTGCCACTGCACTCCAGCCTGGGTGACAGACTGATACTCTGTCTCAAAAAAAAAAAAAAAAAAAAAAAAAAAAGAAAGAAAAAGAGAAAAAAGAATTAAGCTGTGGGAGGTGAGAAGGGATTTGCCAAGTAGACAAAGAAGGCTGCCTGGGAGCAGGGGAGGTGGGTGGGGGGCAGTAGCTGGATCACAGAGGACAACAGGAGGAGCGGAGGAAATGTTTGGTCAGACTGGTGTTTGGGAAGGTTGGCCACTGGCAGTGTGTATGCAAGGGGGGACCTCAGGGAGCGAAGGTGGGTTAAGGGGGAGCTCAGACTGGTGTGGAGCCCTAACATGGACATCTATGATCTTTCTGCCTTTAGAGGGCTAGTTTTCACCAAGTTTCCACCCGCACTGCAACCCAATGACAATGTTTAAATATTCTGGGTGAGTCATTTGCTAGGATTTCTGCAAAAGTATTTGATTCGATCCATTTATGAATCAAGTTGATCCTTCCTTCCTTCTTTCCCTCCCTCCCTCTCTCCCCCCCCCTTCCTTCCTCTTCCTTCCTTCCTTCCTTCCTTCCTTCTTCTGTCTTCATTTGTTGCTCAGGCTGGAGTGCAGTGATACAATCAGAGCTCACCGCAGCCTGGATCTCCTGGACTCAAGCAATCCTCCTAGCTCAGCCTCCTGAATAGCTAGGATTACAGGTGTGCGCCACCATGCCCAGCTAATTTTTTTATCTTTTGTAGAGATGGGATCTTGCTATGCTGCCCAGGATGGTCTTTTTTTTGAGACAGAGTCTTGCTCTGTTGCCCAGGCTGGAGTGCAGTGGCACAACCATGGTTCACGGCAGCCTGAACTTCCTAGGCTTAAGTGATCCTCCCATCTCAGCCTCTTGAGTAGCTGAGACTACAGGCATTCACCACCATGCCTGACTAATTTTTTATTTTTTGTAAAATAAAAAGGTAGATGGGGTCTCGCCATGTTGCCCAGGCTAGTCTCGAACTCCCAGGCTCAAGCAATCCTCCTGCCTCAGCCTCCCAAAGTGTTGGGATTGCAGGCATGAGCCAGCATGCTTGGCCACCAGACTGGTCTTGAACTCCTGACTTCAAGTGGTCCTCCTGCCTCGGGATTGCAGATGTGAGCCCCTGTGCCAGGCTAAGTTGGTGTTCTTTCTTTATGGATTGTTATACCCCCAGGAGAGGCTGATAGCTACCCAGAGTTCTGCCTGTCAGTTTCGAGGTCTCATCTCAGTGACCCACAATCTCTCCAGCTCCCCAGCACTGCTGAGTGGAAAGAGTCTTCCTGTCTTTTCCCCTGCCCCGGGCCCAGGCAGCATCCAGGTAACTGTGGGGCTGAGGCTGGAGCAGGCCAGGCCCATGAAGCAGGTTGGCACCTCGAGAGTTTCTGCTTTTCCTCAGAATCTGAGGTACTTCTTGGTAATGAGGTAGAGCCCAACCTCCTTAAAAGTGACATGCTTGCCAGTGCAGTTTGCTACCATTTGTGTGTTTGAATACAGTTAAAAATTCTGTAACTTTGTCTATAAAGACAAATAGACAAAACCAAGATCTGGAAGCAAAGAAAACAGTTAGGAAATGAAAATTATAATCCAGGTGAGAGGGGATGAAGACTTGAATCAAGGCAGGAGGCGTGGGAGGCAGATGCCATATACTCTTTTGCAAGCTTCTTGTGAACATCGAATTCGATAAGCTGCAGAAAAGCAGCTGGCATGGTGCCTAGCATACAGTAGGCATCAAATAAGTGCTGGGTTGCCACCCACCCCCTCCTTGAGGCAAGTTCTGTCAGAAAGCAGGCCCAGGGGTGTTCTCTGCAGAGAGAAGCCAGGATGAAGGCCTTGTTCCAGCTCCTCGGAGACCTGTGGGTCTGACCCCACATGCCTGGCAGAAGTGCCTCCATTTTAACTGCCTTGGGCCTTCTTGACCACAGTGTGAGCGACCACAGCCCCGTCACAGGCTGGTACTTGGGGCCTCTCCCCTCCTCTCACTTGTGGAGAGTAGGCCCAAAGTTGGGCCTATGTGGCCACATAAGCACTCCATCCTTGTCTTCTCTCCTTGGTTCTTCCCTACTCACCACCACCCCAACCAACAAGAAAGGAAGAGAAAGGTCCCACCCCACATATATTGCCTGTCCCAGTGTTTGATAGGGAAGGAGGTGGTAACACTCGGTGTGACCCCCACGGAAAGACAGTCCCCTCACACCCTGAGTTGGTGCCACACCATCAGCTCTGCAGCGGGCACTTTCAGCTCCTGCTGCTCCTTTGCCACCAGGTCTGGGGTTTCACTGTTCTGGGGCTCAGTCCCATGCCTGTCTTGTGAGGCTCTGGAATCACAGGAAAGAAACAGCGGGCTTCTCTGTGCTGGAGGTCCCCATGTCACAGTGGCCCAGGGCCAGGCCACGACATGAACACTCATGCTGCAGCTAAGAGTAAAGGCTCATCATTTCATCTGGAAACATTGACCTGTTTCTCCATTTTTCCCTTTAACTATCTGGCCACAGCAGGATTCCTGGGCATAAGGGCATAACCCTCCTTGAGGTTTTGCTTTCCAAGTGAGTTGTTTTATTCTAAAAATCCTACATTATACTCCATTTTAGCATTGAGTATCATTATTTCCTTTCTTTTTATTGAGACAGGGTCTCAGCCTGTCACACAGGCTAGAGCACAGTGGCACAATCTTGGCTCACTGCAGCCTCAGCCTCCCCCAGCTCAAGTGGTCCTCCTACCTCAGCCTCCTGAGTAGCTGGGAATACAAGCGCCACCATGCCTGGCTAATTTTTTGTTTTTTGTTTGTTTGTTTGTTGGTTTTTGGTAGAGACGGGGCTTCGCCATATTGCTCAGGCTGGTCTCAAACTCCTGGGCTCAAGCGATCCTCCCACCTCGGCCTCCCAAAGTATTGGGATTATAGGCATGAGCCACCACACCTGGCCAAGTATCATTATTTCTAAAAGAGACTAGCACTGAGGCCAGATTCAGTGGCTCATACCTGTAATCCCATCACTCTGAGAGGCTGAGGTGGGAGGATTGCTTGAGCCCAGGCATTCAAGACCGGCCTGGGCAACATAGGGAGACTTCATATCTAGAAAAAAAATTATATATATAAACTTAGCTGGGCACGATGGTGCATGCCTATGGGCCCAGCTACTCGGGAGGCTGAGGGCTGAGGTGGGAGGATCGCTTTAGCCCAGGAGTTTGAGGCTTCAGTGAACTATGATTGTACCACTGCACTCCAGCCTGGGCTACAGAGCAACCTGTCTCTACTACAAATAAATTTTTAAAAAGTTGCATTGAAGGAATAAGGATGAACCAATTGAAGGAAACACAGAGGAATTTTACAAACAGAGAGACCAGCAGGAATCAAGACCCAGGGACATAAACCAGCACCAGGTGGTGAAGAGACCATAAGCAGATCAGTGAAAAGGCTGAAATGGGAGGGGGCTTGAAAGATGGGACAGTTAGGACGGACCAGGATAGGAACAACCTTGACTCCACTTGAAGGTGCATGGGCCACTTTTTGGAGGTGAGGAAGAACCACTGAGTGGGTTTCAGCAGGAGAACAGGGGAATATTTCTCTTTGGATCTGATTTCCCTGGCTACAGTGTTGAATGACTGGGAGACAAACCAGCAGAGAAGGATGGATTAATCTGCTCAGGCTGCCATAACAACCTACCACAAACTGGGGCTTCCATGACAAAAATGTACTGTCTCACAGTTCTAGAGGCTGCAAGTCTGAGATCAAGGTGTTGGCAGGGTTGGTTCCTTCTGGGGGCTGTGAGGGAGAAGCTGTTCCAGGCCTCTCCTCCAGCTGCTGGTGGTTGCTGTCGATCTTTGGCCTTCTGTGGCCTATAAAAGCATCACCCCATCTCTGCCTTCATCTTCGCATGGCATTCTCCCTGTGTCCGTGTCTCTGAGTCCAAAGTTCCCCTTTTTATGGCCAGGTGTGGTGGCGCACAAGTAATCCCAGCACTTTGGGAGGTTGAGGTGGGCAGATCACTCGAGGTCAGGAGTTCGAGACCAGCCTGGCCAATATGGAGAAACCCCATCTCTACTAAAAATACAAAAAGTAGCCAGGCATGGTGGCGCACGCCTGTAATCCCAGCTACTCAGGAGGCTGAGGCAGGAGAATCGCTTGAATCCGGGAGGCAGAGGTTGCAGTGAGCTGAGATCATGCCACTGCACTCCAGCCTGGATGACAGAGCCAGACTGTCACCAAAAAAAAAAAAGGCAAAAAATGAAAAAACAAAGTTCCCCTTTTTACAAGGACACCACTCAGATTGGTTTAGGGCTCACACACCACTGACCTCATTTTAACTTGGTTACCTCTGTAAAGACCTTATCTCCAAATAAGGTCACATTCTGAGGCACTGGGTATTAGGACTTCAGCATGTGAATTTGGCGGGGGGAGGGACACAATTCAACCCACAACAAAGGGGGAGAATAGATTAGGAGCATATGACTTGAACTACAGCCACGAAAGACGGACAAAATAGAGGGCCTAGGCCAGGCGCGGTGGCTCACGCCTGTACTCCCAGCACTTTGGGAGGCCTAGGTGGGTGGATCACTTGAGCCCAGGAGTTCCAGACCAGCTAGGCCAACATGGTGAAACCCTGTCTCTACTAAAAATACAAAAATTAGCCGGGCATGATGGCATGTGCCTGTAATCCCAGCTACTTGGGAAGCTGAGGTGGGAGAATCACTTGAACCCGGGAGGCGGAGGTTGCAGTGAGCCAAGATCTTGCCACTGCACTCCAGCCTAGGCAACAGAGTGAGACTCCATCCAAAAAAAAAAAAAAAAAGAGGGACTAGAACAGAATCATTTGAGGATGTAAAATCCACAAGTCTTGTTATTTCATGAAATGTGGGGGAAGGAGAGTTCAACTTCTAGGTTTGGAGTACTTGCATTTCAGAGTTATTTAAGTGTTAGGACCAGAGGAGGAAAATGAGAGAGGAAGGTAGAGGGGACAGATCATTCTAGATACATCGAGCTTGAAATATCTGTGGGACATTCCCATAGATGAAACAGGAGAGAGATCAGAACCCTAAGACATGTTCGGTAGTGAGAAGTGTGTAGATAGAAGTTTAAAACAATGAGCAAGCACTGGACACAGTGGCTCACGCCTCTAATCCCAGCACTTTGGGAGGCCAAGGCAGGTGGATCGCTTGAGCCTAGGAGTTTGAGACCAGCCTGGGCAACATGGTAAAACCGTGTCTCTACAAAAATAACAAAAGTTTAGCTGGGCATGGTGGTGCATGCCTGTGGTCCCAGCTACTTGGAAGGCTGAGGTGAGAGGATCACCTGAGCCCGGGAGGTCGAGGCTGCAGTGAGCCAAGATCGTGCCACTGCACTTCAGCCTGGGTGACAGAGTGAGACCCTGTCTCATAAATAAAATAAAATAAAATAATGAGCAAGGAGGTAATTGCCCAATGAAAGCACGCAGAGAGAAGGCAGAGGGTCAAGAACCAAAGGCCAGGGAACCCTCAGGTATCAGGGCTGTGCTTAGTATCAGAAGTTTACTTAAAAATTCCAAGCCAGGCACAGTGGCTCATGCCTGTAATCCCAGCACTTTGGGAGGCTGAGGCGGGCGGGTCATTTGAGGTCAGGAGTTCGAGACTAGCCTGGCCAACACGGTGAAACCGCATCTCTGCTAGAAATACAAAAATTAGTTGGGCATGGTGGGATGTGCCTGTAATCCCAGCTACTCGGGAGGCTGAGGCGGGAGAATCACTTGAACCCGGGAGGCGGAGGTTGCAGTGAGCTGAGATTTCGCCATTGCACTTCAGCCTGGGCAACAAGAGTGAAACTCTGTCTCAAAAAAAAAAAAAAAAAAAAAAAGGCCGGGCACGGCAGTGGCTCACACCTGTAATCTCAGCATTTTGGGAGGCCAAGGTGAGTGGATCATGAGGTCAGGAGTTCAAGACCAGCCTGGCCAAGATGGTGAAACCCATCTCTACTAAAACTACAAAAATTAGCCAAGCATGGTGGCAGGCGCCTATAATCCCAGCTACTTGGGAGACTGAGGCAGGAGAGTCACTTGAACCCAGGCGGCAGAGGTTGCAGTGAGCCAAGATGATGCCACTGCATTCCAACCTGGGCGACAGAGTAAGACTCTGTCTTAAAAAAAAAAAATTCCAAAGAGGAGCCAACTTTCCATAGGAATGTTAGATCTGTGAGAACACGAATGCTGTCTGATTTGTTCACTGCTAAGTACTCAACTACCTAGAACAGTGCCTGGCACAGAGTAATAGTTCTATGATAATAATAATTGTAATTATTATTTAAGATGGGGGTCTCGCTGTCACCCACGCTGGAATGCAGTGATGCAATCACGGCTCACTGCAGCCTCCAACTCCTAGGTTCAAGCAATCCTCCAGCCTCAGTCTCCCAAGTAGCTAGGACCACAGGTATGCACCACCACGCCAGGCTAATTTTTAAATTTTTTGTAGAAATGGGGTTCCACCATGTTGCCTAGGCTGGTCTTGAACTCTTGAGTTCAAGTGATCCTCCCACCTTGGCCTCCCAAAGTGCTGGGATTACAGGCCTGAGCCACTGCACCTGGCCAATTCCATAATTATTTGATGAATAAAATGTTGAATGAACTACTCAGAGAGAGGTGTATGAAAAATCAGGAGTTCAGTGTCCTGGGAGCCATGGAAGTGATATTATCACCTCTATCATGCCTCACTTCAAAAATATCATTTTATGTTACTGATTTTAGTGACTTTAAAATCAGCTACTCCTAAAAGGTTTTTTTTTAAACTTGCTTTGTAACATCATCATAAAAACTTCAGCAAAAAGCCCAGGCAACATAGTTAAACCCTGTCTCCACAAAAAGTTTTGAAAAATTAGCTGGGCATGGTGGTGTGCACCTATAGTCCCAGCTACTTGGGAGGCCAAGATGGGAGGATCACTTGAACCCAGGAGTTTGAGGCTGCAGTGAGCTATGATTGCACCATTGCACTCCAGCCAGGATGACAGAATTAGACTCCGTCTCTACTAAAGAAAAAATAAAATAAAAGCCGGACATGTGGCACGGGCCTGTAGTCCCAGCTACTCAGGAGGCTGAGGCAGGAGGATTGCTTGAACCCAGGAGTTGGAGGCCACAGTGAGCAATGATTCCACCACTGCACTCCAGCCTAGGCAACAGGGAGAGACCCTGTTTCAAAAAAAGACAAAAAAAATTCAACAAAAAATATTTGTGCGTGGTGTTGGAATAGATGTTATTAATATATTAGATACTGTTCTTCAAATGTAGTCTTACATGTTAATCCACAAAAATGATCAGATAAATAAAATTACTATATACTGCTTTACATGAATTGTTCATAGCAGCTTTATTTGTAATAGATGAAAACGGGAAATGATCCAAATGTCCATCAACAAGTGAATGGATAAACTGTGGAACAGCCATACAATGAAATACTACTAAGCAATAAAAAAGAATGAATATTGACATACACAATGACATTGATGAATCTCAAAATAGTAATGCTGCATGAAAGAAGCCACACAAGAAAGTGCACATACTGTATGATTCCATTTATACAGAATTCTAGAAAGTGCCAGTGAATCTGTGGTGACAGAAAGCAGATTGGTGGCTGCCTGGCAGACAGCGGGGACAGAAAGGGGCAGAACGGATTACACAGAACCAAGGAAACTTTTGGAGGTGAAGGATATGCTCGGTATCTTTTCTTTTTTTCTTTTTTTTTTTTTTTTGAGACGGAGTTTTGTTCTTGTTGCCCAGGCTGGAGTGCAATGGCGCGATCTTGGCTCACTGCAACCTCCGCCTCCCAGGTTCAAGCAATTCTCCTGCCTCAGCCTCCCAAGTAGCTGGGATTACAGGCATGTGCCACCACACCTGGCTAATTTTGTATTTTTAGTAGAGATGGGGTTTCACCATGTTGGCCAGGCTGGTCTTGAACTCCCGACCTCAGGTGATCCACCCGCTTTGGCCTCCCAAAGTGCTAGGATTACAGGCATGAGCCACCACGCCTGGCCATGTTCACTATCTTGACTATGGTGATGGTTTCACTGATGTGTACATCAAACTTATCAAAGAGTAACCTTTAAATATATATAGTTTATCATATGTCAAGTATACCCCAATAAAGATGATTTTTAAAATGCATTTACCCAACAAAAGATGCAGGCAAAATACATTTCAGAAAATATAGTCAGAGCAAGCTTATTACCAACAGACTATCACTAAACTAACTTCTAAATGGTGTACTTGAGGCAGAGTGACAGTTATACCACAAGAAAGGTTGGAGACGAAAGGAAGATGAAGACCAAGAAATTGACAAGCATGTGGGTAACCATTATCACCTATTCTGTCCAATATTTTACTGGAGGCCTTAACTAGGGCAGGAAGAAAAAAGGGGGATATAATGGGTGTAAGGATAGGAAAAAAGGAAAAAATACTGTGATTTTCAGAAGTTATGATTGTCTATACACAAAAATCAAAGACTCTACAGAGAAAGTTTTAGAAATAAGACACTTCAGCAAAGTTGCTGTAATACAGACTAGATATCTCAAAATCCATTGCATTCCTATACACTAGAAATAAACATTTAGAAAATATAGTTGAGGCTGGGAACAGTGGCACACGCCTGTAATCCTAGCAGTTTGGGAGGCCAAGGCAGGAGGATTGCTTGAGCACAGGAGTTCCAGACCAGCCTGGGCAACATGGTGAAACCCCATCTCTACAAAAAAATACAAAAATTAGCTGGGTATGGTGGCACACACCTGTGGTCCCAGCTTTGGAGGTCAAGGCAGGAGAATTGCCTGCACCCAGGAGTTGGAGGCTGCAGTGAGCTGTGATCATGCCACTGTGCTCCAGCCTGGGCGACAGAGTCAGACCCTGCCTCAAAAAGAAAAAAAAAGATCAGTGGTTGTTAGGGGCTGGAGGGAGGGAGGGATTAATAAACAGAGCATGGAGGACTTCTAGGGCAGTGGAACTCTTCTGTATGATACAATAATGGTGGAAACATGCATTATACATTTGTCCAAACCAAACCCAAACCACAGTAATCAAGACAGTGTGGTATTGGAGAAGGGATAGACACATAGACCAATGGAACAGAATAGAGAACCCAGAAATAGACCCATACCAATGTGTCCAACTGATTTTTTAATTTTTATTTTTAATTAATTTATTTTTTTGTTAGACACAGGGTCTCACTCTGTCACCTAGGCTGGAGTGCAGTGGCATGATCACAACTCACTGTAGCCTTGACCTCCTGGACTCAGATGATCCTCCCACCTCATCCTCCCAAATAGCTGGGACTACAGGCGTTCAGCAGCACACCTGGCTATTTTAAAAAAATTTTTGGTAGAGATGGGGTCTTGCTATGTTGTCCAGGTTACCAACTGAGTCTCACTCTGTCGTCCAGCCTGGAGTGCAGTGACATGATCATGGCTCACTGCAGCCTCGACCTCCAGGACTCAGGTGATCCTCCCACCTCAGCCTCCCAAGTTGCTGGTACTACATGCACACACGACCGTGCCTGGCTGATTTTTGTATTTATTGTAGAGACAGGGTTTTGCCATGTTGCCCGGGCTGGGCTGCCAACCGATTCTTTACAAAGGGGCAAAAGCAGTTCAGTGGAACAAACAATGCTGGAGCCATAGGACATCCAATAGCAAAAACAAACAAACAAAAACCAAAAAAGGAACCTGGACCTAAATCACACTTAGTACAAAAATTAACTCCAAATGGATGGATCATTGACTTAAATGTGAAGTGTAAAACTATAATGCTTCTAGGGAAAAACCTAGGACTATATATTTGGGATTAAGACTAGGCAAAAAGAATTCAGAAGATAAAAACCACAATTCATAAACGGGAAATTTGATCATTAGAAACTTTTGCTCTGTGAAAAGACAAGCTATAGGCTGCGAGAAAATATTTGTAAATGACATATTCGACAAAAGGCTAGTATCTACAATATAAAAAGAACTCTCAAAACTCAACAGTAAAGAAGCAAACAATCCCTTTAGAAAATTGGCAAAAGA
Organism: Homo sapiens; assembly: GCF_000001405.40. Taxonomy (NCBI): domain Eukaryota; kingdom Metazoa; phylum Chordata; class Mammalia; order Primates; family Hominidae; genus Homo; species Homo sapiens. The sequence goes on from NC_000023.11 coordinate 47,535,873, forward strand.
TGCGAAGAGACATTTCACTGAATGGGATGTACAGATGGCAAATATCCACATGAAAAGATGTTCAATATCACTCGCCATTAAGAAAATGCAAATTAGGCCAAGTGTGGTGGCTCACGCCTGTAATCCCATCACTATGGGAGGCTGACGTGGGCAGATCACCTGAGCTCAGGAGTTCGAGACCAGTCTGGCCAACATAGTAAAACCCTGTATTTTTTTTCTACTAAAAATAGAAAAATTAGCCCGGCGTGGTGGTGCGCACCTGTAGTCCCAGCTACTGGGGAAGCTGGGGCAGGAGAATTGCTTGAGCCCAACAGGCAGAGGTTGTAGTGAGCCGAGATTGCACCACTGCACTCCAGCCTGGGCGACAAAGTGAGACTCCATCTCAAAAAAAAAAAAAAAAAAAGAAAGAAAGAAAGAAAGAAAAAGAAAAGAAAATACAAATTAAAACCACAATCAGCTATCAGTCATGAATATCAGAATGGCTAAAATTAAAAAAAAAAAAACAGTGACAATACGAGATGCTGGCCAGGATGCAGAGAAAACGGATCACTCATGCATGGCAGGTGGGAATGTAAAATGATCCAGACAGTCTGGTAGCTTCTTACAAACTAAACATGCAATTACCATATAACCTAGCAATTGCACTCTTGGGCAGTTATCCTAGAGAAATGAAAACCTATATTCACATAAAAACCTGTACATTAATGTTCATAGCAGCTATGTTAGAAATAATGAAAGACTGGAAACAACCCAGACATTCTTCAATAGGTGGATGGTTAAACAAACCATGGTACATCCATACTGTGGAATACTATTCAACAAGAAAAAGGAATAAGATGGGCTGGGCGCAGTGGCTCATGCCTGTTATCTCAGCACCTTGGGAGGCTGAGGTAGGTGGATCACTTGAGCCCAGGAGTTCGAGACCAGCCTGGGCAACATGGCAAAACCCCGTCTCTACAAAAAATACAAAAATTACCCTGGTGTGGTGGTTTGCACCTGTAGTCCCAGCTATCTGGGAGGTTGATTGAGGTGGGAGGATCACTTGAGCCCGGGAGGGGGAGGTTGCAGTGAGCCGTGATCGTGCCACTACACTCCAGCCTGAGTGACAGAGTGAGACCCTGTTTCAAAAAAAGAAGAAAAAAAAAGGTACAAGATGTTGATACATGCAGCAACTTGGATGAATCTCCAGGGAACTATGCTGAGTGAAAAAAGTCAAATCCAACAGTTCACATATTGTATAATTCAAGTTCTATAACAGTCGTGAAATGACAACATTCTAGAGATAGAGAACAGATTAGTGTCAGGGATTAGGAACCTGGAGGGGATACACGGCAGGCACTAGTGTAGCAGGTGTGGTTGCGAAAGGGCAGCAGGAGACATCCCGGGGTTGTGTCAATGGCCACATCCTGGTTGTGATATTGTGCTGTTATTCTGGAAGGTGTCACCATTGGAGGAAACTGGGTGAAGGGCACATAGGATCTCTCTGTATTATTCTTGCAATTGCATGGGAATTGACACTGATCTCAAAATCAAAGTTTAATTTTTAAAAATGTGCAGCTCACCTAGGATGATTGTATAACTGGTTTAGACCATGGCTACATAGAATTAACCAGAGAGTGGTGAGAACAAGGTGGGGCAGGAAGGAATCTTCTGGACACAGAAGAGAACAACAAGCAAGAACGTGGTGGTGGGAGCCACACTGCCTGGGTTAGAATCTTGGCTCTGGCCCACACTCGTGCTGTGTTCCTGGCTAAGTTACTGCCTTCCTCCAAGCCTGTCTCCTTATCTGTGAAATGTAGGTGAGTTCATATGTGGAGTCGCTTAGGGCAGCACTTGATACAGAGCTAGCACTCAAGGGTTTGTTATTCTTTCTATCATTTCACCTAGGAAGGATGTGCTCAACTGGAAATGCTAGGTGGACTTACAGTAACACCGTAAAATCCATCATGTGAATGTTTAGCTCATGAGAATTTCACTCTTCATGCTCTGGGGTAACTAACATATATTCTACATACTCACTTGTATGACTATTCAGATCTGCTGCAGTACTTCATTCTTCTCCATCGCTATCCCAATTTATGTGATGAAAAGAATATAAATTTTTTAAAATAAAAAATAACCTATAACTCATAGAATAAAATAGGGAACCATGAGTCCATACTGATATAAATAAATGAATACATTGAAAATTTGATGAGGAACAGAATGTTTACAAGATCTCAAAGTGCCTTTCCGCAAACTACTGATTTTTTAAAATAATTTAATATATTTTATTTAATCCATTATATCCAAAATGTTATCATTTCACCATGTAATCAATATAAAAAGTTGAGATAAGGCTGGGCGCAGTGGCTCACATGTGTAATCCCAGCACTTTGGGAGGCCGAGGCAGGCGGATCACCTGAGGTCAGGAGTTTGAGACTGGCCTGACCAACATGGTGAAATCCTGTCTCTACTAAAACTACAAAGAAAAACCGGCCAGGTGCTGTGGCTCATGCCTGTAATCCCAGTACTTTGGGAGGCCAAGGCGGGCGGATCATGAGGTTAAGAGATCGAGACCATCCTGGCCAACATGGTGAAACCCCGTCTCTATTAAAAGTATAAACATTAGCTGGGTGTGGTGGCGGGCACCTGTAGTCTCAGCTACTCGGGAGGCTGAGGCAGGAGAATCGCTTGAACCTGGGAGGCGGAGGTTACAGTGAGCCGAGATCACGCCATTGCACTCCAGCCTGGGCATCTTTAAAAAAAAAGTGCAAATATTTATTTTTACTTATTTACTTACAAATTTTTCTTTAGAGATGGGGTGATATAGTTTGAATATATGTCCTTGCCAAAGCTCATGTTGAATTGTAATCCTCAATGTTTGAGGTAGGGCCTGGTGGGAGGTGATTGGGTCATGGGGGCAGATCCTTCATGGCTTGGTGCTGTCCTCGCTATAGTGAGTGGGTTCACTTCACGAGATATTTGGTTGTTTAAAGTGTGTGGCACCTCCCCACCCTTTGCTCTCGCTCTGCCATGTGAGATACCTGTTCCCACTTTGGCTTCCGTCATGAGTAAAAGCTCCTTGAGGCCTCCCCAGGCTCCTTCCTGTACAGTCCTGTATAAAACTGTGAGCCAATTAAGCCTCTTTTCTTTATAAATTACCCGGTCTCAGGTATTTCTTTATAGCAATGCAAGACTGACCTAATTCACGGACAGGGTCTCCCTCTGTTGCCCAGGCTGGCGTAGTGGCTTGATCTCGGCTCATTGCAACCTCTGCCTCCCAGGTTCAAGCAGTCCTCCTACCTCAGCCTCTGGAGTAGCTGAGATTACAGGTGCTAGCCATCATGCCCAGTTAAGTGCAATATTTAAAGGGTTCTGAAAATTTTCTTCCTTTGAAAGCTTTCACTAACTGAGAACTTCAAAGTGCTATTTTCCTGAGAAATTCAAATAACTTTCAATTATTTCTAGGGTCCCCTAGCAGTTACTTGGGGAAATAAAAAAGAAAATTCAATGTCTATCTTACTCCTCATGCCAAAATAAATTTCATCTGGATAGAAGCTTTGAATGTAAAACAAAAAAAATAAATAAATAAAAAATAAAACCAATCAACAAACTTGGGAGTATTACGTTAAAACTAGGGGAAAAAAAATATATATATATATATTTGGAAACGGAGTCTCGCTCTGTCGCCCAGGCTGGAGTGCAGTGGCTCAAGCTCGGCTCACTGCAACTTTGGCCTCTTGAGTTCAAGCAATTCTCCTGCCTAAGCCTCCCAAGTAGCTGGGACTACAGGTGCCCACCACCACGCCTGACTAATTTTTTTTTTTTGTATTTTTAGTAGAGATGTGGTTTCACCATGTCGCCCAGGATGGTCTCATACTCCTGAGCTCAGGCAATCCACCTGCCTTGGCCTCCCAAAGTGCCAGGATTACAGGCATGAGCCACCACGCCCAGCCAGGGAAAATATTTTTATAATTGACAAATTAGAAGTCACGAAAAAAAAGCAATGAATTAGGCCCCCCAAAATTTTAATTCTTTGCATGTGCTTTGGAACATTTTGCTGATCTTATACCAAGATAATTTTTTTAAGGAAAATGAGATCAGTGAGTACTTACTGCTCTGCAAGCTATTTTTATTCACTTGGCAGTAAAATAATGGCATCTTTCCAAGTGAGTGCATTTGTTTTAATGGATGTATTAGTATCTCATTATATAAAAGTCTATATTTAGATATTACCCTCTTCTCTTTTGTTAATATCTTAACTAACTAGGTTATATGAGGAGCAAAGAATGAGCCTACACCCAGCACCTAAACCAATGGTTTCATGACATTCTCTGCTCCAACATGTGGCTAGAGACAAGTGATTCTGAGAAGAAAACTGCCAAATCACAGAACAAGTTTACACTACTCCAGGTGGATAGGAAGTTTAATATTTAAAAAAAAAAACAGGCTGGGTGCGGTGGCTCATGGGTGTATCCCAGCACTTTGGGAGACCAAGGACAGAAGATGACTTGAGCCCAGGAGTCTGGGACCAGCCTGGGCAACATAGGGAGATCCTCGTCTTTACAAAGATAATAAAAAATATTAGCCAGGCATGGTGGTGCACGCCTGTAGTCCCAGCTACTGGTGGGGGAGCTGAGGTGGTGGTGGGGCTGCAGTTGGTGGGGGGGATGATGAGGTGAGAGGATGGCTTGAGCCTGTGAGTTCAAGCCTGCAGTGAGCTATGATAGCGCCACTGCACTCCAGTCTAGGTGACAGAGCGAGATCTTGTCCCAAAATAATAATAATAATAATAATAAAAACAAATAAAAAACAAAAGTTCATTTAGATTTTGAAGATAATAAACGTATGAATATTTAAAATTACACAGTTTTGCTTTCCAGAGTGATGATAAAAGTGTACCATTTGAGTCACTAACTCTTTTTTTTCTTTTTAAGAGAGTCTCGCTCTGTCTAGCAGGATGCAGTGCAGTGGCACGATCTCAGCTCACTAAAACCTCCGCCTCCAGGGTTCAAGCAATTCTCTTACCTCTCAACCTCTCGAGTAGCTGGTATGACTGGTGTGCACCACCACCCACCTCAGCCTCACACAGTGCTGGGATTACAGGCGTGAGCCACTGTGCCCGGCCCATTTTAGTCATTAACTTTTAAAAATAAACTTCACACAGCAGTACATCTCAGATGTTTATAACAAAAAGGAGGGTGGATGTGTGTGTGGGGGGTGAGCTTTCTAATTTGACCACGTCAATATTGTATCTGCCAAGCAGTTTCCAACTTGTATCAAGTCAAATGAGTACTTAGTTGTTTTCTTTAGTTCTTAGAATATTTCCCCTACATTCTCCATGGCTCGGTTCTTTCCAGAAAATTCCCTGGATGGAATTTTCCACATAGCCCAGCAGAGGGCCCTGTATTCTGAGCCACAGTCAGGCATACACAGAAGACACTGCAGACACCAATCAGCAAATCAGGAACGAGAATTCCTCTCCTCCCACACTCCAGCCAAAGGGCTCTCAGGTTCCAGTTGCAGCCGGTCAGCTAACAACTGACGGTGTCTGCACTTCCTTTTAGTCTAGGCGGCGGTAGAAATGGTTTCTAAGAATACCCAGTGGCTCTGGAAAACATTTCCATCATGTGAATGAGCCTGCGCGTATTTTATATTACAGCTTTTATTCCCCTCAGATTCCTATTCTCATTTTAAAATGTATTTAAAAGATATAGAGACATATAAAGCCTTCAGAGGAAAATGCATTAAAAAGGAATATATCACAATGGTAAACCATGATTACTACTAAAGAGATTATGGCTTATTTCACTCCATTCTTTAATTTCCCAGATTTTACACCATTATCGTGTTTCTTTTATTTTGAATATTCTCTTTTCAGAAAGAGAAAATATAGTTTGAAAAAGCGGCTGGGTGTGGTGGCTCATGCCTTTAATCCCAGCACTTTGGGAGGCCAAGGTGGGTGGATTATTTGAGGTCAGGAGTTCGGGACCAGCCTGGCCAACATGGTGAAACCCTCTCTCTACAAAAATACGAAACTTAGCTGGGTGTGGTGTCGGGCGCCTGTAATCCCAGCTACTCGGGAGGCTGAGGAACGAAAATTGCTTGAACCCGGGAGGCGGTGGTTGCAGTGAGCCGAGATCGCGCCACTGCACTCCAGTCTGTCTCAAAACAAACAAACAAACAACAACAAAAAGGCAAGAGACAGGAAGTAAATATATGCCCATCAAAAAGATTAAAAACACTTGGAGCAATTTTTAAAAATCTGTATTAAAAGAATTTTTAGAACATAAGTGGGTGCTTATGTGTAAAATAATATACAAGAAAGTAATTTATTTAGCCTATATATATATAACTGATCATTTTAACCCTTGTAGCCAAAAAGTAGAAGCACCCACTTATGTGCAGAGGGTACAGATATCTTTTCCAGAAAGAAATGAAAAACACTGCACCATGAAGTGCCGTTATTTTTATCTTGATTTCAAGGAAGAGAAGACCCTGTCTGATGACTTTCTGTCATTAAAGTATATTTTGAATGAAAGGATCATTTACCCATTTATTCCACAAATATTTAGAGATTCAGATACTTTTCATACCATGAACTCCCCAACCCTCCGAAGAAAAAGGGACCTCATCTAGATCACAAGCCCCTCTTCTTAGGAAACTGGAACTGTTACTATCACTCCAACCCCAGCTGTCACTTGGCTAAGCCCCACTCATTCTTTAGTCCTCCAACTATTCTTCAGGGAGACCTCATCTCCTTGGACCTTAACTGGCCTCTGCCCTCTGGGCATTGCCTTCCTCAGTACCCGTGGATGGGCCCAGTCATCAAACCCATTGCAGACACGGAGGGCTTCTCTAAACTGTGAGTACAAGGAAGGGCCAGGAAACCCTTGAGCCAAACCTGCTGACATGGAAGTCCTATGTACATATATGTAGACATACAGAATAAGTATGTTTGTAGGCATTCTTTAGTTCCAAGATAGGGGATTTCTTCTCTTTTCCACCATATTTTGTTTTGCATTTTAAAATGCTTATTTTGTGCTGAGCGCGGTGGCTCACGCCTGTAATCCCAGCACTTTGGGAGGCTGAGGCGGGTGGATCACTTGAGGTCAGGAGTTTGAGACCAGCCTGGCCAACATGGTGAAACCCCGTCTCTACTAAAAATACAAAAATTAGCCAGGCATGGTGGCAGGTGCCTGTAGTCCCAGCTACTTGGGAGGCTGAGGCACAAGGATCTCTTAAACCCAGATGGTGGAGGTTGCAGTAAGCCAAGATCGCACCACTGCACTCCAGCCTGAGCGACAGAGCGAGACTTTGTCTCAAAAAAATAAAAATAAAATAAAATAAAATAAGGCTGGGCGCGGTGGCTCACGCCTGTAATCCCAGCACTTTGGGAGGCTGAGGTGGGTGGATCACGAGGTCAGGAGATCGAGACCACCCTGGCTAATATGGTGAAACCCCATCTCTACTAAAAATACAAAAATTAGCCAGGCGTGGTGGCGTGTGCCTGTAATCCTAGCTGCTTTGGAGGCTGAGACAGGAGAACTGCTTGAACCCAGGAGGCGGAGGTTGCGGTGAGCCAAGATTGAGCCATTGCACTCCAGCCTGGGCGACAAAGCGAGACTCTGCCTCTAAATAAATAAATAAATAATAAAATAAAATGCTTATTTTGAAATAATTTCAAACAGAAAACTTGTAAGAATAGAACAAAGAACTGTATATCCTCTATCCAGATTCCTCACTTGCTAAAATTTTACCCTGTATGCTTTTGTTTAGAGATAGTCTCCCTGTGTCATCCAGACTGGGGTGCAGGGGTGTGATCACAGCTCACCGCAGCCTCAACCTCCTGGGCTCAAGAGATCTCACCTCAGCTTCTCAAGTAGCTGGGACCGCAGGCGGGCAACCACCACACCCAGCTAATTTTTAATTTTTTTGTAGAGACGGGATCTCACTCTGTTGTGCAGGCTGGTCTTGAACTCCTGGGCTCAAGCAATCCTTCCACCTTGGCCTCCCAAATTGCTGGGATTACAGGCGTGAGCCATTGCACTTGGCTGCTAGTTTTCTCAATCAGAAGTGGTCGAGGTAACCTGTAAATAAGGATTAAAAATTTAAGATGTTCTAAAATAAAAAGAAGAAATTAGCTATTAAGCCATGAAAAGACTCAGGTGATATTTAAATGAATATTGTTAAGTGAAAGAAGCCAGTTTAAAAGGTTACATACTGTGATTCCAAGTATATGACATTTCTGGAAAAGGTGAAACTGATGAGGGAATAAAAGATCAGTGGTTGGCTGGGCATGATGGCTCATGCCTGTAATCCCAGCATTTTGGGAGGCTGAGGCGGAAGGATCACTTGAGGCCAAGACTTCAAGACCAGCCTGGGCAACATAGTGAGACTCCATCTCTATAATAAATAAATAATTGGTGGTTGCTTGGGGTTCCAGGGAAGGGATGGAAATTTTTAGTTTTATTAATAATTTGTAAATATTAATATATGTGGTGTGTGGCTTCTATTTGGATTCTTACTTTAGGACCTGTGAGGGGTGGGCTTAGAATATTGCATAGATGGGCCGGGCGCTGTGGTTCACGCCTGTAATTCCACCACTTTGGGAGGCCGAGGTGGACGGATCATGAGGTCAGGAGTTCAAGACCAGCCTGGCCAACATAGTGAAATCCCATCTCTACAAATACAAAATAATACAAATACAAAAACACAAAAAAATTAGCCGGGCATGGTGGTGGGCGCCTGTAGTCCCAGCTACTGGGGAGGCTGAGGCAGGAGAATCGCTTGAACCCAGGAGGCGGAGGTTGTGGTGAGCCAAGATCACGCTACTGCACTCCAGCCTGGGCGACAGAGCGAGACTCTGTCTCAAAAAAAAGAACACTGTATAGATGTTCTTCTTAAAGAAAAGCAAATTTGGAAGAACTTGTTCCACCAGATGTCAGAGCACATATAACTTAGCACAGCATGGTACTGCTGCAGGGATAGACAAGCAGATAAATGAAGGTGGATGGAAAGCACAGCAGCATGCCCAGCATGGACCCTTGGTCTATGATCAAGGTGTTATTACAGATCAATGGGGAAGGGCAGACCTTTCAAAACAGTGGTTCTGAGCTGGGTGAGGTGGCTTATGCCTGGAATCCCAGTGCTTTGGGAGGCTGGGGCGGGAGGATTGTTTGAGGCCAGGAGCTCAAGACCAGCCTTGGCAACATGGTGAAACCCTGTCTCTACAAACAATAAGAAAATTACCTGGATGTGGTGGCGTGTACCTGTAGTCCCAGCTACTCAGGATGCTGAGGTGGGAGGGTCACTTGAGCCCAGTTGTTCAAGGTTATAGTGAGCTATGACTGCACTACTGCACTCCAGCCTGGGTGACAGAGTGAGACCCTGTCTAAAAAAAAAAAAAAAATCTGAGCCCAATTGCATATCTATAGGGAAAAATAAATAAATAAAATTGGTTCCCTATTGCACACTATCCACCAAACATCAACTCACAGGATATTATAGATCTGAACATGAAAGGCAGAACTAGGCCCAGTATGGTGGCTCATGCCTGTAATCCCAGCACTTAGGGAGGCTGAGATGGGGGGATCACTTGAGCTCAGGAGTTCAAGACCAGCCTGGGCAACATAGTGAGACCTCATCTCAACTGAAAATTTAAAAATCAGTTGGGCCTAGTGGCATGCACCTGTAGTCCCAGCTACTCGGGAGGCTGAGGCACCAGAATCACTTGAACCTGTAAGGCAGAGGTTGCAGTGAACCATGGCTGCGCCACTGCACTCCAACCTGGATGACAGAGTGAGACAGTGTCTCAGAAAAAAAAAAAAAAAAGAGAAAGAAAGAAAGGCAGAACTAACTGTAAAGCCTTTAGTAAATAATGGAGTTTTGTAAATCAATATAAAAAGAAGAAACACAATGGAAAAGAATAACTATCAGCAACTCACAGTGAAGGAAGTTCAGATGACATCTAAACATGTGAAAAAGGGCTCTGTCTCACTAGAAACAAGGAAATTGCACATTAAAACCACAATAAGATTGTCAAACATGGCCAGGCGCGGTGGCTCACGCCCATAATCCTAGCACTTTGGGAGGCCGAGGCTGGCGGATCACGATGTCAGGAGATTGAGACCATCCTGGCCAACATGGTAAAACCCCGTCTCTACTAAAAATACAAAAATTAGCTGGGCGTGGTGGTAGGCGCCTGTAATCCCAGCTACTCGGGAGGCTGAGGCGGGAGAATAGCTTGAACCAGGGAGTCAGAGGTTGCAGTGAGCCAAGATCGCACCACTGCACTCTAGCTTGGTGACAGAGCCAGACTCCATCTCAAAAAAAAAAAAGATTGTCAAACATGTAAAAGTCTGATGGAACTGTCAATAGGTGTATTGTCATTGGAAATAGCTTGGCGATATCTATTAACTTTAAGGATACACACTCTCTATCAGCCAGAGATGCAAACACATGTCCACAGAGCCTAAGGAGGCATCTCTTTACTATGTGGGTCATGCCAGTGCAGGATTTCTCTAAATATTTTAGTTGGTGCACAGATCTTAAACCCCAGTGATTTGACCCGTGGGAGCCCATTTCTAACATCCACAAGCTAATAACAAACACTAATGTTGCAAATGAAAAGACATTTAAAATGCTCATTTTACAAATTATCAAAGCCTCCAGTGTTGCATGGTAGATAAACAACTATTAGTAGCCTTCCACAGTGACACCTTTCTTTTTTTTTTTTTTTTTGAGACTGAGTCTCACTCTGTCACCCAGGCTGGAGTGCAGTGGCATGATCTCGGCTCACTGCAACCTCTGCCTCCCGGGTTCAAGTGATTCTCATGCCTCAGCCTCCTGAGTAGCTGGGATTACAAGCATGGGCCACCACACCCGGCTAATTTTTGTATTTTTATTAGAGACGGTTTCACCACGTTGGCCAGGCTGGTCTCGAACTCCTGGCTTCAAGTGATCCACCCGCCTGGGCCTCCCAAAGTGCTGGGATTACAGGCATGAGCCACTGCGCCCAGCCCACAGTGAGACCTTTCTAATCAAATGTCAGCTCACTGTGCATGGTTAGGAACTCCCAATTAGAATGACTTGTTGTCCTCAGGTGTCAATTAAGACCAACCTACCTGAGGCAGACACTCTGATGTGCCTCCTGGATCCCACTTCAAGCAGGGGCTTGTTTTTCCAGCACTGGCAGTGCTGTGAGCAGATAGCTCTCAATTGCCAGCCCCTTCAGGAGTGGCCTCAGCTGCGGAAAGCCTCCTTGTGCAAGGGCATACCCTTCCCAGGGCAGTCCACATCCACAATTGATCAATGAGGGGATACGAAGGCCTGGTCATCTTCAGCCAGCTCGAGAAATCTCTGATGGACCAACGTAGCTCCAGAACTTTCCTGCAGGATCATCCAAGGCTGTGCTAGGGACTGTATCATAGCTGTATGGTCCCTCTGTCCAATCCTACCTCTTCCGCTTTCCTTCACATGCATTGATAGCAAGTAAACAGTCTGTGCGCTCAACTCCATCTCAGAGCCGGCTGGTTAGAAAAACCAACCTCCCAGCACTTTGGAAGGCCGAGGCGGGCGGATCACTTGAGGTCAGGAGTTCGAGACCAGCCTGGCCAACAGGGTGAAACCCCGTCTCTACTAAAAATACAAAAATTAGCTGCGTGTGGTGTTGAGTGCCTGTAATCTCAGCTACTCAGGAGGCTGAGGCAGGAGAATCACTTGAACCCAGGAAGCAGAGGTTTCAGTGAGCTGAGATCATGCCACTGCACTCCAGCCTGGGTGACAGAGCGAGACTCCATCTCAAAAAAAAAAAAAAGAAAAACCAACCTGCAATATCTCCTTTTTATCTTGCTGCCTATGCTGTAAGGTTTTAAAGGAAATGATAAACATTGTGACTACCTGATTAGATGGATGAGTCTTTGGCTTCAAGGTACATGGTTTCAGAGCTGGGCGTGGTGGCTCATGCCTGAAATCCCAGCGCTTGGGGAAGCTGAGGTGGGAGGATCACTTGAGCCCAGGAATTTGAGACCAGCCTGAGCAACACAGTGAGACCTCATCTGTACAGAAAATTAAAAAATTAACTGGGCCTGGTTGTGCACGCCTGTAGTCCCAGCTACTGAGACTCCAGAGGCTGAGTTGGGAGGATCCCTTGAGCCCAGCAGTCTGAGGCTTCAGTGAGCCGTGATCATGCCACTACACTCCAGCCTGGGTGACAGAGCAAGACCCTGTCTCAAAAAGTACATGGTTTCAACAAACTTATGTATATAATATAAAGTTAATATTATATATCTAGATTACACCTCAAGTTGCAAACTTTCAGCCTACTGTGAAATGTGTGCATTTTGAATGAAGATACAAATGGAAAAAGTTATTTAACTCAGCTTGGTTTTCTATTAGTTTGCACAAATACAAAGTCACTCAGACTGTTGGATAAAACATGAAAACCTGCCCTCTAGTTGTAAAAATATATATATATTGCTCTAGAAATTGAGAATTGTATCTGAATTAGAACTTCGTATTAAGAGCCAGGCATGGGCCAGGCACGGTGGCTCACGCCTGTAATCCCAGCACTTTGGGAGGCCAAGGCAGGTGGATCACCTGACGTCAGGAGTTCGAGACCAGCCTGGCCAATATGGTGAAACCCCATCTCTACTGAAAATACAAAAATTAGCTGGGAGTGGTGGTAGGCACCTGTAGTCCCAGCTACTTGGGAGGCAGAGGCAGAAGAATTGCTTGAACCCAGGAGGTAGAGGTTGCAGTGAGCCGAGATTGTGCCACTGTACTCTAGCCTGGGCAACAGAGCCAGACTTCGTCTCAAAAAAAAAAAAAAAAAAAAAGATGTCATTTCTCACAAGAGCTCCACTTTTTAAACAGGAAGTTTAAGTGAAACTCACTCTTCTGTGGCATTCTCAATAGATTCAGTACCATGTTTTTAGCATCAATCAAAATCATTCTAATATTATAATACAGATGACATTGTTTCAGGAACAAGATTGGGATAAAAGAGTAAACACAGATTTAGAGGAGCTAGGGTAGGCCTGCTGTGAAAGACAGATCTAGGACCCCTCATTCTGTCCCTACCGAGTTCAGCTTTCTCATCCTTGGGACCAGGGAGGGAGAAAAGAGGTTCTTATTTTCCATATCTGCTGAACCTTGACTTTGTCAGCTTTTGCCTGGACTGATCCCAACTTCAGACACCCCACTCTACATTTGTGCCACAAGACATCTCTTTTTCCTTCTGTATTGAAAAAGAGTGCTCATGAGATAGAGTAATGTTTAGACTTAGGCCAGGGGCAGTGGCTCATGCCTGTAATCCCAGCACTTTGGGAGGCCGAGGTGGGTGGATCACCTGAGGTCAGGAGTTCGAGACCAGCCTGGCCAACATGGTAAAACCCTGTCTCTACAAAAATACAAAAATTAGCCGGGTGTGGTGGTGGGTGCCTGTAATCTCAGCTACTTGGGAGGCTGAGGCAGGAGAATCACTTGAACCTGGGAGGCAGAGGTTGCAGTGAGCCGAGATCGCACCACTGCACTCTAGCCTGGGTGATAAGAGCGAAACTCCATCTCAAAAAAAAAAAAAATTTAGACTTGAAAATTAGGCATCGCCTATAAAATGTCAAAGGTTGTCAGGTGAGTGCATTTGCGGATATCAGTAACTTATTGTTTTTTAGTGATTTCCCAAGGAAACATAAAAGACATTTGAATATTTTCCTTCCATGCCCCTGGATAACATCATCTTTGATCATGGAGTTATTGAGAACTTGAATCTGAGACAAAAAATGTTGTGTAATCTAGAGGAAAGAAACGTTCCCAGATCAGTTTTTTGTTTTGTTTTGTTTTGTTTTTGAGACAGGGTCTTGCTCTTTCACCAGGCTGGGGTGCAGTGGCCTGATCATAGCCCACTGCAGCCTCAATCTCCCATGCTGAAGCAATCCTCAGGCCTCAGCCTCCCAAGTAGCTAGGACTACAGGTGTGTGCCACCATGCCCAGCTAATTTTTTGATTTCTTGTAGAGATGGGGTTTCACTTTGTTGCCCAGACTGGTCTTGAACTCCTGGGCTCAAGCAGTCCTCCTGCCTTGGCCTCCCACAGTGCTGGGTTTACAGGTGTGAGCCACCTTAAACAAGATCCCATCCTTGAACAAGAAATATGGTGTATTACTTGCTTGGGCTGCCATGACAAAATACACAGAGACTTGGGGGCTTAAACAATAGACATTTATTTTCTCATAGTTCTGGAGGCAGGTACAGGCAAGGTAGATTTATTCTGAGGCTACTTGTCTGGGTTTGTAGGTGGCCGCTCTCTCGCTGTGTGCTCAGGTGACCTCTTTTTTGGGCATGAGAGGGGACGAGGTCTTGGTGTCTTTTTTTATGAGGACACCAGTCCCTCAGATCGGCATCCCACTCTTATGACCTCATTAAACCTTAATTGCTTCTTTAGAGGCCCTATCTCCAAATATAGCCACACTAGGGGTTAGAGTTTCCCACATATGAGTTTTGGGACTCAAACATTGAGTCCATAACATGGTTAAGGTGCCTTCATTCTCTACCATAAATAACAAGCTAAATGTACTAGACACACCTGTTCCCCATAAATATATTGGTAACATTTCATTAGATATTAAAGCTGAGGATGAAATTCTATAGCATAGTACTTTTTATTCCAGAGGGCTCAGAGAATATTCTCTCTATGCCTAAAGATATTTATGTTTCATATAAAAGAGGTGACTGGTGCCAGGTGCGGTGGCTCATGCTTGTAATCCCAGCACTTCGGGAGGCTGAGGCAGGCGGATCACGAGGTCAGGAGTTTGAGACCAGCCTGACCAACATGGTGAAACCCCGTCTCTACTAAAAATACCAAAATTAGCCAGGCGTGGTGGCGCTCACCTGTAAACCCAGCTAATCAGGAAGCTGAGACAGGAGAATCGCTTGAACCCGGGAGGTGGAGGTTGCAGTGAGCCGAGATTGTGCCACTGCACTCCAGCCTGGGGGATAGAGCGAGACTCCGTCTCAAAAAAAGAAAAAAATAAATAAAAAAAAAGAGGTGACTGACAGAAATATTGTGCTGAAGTATATTGTGTATCTAGACTGTTTCTTTTTGAACCAGAATAGGTTCAGAGAGGCTTCTTGTAGACTATTTCTACACCAAGCATTTAACTGCTAGTCTAGAATTAATTAAACCCAGGGTTGACAGACAGTCCTTCTCAAGAGAAAAGATACTCTGTGTAGAGAAACTTCTCCTGCCAGTGTGAAAGAAGCCAAAAGTTTTGGGGTAAACAGCAGCTTTTAAACAGACTTTGGGGCCGGGCACGGTGGCTCATGCTTGTAATCCCAGCACTTTGGGAGGCTGAGGAGGGCGGATTATTTGAGGTCAGGAGTTTCAGACCAGCCTGGCCAACATGGTGAAACCCTGTCTCTACTAAAAATACAAAAATTAGCCGGGCCTGGTGGCACGCACCTGTAGTCCCAGCTGCTCAGGAGACACAGGTTGCAGTGAGCCAAGATCATGCCACTGCACTCCAGCCTGGGCGACAGAGCGAGACTCCACCTCAAAAAAAAAAAAAAAAAAAAAAAAGAGAGAGACTTTGGGGCCAGATGCAATGGCTCACGCCTATAATCCCAACATTTTTGGGAGGCTGAGGTAGGAGGATAGCTTGAGCCCAGGAGTTTGAGATCAGCCTGGGCAACATAGGGAGACCCTGTCTCTATGAAAAAAAAAAAAAGTAATCGTGGTGGGGGGTGGCACGTGCCTTGTAATCCTAGCTACTCAGGAGGCTGAGGTGGGAGGATCACTTGAGCCTAGAAGTTTGAGGCTGCAGCGAGCCATGATTGTGCCACTGCACTCCAGTCTTGGTGACCAGAGTGAGTCCCTATCTCAAAAAAGAAAGAAAGAAAGAAACTTTGGCCAGAGTTATATCATTACTTTGAGAAAAGCACCCAAGGTATTGGTTTTGCAGATTGTGCGGAGTCATTAAGAAAAGGAACAGGCACTTCTGCTTCTAGCCAAAATCAATTAACAGGGACCAAATGTAACTTCCCATCTGAAACAGCCAAAAAATCCCAGACTATGTAAGTGAAACAAAGGTTTTAAAGACACTGGATATCAGGCAATGTAGGACAGTGGCCCCTGAGAAATGGGAAATAAACAAGGTGAGCCCTATGACTGTCGCAGCTCACTGCCGTGATAAGGGATAGAGTTTCCAGGCCATAGCACAGAGAGGAGGAATTGAGGTGAAATCTGGTAGACTCCTTGAATCGAATACATTTCTTTGTCATAATATTGTACTATAGTTTTGCAATATGTTATTATGGGGGGAATTTGGCAAAAGGATACACTAATCTCTCTGTGTTCTTTTCTCTTCTTTTCTCGATGGGAAGGTGGGGGTGGGGACAGGGTCTGTTGCCCAGGCTGGAGTACAGTGGTGTGATCACACCCATTGCAGCCTTGACCTCCTGGGCTCAATTGATCCTCCCACCTCAGCCTCCTGAGTAGCTGGGACTACAGGTGTGTGCCACGGGGAAAAATACACTGTATTAACACCGGTGAAAAGAAAGCTGGGGTAGCTATACAAATATCACACAATTTAGATTCCAGAGCAAAAAATATATAATGGAAAAGAAGGCCATTCCATAATGATAAAGCAGTCAATTAATCAAGAGAACATAACAATGCTAAACACTTATGTACCTGGCCAGGTGTGGTGGCTCACGCCTGTAATCTCAGCACTTTGGGAGGCCAAGATAGGTGGATCACCTGAGGTCAGGAGTTCGAGACCAGCCTGGCCAACATGGTGAAACCCCGTCTGTACTAAAAATACAAAAATTAGCCAGGTGTGGTGGCGCATACCTGTAGTCCTAGCTACTCGGGAGGCTGAGGCAGGAGAATCGCTTGAATCCGGGAGGCAGAGGTTGCAGTGAGCCGATATCACGCCACTGCACTCCAGCCTGGGTAACAGAGTGAGACTCAGTCTCAAAAAAATAAAAAATAAAAATAAAAAAAACAAAAGACACTTATGCACCTAAAACAGAGCTTCAAATTACATGAAGCAAAGCCAACAGAATTGCAGGGAGAAATAGATTTCAATTCCCCTCTTTCAAAAGCTGATAGAGCAAGTAAGCTAAAAAATATCAACAAGGATTTACTTGATGTGAACAACATTGTATTAGTTTGCTAGGGCTACCATAACTAAATACCACAGACTGAATGGCTTAAACAACAGAAATTTATTTTCTTCTCATTCTAAAGCTGGAAGTTCAAGATCAAGGTGTCAGCAGCTTTTGTTCCTCCTGAGCCCTTGCTCCTTGGCTTACAGATGGCCACCTTCTTGCTGTGTCCTCACATGGCCTTTTTTTGTGCACTCGTGCCCCTGCTGTCTCTTTCTCATCTTTTTTTTTTTTTTTTGGGGTGGGGGGTCAAGTTCTTACTCTGTCACCCAGGCTGAAGTGCAATCATATCTCACTGTAACCTAAAAGTCCTGGGCTCAAGTGATCCTCCCACCTCAGCCTCCTGGGAAGCAGGGACTAGAGGTGCACACCCCAATGCCCAGCTAATTAATTTTTTTTTTTTGTAGAGATGGGACCTCACTATGTTGCCCAGGTTGGTCTTCAACTCCTGGTCTCAAGTGATTCTTCCACCTCGCTGCCCAAGGTGCTGGGATTACAGGTGTGAGTCACTCCACCCCACCTCTTCCTCTTCATTTTTTTTTTTTTTTGTTTGTTTTTGAATTTTGCTCTTGTCGCCCAGGCTAGAGTGCAATAGCGCGATCTTGACTCACTGCAACCTCTGCCTCCTGGGTTCAAGGGATTCTCCTGCCTCGGCCTCCCAAAGTGCTGGGATTACAGGTGTGAGCCACTACGCCCAGCCTTCCTCTTCTTACAAGAACACCAATTCTATTGGATTAGGACCCCACCATTATGAACTCATTTAACCTTAATTTCCTCTTTTAAAGGCCCTATCTCAAAATACAGTCACACTGGGGGTTAAGGCTTCAACATGTAATTTTTGGGGAAACACAATTTAGTCCATAACAAACACTACTGGCCAGCACTGGCTGACCTGGGTACCTGCAGGCCACCAGGATTGCTAAAACATCTGTCGATGCTGTGACTGAACCTTCTGAAATGAAACTAGACTTCATTTTGGATTATTGGGGTGTTTATTCTTGTGTAATCTTATCAGTGTCCTTGAACTTGGATCATTCAATAAGTACTGCCAAGGGACATAGATATTTGCTTTGATACTTTAATAATTTCAGTGGTGATGACAGTGATAACAGGAACAGTTAATAAGTACTACACAGTCACTATGCATCAGGCATTCTGTAAAGTTTGATGCAGATTAGTTCACAGAATCTTACAAGAACCCTATGGTGAAAATACTTTTAGAAAATATTAAAGATGTTAAAGCCTATAATCAGTTGACTTAAAGTTAAAAAAAAATTAAAGATGAAACAGACACCAAGAGAAGAAACAGCTTGTCCAAGATCGCACAGTTATTAATACATAGCAGGACCTGAGGATATTCACACACACTAACTAGATAAGTGGTCAAGTATTAAGGCATTCTGGGTAACTTCAGAATTGATTTTCTCATACCACATCATGGTAGGCAACATTTACATGGGTGACAAAAACTATTGCAAGCTATTTTATACTATATACAGAGAGGACTACATGTTATATTATATCAATAATGATATAGCAAAGACAACATGTGGTTCACTTATCCAGAAAAAATGAAAATTATTTGGAGTATATTTGAAATTTCATTTACAATAATTTTATAAATTGAATCAAAATTTATTAAATATAGATGATGTAAACCAACAGATATTACACTTTTTTTTCTCCTATGATGGGTGGTGAAATCTACTGTGGGTCAGTGTATATGTGCTTGGAATAAATGTGTAAACCTTGAGAAAATTTTTACAAAGTGTATTTCTGATTGAAACCAAAAGAAGACATTTCAGAATTCCTTGTTTGGTGGAAATGCTTTTTGTTTCTTTGTTTAATTAATTACACTTTAAAAATAATTGCTGACCATACTGAATTGCAATCCCTACCAAGGGAGCTACCAGGGAGGGAGAGAGGTGTCTGTCACTGTCCATGGCATCTTAAAGGTTGCCCCCACTGCTCAGTGTTTGTTTATGGGTTCATATTGATCCCTTTGCTTAACTAGTAAATATTTTCCTATTTGAGAAATAATCATACTTAGCACAGAATGTCCTCATCAGAGTAAATCTTTAATAATAAAATTATACGACTGTTATTTGGTTTAATCATGTTTTTCCACTCATCTGATCCTTGGGTTTGGAAGTGGAAAATATATCAGCCTGCACTTTTTTTTTTTTTTTAAAGGAGTCTCGCTGTGTCGCCCAGGCTGGAGTGCAGTGGCGTGATCTTGGCTCACTGCAAACTCTGCCTCCCGGGTTCACACCATTCTCCTGCCTCAGCCTCCTGAGTAGCTGGGACTACAGGTGTCCACCACCATGCCCGGCTAATTTTTTTGTATTTTTAATAGAGAAGGGGTTTCACCTGTGTTAGCCAGGATGGTCTCGATCTCCTGACCTCGTGATCCACCCGCCTCGGCCTCCCAAAGTCAGCCTGCACTTTTGTTTAATTTTATGAAAATATGGAGGTACCCTATATAACATATAATGAACTTAAAAAAAATAATTAAACAGGCCGGGCGTGCTGGCTCACGCCTGTAATCCTAGCACTTTGTGAGGCCAAGGTAGGCATATTGCCTGAGCTCAGGAGTTCGAGACTAGCCTGGGCAACATGGTGAAACCCCGTCTCACTAAAATACAAAATATTAACCGGGCGTGGTGGCGCACGCTGTAGTCCCAGCTACTCGGGAGGCTGAGGCAGGAGAATGCTGTGAACCCGGGAGGCAGAGCTTGCACTGAGCCGAGATCTCGCCACTGTACTCCAGCCTGGGCGACAGAGCGAGACTCTGTTTCCAAAAACAAACAAACAAACAAAACAAAAAAAAAAAAAACACAAAAAAACCCCCAAAACTCTGTCTGTTAAATGGTGTGTTTTTCATAGGGATAGCAAATTGAAATTACTACTCAATGAATTTTGCTAAGAAAGACTTTTTAATAAGAACAGTTAAAAAGTCATGGTTAAATTCACTTACTTGTAAATTTCCTACACCTCTCCCCCCAGGGTTGTATATTAAAAATCCCTTCTAGGAATGTACAGAAGTGGAAACTTCCACACTCTACTTTTATTAAGGATTTCGATGGAACAATTACTGTTGCCTCATCACTGATTTAAAAGCAACATTAAGTTCCTTGTTTGTAGCCGGTCTCAGGCCCACACACCTCCCATTGGCCACCTCCTGTGCATAGCTATTGGTCTGTCAGTGGCTCCGTGGTGAAGTAGAGCCTATCAATGCCCAGGGTATCCCAAGGCCCGCCTTCTACTGCACTGCTATTGGCAGATCTCGCTGCCTGTTGGGGGGGGCCTGTTGCGGAGAGAGGCTCCCTGGGTTGGCAGAGAGGAGCTGGTGGTTGAGGGGCCTGAGTCAAACCTGTGTTCCCGGTCTCAGAGAAATGTGCATGCACGGTCAACTCCCCCGAAATGAACAGCTGAGAGGACGGCGGTGGGAGGGGGTCCCAGAGATGGCGCTCTCCAGGCCGCAGCAGGGGCCGGTGAGGTCGGCGGCTTTGGAAAATGAGAGTCGCACGTTTTAGAGGAGGTCCCCAGGCACGCAGGACTGCTGGGTGGATCTGGGATTCCTTAAGGAGGTGCCCATGGCCCGCACCCTTGTTAAACACTTTTTATCAAACGAAGTCCTGGAGCACTCTCTCCTTTTCCCCTCTGGTTAGGGCAGCCTGAACCTTAATGTCCTCAGCTATAAAAGTAGCATTACAACGGCAGTCGGTGAACACTTCAGATTTTAAAAAATTTTCAGACATATTTCTGAGACTTTAAAATGAACAACAATAAAAACCAACAAGTACTTTGATAACTTTACATTTTTTTCCAGATGGATAATTACAAGGGGGATGTCAGAAAACTATAATCAACTAGTTTGGGTTTTAATTTTTGTCTTAATACATGGTACTTCTAATGGTTTAAATATGGTGGTGATGATAATGACAAAAAGTCAAAAAGGCCAGGCGCTGTGACATGCGTCTGTGGTCCCAGCTTTCTGGGAAGATGGCTTGAGCCCAGGAGGTCGAGGCCGCAGTGAGCTGTGATTGCACCACTGCACTCCAGCCTGGGTGACAGAGCGAGACTCTGTCGCAAAACAAAAGAAAACCAAACCTAAATCACTTTAAAGGACTTCATGCTTTAAAGTGTCAGGTACCTGTAAGGTACTTGGCTGAAGTGCCAGTTGAGATGGGTGTGAAGTGAGTCTATGAGTCCTTGGGGGAGAAAGCATTGCCTTTGAGTGGGCTATGTCCCCTACCCTTCCCCTCCTTCCCCCATCCTGCAAAAGCAATGAGCTTTTGCTGGCATTTTTCTCATCTTTTTGTAAACGTTGAACGATGGAGCCAGAGGTCTGTCTTCAAATACTGCCTAGAAATTAAAGTTTTTAAACAAATTAAATATTTAAGTGAATTGAAATGTAAAATGCACTCCCCTATTCCCCTCCCCAAAGCCCCTCACTGAGCTCCAAACAGGAGTTGTTCCTGACCCCACTGGCACTGAGGTGTTTGCCAGGGCTCCTGCAGTGGGAGATGGAGATTCAGGGTCTAGGGATTTAATTTCAGAAAAAAGAATTTTTTCAAAATAATTTCTCTAACCAATAAGAATTTCTAAGAAACAAATGTTTAGAATTATGTTTGTGGCCTTCTTCTTTTTTTTTTTTTTTGCCATGCAGTTCTTATTCTGGTATATTACACATAAAGCAAAATATATCCATTTTCAGTGTAGAGTTCAATGAGGCTGGGCAAGGTGGCTCATGCCTGTAATCCCAGCACTTTGGGAGGCCGAGGTGGGAGGATCACTTGAGCCCAGGAGTTTAAGAACAGCCTGGGCAACATAGTGAGACTCCATCTACACAGAAAATTTTAAAAATTAGCTGAGTGTGGTGGTGCATGCCTGTAATCCCAGCTACTTGGGAGGCCGAGGTGGGAGAATTACTTAAGCCCAGGAGGTCAAGGCGCAGTGAGCCATGACCGTGCCACTGCACTCCAGTCTGGGTGACAGAGCCAGACTCTGTCTCAAAAATAAAAAAAGATAATAATAAAAATAGAGTTCAATGAGTTCTGACAAATGCATACAGAACATTCCAATCACCTGCAAAAGTTCTTTAATGCACTTCTCAGTCATTCTCCCTCAAAACAACATCTAATGTGATTTCCTTCACTATAGATTAGTTTTGCCTGGTTTAGATTTCATATGGGTGGAATACAGTATTTCTCTTTTGTGTCTGGCTTTTTTCATTTTGCCCCATGTCTACGAGATTCATCTATGCTCTTCCTATATGTCAGTAATTTATTCCCTTTCATTGCTGAGTAGTATTCCATAATCCCATTGTTGTATTTTTTTGTCAGTTCTGTTTCTGGACACCTGGGCTGTTTCCAGTTTTTTGCTATTAAGAAAAAGCTAATCTGAACATTTGCATACAAGTTTTTGTGCAGACATATTGTAATAGTAGCATGTTGTAGCTGGCTCACCAGAGCGGATTTTGTGCATCTCTTTTAAATCTGGTTCAGCGACTGTCATATTGGTAGCCTGAAATAAGCCATGGGGACAGTACAAATTAGAGCTGTTTTCTTCCTGGAGCGTTGGTTGTCAAACATTTACCAGCACACCATTGGACATGTGTTTTCATTTCTCTAGAGTAAATACCTAGGAGTGAGATTGCTGGATTGATTGCATGGCAGGTCTATGTTTAATTTTATATGAAACTGCCAAACTGTTTCTAAAGTGCTTGTGCCACTTTACACTCCCAATAGCAATGTATGAAAGTTCCAATTGCTCTACATTATCATCAATACATAGTATTGTCAGTCTTTTTAATTTTATCCATTGGAGTTGGGCATGGTGGCTCATGCCTGTAATCCTAGAGTGTTGGGAGAACGAGGCCAGGAGCTCGACACCAGCCTGGGCAACATAGTGAGATCCTGTCTCTAAAAAAAAAAAAAAAATTTTTTTAGCCATTAAATGGTGAAGATCCGAATAGAAAAGTGGAGTTGGGGCCAGGTGTGGTGGCTCAAGCCTGTAATCCCAGCACTTTGGGAGGCCGAGGTGGGCAGATCACTTGAGGTCAGGAGTTTCAGAGCAGCCTGGCCAACATAGTGAAATCCCGTCTCTACTAAAAATATAAAAATTAGCCAGGCATGGTCGTGGGCGCCTGTAGTCCCAGCTACTCAGGAGGCTGAGGCAGGAGAATCACTTGAACCCAGGAGGCGGAGGTTGCAGTGAGCCAAGATCTTGCCACTGTACTCCAGCCTGGGTGACAGAGCAAGGCTCTGTCTCAAAAAAAAAAAAAAAAAAAAAAAAGAAAGAAAAGAAAAGAAAAGAAAAGGGGAGTTGGGAAATGGAAATTATATGGGAGGCCAGTAGGCAGAACTTCTGTCTTCCTTCTTATAGACAGAGAAAGCCATGTGATAAATACAGATTGAAATATGTTGAGGCCCCCCCTCACCTATGACCTTCCTCTGATCTTTCCCATTACATTGCCAAAGGATGCTAAATCTCCAAACAGGAGAATGCAGTCACTTGAAACACAACAGGCCATTCATGGTGTTGGGGAAATAATTAAAAAGAGAATCTCGTGCCAACCCAATGAATCCTCTCCACAAAGTAGACAAGAATGAAAAGTTTTTTTTTGTTTTTTGTTTTATTGAGACAGGGTCACTCTGTCACCCAGGCTGGAGTGCAAGTGGCAAGTGGCGTGATCTCAGCTCACTGCAATCTCTGTCTCCTGGGTTCAAGTGATTCTCCTGCCTCAGCATTCTAGGTAGCTGGGATTACAGGCGCGCGCCACCGCGCCCAGCTGACTTTTTTTTTTTGCATTTTTAGTAAAGACGGGGTTTTGCCATGTTGGCCAGGCTGGTCTCGAACTCCTGGCCTCAAGTGATCCGCCCGCCTTGGCCTCCCAAAGTGCTGGGATTACAGGCATCAGTCACCGCACCCGGCAGGAATGGAAAGTTTTATAACTGAATAAGCATTACACCAGACTGTGATGCACATCACAAACAATCTGCTAAAGAGGTTTCAAAGACAGAAAGAAATCTCATCCGTTTATGTAGCAGGCAGATACAGCCCATTACAAACATATTCTCAAACAATAACTTGTGCTCAAGAAACTTGACGGCACCATTTGGTACACATACTTCATCCCAAATTCACCTGGTAATTAGGGTGGCTATCTGTGTTAGTTAATTGCCTTTATCCAAAGGAAAACGAAAACTCATATCTCTATGACAAGCAGGTAATAACTTGAAGCCAGGCACGCAGATCAAATTCCCACGAAGACAGGGAAAGACAGGGGTGCTATTTTCATTGATGTTTACATTTCAAAGAGATGGCTACAAGGCTCTTAAGAAAAACATTCCGGGGATGTAAAACTGGCAAGAGATTTAGCTTTTAAAAGGACTTACATACATCTCAAAGGGACAGAGAAAATTTTACAGTTACAAGTTTTCTAAAGGAAATGCTCTAAGAGAGACGTCTTTCTCTTTTGACACC
The DNA here is from genome assembly GCF_000001405.40 of Homo sapiens. Taxonomy (NCBI): domain Eukaryota; kingdom Metazoa; phylum Chordata; class Mammalia; order Primates; family Hominidae; genus Homo; species Homo sapiens. The sequence goes on from NC_000023.11 coordinate 47,560,510, forward strand.
AGGGAAAATTCGATCTTTAAAAATTTGTGTTTACCCCACAATACCTCCACACATTGACTGGCATCGTGCTCCCTTCCAGGTCCGCACTTCCCTCTTCACCTGGCCACCTGTGACTAGTTTTTCATAGTCCTAATCAACCCCATTCCTAAAGGAAGCCTCCCAGACAGCAGGCCGCCCCTCCTAGGCCCAGTCCCCCAGCCCCCGCCACACCAGAGACCCGCTGTCCTCAAAGGCTATGAACTACAGTCTCCTAGAGCTGGTGAACATCGCCGATCATTGGTTCTGATTCCAACCCATTTCAAAGATGGTAAAAACTGAGACACGGGAAAATCATAAAAGGGTGCTTAGGGCACTGGCCCAAAAAGGGTACTTAAGGATTTCTCCGCCCAGATGCCAAAGCCCTAAGGTCAGCCCCAAATGACCTGTGTTCTGCTTTATACGTCTATGCCACTGTTGGGGTTAAAGCCCTAGGCACGCAGGTCTTGCCTCAACTGCGCCTGCGCGAGTCAGGACGAGCGCTTGCCCCAGATCTTGACGTTTCAGGCGGCCCCTCCTAATCCGGAACACGACTCACATTCCGTTGGTCTTGCCTTGACAGACGTGACCCTGACCCAATAAGGGTGGAAGGCTGAGTCCCGCAGAGCCAATAACGAGAGTCCGAGAGGCGACGGAGGCGGACTCTGTGAGGAAACAAGAAGAGAGGCCCAAGATGGAGACGGCGGCGGCTGTAGCGGCGTGACAGGTGAGGGCGGGCCCGGGAGGGCTCGGTTTCTGGAGCGGCTGCCGGGCACGGGCAGGGAGCCCGGACCGAAAGCTCAGCTCCAGGATGGCTGCGCCTGGGCCCCGGCGTTCCCTGCCCGGAACCGGAGGAGTGGTTTGACCCGGGGCGAGACCATCGTCGACAGCGGGGGTGGGGTGGGTAACAGGAATAGGCGGGCAAGGCTGCGGGTGATGGTTTCGCCCGCTGCTAGTGGTGGTGCGCCTGCGCAGAGCCGGAAGCCCTTTGGTAGGCGGGACCCGACCGAGTGGTGCCGGGATTCCGTCTTAACCCCCGCTAAGGTGTCCAATGACCTTTCCTTACCAACTGCGGGGAGTGTGTGGAAACGCGGTTCACTCCCCGGTTTCCTTATTCTGGATCAGTGTCTGACCGCCCCCGCCGGGAGAATGTCAGGATTCTCGCCTCTGTAACCGCCTTCCATGATCCCTCATTCAGTTTAGACCAGTAATATGCCTGTGACCCCTCACAGGTTGTCAAGGAGAATTTTGGAGCTCCCTCTTTACCTCCATTTTTCTCCCCGCAACACCATACCTTCCTTCTCCTTTTGCTATGACAATGTCTGGTGGTCCACCATTACCTCCCCAGTTCGGCTCAATGTCTGGTCATTTCCATTTCCACCCTTCTCCCCATTACAGTCCCTAGTGACGCCTGTTACATCTCCCTTCCGCATAGTATGTAGTGACCCCCCCCCCCCATGAATTCCTCATCATAGAGGCTTGGGACTTCCATTAGCCACCTAACAACGGTGTCTGTGGTCCTAACATCAACATTACACCCCAGGGCTTAGGGATGTCCACAGTGCCCTTTAAGGACATGTTTGGTGCAACCTCCATCTTCCCCAAACTAAGGGCAGTATCTGATAATCCTCTCTTTCCCATCACCGTGCCTGCGACTCCTCCCTCACCACAGTAACTGGCATTTCCCCCGTTCTCTGTTAAAAAACCAGGACACTTTGGGAGGCTGAGGCGGGTGGATCATCTGAGGTCAGGAGTTCGAGACCAGCCTGGCCAACATGGTGAAACCCCGTCTCTACTAAAAATACAAAAAATTAGCCGGGCGTGGTGGCACACGCCTGTAGTTCCAGCTACTCAGGAGGCTGAGGCGGGAGAATGGCTTCAACTTGGGAGGTGGAGGTTGCAGTGAGCTGAGACCATGCCATTGCACTCCAGCCTGGGCAACAAGAGCGAAACTCTGTCAGAAAAAAAAAAAAACAGAAAAAAAAAAAAAAAAAACCCAGGACATTCTGTTCGTGCTTCTTATGTACCTGACGGCTCAGTGCAGTGTGTACTGACTTCCCCATTGGTCCCCAGCACAGAGTCTTGTGTGCTCCTCTACCCTCCAAGACAGTATGCTCTGTCCCCCTTCCCTGTTCTCTCCCCCGCAACCCTGTGCAGTGAAGCTGAGACCTTGGCACTCAAGAGTGAGACAAGCAACAGGAGGGCCTGAGCAGAGAAGGAACTGGAAGGACTTCAGATGTGAGCAGGATCTCTTGGACTGTCGTGTGAAAATTAGGCTGCAGGGGGCGACAGGAGCCTGGACTTTGAATTTTATTTTGTCCCCTGCCACTTTGCTTCTAGACTATCATTATTGGACCTCTGAATTCTTGTCTGCCTTCTTGTAGGAGCCCCATGGCACCTGCCCAGCCCCACCTCAGCCCATCTTGACAAAATCTAAGGCTCCATGGAGCCACCACGGGGCCCCCCTGCCAATGGGGCCGAGCCATCCCGGGCAGTGGGCACCGTCAAAGTATACCTGCCCAACAAGCAACGCACGGTGGTGAGTCATGGAAGCGAAATGGCAGGGGCTGTGGATGGACCCAGTTGTAACTCTGGGATCAAAAGGGTGACAACGGTTGGGGGAGGCCTTTGCAGAAGGATGGGAACATCAGCTGCGCTTCTGTTGGGCATTGAGGACCCCTACATCTGCACATACACACAGGTGACTGTCCGGGATGGCATGAGTGTCTACGACTCTCTAGACAAGGCCCTGAAGGTGCGGGGTCTAAATCAGGACTGCTGTGTGGTCTACCGACTCATCAAGGGGTGAGTGTGGCAGCCCCACGCCCACCCACTGGGTGTCCCACCTCCCATCCCCTCCTCAGTCATTTGATTCCTTCTGTACTTTATCACAGAGTCTTCCATTAGTCTTCCCTTAGTCTTTAGTCCCCCCTTATCTGCAGGGTACATGTTCCAAGACCCCCAGTGGATGCTTGAAACCATAGATAGTACCGAACCCAATTGCTATCAGTCGGAACATGTTTCTATTCTTGTCTTCTACCCATAAATGTAATGCCTTTTCCGTCTTAACTAAGCACGTATCATGCACTCCGGCCATCACTTTTGCAGTTTGAGGTATGACATCAAAACTAGCATGAATTTATTTTTCCTTCTTCACAATTCCAAAGATGGAAGATTCTTTCTTACAGTAGATCTCAGCAACCTCAGCATATGATTTTCTTTTAAGTCAAGAACTTTTACCTTTTTGCTTAAAGGAAGCACATTACAGCTTCTCTTTGGCATGTCCGAATTGCCACCAACACTACTCTTGTGCTTTTGGGCCATTATTAAGTAAAATGGCGGTCACTTGAAGACAGCCACTATGATATTGAGTCAGTTGTTTGATAACTGAGCAGGCTACTAAGTGATGGGCGGTAGCGTAGACAGTGTGGATCTGCTAGATAAAGAGGTGATTCACATCCTGGGTGGGATGGTGCAGGATTTCATCACGCTACTCAGAATGCACGTAATTTAAAACTTATGAATTGTTTATTTCTGCAATTTTCAATTTAATACTTTCCCACCCGGTTGACCACAGGTAACTGAAACCATGGAGAGTGAAACCACAGATAAGGGAGGACTACTGTAGTTCAAGTAATCTATGAGTTCATCCATCTTTTGTTTTGTTACTTCATTGGTTTATTGGCCTGTAAGGTCAGCAACTCATTCTCCCCTGGCCCCCAAGTCCTCACCCTGGTCCATCACTTCTGCCCAGATTTCATCTATTTTGTCCTTTCACGATGTCATGACTTCATCAGGTCTCTTCTTCCTCATTTTCCCCATTCTCTGTCTGCTGAGTTGGGTCTTGCTGACTTTATTTATTCCTCTCTCGTGGGTTTCCTTAATTTATGATGCAGTTCACACACTGCACTTTATTTGTTGTTTCAGTGCCTCCTCAGCCCCCTTTTCAGGGGCTGGCTTAGCGCTTCTAAGATGTAGTTGTTTAGTTTCATTTGCTTCTCCCCTTCCGTTTCAGAGCATGGACTCTTCACACCGTCATGCCTCTCATTACCCTTGTGGCCCAGGGCCAGTCACTTTATCCCTCTGAGCCTGTTTCCCCATCTGTAAAGTTGGGGCAAGGATAGTGACTAATTTCTAGAGTTGCTGTGATGAGAATTAAACATGCCAGACATGACCCTGTGGGTAGCAGGCTTGGAGGGACTTGTGGGGGTTCCCTGCCTCCCCATGGCCCCTACCCAACCTCCCACTCATTCCTTTCCATGCCCCCTGCAGACGAAAGACGGTCACTGCCTGGGACACAGCCATTGCTCCCCTGGATGGCGAGGAGCTCATTGTCGAGGTCCTTGAAGATGTCCCGCTGACCATGCACAATTTTGTGAGTGCAGGGTGGACGGTGGGGGTGGACCATGGTTGGGGGTGTCCTTGACCAGGTCTCAAACTTCCCTGCTCTGTGGCATCAGGTACGGAAGACCTTCTTCAGCCTGGCGTTCTGTGACTTCTGCCTTAAGTTTCTGTTCCATGGCTTCCGTTGCCAAACCTGTGGCTACAAGTTCCACCAGCATTGTTCCTCCAAGGTCCCCACAGTCTGTGTTGACATGAGTACCAACCGCCAACAGTGAGCCCAGCCTGGGGTGGGTGGGGGGATGGGGAGCACAGAGGCCCAGCCACGAGGCCCTTACAGACAGCTGACCCGTGTCCCCTTGCTTTATACCCTTCATGCCCTCAAGGTTCTACCACAGTGTCCAGGATTTGTCCGGAGGCTCCAGACAGCATGAGGCTCCCTCGAACCGCCCCCTGAATGAGTTGCTAACCCCCCAGGGTCCCAGGTAGGGATGCCTTAGCTGAAGAGCTGCTGGGGGAGAAAAAGATCTTGGGGCTCTTGTAGACCACGAGCCATACTTTATTCATTTGTTTACTTGACAAACATTTATTGAGCACCTACAAGTGTGAGTAAGGGCATGAAACTGGGACCTTGGGCAAGTCACCTCATTTCTCTGGGCCTCAGTTTTCTCATCTGTAAAGAGGGGATGATGATACTTTCTACCATATAAAGGTTCTGGTGAGGCTTAAATGAGTTAAGACATGTTCAGTGCCTAGAACAGGATCTGGTACAGTGTAAATAATCAATTTTTTTGTTATTAATTATAAATATATTTATAAGCATCTAACTACTTTGCTAATTCTAGTATAATCATACTCAAGCCTTTCCATTTTGAAATACGTATTATTTTATCATAAATTACTTCCCTTTTATTGCTTTTTTATGTTAAATATTATATAAAACTATAGCTATATTAAAATATATTATTGCTCTAATATATATTTTATGATGTGCATATTTTATGGTATATTTATGTTATTGTATCATGTTGTATTACATAATTTTATATAATGTAGAACATCATACATGTTTATATGATACATAAAATAAAGTTAGGGTATTATTTTAAATTATGAGTGTATGTGCATTAATTACCTTTGAGTTTCATTTCAGGATAGTGAAGGGAACATTAACATATTTTTGTAACTTTACAATATGTTTAGCATATATCATATGTATAACATGTATGTATAACAATATGGTAATATGTATATTTTAAAACATTGCCATTTTTATATAGATGATACATATTATATAACATTTGAAAAGTACATGTAATTATAATATATAATTATAAAATATGATACATTACCCTTTCCCCACTATCTGTGTGGCCTGCTATCCTGCCTTTAGGCGTTTACTCCATTGTCATCTCCTCCTCAGAGAAACCTTTCCTGACACTTTCTAGGAACACTTTGTGTCTCCTTATTTTGCTTTACTATTTTTCTTTATTGCACCTATCACCATCAGGCATATTATATATTTGTTTTTTATTTCAGCCCCACCAGGGCAAGAACTGTTATTTTGTTTTACAGTTTTATCTCCACCACCTAGAATGGTATCTGGCACACAGCAGGCACTCAATAAATGTTTCTTGAAGCAATGAATAATAGTACTGCCAGTGGACATTCGCTCTGTGTGAGCCAAATGCATGTTTATGGCTGGGGGTGGGGTGGGGGGCTTTCTCGGTTCTCTGATTCCTGGCAGTGATTTCACAGCCTTTCCCCTGGCAGCCCCCGCACCCAGCACTGTGACCCGGAGCACTTCCCCTTCCCTGCCCCAGCCAATGCCCCCCTACAGCGCATCCGCTCCACGTCCACTCCCAACGTCCATATGGTCAGCACCACGGCCCCCATGGACTCCAACCTCATCCAGGTTGGTGCTGTGGGGGACAATGCCGGGGACCACAGGGCAGAGGGTAGAGCCATCCCTGTTGGCCTCCATGCCCTCTTTTTGACTCCTGTCCCTCTTCTTCTAGCTCACTGGCCAGAGTTTCAGCACTGATGGTGAGTCCCCTGTGCCTGCACCCTGACCCCCGCTGCCCCACTTACCTCCACTCACATCCTCTCTGCAACTGCAGCTGCCGGTAGTAGAGGAGGTAGTGATGGAACCCCCCGGGGGAGCCCCAGCCCAGCCAGCGTGTCCTCGGGGAGGAAGTCCCCACATTCCAAGTCACCAGCAGAGCAGCGCGAGCGGAAGTCCTTGGCCGATGACAAGAAGAAAGTGGTATGCTCGAGGGGGATCCTTTTGGGGCCACCAAGGCTGAGTGACGTGGGATGAGGGATGTGGGCAGGCCTCTTAGATGCCACCCATCTGGCCCACAGAAGAACCTGGGGTACCGGGACTCAGGCTATTACTGGGAGGTACCACCCAGTGAGGTGCAGCTGCTGAAGAGGATCGGGACGGGCTCGTTTGGCACCGTGTTTCGAGGGCGGTGGCATGGCGATGTGGCCGTGAAGGTGCTCAAGGTGTCCCAGCCCACAGCTGAGCAGGCCCAGGCTTTCAAGAATGAGATGCAGGTGCTCAGGTGAGGTGGCATGTGTGCGTGGATGGGGGTGGCAGGCCCGGCCTTGGCATCTCTCTGGGAAAAGGCCATGCTTGGAGTGCTTCCTGGACATCACCTGTGTTTGTGTTGTTAAACCATCATCAGAAGTTGTTTCTCTCTGAAGGGTGTCCCTTTCCCCTCTGGGAAATGAGTATGTTTAGAGGACCTGTGATCATGCAGTTGTTTGTGTTTGGGTTATTAATGAATGGTTCTGCCTCCAAAATGTGGGTCTTCTCATTTGCCTGCTGCGAACTGGGTCTGTGTGTGGGCCACCATTCTTGTTACTGCATTGCCAGGAAGGCTTCCATCTTTCCTTCCCCTCTGCTTGGGCTACAATGGTAATGTTCTGTTTATAGTGTTGGTTCTTGTTATTCATTAATTCTAATACCTTGATTTAAACAATATTATCATCATCACCATAATCTAATCATTGCTTAATTATTATAATTGCTGTAATATGTAATCAATACAGTATTCATCTAGTCACGCTAAGAAAGCCAGGTGTCTCCTTTTTGCTGCTATAGTTACTATGTAGCATAGTACTGTATACCTATATACTACAGGTAGTACTGGATAGCGTCTACCAACCCTGGGGATGTTGGCATTGGCTTTTCCTCTGTGTCAGATGGGCACAATTATGTTACAGAGAATAAGGTAGCTAATGCAATGATCAGTTTTACAGTTGAGGAACATGAGGCCCAGAGAGGTTAAATGTCTTTCCCAAGGTTGTACCTTGAGTACCTGGTGAGGCCTAGATTTGAACATGAGTCCAGACTCCAAGCTCTTTACCTCTAAGCTTCTCATGCTGCTGAACAGGCTCTAATCATCATATATCACCAATGTTTTAATCCTGCATCTATCCATATTATATTGATACATCAGTGAGGAAGGTTGGCATTCTGCTTTCTCATCTGTGAGATGGTCACAGACCCAGGTAATGGTCAGAGTCAGAGGGGTGGGGGATGTTAATGATTAGAAATGCTGCTGTAGGCAGGGAGGGGGAGGGGCAGCAATTCCTCCCTCCTGCTTTTGTTGGGAGACTCGGATGGGGAAGCTCCACATATGAGCCCACAGCACAGAATCATAGCCCAGTAAACACATCTCACAAATTCATGGAATCTGGCAATGCTTTGGTCCTGAGTGCCCCAAAAGACAGGGTGAAAATAAATGACCGAGGAAGGTAAAGAACAGTGCCACTCCTGATGCTCGGTAAGTGACAGTTGCTATTTTTCCTCCCCACCTCTGACACTGCCCTCCCTGCCTGCAGGAAGACGCGACATGTCAACATCTTGCTGTTTATGGGCTTCATGACCCGGCCGGGATTTGCCATCATCACACAGTGGTGTGAGGGCTCCAGCCTCTACCATCACCTGCATGTGGCCGACACACGCTTCGACATGGTCCAGCTCATCGACGTGGCCCGGCAGACTGCCCAGGGCATGGAGTGAGCCTCCCAGCCTGGGGAGGGGTGGGGGGAAAGGGTGGGGGAAATGAGGTAACCCCCAGCCAATCCGCCACCTGCCTCCACCCCCACAGCTACCTCCATGCCAAGAACATCATCCACCGAGATCTCAAGTCTAACAGTATCTATCTGTCCCTGGGCTGGGGTTGAGTGGGGGTGTCAAGGGCTTAGAAGGATGCCTCTTGTGGGGGTTCTGGGAATTACAAGGGAGGGGCATGTGTCCCAGAGCTCCTTGCCAGGTGGCAGAGCTGTGGCCAGCCAGGGGGCTTTAATGGCAGTCTCTTAGAAGTCAGAGGTGTGGCTGGTTCAGGTACTATTCTTGGGGACTCTGGTTAGAGTCTGATGTCTGACAGTTGTGGAGGGCATTATGGTCAACATCAGAGGCATAGTGGGTTCGGATGCCCTCCGAGGGGCTTCCTGTTCAGGAGTCACAGCGGGGCTGAGTGTGGGGGGCATTAGCAGGCGTTCCCTGCCCACGTCAAGGTTGTGGATAGTTTGCGTGATATTAAGGGGCTCCTGGTCAGGATCAGAGGGATGAGTGGTATAGGGGCACCAATGGGAACCTCCCAGGCAGGGTGAGAGGCATGGCTATTAGGAGTCCCTGTAGTGGTCCTTGACCCTGGCGGACATCTTCCTACATGAGGGGCTCACGGTGAAGATCGGTGACTTTGGCTTGGCCACAGTGAAGACTCGATGGAGCGGGGCCCAGCCCTTGGAGCAGCCCTCAGGATCTGTGCTGTGGATGGTGAGTTGGGCCAGGCTGGATGGGGGGCACATGGGGACGTGGGCTCCGGGATTGGGGTGTGTGGGGCCAAGTGGGGACGGGGATGCCTGTGCCAGATGTGGGTGTCTGGACTCCTCATGTCCCACCTCGTGTGGGTGGCTCTGAGTTGTACCCTGTGTGGCCAGTGGGATCTGGGACTGTGGACCAGCCATTTGCTGACCTCCGTGGTCCCCCTGCCTGGTCTGGCCTGTTGTAGGCAGCTGAGGTGATCCGTATGCAGGACCCGAACCCCTACAGCTTCCAGTCAGACGTCTATGCCTACGGGGTTGTGCTCTACGAGCTTATGACTGGCTCACTGCCTTACAGCCACATTGGCTGCCGTGACCAGGTGAGCCCCACACCTTACCCACAGTTCCCTGGGCTGAGGGATCCCCTCAGGCATCCATACCCCACATCCCCTCCTTTGCACTGATAAATGCCACACTTTCCCCAGAAACCTAAAATTTTCTAGGATAAGGACTCCCAGAATCCCTTGGGCTCCAGACACTTACAATAAATTCTCTGGGTCTCCCCTACCCCAACTTCCCTCTTCTCACATCCACAGCCCTCTGGGACAAAAATCTTTGAAGTCCAAAATGCCCCGAATCTCTATACCTAGAATCCCCTGAGGCCCCCAAATACCCCAAAGCCCTCTGTATCCCTAGACGCCTATAGTCGTCTGCTCTGGGTACTCAAAATCCCCCAGATCCTCAAAGCCCAGATCTCATTTCTCCCAGCATCCCATTTTTCCCCAGAAACAGAACCCCTTTGTGCTTCTGGAATAGTCATGGACACCCACAGTCACCTAGGCCTTGGGTATCTAGCAGGCCCCAGGGCCGGGATACCTAGAACCCTCTAGGCCCCAGACCCCCACAGAAGTACAAGCTCCCCCAGACCCAGAACTCCATGTTTTCCCGAGACTCAGTACTTTCCAGGTCCCTAAGCCTCCTAGAAACCCGTGGGCCTATAATCCTCTGAGCCCCAGATACCTACAATCCTTGACAACCCCAAATTTAAATCCCTCTGTTCTGAAAGCAGAGAATCCTCCCAAGTCCTCAAGGACAGAGAATCCTCTGGGCCTTGATACTGACAGTACCCCAGCTCGCTAAAAATGAACCTTCCAAGTCCCTCAATACAAAATTCCTTGGGCCTCCCAGCCCCTGACCCCAGATCACCCCTTTCCTGCCCCCGTCTGCCCCCAGATTATCTTTATGGTGGGCCGTGGCTATCTGTCCCCGGACCTCAGCAAAATCTCCAGCAACTGCCCCAAGGCCATGCGGCGCCTGCTGTCTGACTGCCTCAAGTTCCAGCGGGAGGAGCGGCCCCTCTTCCCCCAGGTGGGCTGGGTAGGGGGCTGGACACCTTGGGTGGGTGACTCTGGGATAGAGGAAGACTGAGATGGAGGCAGATGTGAATATGAAAGCTCAGAGGTATAGTGTGTGTGTGTGTGTGTGTGTGTGTGTGTGTTTCACCATGAGGCTGGGACTGTTGGGGGTGTGTGTGTATGTGTGTTTCGCCATGAGGCTGGGACTGTTGGGTGTGTGTGTGTGTGTGTGTGTGTGTGTGTGTGTGTTTCGCCATGAGGCTGGGGCTGTTGGGATGCCCACAGGGCTCTGGACACCCCTCCTCACCCCCACCTGCCCTCAGATCCTGGCCACAATTGAGCTGCTGCAACGGTCACTCCCCAAGATTGAGCGGAGTGCCTCGGAACCCTCCTTGCACCGCACCCAGGCCGATGAGTTGCCTGCCTGCCTACTCAGCGCAGCCCGCCTTGTGCCTTAGGCCCCGCCCAAGCCACCAGGGAGCCAATCTCAGCCCTCCACGCCAAGGAGCCTTGCCCACCAGCCAATCAATGTTCGTCTCTGCCCTGATGCTGCCTCAGGATCCCCCATTCCCCACCCTGGGAGATGAGGGGGTCCCCATGTGCTTTTCCAGTTCTTCTGGAATTGGGGGACCCCCGCCAAAGACTGAGCCCCCTGTCTCCTCCATCATTTGGTTTCCTCTTGGCTTTGGGGATACTTCTAAATTTTGGGAGCTCCTCCATCTCCAATGGCTGGGATTTGTGGCAGGGATTCCACTCAGAACCTCTCTGGAATTTGTGCCTGATGTGCCTTCCACTGGATTTTGGGGTTCCCAGCACCCCATGTGGATTTTGGGGGGTCCCTTTTGTGTCTCCCCCGCCATTCAAGGACTCCTCTCTTTCTTCACCAAGAAGCACAGAATTCTGCTGGGCCTTTGCTTGTTTATTTTGTTTCCCGACTCTTCTCTTGGGGTTCAGAGCCGCTGAGGGGTGGGGTGAGTCCAGGCAAGGAGTGAAGGTCAGGGGGAGGTGCGGACCACATAAACAGCGTCACTGCACGCATCACCACAGGCGGCACGATGAACGAGGACCACATATGCCAAGCACGGCACAAAAGGAGGCCACGTCAGTCACAGACACAGACACCACAGCAAAGGTGGGGAAGCGGAGACCACTGGCCTTCCGTGTGCAAAGGATTCTGGGAAGATGGGTGGAGTTTGCATATTTAAAGACAGCTGTCAGAGGCAGGAAACTGGGGAGGGGGTCCCTGGGGGAACCGAGGGGTCCTGGAAGTGGGAGGGGCTCCCAAGGTATTGAATGAGGTTGAGGGGAGCTGGTGAAGGGAAATCCTTGTGGGGCTAGGTGTTGGGTGGCATTTGAAGATGTGGATCTTCAGAGGGATGGAAGATCCATGGGAAGGGGCTCAACAGTAGGGGTTTCTTGAGGATTTGGAAAATTATGATGGGAAATAGGTGTGCTGGAGAGATTTGGGACCAAAAATAGGGTTTTCCAGGAACTTCAGGGCTCCAGGAAGGGATTCTGCAATGGGTTGCCTGGTATTTGGGCACTTCCAGGAAGGAAAACGCCCTCTGGGGAAACCAGGGGCGGAGGTCTTCAGGAATGTGGAGGTTCTAAAACAGAAGTAGATCCTGAAGTGACCACGAGTGGGGTTCTAAAAGGACTTGGGGATTCCACATGTGAGAACCGGATTTAGGGCCAGGAGGAGTCAGGTTTCTCAAGGTACTCGGGGATCTTGAGGAATGAGAGGTGGAATCTTGGAGAACCGGGAGATGGGTTCTCAAGGGATTTGGAGACTCCAAAAGTGAGAAATGGATTCAGGGCCCAGAGAAGGGTTGCCCAGGGATTTTGGGGTTCTCAGAGTGGGGTATCAGTCGGAGAAGAGGCTGGCGAAAGACTTCCTCAGGCTGCGGATGGTCTCAGCTTTCACCTCGTCCTGGCTAAGGCTGGGCCTGGGCGGGGCTGGCTCTGGAAGGTTGAAGGCATTGGTCAGAGACTGGGATTTGCTAGAGAGAGACAAGGTGGAGGCGTGGGAGGAAGGGGGAAGAGGAAGGGGAGGAAGGGGAGAGAAACACAACGTTACCCCAGGCCCAGCCCCAGCCCTGCCCCTCTGATCCTGGGGCTGTGCCTGTGACCTCCCCACCTGCCACCATGGGCCTGGACCCTAACAGGTTCTCAAGGCTGGGAGCACTCAGGTGGAGTGGGTGGAGTCCTGGGCCAGGGAGGCGAGATCTGGGACAGGCTGGGAGGACTTGGATCCAGGGTGAAGTGTGGGATTCGTGGCAAGAGTCCTGGGCAGAACCTTCTCTGTGAATTCTTGGCTAGTTTGATACAAAGGGGAAGATGAGCAGGGAAGTTTCCAATCTAAGGGTGAGGTGTCTAGGAGGGCATAGAAAGGGCTTGGACCAAGGACAGGCTGTTGGGCAAGTCAGCCTAAGGCAGAGCAGCTGGGTGGGGCAGGGAGGACGTCTGAGCTGGGATGGGAGTTGGAATGGACCAGAAAAGGCAGATGGGTGATGATTCGCGGGGAGACTGAGATGGGCCAGAAGGATGTGAAGGAGGAGGAAAAGTATGAGGATGGAGTGGGAAGAGCCAGATGATAGGAGGACTAGGACTCGGGCCAGGAGTTTTAGGGATGGGTTGGTGGCGGGGGGGCGAGTTTGGCAGGGAAGGCTCTGGGCTGGGCAGGAAGTTGCAGAGGGTGGGTCAGCCAGGTGCCTGGGAGGCCCTGGAGGAGGAAACTTTCCCAGGGCCTTTGAGGAGGAATTCGAACTGAGTGCAGTTTCTCTGGGATTCTGGCACCAAATTCCTGGGGTGGGGGTGCGGAGCCTCTGGTGGGCCGGGAGGAGCGAAAGCTTGGGGGAAGGGCTTGGCTCAGGCTGGAGAGAGTTCGTGGGACCCCTGCATAGGACCTGGGTCTGAGGAGCAAGGGAGCTAGGGCTGCTCTACTGGGGCAGCGGCCCGCTTTGTGAGCAGCAAGGCGAAGGCTGCTGTAGGGGTCCCCTTACTTGAGCTGGGGGTGCGGAGGTCCCCCTGCAGCGGCGGTGGCGGGTGGCGGCACGTCCTGGCTGGGTTTCTGGGCCAGCTGTGGTTTGGGACGTCCAGCGGGGCCCGGGCCGCTGGGCCGAGGCTGCTGCGTGGTGGGTGGCCCAGTGCGGGGCACGGGACCCGCCTGGCTGGCCTGGCGTGTGGGGCCGGCTGGGCCTGGGGGTTTCTGGGGCGGGCCCTGGCGCTGCTGCCCGCCCGGTGGGGCCCCAGAGGCCTTTGGCGGAGCCGGGCCAGAGACGGATGTCTGACGGGTAGCCTGTGGGGGGCCCGCCTGGCGCTGGGGAGACGGAGAGGCGGGCGGGCGGGCTGCTGGAGGCGCCCCGGGGCCTCCCGCCACTGGCCGGGATTGGCGGCCTTGACCCTGGGTCGGCGGCGCGGCCTGGGACGCGGGCTGCTGGGGCGCTGAGGTGGGACTTGGAAGGCGCTGGGGCAGGGGGCTGCCAGCTGGGGGTCCAAGGCCTGAAAGGTGCTGCTGGCCCTGCGGGGGCGGGCGCTGCTGCAATGGGGGTCCCTGGCGCTGGGGGCCTGGACCCGGCTGTGGAGGGCCGCCTGGGGGACAGAGGGAGAGAAAGAGCACACGTGAGAGTGAGCGGGTAAGAGATGGCGGGCTGAGGGAGGGGACTGCGACCGCCAGCCTCTCGCTTACCCTGTGGTGGGGGTCGCTGCTGAGCCGGGGGCCCTGCGGGCTGCTGGGAGGTCTGGCGGCCCAAGGGCAGGGCCCCTGGGGACGGAGTCTGCGGCAGAGGAATGGAGCAGGAGAGGTTAAAAATAGTTACCAGCCAGTGGAGCATCAGCCAGTGATGACACAGGTTCCCTGTGCGCTGGGTGTTGCCCCACTTGTGGCTGAGCTGAGGGTACTCTGGGTTGTGGGGTGGGGGACCTGTTCCCAGGGGCGGGGCAGGGAGGTGCTCAGGGAAGTCAGGGCAGCAGCTGCTTATCAATGTTTTAAACAATTGGCAATCGCAGCCACATGTGTGCAAAGGTGATGCTGTGAGCCTACAGATTATCAGCTTCATGGCACAGCATGACCCAGGGCCGGCCTCCCCACACTAGCTCAAGCCACTAGCTCAGCGCCAGGGGCCTGACCTGGCCATGGGAGCCCCTGCCAGGGGAGGCATCCCGCTGTCGCTGCCGGGGCAGGGCCTGAGCCATCTTGTTGACCACGAGCTCTACGATGAGCTGTTTGTCTTCATCCTGGTGGTCACCAATGAGCGGCATGGAGGAACCCACCACCTGGGGGAAGGAAAGGATCCGTGAGGGGAGAGGCAGGCCTCGCACCTGAGGCGGCAGTAACACCGTGCTTTCAGTTGGCCAAGGGCATGGCCGCCGCTGAGCCCCAGTGTCTGAGGCACTGATTGTGCACGGTGAGGAAGGCTTGTCTGTTCCAAGGTACCTTACAGCTTAGAAGGTGCTTCAGAGCAGGGCTCAGCAAATTAGGGCCCATGGGCCCAACCTGGCCGACCACCTGGTTCTGTATGACCCAGAGCTAAGGATGGGTCTTTAAATTTTGTAACAGTTGAAAAAAATCGAAAGATTTTATAACATGCGAAAATGGCATGAAATTTAAATTTCAATGTCCATAAACAAAGTTTTATTGGAACACAGCCACACTTATTTTTTTAACATATCGTCTATGGCTGCTTTTGCAGAGTTGAGTAGTTACGGCAGAGGCTACGTGGCCTACAAAGCCTAAAATATGTACCGTCTGCTCCTTTACAGAAAATGTTTGCCGATCCCTGCTTCACGGTTTTCTAGGTGCTTTGTCCTTTCCAAAATGCTTTGCTGTCGGTCCAGTTCGCAGAATACTTTAAAGGTTACTAAGTGCCTCGCCATTCACCAAGATGTCTCGATTCGCAGAGCACTAAACAATCTAATAAGGGTTTTGCTAGTCACCAGGGACGTGCAAGTTCAGTCTAGTGTTCTGCCATTGCAAGGGATGGCCCCTTCGAAAGTTCGTCAGGCACCTTACAGTGTACTAAGCACATTGCTGTTGGCTGAGGACCTCTGTGCCATGGAGTGCTTCAGTTTGCACTGCTGCTGCCTGGCATCTGTTCCTCCCTCTACCCCACCTACCCCTGGGTGCTCATACCTCAATGATGTGATCCCTTCCGTCCTTGCCATGTAGCGCTTCCACTGCGCAGATGTCCAGTCCCCCAAAAATCTCTGAGCACGTGTCCACCCACAGCTTGTATCTGCCAAGACAAAGGGTGGGGAAGCCTGTCAGTCTCTCACCTGAGCTGTCGTGCTCCCACCCCCGCTTCCCCTCACACCCTGAGTTCGGGCTGCCCACCTGTCAGACATGGCAATTTGCTCCAGCATCGCAGAGCCAGTATTGGTCTTCCAGTTCCCTGACACTGACGTCCTCCTGGGGGACAAGGGGACAGAAGCTCAGGGGTGCCTCAGCTGCATGAGGCAAGGCAGGGGACCCCTTCCAGGGCTTTGGTCTCTCCACTCACATGTAGGCCTTGTAGTTCTGCCCAATCTTCTGGACACGCACGTCATATTTGGCATCGATGAAGGGCTCGGCAGTGGCATACGTCTTGGTCAGTGCCACGACACTTGCGATGTCCTGGAAGTCATGCTGGTTGTCAACCTTGACCTGTGGAAGTGCGGGCAAGGATCAGGGCCTGGTCAGGATAGGGCAGCTGTGGGGAGTGGGGGTGCCTGGGGGAGCATGTATACATGACACACAGGTGAGGCGAGTACACAAAAATTAGGTGGACATGCCAAGGCGCTCAAGCAGGCACGATCATGGGTCTCCTGTTTTGTATGTGAGCACACAGGCACAAAGTTGGGTGTGTAGAACACTGAGCATACCAAAATGTATTGGATTGTCTACTTTAAATGGGTGAGTTGTAGGGTGTGTGAACTATCTCTCACTAAAGCTGTGAAAAAACTGTGTATGTACAATATACTAATATAGGCATCCAGACACAAAATCAATTGTACACACAACATGCTAAGATACAGAAACTCGGACACAAATTACAAGTCTACTTTCTACGTACACAGAGACAAAATCAGATGGATGTAAAGCACACAGGACCCCAAGACTTTGGAACATAAAAGATCACACCACATCATGTGTGTTCGGCACAGGCATGCATGTACACACAGACACGATGCTGGAGACAAGCAAAATAACAGGACACACAAAATTGGCTGAATGCAGGAGGAAAAAGGGGTCGATGAGGTCAGCTGAATGTGAGAAAACAAAAATCTATTAGGTTGGTGCAAAAGTAATTGTGGTTTTTACCATAAGAACTGGCAAAACCCGCAATTACTTTTGCACCAACCTGATAGATAACGACACCCCAGGAGACGCGATCACACAGAATGACTGGTGTGCATTGCACAAATACACATCTACCTATGCACAGCCCAGCCAGAGACTCACCTTGCCCATCCCAGAGTGTGCGTGCCCCATCTTCACAACCACGGGGTACGTTGTACTGCTGAGCTGGTGGGGAAAAGGCAGAGGAGACATGCTCAGGGCAGAAAGGGTGACCTCCAGGGGTGGGGCGGCACTGAGGGGATCCCAGCCAGTGGGAACTGCATTATGAGTCACTTCCCAGGACACACAGGTCAGAGACAGGCAGGCAGCAGCTGGGGGTCACACAGTGTCTCCACCTCCGGGCCCAGAATTGAACCCAGAGCCCTGTCTGTCTGTCCCTCACTCCACCCCACCAACAAGTTCCAGACGTCCCGCCCCTGCTTTCCCGGGCAGAGGCATGGTATGAGCGTGGGGGACTGTTCCAGTAAAAAGAAAGTTTGTTTTTACAGTGGATGGATGATAGTGAGGCAAGTGTGTGCCAGTGCGTGTGTGTGGGGGTGGGGGGGGTGGGGAGTGGTGGTGAGCATGTAGTGACTGAACCCCTCAGCCAAACCTTGTATGTAAGCCTCACCTGCACACATAAACTATTGAGAGGCATGAGCCCTTGGAACTCAGATGTACATCGCCAAACCCAGAGATGCCAGTGACATTGAGACTGACAGCCAACACAGGCTCAAAGCACATGAGCTCTGGAGCAGCACAGACACCCACACAGTCATTCAGCCAGCCAGGTGCCCATAGCGTGGGTCAGCAGCCAGCACTCCAGGGCAGCACACACTGGACACCCTTAGGCACACAATCAATACTTGGGCACACACCCAGGTTCCCTCCCCTCACCCAAACCCACATCACCATCAGGGGAACACACACAACACAAAAGATTACCCGTCCAATCAAGAGACACACAACTCCACAGGCACACTCCACAGAACCGGGCACATACTCAACACACAGGCACACATAAAACACCCCTAGGCAAATGCACAGCAAATAAGGCCCTACACAACACACAGAGGTGTATGCACTTCTAGGTATTCACATCACCACTGGGACCCGTAAGAGACCCACGCCACATTCCTGGGCATACAAAAAGTATATCTAGACACACA
Organism: Homo sapiens; assembly: GCF_000001405.40. NCBI lineage: Eukaryota > Metazoa > Chordata > Mammalia > Primates > Hominidae > Homo > Homo sapiens. The sequence goes on from NC_000023.11 coordinate 47,578,485, forward strand.
CACAACATGCCTTGCCACATATACAATACAGAGAGGCTACACACAACCAGAGACACCCACAACTCAGTTTGCAGAAAACATTCCTGGGCACTCCCACCCCAACACACATACAGTCACACATTCAGGCGAGAGGGATACCTCAAGTCTCCCCCGCTCCTGGATGGGGTAGAGGAAACCAGGTTGGACGGCCCTAGGCTCCCCGCTCCCTCCACCCCCACCCCCACAGCACAGCTGCACAGTGCCCCTCTGGTGGCCCTCCCTCTCGCTGACAAGGTAGAGAGATGGCATTCCCGGAGGGGCTGCTGGGGCGGTGGTGGTTCCCAGTTCCCGACAGGCACAGGAAGCCCGCAGACTCAGGGTGACCGATTGACCTTAAGGCCTCCCTCTGCACACCCCCCCTTCCTCATTTCCCAAATGACTGGCGTCATTATGAGGTGGGCTGAGAGGCACGATGTTGGGACGGGGGTTTGGGGCATCTCTGGGCAGCGGGCCAGGGAAACGATGCCGAGGCGGATGCATACAGTACCACCCAGGTGTGCGCACAGCACACAGAAGTGCATAATGCACTCAGTTACATATGCAACCCAGATCCGCTTTGCCGAGGCTGGTAGACAACTCCCAGAAGTAACACACAAAACACACAGGCACATGCTCGACTCTTAGCAATGGACACACAACACACCAGAGAGCTGTGCGTACACACCCATACCTCCCCCAACAACCCTGAGGTTTCTAGGTGCCTCTTTTCGTTAACTGTCCTTGTTTTCTCTGGACTTGAGCCTGAACACAACGCTCTGTATATGTGTGTGTGCCCATACATGTGTGCATGCAGAGTGCTTTGAACTCTGACTCTGGGAGCTCCTGGAAAGCCCTAGGTCTGAATTTTGGCCTTTCTTCTTCCTAAGGCCATGAAGGACACAACCTCTCCCTGAGCCTCAGTTTCCCCATCTGCACAAAGAGCACAATGAGGCCCAAGCACCTGGTATGCTGTGGGCATTGTCAGGTGTCCGCTTTGCACATGCCTCCTGGACCCCCATGGGCCCCCACACCCATCCAGCTCCCCAGATGGTCACACACCCCTCCATGAACACCCCTCCCACTCTCCATTTCAAAACTGCACAATAACCGGATCCACACGACTCCTCATGTAAACAGTCGGCAACACTCTGTGCTGACTCAGGTTTCAAAGAGTTGGCGTCAGAACCAGAGTCAGCGAGGGGCCAAGGCAGGACTTCCCCTGCCCTCACTTCTCCCTCGGAGGCACCAGGTTACTCAGCCCCGTCTCATTCACTCTCACTGTCCCACTTTCATAATCAGCTCCTACAGATTTTTTTGGTTTACTTCCCTTCCTCCCTGTTTTTGTCGCCCCCCCACCCTCCCCCCACCACCCCGCAGCAGAGCCATTTCTTCATTCTCATTCCTGGGTAGGTCACTCAGCCCTTTTGTGTCTAAGTTTCCTCATCTGTATAATGAGAACATGAGCTATATCTAACTCACAGGGATATTGTGAGAAATAAGTTAGTTATTTTGGGAAAAATGCTCTACATGGTATCGGGCATACAGTAAGCCTCGATCCTCAAGAAGTGTTGGGTACTCTTATTATTGGCTTAACATCTCTTCCTTAACTAACATTAATGAACAAAGAGGCAATCGGGATTGATTAAATGAGATAATGTCTGTAAAAAGACTTTAGAACAGTGCTTTTTTTTTTTTTTTTAAATAGAGACAGGGTTTCACCATGTTGCCCAGACTGGTCTTGAACTCCTGAGCTCAAGCGATCTGCCTGCCTCAGCCTCCCAAAGTGCTGGGATTACAGGTGTGAGCCACCATGCCCGGCCAAGTGCTTTCTTAAAAAATAGATTTAGGCTGGGTGCCGTAGCTCACGCATGTAATCGCAGCACTTTGGGAGGCTGAGGTGGGCGGATCACCCGAGGTCAGGAGTTTGAGACCAGCCTGGCCAACATGGTGAAACCCCGTCTCTACTAAAAATACAAAAATTAGCCAGGCGTGGTGGCGTGTGCCTGTAACCCCAGCTACTGAGGAGGCTGAGGCAGGAGAATTGCTTGAACCCAGGAGGTGGAGGTTGCAGTGAGCCAAGATCTTGCCATTGCACTCCAGCCTGGGAAACAAGATCGAAACTCTGTCTAAAAAAAAAAAAAAGATTTAGAAGGCCGGGTGTGGTGGCTCACGCCTGTAATCCCAACACTTTGGGAGGTCGAGGCAGGTGGATCACCTGAAGTCAGGAGTTCGAGATCTGACCAATATGGTGAAACCCCCGTCTCTACTAAAACTACAAAAATTAGCTGGGGGTGGTGGTGGTGTGGCTGTAATCCCAGCTACTCAGGAGGCTGAGACAGGAGAATCTCTTGAACCCCGGAGGCGGAGGTTGCAGTGAGCTGAGATCGCGCCACTGCACTCCAGCCTAGGTGACAGAGCAAGACTCTTGTCAAAAAAAAAAAATAGATTTAGAGGGTACAGCTGCAGTTTTGTGACATGGATATATTACATAGTGGTGAAGTCTGGGCTTTTAGTGTCCCCATCAACCAAATAGTGTACATTGTACCCATTAGGCAATTTCTCATCCCTCACATTCCTCCCACCCAGAATAGTGCTGGATACGCAGTAAGCACTCCATAAGGGCTGCTGGTAGTTTTTGTTGTGTTCTTGTTATTGGGCTATCATCCCTGAGTTAATCAAACTTAATTAGCAAGGGAGTATGGTGAGTGAATGAGATAATTTATACAAACACTTTAGCACATAGTACACAGAAAGTGCTCAATAAGTGGCTGCCATCATCACTACAATTATTATTATTGATCTATCCTCCTCGAATTAAGGATGTTAATCAGAACCCCAGGGAAGGTTCCTGCATTGTCAGAAAGCTGGTGGGCAAGGATTGCCCCACCCCACCCCCCACCAGGGGTACAGGTCCATGGGGAGGGGGCAGGGCAGGATGGGGTGGGGATTAGTTTTCTACTGACCCACTCACTTGCTTCTTTCACCATCATTCATGGCCACCCCCTTCCCAATGCTCATTCATTCACCCGCACCATTCCCTGCTTGCTAGGACGGTGCCACTCCTGAGTTACAACCCTGGTGCCAGGTAGCCTCTGTTTGAATCCCGGCCATGCCCTGTGATCTTAGGAAAATTCTACAGTTCCTCTACGCCCCATATTTCCTCATCCGTAAAACGGGAATAAGAACCGGTACCCATCTCAGAGATTTGTTGTGAGCTTTGAGTGAGATAAACTATGCTGAGTGCCTGGTATACAGTAGGTGCTGTATAAATGCCGGCTATTTGCCTGTGTTATTTGAGACCCTGGCTTTGGCTCCTGGCCACCTGAGTTCCAGTCTCAGTTCTGCCATGTATTGACTCTGTGATCCTGGGTAAGTCACTTAACCACTCCGTGCCTCAGTTTCCCCATTTTGTATTCCTCCCCTTTCACCTGCCTTATCTCCCTCCACTGCTGCTACTTAATTTGTTTCCTCTCTGCCACCCCTCACCAGCATGTCAGACATACAAAACAAGGGATTTTTGTGTGCTTGGCACACAGTAGATGCACAATAAATGTTGAAGGGCTGAACTAATTTGGGTTTGAGTCATAGGGAGCTTGGGGGATGTGGGTGATTGGATAGATTCTGGAGACTTTAGGGGACTGGGCCGGGGGAAATGCGGCCTCTAAGCTCTCCGCTGAGGCGGCTTGGAAGGAATAGTGACTGACGTGGAGGTGGGGGAGGTGGCTGGCCCGGGCGAGGCCCAGGGAGAGGGAGAGGAGGCGGGTGGGAGAGGAGGAGGGTGTATCTCCTTTCGTCGGCCCGCCCCTTGGCTTCTGCACTGATGGTGGGTGGATGAGTAATGCATCCAGGAAGCCTGGAGGCCTGTGGTTTCCGCACCCGCTGCCACCCCCGCCCCTAGCGTGGACATTTATCCTCTAGCGCTCAGGCCCTGCCGCCATCGCCGCAGATCCAGCGCCCAGAGAGACACCAGAGGTAAGCAGGGCCCGGGGTGGCCCAGCAGGGACCGGAGCTGGGCTGCAGCTTGGGTGCTGGCCACCAGGCCCGTGCACTCCCGTGCCAGATGCCTGTCTACTCAGCTTGGCCTGCGGGTACCAGGACCCTGGGCTAGTCTAGGGGGAAGAGGGTCGGAGGCTGGAACTGCTTTCCCAACCCCGAGGCTCCAAACTCCCTAGAACCCCTGACATCCGCCCCCAATTCCCCCAAACCCATGACCCCCTAATATCACAAATGCTTTCCAAATCCCCCCGCAAATTCCTTCATCCCGAAATTTCCCTCATCGCCCCCTAAATACCCACCGCTAACCCCTGCAGCTCCCTAAACTCCCCCAGCTCCCCAATCCCCAGTTCCCCAGCTCCCAAACTTCTTTTGCCCTCAAATTCCTCAAGTATCCCCATTGCCTTAAGCCCCCAAATTCCCCCAACCCCTTCAACCTCCAAACTCCCCCAGCTCCCTAAACCCCCAACCTCCTCCAAATTCCTCAACCTCCCTAAATTCCCCCAGCCTCTTATATCTCTTAATATACACAACCCCTAAACTCTGCCGTCTCCAAACTCCTCCAGCCCCCAATCCCAAATTCCTCACCCCCAAACTCCTCAACCTCCAGAATTCCCCAATCCCCTCATTCCTCAAACTTCCTCAGCCCCCTTCTCCCCCAAGTGCCACAACCCCATAACCCCGCAACTCACTCAGTCCCTCAATAATTTAAACTCTCCCAACTCTCTAAACCCTAAATTCCTCTGCGCTCCCCAATCCCCTTAAAATCCCTAAGCTTACCAACCCCTCAAGCCCAAATCCAGCCCCCTAATCCCCCCCATAGGCTGCCCCGGGGCAAGATGGGGTGGATGACCTGCCCAGGTCAGCAGATCAGCTGGGCCGGGGCCTGCCTGACATCCCCCTTCCCCACAGAACCCACCATGGCCCCCTTTGAGCCCCTGGCTTCTGGCATCCTGTTGTTGCTGTGGCTGATAGCCCCCAGCAGGGCCTGCACCTGTGTCCCACCCCACCCACAGACGGCCTTCTGCAATTCCGACCTCGGTGAGTCCTCACCCCACTCAGCCCACACACTCTGCCTTGGTTTCCCTTTCAGTCCAGTGGGGCTCACCATGGCACTTACCTCTAGAATGATTCCACTCGCCCCTGCACTTCCTCTGCTTTAGCCACACTGGCATCCTCACACTTCCTTGAGTACTCTGTGCCCAAGCCCACCACAGGATCTGCATGCTGGCTGCTCCCTCTGCCTGGTACACTTTCCCCCCAGGTATCCACATGGGTGGCTGCCTCAAACGTCACCTTCTCAGGATGGCCTTCCCTGGCCATCCTGTTTAAAATTTTAACCCCTGCCCCTTAGTACTCCTGATCTCCTGTTAAACAGAAAAATATTCAGTGATACTTGTTATAACACAGTAAGGAAGACCATATTCAGGACCATGGTGATGGGTATAGGAACCACTGCAATGGGATCTTGCAGTCGGTGGGAGAGATTGGGCTCAACACTGAATATAGCATGGGCCAGTGGGAATGTGTAGCTAAGGAGCAGTGTGAGGGTCTGTGGGTGGAAATTACTAAGAAGAAACATCAGGGGTAAGGGGGATTCTGGCTAAACCGACGTAACAGGATTCTTGCTGAAGGCAGGCCAAGGGGAATCAGACATCACCTGGGGGATGGTGGAAGATGAAGAACCCAGTCAGATAGCAAGGATGATCAGGTATTGAGGATGATCAGAGATTGAGGATGATCAGAGATTGAGGATGATCAGGTATTGAGGATGATCAGAGATTGAGGATGATCAGGTATTGAGGATGATCAGAGATTGAGGATGATCAGGTATTGAGGATGATCAGAGATTGAGGATGATCAGATATAGAATATAGGGGTTCTTGCTAAACTGACTTAGCAAGGCTCTCGGCTAAAACTGGATTTTACAAGGAAGTGCACAGATGGGCCTAGGAGGAGGTTCAGGAGCCTGAGTAAAGTTTGGTCAAGCAAAGAATCTTTGTCAGCCCCTTACCCAGGTCTGTAATTCCCCATTATACTTAATGTCTAACATTCCATATCCTTATTTTGTTTGTTCTTAGCCTGTCTCCTCCTGGCTAGAATGTGAACTCCACAAGGAAAGGGATTTCTGTGTTTTGTTCACTGTTGTGTCCCTAACACCCAGAACAATGTCTGGCACACAGTGGGCACTCCCAAATATTTGAGGAGTAAATGAACAAATCAATGTATGAAAATGGCTTAAGCAGTGCCCGGCAAAGAGAGACACTCAACATACAGATGAATCAATGAACAAATGTGTAAATCACTTTGTGTGCTGTCTGGCATCCAATAACCCCTATTTATGTATGCGCTTTGCTGGTATGATGATGATGATGATGATGATCTTATTTTTATTGGCTCATGCAGTCCATTTGACTCATATTTCCCTCCTCTCCTGCAGTCATCAGGGCCAAGTTCGTGGGGACACCAGAAGTCAACCAGACCACCTTATACCAGCGTTATGAGATCAAGATGACCAAGGTATCCCCTGCCCCCGCCTCTTTCCCAGCATTTTCTAACATCTTCCTCCTGGTCAAAACAGAAACTTCTGGCCACTGGTTGGTGCGAGAAAGTTGGCTGTGATCTTGGGATGCTATATGACTTCAGGGAAGAACCTGGAGTGGGAGGATTATGTCAGTAAAAGAGACACTTCCCCTCATCCATCAACAGATGTATAAAGGGTTCCAAGCCTTAGGGGATGCCGCTGACATCCGGTTCGTCTACACCCCCGCCATGGAGAGTGTCTGCGGATACTTCCACAGGTCCCACAACCGCAGCGAGGAGTTTCTCATTGCTGGTGAGGCACCGTCCCCGCGCCCTGTGCCACACCAACCAGTCCCTGGGGCGCGGCCTAGCAACCACGAGGGGGCGAGGCTCTGATGGGAATGGTCCCACTGGAAATGGGGACCACCCCAATTTCAGTCTATCAGAAGGCCGGGCCTTTGGCAGCTTGGCAGCTCAGCCAATCACAAGCTGCTTGTCGGTCCCCGCCCCGCCTTTCTCCTTAGGAAAACTGCAGGATGGACTCTTGCACATCACTACCTGCAGTTTTGTGGCTCCCTGGAACAGCCTGAGCTTAGCTCAGCGCCGGGGCTTCACCAAGACCTACACTGTTGGCTGTGAGGAATGCACAGTGAGTGCCTGGACCCTGACCTCCAACGGGAGATCCTTCCCGGGGCCATTCCCTAAATCGTGGGCTTGTTTCTTGCTCCCTCTGGCTATTCTGTGTCCCTGTGGCTGCTCCCCAACCCTAAGGGCTGTCCCTGATCTCTCTTGCTATTTCCCCAAGCCCGAGACTGCTCCCTTACAAATTCTGGCTGCTCCCTTTCCCTGTGTCCAATACCGTGTGATCACCTGTCCCTCCCTGGTCCCTCTAATTCTCCCTTGTGACTATTCTGTAATCCCACTCCCCGTTCCTGAGCCCCCGGGATTGTTTCTTGGTTCCCCAGAATGTTCTCCAAGAACCCAAAGTGCTGTTCCCTAATCCCACTGACCCTTCCTCAGCACATCTGCTTGTTGCTCTGCAGCTCTGACTATTCCAGACACCAGAGGGTGTTACACTGACCTCCTGGCTAGTCCAAGCCTGTTCCCTGATGGCTCCTGATGGCCTCTGAGCCCAGTGACTATCTTGAAGCCCCACTGGCTATTCCTGTGCTTAAACTCCTTAGCCGCCAACCGGGTGGGGCCCCTTACTACTGCCAGTTTTTCCCTGTCCTTTGGGACAATTCCACAGGCGACCTGCCTGACTGACCCCCAGGGCCTATTCCCCAGCCACCATTCCAGGACACTGATTTACTGGCTTACTGTTACCTTTCAGGACCCAGTGACATTTCCCTCAATGGGAGGGGCTGTCCTGGGGTATGTACTTAGGTGGGGTGAGAGCAAGTCTCCCCAGCGGCTCAGTGTTGAAAGCTGAGGAGAGGAAGTTCTGCTCCACGGGGGAGGCAGGGAGAAGCCCTCAGAGATGTTTCCCTCCTCCCTTCCAGGTGTTTCCCTGTTTATCCATCCCCTGCAAACTGCAGAGTGGCACTCATTGCTTGTGGACGGACCAGCTCCTCCAAGGCTCTGAAAAGGGCTTCCAGTCCCGTCACCTTGCCTGCCTGCCTCGGGAGCCAGGGCTGTGCACCTGGCAGTCCCTGCGGTCCCAGATAGCCTGAATCCTGCCCGGAGTGGAAGCTGAAGCCTGCACAGTGTCCACCCTGTTCCCACTCCCATCTTTCTTCCGGACAATGAAATAAAGAGTTACCACCCAGCAGACACTGTTTCTGTGTAGTGCCTGGGAACAAACCCATGTTGCTGATGACCTGGTGTGAGCACCCTGGGACCAGTGGGGATGAGGGATGCCAAATGTTGGGTTTTTATATTTTACTTAAATTCTGATGTACTGGTAGTAATTCTCAACATTGGCATTAGCACTGATGATCTGCAACAGCAGCAATGGTCACTGAACCTGCATTATCAACCGTAACCTCTGAATAATTTCTCCAGCCAATACTTTAAAACATTTTCCTATACTGATTCCTAATTGCTATTTGCCCAGGGCTTTCTAGTTATAAATTATCCCACAGCTGACAAATCACTGCCTTACTGGAAATTCCCCATTCACACATCTTGCCAGCTGACAGAGTCATTGACAAATGCCCTACCAATTGGCAAATGACTATCATTGCCTCAAGCACAGTCCTGATGTTGTCCAGTGAGGATGCCCCATCCAAACACGTGGGTGTTACTGTCCTCATCCTCAGGTTTTGTACCATGAGTCTGACTTGAGTGAAAGGGGACCCAGGGCACCCAGAGTCCCACAGTAACCCAGCTGGGGACTTGGGAAGAAGGGGTGGCCCTGGCTCCCCAGCCATGGCTGCAGGACATTCCTTGGAAGGGACTGTTTGGGGCAGAGGAGAGGTGGGATGGAGAGAAGGTATGAGCTAAAAATCCCCAAGCTCTGCCATCCTCCCTCCCCTACTTCTCCCCTCACTCCTCTGACCAACTTGGAAGGAAATACTGACAGCAATGAAATGCAGGTAGGGTTCAAAATTAAGACCAGCCAGATATGCTGGCCCATACCCTCCACACACCTCCCTCAACCCAACTGTCCCCTCACCCAAACTAGGGTCTCTAGACTCGACCCTCACCTTTATGAATCATCCTTTCTCTAGAAAAACTGAGTGAGAGAACCTCCAAATACTCCCCTCTGAGGCCTTCCTGCTTCCACAGCGGGGTCCAGTCCCTGGCTCCTGCCCCTCATACTCCAAAGGTCTTGACTCAAGTGAGGCCCTTGGGAACTAGAATTTCAGACTGGTGCAAACATTCAATGGAGCACCTGTGTCCTCCTGACCTGAACGTGCTTGAAAAGGGCCCCAATATATCTCCTTTGGTAAAGAAAAGGACCCCCAAATTCCCTCTCATCAGAGTACCCACTGCTCTTACCAGTAAGAACCCAGGTCTCCTCCAGGGCATTCTAGGTCACCAAGCACAGCCCCCTGGATCTTCTGTGGTCCTGTCCCAGAGCCTTTTACACTCCTGGGAGGTTACCCCACGGCCCAAATTATGTCCCGGATGGGAATGGGCAGATTTTGAACACACAGTACTCAGCCACTTAAGCAGGGAATGCGCATGCAGCAACAATTTCTACATCAACATCTACACCTTGGTTACGCCCTCGGAGGGTCTGAACCTTGTCCACCGAAGGGGCCAACCGCAGCCTTTGCTGATGGGCACAACTGTAAGGTAAGGGCCCGAGCCCTGGTTCATCCCTGGTGACCTTGTCAATGTTCCCTCAGCTGCCTGCAAGAGGCTGACCGCTCCTGGCAATTCGCCAAACCTTAGTGTCAGCTACCTGCACTCTTAAGCTGCTCCCTGGCCTCAGGGCCCATTTCCTAAGTCCTCAGCTCTTCCAAGCCCTAGGGGGAAGGTGAAGTAGCAGGGGAAGGATGGAACCCAGCGTGGAGGTCGTTCTCCTGCCGACCTGTCTACCCTGCAGGTCAGCCCTTCGCCAAGTGCAATGCAGAATGGACAGGGAGGACCGGAGACCAGAACAGGTCTCAGGGGACACAGAGCCCAGAACAGCAGACGAGGCTACCTCCACCAGAGACCTGGCATGAGCTCCTGGCAGGATCTGTAACCCTGGGCTCATTACATCCCCCATTGCTCTTGTAGAACATCTGTTAAAATAGGTCAAGTGAGCATCCTCCATCCCCAGCATTCGGGGTGTCTGTGGGTGAATCTCTGGGAGAGACTCTGTGACAGCTGAGAGGAAGCTTGTAGGGGTCACAGCCATGTGGTATTCAGCATGGGACCCAGCTCAGTGGGGAGCCTGGGGGGCCAGTCCTTCTCTCACCTGAGCCTCAGTCCTTCTCGCCATGTTTAAACATGGACGTCACAGTCCTGGCCCAGAATCCTTCAGAGGTCTGTGGTGGGGTTGGAGGATGTTTACGGGGTGTCTTTGCCCCTTGGATATTTTTGGGGGGGTCAAAACACAGGAAATGGGACAGTCATGGTGGCTGACGCCTGTAATACTAGCACTTTGGGAGGCCAAGGTGGGCAGATCACGAGGTCAGGAGTTCAAGACGAGCCTGGCCAACATGGTTTCCATCTCTACTAAATATACAAAATTTAGCCAGCTGTGGTGGCGCATGCCCTGTGGTCCCAGTTACTTGGGAGGCTGAGGCACAAGAATCGTTTGAACCCAGGAGGCGGAAGTTGCAGGGAGCTGAGATCATGCCACTGCACCCCAGGCTGGGGGATAGAGCAAGACTGTCTCAAAAAAAAAAAAAAAAAGGCCGGGCATGGTGGCTTACGCCTGTAATCCCAGCAATTTGGGAGGCCAAGGTGGGCAGATCACGAGGTCAGGAGATCGAGACCATCCTGGCTAACAAGGTGAAACCCTGTCTCTACTAAAAATACCAAAAAAAAAAAAAATTAGCCGAGTATGGTGGTGGGCGCCTGTAGTCCCAGCTACTCGAGAGGCAGGAGAATGGCATGAACCTGGGAGGCGGAGCTTGCAGTGAGCTGAGATCAAGCCACTGCACTCCAGCCTGGGCAACAGAGCCAGACTCCGTCTCAAAAAAAAAAAAAAAAAAAAAGCAGGAACCCTGGAGCCAGATCATCTGCATTCAAATCTTGCCCCTGCCATGTCTTAGCTCTGTGTCCTTGAATAAATCATATTGCCTCTTTGAGCCTCAGTTCCTGCATCTGTAAGACAGGGATAAAAAGAAGGCCTAACTCATAGAGACAATGTCCATATTAAATGAGGTTGTATATGTGAAGTACTTGGAACAGTGCTAGGCATATAGCACTTACAAGCATTAGTTACTAGAAGTAGTTATGATAACTATAACTTATAACTTTAGTAGTGATTATTTATAATATTGCAAACAATGTTTGATATTAGGCATGATAATATACGATATTGGAAATAATGTGTATGATTAGTACCAATAATTTAATGTCCATTTCTCCCCCACACCAGTCTCCTCACCAAAATACAAGCTCCTGACCCTGCTCTGCCTGAAGGAATGGGGTAGGTCTCCGAGACCCAAAAGCTCCTGATGTGATACTAAGATCCCAGCTCTTTACGCCATAAATGTTCCTCAGTCCCAGTGTCCCTCTCTCTTTTCCCCCTCACAGACAATCCAGTTTCCTAGTGGAGTCCTGAACCTGTGGCTCACAGAAGCACCTGAAAATAAAGAGCAATGTGGTTAGATCCTTCTACACGCCCACCCACAACAACTGTGGCGACACCATGAGGAGAGGTTCCCCTTTAGGGATTCCTAACGGCAGGCCAGCCAACCTGTCCCCACCCTGTGTGGACTCCTCACCCTCAGGTCTCCCTCTGCACCACCCTGGAACAAAAAGTCCCCATCCCTGGAGCATTCTCCCCACGAAGAACCCCCGCCTCACAATACTATGTTCCCAACTTCAGCCCGTCACAGCAAATTCTGTCCCCAGTCCGTAGTGTTCTGAGTCTTTGAGACTTGGGGATCATAGCATGTCCTAGCCAAGGGACATATGGTCATGCTACACTGGTCCTTGGGACATGGCCTCTGTCCCTCCAGGTCCTTTGAGGGATAGAAGTCTGCACTCTGCGAGATGGGGGGTGCATCCTTGGAAGGGGCTCAGGGAGGAGCCCAGAAAGGGCTTCCTGACTTTCTATAGGAAAGGATGCGATGGGGCCTTGAGTGAGTCCCTCAGGGACTCCCGCAGCCACAGGCGTCCCCTTTGTGTTGTGGCTCACCCCTGTTCTTCCTGCCTCTTGCTCCCCTACTTCTTCTTCCTATTCCCTGCTCCTTGTCCCCGTTGCCTACTTCCTATCCCTTGGTCCTTCTACATATTCCCTACTCTTTTGTAAAATGTTTTATTTTATTTTATTTTATTTTTGAGACAGAGTCTCACTCTGTTGCCCCAGCTGGAGTGCAGTGGTGCAATCATGGTTCATTGCAACCTCAACCTCCTGGGCTCAAGTGATCCTCCCACCTCAGCCAGCTAAGTAGCTGGGACTACAGGCACATGCCACCATGCTCAGCTAATTTTTTGTAGAGACGGGGTTTCATCATGTTGCCCAGGCTGGTCCGGAACTCCTAGGCTCAAGCGATCCTCCCAGCTCAGCCTCCCAAAGTGCTGGGATTACAGGCGTGGGCCATCAGGCTCTGCCTGCATGTTCCCTGCTATCAAGCCCTGCTCCAGCTCCTGTTCCCACTCTTCGTGGTTCCCTTTCTGTTTCTACTCTTGTCAGAACTACATAGTTACAAAACAGCCAGGAGGTGCTGCTGCCCTACCAGGCACCAGGAATTAATGAGAAAAGTTGCTGTTAAGGTAGTATGGCTTTGGTACAGGTTTACAGAAAGTGGCCAATGGAACAGAATAGAGTTCTGAACCTGCAGGACAGAGATATGAAATGTTAGTATAGGCCGGGCGCGGTGGCTCACACCTATAATCCCAGCACTTTGGGAGGCCGAGGCGGGTGGATCACCTGAAGTCAGGAGTTCGAGACCAGCCTGGCCAACATGGTGAAACCCCGTCTCTACTACAAATGCAAAAATTAGCTGGGTGTGGTGGGATGCCCCTGTAATCCCAGCTACTTGGGAGGCTGAGGTGGGAGAATTGCTTGAACTCAGGAGGCGGAGGCTGCAGTGAGCCAAGATCGCGCCACTGCACTCCAGCCTGGGCAACAGAGAGACACCCTGTCTCAAAAAAAAAAAAAAGTTAGTATATATATGACAGAGGTGGCATACAAGCTCAGTGGGGGACAAGGGCTTACCTATAAGGAAAAAGATGAACTCAATCCCTACCTCCTTCACACTGTATATGAAAAGGAATTTCAGAAGAATGAAGAATTTAGATGGCAAAAACGAAACTTTACTAAAAAGTCCCTCTTTGCTCTAGTGACTTGAGTCACTACTTTGATCATACACTAAAGTTCCATATGTACATGGATCTATAACTGGACTTTTGTTTTTCTTCCTTTAATCTGTCAGCCTGTCTATTCATGGGTCAGCATCACACTATTTAAATTATAAAAGTTTCAGGCTGGACATGGCGGCTCATGCCTATAATCCCAGAGTTTTGGGGAGGCCAAAGCAGGAGGATTACTTGAGGCCAGGAGTTTGAGACCAACCTAGGCAACATAGCAAGACCGTGCCTCTACAAAATAAACAATAAAAAAATTAGCTATACATGCACCTGTAATTATAGCTACTCAGGAGGCTGAGGTAGAAGGATTGCTGGAACCCAGGAGGTTGGGGCTGCAGTGAGCTACAATCATGCCACTGCACTCCGGCCTGGGCAATACAGCAAGATTTTGTCTCAAATAAATAAATAAATAAATAAATAAATAAATAAATGAAATCTTCGTAAAATGTCTGGTGGCAGAGGCATCAGACTCCCTGTGGGCTGGGAGTATGAGTCCTTATTATCACTTTTCTTTTTCAGGGTTTTCCTAGTTTTTCTTGCATGTTCGCTTTTCCATATGAACTTTACTATCAACTCATTTAGCTCTAGATATAAGTTTGTAGGTATATTTTTGGGAACCACATTAAATATATAAATTAAATAAGGACGTGAGAAGGTGAACTGCCATTTTCATGATGTTAATTCATTCTACCCGAGAACAAGGAATGTCTTTCCATCTGCCTAAGTCTACCTTTGTGTCTTTCAGGAGTGTTTTAAACTTTTCCTCATATCACTTTGCACATCCCTTGTTGATCTTATCCCAAAATATCTTATTTTTTTTGTTGTTATTGTATATGTTTTCTCTTCTATTATACCTTCTATCTGGTTATTTGTGTATATAAAAACTACTGATTTCTGCATGTTGATTTCATATGCTGCTGTTACTGCATTCTTTTTTATTTTTATTTTTTGAGACAAGGTCTCGCTCTGTCACCCAGGCTGGAGTGCAGTGGTGGGATCATAGCTCACTGCAGCCTCAAACTCCTGGACTTAAGTGATCCTCCCGCCTCAGCCTCCCGAGTAGCTGGGACTACAAGGGTGCACCACCATGTCTGGCTAATTTTGTGTTTTTTTTGTTTTGTTTTGTTTTTTTGATAGAGATGGGGTTTCACCATGTTGACCAGGCTGGTCTTGAACTCCTGGGCTCAAGTGATCCTTCTGCCTTGGCCTCCCAAAGTGTTGGGATTACGATGTAAGCCACCGTGCTCACCCTTAATGTGGTTTTGAATTTGTTTGCTAATATTTTATTTAGGATTTTTGCATTGATATTTATAGTAAAAATGGTCTATGCTTTTTTTTTTTTTTTGAGACAAAGTCTCGCTCTATCACCCAGGCTGGAGTGCAGTGGCATGATCTCAGCTCACTCAACCTCTGCCTCCTGGGTTCAAGTTATTCTCCTGCCTCAGCCTCCGGAGTAGCTGGGACTACAGGCGCACACCACCACGCCCAGCTAATTTTTATATTTTTAGTAGAGATGGGGTTTTACCATGTTGGTCAGGCTGGTCTCGAACTCCTGATCTCAAGTGATCCACCTGCCCTGGCCTCCCAACATGCTGTGATTATAGCCGTGAGCCACTGCACCAGGTCTATGCTTTTCTTTGTGCTATTAATGTTATAATTGCTTTAGAAAGGTAATATGGAAGTTTGTCTTCATTTTCCATTCTGTGGAACAATTTATGTGGCCATTGGGATTAACTAGTCTCTAGCATTTCAGTGGAATTCCCCTGTGAAATCATCTGGGCCTGATGATTTTTTATGGGGAAGTTCCTTAAAAACTTTCTCTATTTCTTTTATGGAAATTGGTTTGTTAACCTCTAATGGGGTCGATTTTGGTAAACTGTGTTTCCCCAGGAAATTACTTATTTTCATCTAGGTTTTCTATTTTATCTGTGGATGCCTTTTTTATATTTTGACTTTTAGAACCACGCTAACGTCTTACATTTAAAAATATAAAATTAAATCAGCATTACCAGGCGTGGTGGCTCATGCCTGTAATCCTAGCACTTTGGGAGGCCAAGGCAGGTAGATCGCTCAGGCTCAGGAGTTTGAGAGTAGCCTGAGCAACATGGTGAAACCCAATCTCTTATAAAAAATACAAAAGAATTAGCTAGGCATGGTGGCACGCACCTGTGGCCCCAGCTACTCAGGAGGCTGAGGTGGGAAGGTTGCTTGAGTCCAGGAGGCGGAGGTTGCAGTGAGCCAAGATTGCGCCACTGCACTCCAGCCTGGGCGACAGAGTCACGGACTCTATCTCAAAAAAAAAAAAAAGGCTGGGTGCAGTGGCTCACGTCTGTAATCCCAGAACTTTGGGAGGCAGAGGCAAGTGGATCACCTGAGGCCAGGAGTTCAAGACCAGCCTGGCTAACATGGTGAACCCCATCTCTACTAAAAATACAAAAATAATTAGCTGGGTGTGGTGGCACACACCTGTAGTCCCAGCTACTTGGGAGGCTGATGCAAGAGAATTGCTTGAACCCGGGAGGCAGAGGCTGCAGTGAGCCAAGACCACACCACCACACTCCAGTTGGGTGACAAAGTGAGACTCTGTCTCAAAAAAAAAAAAAAGAAAAAGAAAAAAAAAGACCTCCCTTTTAGAAGGGGTCCTGCCCAATACCCAGAAGGAAGGGATGTTGCAGAGAGAGTCTAAGGCTCTGAACAGACAGGCCTTGCTGGGTTTCCCCACTCAGTCTGTTAGTACAAGATCACACCCTTTTTGTCCCATCACATTTCTTTCTTTCTTTTCTTTTCTTTTTTTTTTTTTTTGAGACAGAGTTTCGCTCTTGTTGCCCAGGCTGGAGTGCAATGGTGTGATCTCAGCTCACCGCAACCTCCGTCTCCTTGGTTCAAGCAATTCTCCTGCCTCAGCCGCTCGAGTAGCTGGGATTACAGGCATGCGCCACTGCCCCTGGCTAATTTTGTATTTTTAGTAGGTACGGGGTTTCTCCATGTTGGTCAGGCTGGTCTAGAACTCCCGACCTCAGGTGATCCGCCTGCCTCAGCCTCCCAAAGTGCTGGGATTACAGGTGTGAGCCACTGCGCCTGGCTGTCCCATCACATTTCTATACAGTTATAAATCCTGCCTATGCAATGAAGTCTCCATGAAGGGCTGAAGAGGATGGAGTTGGAGAGCTTCTGGATAGCCGAACATGTGGGGTTCCTGGAGGGTGGCTACCTGGGGGTGGGGCATGGAAGCTCTGTGCTCTTTCCCACATGCTTCGTCCTCTGCATCTCTTCATCTGTATCCTTTGTAATGTAATACTCTTTACAATAAACCGATCATGTAAATAAGTGTTTCCCTGAGTTCCATGAGCCACACTAGCAAACTAATTGAACCTGAGGAAGGGGTTGTGGACCCCGATTTATAGCTAGTTGGTCAGAAGCACAGGTAAAATAACCTGGGGCTTGCCATCAGCATTAGAAGTAGGGCTTAGTCCTGTGGGACTACACCCTTAACCTGTGTGATCTGATGCTATCCTCCAGGTAGATAGTGTCAGAATTGAATTGCAGGACATCCAGCTGGTATATTAATTTGCTGCAGAATTAATTGCTTCTTGGTGTGTGTGTAAAAGCCTCCACACATGGTATTGTGAGAGCAGAAGAAAAAACAGTTTGATTCTTCTACTCACACACATATAACAATTTTATATATACACATATATGAAATTATATATATATACATAAAGAAATGAAATGTCCTAGCTGTGTACAATGAGAGGGCCTTGAAGCAAGAACATTCCAGTAGCAATGAGTAAATCTAGTTCCCAGATCTTGGCTTTGAAATACTATTATCTTTGGGCTGGGGCCGGGAAAGAACAAGATATGCCTGGAGGTGATGTCAGCAGAAATGTAAGAGCCTGTCTTCTCCTCCTTAAAATTGCTTAAAAGCAATGAGAACACTGGCAAAAATTGTCAAAACAAACTTATCAGAACTCTGGAAATTGACCAAGGTTTACAATTCAGAAAGCATTTTTTCAAGAAAATGGCTGAATCTTGGTAACAACAGGAAGCTGTGGCATTTGAACTTCTCTTGTACACATCCCCTTCTCCTCACCTCCACAAGAGCCTTGAAAATCAACAGCCCTGCAATTCCAGTGAAAACCAGCAGACTAGCAACCATTGGAGGAGGCAGAACAGGGTTGGAGTTCCTCCAAAATCTCATTTCCAGAGAACTGTCTTTATTTGATCTGTCTGGCACTATCCTGAATACTCCACTCATGGGGCTCATCTGGTATAAACAGCTTTCTCTGGGGGTGCTTTTCAGAAACAATTAGCAGCAACTGTTTAACACAGCAGTGATAACATTTAGGAAAAAACAACAAGCTTTTCAAGAAAACTTAAAAGGAAAATCTAGGTAATTATATATCCATTATCAGTCCATTATTAGGCTTTAAAAAGCTCTGACATATGCCTGGGAATCTAGAAAACCACAAATACGCATAAGGCTGTATGTATGCCTAGGATCTCTGGCTGACCTCAAAACTCTGCACAAGCAGGAAATGAAGGATAAGGCAAAGTTGTAAACAGCCTGCCTTTGCATTAAAGGCACACCCTGACATGCACATAGAGCCCATCAGCAAAGTCTGGGAGACTTACTGGTTTCAGGTGATTTAAAGAAATATCTGTCCAATCATTAGCTGACCACTAAGCTAACGGAGCAGAGACTTGGGTAGCCACATATGACAAAGAACACAGGCTTTACAGAATTAGTTCAGGAAGGTCACTAAAAACAAAACAAAGCAATAAAAACAAATCCTGAGGAGGGGAGAGAACCTGATTCCCAGAGTTGCCACATTATATTATTTAAATGTCCAGTTTTCAACAAAAATGTATGAGAGATGCAAAGAAACAAAATTAAGTGTGGCCCAAACACAGGGAAAAAAGCAGTCAAACACTATCCCTGAGGAAACCCAGATGTTAGACTTAATAGGCAAAAACTGTAAATCAGTGATTTTTAATATTTTCAAAGAACTAAAGGAAACTATGTTTAAAGAACTTAAAGGAAAGGATAAAATGATATCCTAATAAGTAGAGAGTATCAATAAAGAGAAATTACATGAAAAAGAAATTCTGGGCCGGGCATGGTGGCTCATGCCTGTAATCCCAGCACTTTGGGAGACTGAGGCGGGTGGATCACCTGAGGTCAGGAGTTTGAGACCAGCCTGGCCAATACGGTGAAACCCCCCTCTCAACTAAAAATACAAAAATTATCCAGGCATGGTGGCGTGTGCCTGTAATCCCAGCTACTCGGGAGGCTGAGGCACGAGAATTGCTTGAACCTGGGAGGTGGAGGTTGCAGTGAGCCGAGATTGTGCCATTGCACTCTAGCCTGGGTGACAGGAGTGAAACTCCATCTCAAAAAAAAAAAAAAAAAGAAATTCTGGAGATAAAAAGCATAATAACTGAAATGAAAAATTCACTAGAGGGGATCAACAGTAGCTTTGAGCTGGCAGGGTAAAGAATCAGTGAATTTGAAGACAGGTCAGGTGAGATGATCCAATCTGAGGAACAGGAAGAAGAAAAGTAAACAAAATGAACACAGTCCTAGAGGTCTGTGGAACACCATGAAGCATATGAACACCCACATAATGGAAGTCCCAAAAGGAGAGAGAAAAGAGAGAAAAAAAGGTGCAAGAAAGACTATTTGAAGGAATAATGGCTAAAAATCCCCCCAATTTGATTTAAAGCATTAATCTATGCATTCAAGAAGTGCACTGAACTCCAACTAAGATAAATTCAAAGAGATAGGCACCCAGACACATCATAAACTTATAAAAGCTAAAGACAGAGAGAATCTTGAAAGTAAGAGAGAAGTAACTCATCATATACAAGGAATCCTCAATAGGATTAGCAGCTAATTTCTCATTAGAAATCTTGAAGTCAGAGGGCAGTAGGACAACATATTCAAAGTACTGAAAGAAAAAGACTGCCAAACAAGAATTCTACATCCAGCAAAATTATCTTTCAAAAATGAAGGAGAAATTAAGACATTCACAGATAAACAAAAACTGAGATAGTTCATCACTAACAAACTTCTACAAAAAATGCTAAACGGAGTCCTTCAGGGTGAAATAAAATGATACTAGCTAGTAATGTAAATCTACATAAAGAAATAAATAGCACCTGTAAAGTTAACTACATAGGTAAATATAAAAGACAGTATAAATGCATTTTTTTGCGTGTAACACTTTTTTACTCCTGATTTAAAAGACAACTGCATAAAGCAATAACTATAACTATGTTCATGGGCACACAATGTGTAAAGATGTAATTTGTTTGACAATAATAGCACAAAGGAGGGATGAAGGAATAAAGTTATATAGAGGCAATTTCTTTGTATTACTGAGCTTAATTTGGTATTAATTCTAATTGGAGTAATATAAATAATGATGTTAATTGTAATACCCAAGGAAACAACTAAGAAAAAAAAAAAACAGGCTAAGTGCAGTGGCTCATGCCTGTAATCACAACACTTTGGGAGGCCAAGGTGGGTAACTTGAGCTCAGGAGTTTGAGACCAGCATGGGCAACATGGCAAGGTCCTGTCTCTACAAAAAAATTAAAAATTGGCCAGGTGCGGTGGCACACGCCTGTAATCCCAGTACTTTGGGAAGCCAAGGTGGGCAGATCACAAGGTCAGGAGTTCGAGACCAGCCTGGCCAACATGGTGAAACCCCGCCTCAATTAAAATACAAAAAAATTAGCTGGGTGTGGTGGCAGGCACCTGTAGTCCCAGCTACTAAGAAGGCTGAGGCAGGAGAATTGCTTGAACCCAGGAGGTGGAGGTTGCAGTGAGCCGAGATCGTGCCACTGCACTCCAGCCTGGGTGACAGAGTGAGACTTTGTCTCAAAATAAATAAATAAATAAATAAATAAAAAATAAAAAACTAAAAATTAGCTGAGCATGATAGCACATGCCTGTGGTCCCAGCTATTCAGGAGGCTGAGGCAGGAGGGTAGCTTGAGCCCAGGAGGTTGAGGCTGCAATGAGCCATGTTCCTACCATGGCACTCTGGCCTGGGTGACAGAGCAAGACCCTGTATCAAAAAAAAATAAAAATTTTTTAAATTAAAAAAATGAATAAAAGACATAGGGAAGAAATAACAGAAAAATTAAAAATGGTACACTAGAAAATATCTGTTTAACTTAAAAGAAGGCATTACTAGAGGAATACAGGAACAAAAAATAAGATATAGAAAACAAATAGCAAAATTGCAAACATAAACCCTACCTTATCAGGAATTACAATAACATAAGTTAATTAAACACTGCGATTAACCCTTTTCCTGTTTAGGAAAAAAAAACGTGCAGCTTGCTGCCTGTGCTCACTAGATTTTATATAAACATGCTCTTTGAGGCTGAAGCAAAGCTAACTGATTTTCAATGTCAAAACAAAATATAAAAACTATTCTTGGAGTTATTTCTAAGCTGAACTAACATCAGAATCATCTGAATCATCAGAATCATCTGAATCATCAGAACCATCTATTTTGGAAAAATCAGATTCATCAAATGATTCTTCATCCAACGACTGTTCAAGAACGATGTTAACATCATTTGTAGGGATGTTACATTTTCTAGGATTTGACATTTTCAATGATTGAGAATTACTATATTTTGTAAGTGGAAATACCACTCCTAAAAACAGAATGCTATAAATAGAATGATGTCTTTTGTTTCCAAAGTCGATATACTAGAGTGATGTGAAAATAATAATAAAAATGAGACAGTTTGTGGCAAAGTTATCTCAGGGTAAACACTGCAGCCGCAAGTGCCATCAGAGAGTGTTCTCAGCACAAACGGTAAAGGGTTAATAGGCACAGTGGATGAAAAACGTGACTTAATTATATGCTATCTGTAAGAGGCACATTTTAGATTCAAAGACCCAAATAAGTTGAAAGTAAATGGATGGAAAAAGATTTACCATGCAAACAATAGCCAAAAGAGAGCTGGAATAGCTATACTAATATGAGGTAAAATAGAATTTAAAACAGCAATTGTTACTTGAGATAAAGAAAAATATTTTATAAGCATAAATGGTCAATCCATCAAGAAGATTTAACAATAATAAGTATATGTGCACCTAACAACACAGCACAAAATATATGAAATAAAAACAGGCAGAATTGGAGACAGAAATAGACAATTCAACAATTATAGCTGAAGACTTCAATATCTCATTTAAAGAAATGGGTAAAACAACTAGACAGGGAACCAAAAAGGAAGTTTTTTTTTTTTTTGGAGACGTGGTCTCACTCAGACTGGAGTGCAGTGGTGCAATCTCAGCTCACTGCAACCTCCACTTTCTGGGCTCAAGTGATCCTCCCACTTCAGCCTCCTGAGTAGCTGGGACTATAGGCGTGTGCCACCATGTGGCTTTTTGTGTGTGCATGTGTATTTTTTGCAGAGTTGGGGTTTTGCCATGTAGCCCAGGATGGTCTTGAACTCCTGCACTCAAGCAATCCACCCGCCTCAGACTCCCAAGGTGCTGGAATTAGAGGTGTGAGCTACTGTGCATGGCCAATAAGGAAGATTTGAAAAATGCTATAAACCAATTAGACCTCATAAACATCTATAGAACACTTCACCCTACAATGGCAGAATACACATTCTTCTTCAGTGCACATGGAACATTCTTCAGGACAGACTATATGTTAAGCCAGAAAACAAATCTCAGTAAATTGAAAAGGACTGAAATTATACAAAATATGTTCTCTGACCACAATGGAATGAAATTAGACATCAAAAACAGAAGAAAATTTGAAAAATTTACAAATATGTGGAAAGTAACACACTCCTAAATAACCAATAGGTCAAAGAAGAAATCACAAGTGAAATTAGAAGATACTTTGAGATGAATGAAAATGAACACACAACATATCAAAATGTAAGGGATGCAGTTAAAGTGGTGCTTAAAGGAGAATTCATAGTTGTAACTGCCTATATCTAAAAAGAAGAAAGATATCAAAATCAGTAACCTAATCTTCCATTTTTTTCTAGGAAATTAGAAAGAAAAGAGCAAACTAAGTCCAAAGCAAGCACAAGGAAAAACATAATAAGAGTAGAAATAAATGACATAAAGAATTTTAAAAATAGAGAACTAATAAAACAAAAATTTGGTTCTTTGAAAAGATCAATAAAATTGATAAACCTTTAGACTAAGAATAAAAAAGGGCAGAAAATTCTAATTACTAAAATCAGGAATGAAAGAGTGGACATACTACTGACCTTACAGAAATAAAAAGTATTATAAGAGAGTATAAGAGAGTACTGTGAACAATTATGTGCCAGTAAGTTAGAAAACCTAGATGAAATGGACAAATTCCTAGAAAGACACAAACTACAAAAACTGACTCAGTAAGAAATGGAAAATCTCAATAGACCTATAACAAGTGAAGAGATTGATTTAGGAATAAGTAAAACTTCCTACAAAGACATACCCAGGACCAGATGTCTTCACTGGTGAATTCTACTAAACATTTAAAAAGAATTAATACCGACCAGGCATGGTGGCTCACACCTGTAATCCTAGCATTTTGGTAGGCCAAAGCAGGAGGATCGCTTGAGCCCAGGGGTTCAAGACCAGCCTGAGCAACACAGCAAGACCCTGTCTCAAAAAAAGAAAAAAAATTAATGCCAATCTTCACAAAATCTTCCCAAAAATAGAAGAAGGAACACTGTCCAACTTATTCTATGAGGCCAGTATTATCCTGATACCAAAACCAGAAAAAGACATCATAAGAAAACTACAGAGCAATGTCTCTTACGAATATAGATACAATAATCCTTAACAAAATAATCACAAACTAAATCCTACAACATACAAAAAGGATTTATACCAAGGCCAAGTGAGATTTAGCCTAGGAATGCAAATGTCTACACCTAGACACATCATAAACAAACTTATGAACGTATCAACTTGCATGAAAATCAATTAATGTACTACATACCATATTCATAGAATAAAGGACAAAATTCACACAATCATGTCAATAAACACAGAAGAAGCATTTGACAATGTCCAACATCCTTTCACGACAAAAATACTCAACCAACTAAGAATAGAAGGAGAAATTTGTCAACACTGAGGTAGCAGTTAATATATGCCAGATGCATTGTTCTAGACACCTTACATTTACTAAGTAATTTCATTCTCACACCAACTATATGAGGCGGGAACTATTATTACCTACATTTTGCAGATGAATAAACTGAGGTACAGGGCGTTTAAGTAACTTTTCCTGTGTTAAGCAACTAATAAGTTGTGGAGGTAAGATTCTTATACAGAAATTCTGGCTACAGAGTCCATGCTCTTAATCACATTCTGCTCTACTGTCTCTCAAAGAATGTAGACTAATAATAATGATAAACAAATTGGGTTTCCTTAAAACTAATGATTCAAGCCGGGCATGGTGGTTCATGCCTGTAATCCCAGCACTTTGGGAGGCCGAGGCGGGCAGATTGAGACCATGCTGGCCAACATGGTGAAACCCCTTTTCTACTAAAAATACAAAAAGTAGCTGGGCGTGGTGGCACGCACCTGTAGTCCCAGCTACTCGGGAGGCTGAGTCAGGAGATTCGCTTGAACCCAGGAGGCGGAGGCTGCAGTGAGCTGAGATTGTGCCACTGCACTCCAGCCTGGCGACAGAGCGAGACTCCTCCTCAAAAAAAAAAAAGAAAAACTAATGATTCAATCTTTATCTGTAAGTAAACTTAACTTACAACACTGTTGACGTATATCAGTGATCATAATTTGTAGTACTGGTAAGAATTGCTAATATTAGTAGCAATGTTTATTTAATCAAGTTGATAGTGTTGGGTCAATATTTATATTTAATTGTAATTTTAGTCATAAAATTGGTGATGATCATTTATATGAGTAAACATAATTTGTAATATTGGTAAAAATTGACAAAATTACTTATACAATTTGATTGCATTAGTAACAATTATTTAATTTCTATTTGTAACTAAAATTTGATTCATAACTGTGGTACTCATAATTTATATTAGTAATCAAAATTTTAATATTAGTGATTTTTTTTATAATAGCAGTTAGAATGTTAACCATATTAGTAATTATTTCTATTAGGAACTACAAGATAATTCAAAACACAGGTACTCATGGGTTATATTAGTAATCTTAATTTGTAACACTGGTAATAGTTATATCTGTAAAAATTTTTACACTGTTTGTACTAATGGTTTAATTTTATTTACTTATTTATTTAATGTTTTGAGACAGGGTCTCACTCTGTTGCCCAGGTTGGGATGCGGTGGTGCTATCATGGCTCACTGCAGCCTCAACCTCCAGGGCTCAAGCAATCTTCCCACCTCAGCTTCCCAAGTAGCTGGGACTACAGGTGTATGCCACCATGCCGGGCTGATTTTTAAATTTTTTGTAGAAATGGGGTCTCGCTATGTTGCCCAGGCTGGTCTCAAACTCCTGGGCTCACGAGATCCTCCCACTTTGGGTTTAAATTTTTAAAAAATAATTATAACAATTTACAACATAAGTACTAATCATTTATAGTAATAAACTTAATTTGTAACACTGTAATGCATTGTAATATTAGTTGTTATATTTGATGATATTAGCAATGATAATTCAATTTCTATTATTTAAACGTTCAGCATATTTTATTCTGGCACATTGTAGCCCAATGACCCAACTGTGGTAGTCTCCACTGCATGCCATGTTTATGTAAGTCAAAACAGGTACTTATAATTTATATTAGAGCATAATTTGTAATAGCAATAATCATTTGTAATAACAGCAATAATCTTTGATGCTATTAGTAATGATTATTCAATTTCTACTAGAAACTATAATTTAATTCATGACATAGGTACTCATAATTTACAACAGTAAAAATAATTTATAATATTAGTGATAATTTGTAATATTAGTGATTATATATATATATATATTTTTTTTTTTTTTTTTTGAGATGGAGTTTCGCTCTTGTTGCCCAAGCTGGAGTGTAATAGCGTGATCTTGGCTCACCACAACCTCCGCCTCCCGGGTTCCAGCGATTCCCCTGCCTCAACTTCCCAGGTAGCTGGGATTACAGGCATGCACCACCACGCCGGGCTAATTTTGTATTTTTTTAGTAGAGACAGGGTTTCTCCATGTTGGTCAGGCTGGTCTCAAACTCCCGACCTCAGGTGATCCGCCCACTTCGGCCTCCCGAAGTGTTGGGATTACAGGCATGAGCCACCGCGCCCGGCCAGTGATTATATTTCATAATAGTAACCAAAAGTTCAATTTCTATTAATTAATTAATAGGAGGGAGGCTGAGGTGGGACTCTGTTGCCCAAGCTGGAGTGCAGTGGCGTGATCTCTGGTCACTGCAACCTCCAACTCCCGGGTTCAAGTGATTCTCCTGCCTCAGCCTCCCAAGTAGCTGGGACTACAGGCACGCACCACCATGCCCAGCTAATTTTTGTATTTTTAGTAGAGACGGGGTCTCATTATGTTGACCAGGCTGGTCTTGATCTCCTGACCTCATGATCTGCTCACCTCAGCCTCTCAAAGTGCTGGGATTACAGGCATGAGCCACCGTGCCTTGCCAACAATTTAATTTATAACATTATTATTGATAAATGTTATTGGCAATCCTAATTTGAATATAGGTAAAATTTCTATCAGAAGGAATATTTGATAATGTTAGTAATAATGACTTAATTTCTATATGTAATATATTCTGATTCATTACATTAATTCTGTCAATTCACATTAGAAATAGGTTTTTAATACTGGCAAAAATAGACAACATGAGTAACAGGATCTGATACATATTAGAATGGATCATGATTTAGTTTTCCTTGTAAGCATAAGGAAATTCACGGTAGACCCTATCACAAAGCAACTTCATGACTCCACGTGCACACAGCAGCCACACTCTTGATATCGCACTGCTGATAATATACCAATATTTAATATTATTGCAGTAGTTATGACTCTTCCCTCCTGCCCACTCTATTTTCCCCAAACTCACCATTTCTTTGTGATTGGGGTAGAAGGTCTGATCAATTAGAGGGAATTCTTCTGTCCCCAGTTTCTTATGCAGTCGAACCATCTGGGCAAACTATGAGAACCAGGAGAGCTGGGTCAGTGAGTCCTTCACCACGAATCTGTAAGTTTCTGAACACCCTCACTTCCCCAAATCGCAGACTGGTTTCAAGCTCCCACATACATGCATGAGCTGTTCCCTCTGCCAGTGGCACCCTTCCTGTTACTTACCACCCAGGGCTTGTCACAGAAGTTGTAGACAGAATGCAAGGAGTTAACACTGGGGATTCCAGCATACTGCAGCCCAATGACCAAACTGCGGTAGTCTCCGTTGCGTGCCATGCTGAAGGCGTGCTGGCGGATCAGCACAAAATCCGGCTTCAGAGACCTAGTGTGGCAGGGGTAGGAGTGTTGAGAGTTCCCCCAGAAGCTCCCAATCACTCTCGAAACAAAGACCAAGTTTTTAAATCTCCATAGCTCCCAGAAATTGCAAAGTGGTTTCTCACCTCTGCACACATGTGTGAGCTGTTCCCTCTGCCTAGTGCACCCTTTCTACCCTCTGCCCACCTGGTGATCCCCTTTAAGCCTCTCCTACCTGTTCCCTTCTCAGCAAGGTCAGCTTGCAGCTTACCGACACAGCTCTGACAACTCCCTGGTCACCATCTCTCAGACTGCAAGCTGTCTTCAGTGTTCTGCCCAGAATAAATTCTAACCTTGGGACCTTTACCAAGGCTGTTCCATCTGCCTAAAGCACTTCCCCCCTAGATATCTGCATGGATCACTCCTTCACCTCCATCAGGTCTTTCCTCAAATGTCTCTCCTGCAACCAGGCCACCCTATCCCAACTGCAGACCCCACCATCATCCAACAATTGCTACATCTGCTTTAGTGCTATATATATATTTTTTTCTTTTTTTTTTTTCTGTTGAGACGGACTGTTGCTCTGTTGTCCAGGCGCTGGAGCAATCATGGCTCACTGTAATCTCCGCCTCTCGGGTTCAAGCGATTTCCCTGCCTCAGCCTCCCGAGTAGCTGGGATTACAGGCACCTGCCACCACGCCTGGCTAATTTTTTTATTTTTAGTAGAGACGGGGTTTCACCATGTTGGCCAGGCTGATTTTGAACTCCTGGGCTCAAGCAATCCACCCACCTTGGCCTCCCAAAGTGCTGGGATTATAGGCATGAGCCACCACATCCGGCCACTGTTATGTTTTTTCTTAGCACTTTTACATTTTCTTATTTATTTGTGTATTGTGTGTATCTCACAGTAGAATGTAAGTTTCATAAGGCCCAGGTTCTTTTTCTTTTTTTTTTTTTGGCCTTTCAGCATGTAGAATATCTCCTGGCACACAGTAGGTGTACAATAAATATTTATTGAATATGAAGTCCTGAGAGCAGCATCTGGCATGCAGCAGATGTCTAGCAAATGTTTATTTAATTAATAATTGAAGGCTGGGTGTGGCGGCTCATGCCTGTAATCCCAGCACTTTGAGAGGACAAGGCAGGTAGATTGTTTGAGCCCAGAAGTTTGAGACAAACCTGGGCAACATAGTGAGGACCCCCCCCATCTCTACAAAAAACATAAAAATTAGCTAGGCATGGTGGTGCGCACCTGTAGTCTCAGCTACTTGGGAGGCTGAGGTGGGAGGATCACTTGAGCCTGAGAGGTTGCAGCTGCAGAGAGCCATGATTGTGCCAGTGCACTCCAGCCTGGGAGACAGAGCAAGACCCTGTCTGAAATATATATATATATATATATATTTTTTTTTAAAGTCTGACTTGTGGCATCCTGGGGTCCCTGGCTCTTTTTCTGAAGAAAAGTTGTCTCCCCACATTCCATGCCTAAGTTCTTGCCCACAGAAGGATGGGTGGGGAGGTAGGAACTTTCCCCCAGCTCTAAGGGAGAGTTCTTATGCCTTGCTCATAACACCAAGGTACCCTTCTTATACTCACCGCACGACCTTCACCCCATTCCGAAGAACTTCCATATCCACAGAGAATCCACCATTGGCATGGGCCACAAGGTTGAGATCAGAGAATTCGGCCTGGGAAGGAGAAAAAAACTGGTGATTCACCTACATCACACAAAAATGGCCACTCAGTTTGCAGTATGGACAACTGACCCCCAGGTCCAAATGTCCCAACTTACCTGTTCTACTTTAATGTCAATTTCTCCATGGATCTTTTTCCCTTTGAAGTATTTTGCCCTGGAGAGGAAAAACAACACATCTGTCAATGATGAAATCTCAGAAGGGAAGACAAAACACAGGCCCTTGACCCTTTTGCCCCTTCAATGCTACTAAAGAAACCACAAAGTGCCTTATAATTATTGAAATATTTTGAAAAAATCAAGAGTGCTTTGTGAATAATGTCTGTTGTAATCCTCATGGAGTTGCAAAAATATTAAAGGACATTGCAAACTGTAAAATGTGGCCTTACACTGCAGAGAGCAGGTATTTCCCAAAATTTAGTCTGCTCATCACATTGTCATTGTAAATTTTTTAAAAAAACTTCACAAAATTAGCAGCACTATGTAAATTAGAACATACTTTGAAATTGCATGGAGACCGGTAAACAGCAAAGAACCTTAGAAAACACCTATCTGGCCAGGTACGGTGGCTTACGCCTGTAATCTCAGCACTTTGGGAGGCTGGAGGTAGGAGGATTGCTTCAGGCCAAGGGTTGGAGACCACCCTGGACAATATAGAGAGACCCCCATCTCTACAAAAAAAATTGAAAAAAAAAAAAAAAAAACAAAAGCCGAGGGCTGTGGCTCACGTCTATAATCCCACAACTTTGAGAGGCCAAGGCGGGTGGATCACCTGAGGTCAAGAGTTCGAGACCAGCCTGACCAACATGGTGAAACCCCTTCTCTACTAAAATACAAAATTAGCCAGGTGTAGTGGTGCATGCCTGTATTCCCAGCTACTTGGGAGGCTGAGGCAGGAGAATCACTTGGACCCAGGAGGCGGAAGTTGCAGTGAGCCAAAATGGTGCTATTACACTCCAGCCTGGGCAACAAGAGCGAGACTCCATCTCCAAAAAACCCAAAAAACAAAAACTAGCCAGGCATAGTGGTGCATGCCTGTAGTCCCAGCTACTGGGGAGGCTGAGGCAGGAGAATGGCTTGAGCCCAGGAGGTCGAGGCTGTAGTGAGCCGTGATTGCACCACTGCACTCCAGCTTGGGGAACAGAGCAAGACCTAGGCAAAAAAGAGAAAGAAATAAAGAGAAAGGAAGGAAGGAAGGAAGGAAGGAAGGAAGGAAGGAAGGAAGGAAGGAAGGAAGGAAGGAAGGAAGGGGAAGGAAGGAAGGGGAAGGAAGGAAGGAAGGAGAGAAAGAAACTACATTTCTCTGAAGCGTGCCTGTTTTTGTGTATTTTTTAGTGCCTGTGTATATGTCAGTGCCTGTGTCTGGCTGTGTGGCCTGAAGCATCTCTCTGCTCTCTGGCCCTTTCGCAAGGAGGAGCACATTCACCATGTGTGGTTGTGTGCTGTGAGAAACACAATGGCCATAGGTGGGCAGCTGCATCCGATAAGGAGGAGTGGATTGAGTGGTGCAGGCTGGGTGGCTCTAGAGAAGCCAGTGTAGCTGGCAATGATGGGGGGCAGGGAGGAATGCAGCTGAGGAGGAGAGGGAGCAACAGGAGGGAGGGGGAGTGGGAGCAGCAGTAGGAACATCACGAACTGCTATGTCATTGTCCCCGGGCCCGTCCCCAGCTGGGCTTGGTTTCCGGTGGCCTCCTCCCCCAGGCTCAAGATTTCTAGCCAACAGGCTGCTTGCTCCAGGGATGGAAGCTCATCCTCAATCAGGTTTATCATGGAAGGGGGATGAGGGGGAGAGACACTTTCAGGGCTACTGGTCACTGACACACATACAATCAGGGTCTTGGACAGACACACACACACACACACACACACACACACACACACGGCACAAATGGACCCTGGTGACTTGACTGACATATGCAAGAGACCCCAAGTACAGCTACTTCTTTTTCCTTGCTCTCTCTCTGACACACACACACACACACACACACACACACACACCATCGCTGACACTATCCCCTCAGAAGTGTTGAGAGAGAATCTCTCTCAGCCCTGCACATTTTTCATCTATAAACTGATGAGTGGGGATGATGAGGGTGTATCACTGTTTCTAAAACTTTTCTGACCATAAGTGTAGTTGGATACTGTGGTGGTCTGCTCAGGCCTCCTCTTCAGGGACAATGTACCTTGAATGGCAGCTACTGACAGCTCATGGCTGTGTCCCCACTGGGAATTGTCTTGTCACAGGGAACTGCCTTGTCCAAGGTTACACCTACTTCATGAGGGCATCCCCATGGTCTGGTCTATGAAGGGAAAGAAAGGCCAGCCTCCTTGCCTCAATCTGGGCTGACTCTGAAGGACCCTCCCAGCCCCAGGGCTCCCCCTAAGAGCAGCGGAGGCCCCTAAGGCAACTACATCTTGAGCCAGCCTCTTCCTCTGCTCAACCCAACCCTCCTCACAAGTGTTGATCCCAATGGCACACTCCAGTAAGCCTCCTGCATGCAAATCTCCACCTCAAAGTCTTTTTCCAGGGAACCCAACCTAAAACAGTGGGCCATGGAAGTCAAACTACAAGGGTGGTCTAATGCAATTCTGGAGCTGGGTTACCCAGCAGCCAGATGGCAGTGAGGACCCATCAGTAGTGGGAGGTGGGGCATAGATAGCCTCCGATATGCTGTAGCAACGCAAAGTGCTCTGCAGCAGGTCCGGGCTGTGGTGCAAGCAGGATGTGACTTAGGCCATATGATCCAGCAGATCCTATGACACTGGAGGTGTCAGTAGTAGGAAAAGATGCTGTGTGGAATTTCTTCTCCCAGGTGGGAGAATACAGCGCAGGCCCCCAGGGTTTTGGAGTAGCGGTGACTTTTCCTGATGGTGGGCTGTAATGGGATTCTGGTGGAAGGGAATGTACTGGATGGTGAAATATCCCTGGAACTTGAGTGATGTCAGGGAAATGGTAACCAGACTTGGGTGACTATTCCCTAAACGCCATTGAGTAGCTGAAGAAAGACCTGACATGCTCAGGGTGAATTCAAGGCAAAATGTGAAAGCCAGAGGATCTCCCTGACTGCATTTAAGGAAACCCTCATCTCCTGCAGTCAGAGGGCAGACAGAAGGGAGGGCCAGGCTCAGAATTTAATTCTACGTGGTGGCGGAGCTTCGGAGAAAGTTGACTTCTCAGGCCCAGCACATCTCCTGGGCCATGCTCATGTCCCTAATAGGACAGGAGTAGGACTCTGAGATGGGGATATCTGGGCAGATGCAGTTAAACACCTTGAACTTACAGACTCACCTGCATCCACTGGGCCTGCTGAAGTAGACTACTCCCCTGAGTTAGAATATAGACCTTCTGCTTGAAGATAATGCAGAGGCCTCGGATGATGCAGGTGCTTTGTAAGACAATGCCTGCCCCCCTCAGAGTCTACCCCCCACCTACCCTCCTGGAAACCAGACCAAAAATTAGGGTGAAATCCTAGTGAAACCTGACTGGACAGGTTCTAGGCTTGCAAAGGGAGAGAAATGATCTGTAGAAGAACCTAAAGAATCTGGCTAGTACGTATTGGCAGGAGCTGGGAAGGTATGCATGAGACTGGATCCTGAGGACAATGGGCGAAGGAGGTAGAACAGGAAGTTGGTGTGCTCTCCCAGGATACGGAACTTAAAACCCTGGCGAGGACTCTAGGAAGTGTTACTAACACACTGGTATTTGGAAACCTGGAGTAAACAATGGCCCACACTAAGTGAAGCAGAACTTCCATGGCAGATTGCACAGGGAAGGATTAAAGGGCTCAAAGAAGCAGACATGTTGGAGTAGATATACTACTGAAGTCTGGAAAACCCACCAGCTGATTAAGGCCTGGAGGATACACTCAACTTATGAAATTAATAAGAAACATGCTGGTGAGGGTGGTACCAGTCACGCTGAGAAGCACAGTAGTGGTAAGGTGATAAATGAGTCCTGGCCCAGGTCCTGCTTACAGTGGGTCTGGTGGGTCTAGAGACCCACCCAGTGGTCACTTCCTCAGTTCACAAATGCGTAATTGCAATGGCATACTTTGTAGTTGTCAGAACCCCTACATGGGCTCCTCAGCCTGTGGGATAAGAGCTGTTTCAGTAGGGAAGTCCAAATAGAAGCTTCTAAAATGGCGCACACCCCCATGCCCTGAACAAAACAATAAACCACAAACAATATTGTGTGCATCCTATGGGTGATGATGGAAATCAATGCCACATTGAAAGATCTAAAGGATGCAGGGGTGTTGGTCTCATCTTATCTCCATCGAGTTGAGCAGTCTGGCCCCTGGAGAGGTCAGATGGGTCCTGGAGAATGCTTGCAGATTACTGCAAGCACAATCAAGTAGTACCCTTAGTTATACCTGCCATACTGGACACGCTGTCATTGCCAGAGCAGATTAATAAGACCTCAGGTACAGCAGGTGGCTGCTGACTTGGCAAATGCATTCTTTTTTATTCTGATTAGAAAAAAGGATCAGAAACAGTTTACACTCACATGAGACTGATGATAATATTCATAGATGGTCTTGCTGTAGGGCTATGCTATCTCTCTCACCTGGTGTCATAATATAGTCCAGAGAAACCTGGACTATCTGGACATCCCATGGAATAGCACACTGGACCACCACATGGATTACATCATACTGATTGTGCAAGATGAGCAAGAGAGGGTGAGCATATTGCCCTGGTAAGACACATCCACTACAGAGGGTGGAGGATAAACTCCACAAAGACTCAGGGGACCGATGCATTAGTAAAATTTTTAGGAATCCAGTGGTCCAGGGCAGTAAACCAGGACAGCCCCTCCAAAGAATAGAGCAAAGCATTGAATCACGCACCTTCCACCATGAAGAGGAAAGCACAATACCTAGGAGGCCTCTTCCCATTCTGGAGGCAGCATGTCCCCCACACACAAATAATGCTCTGACCCATATTCCAGGCGACATGTAAAGCTACCAGCTTTGTGTGAGGGCCAGAGCAGAAAAGGGCTCTGCAGCAGGTCCAGGCTGTGGTACAAGCAGTCCTGCCATTTAGGCCAGATGATCTGGCAGATCTTATGATACTGGAGGTGTCAGTAGTGGGGAAAGATGCAGTGAGGAGCTTATGGGAAGCCTGAGTGGGAGGCCCTTGGGGTTCTGGAGCAAAGCCATGCCATCTGCAGCAGAGAATTTTACGCCTTTTGAGAAAGACACCCCATTGAGGTGCTGGGCCCTGATAGAGACAGAATGCTTGACCAGGCACCAAATGATTGTGCATCCAGAAGTTCCCATTATAAGCTGGGTCCTGCTGGGCCCGCCAAATAATAAAGTCAGGTGGGCCCAGCAGTCAGGATTGAGCCCAAGCAGAACCAAGCAAGGTGCATGAGCAGGTAAGTAACCCTGATCCCCATGTCTTCCACACTGTTGTGCTAGTGCCTGTCTCACTAAGGGGACTCCTTAAAACTAGCTGATGAAAGAGGGAAAGGTCTAAGCTTGGTTCACAAATTGGTTGTCTTAGTATGTGGGTGGAAGCCAAAAATGGGCAGTGGTTGCACTATAACCCAACTGGAATGGCCTTGAAAGACAGTGGCAGAGCTCCCAGTGGGCAGAGCTTCAGGCTGTGCACCTGCTCATCTCCTTTGTGCAGAAAGAGAAGTGCCTCAAGATTAGAATACATATATCCACTTATGGGCAGTGGTAAATGGTTTGGCTGGTTGGTCAGGGGCCTGGAAATAAAAAGACTGGAAGATCCAGACAAAGAGGTCTGGGATACAGAAATGTGGGCAGACACCTAGGAGTGGGCAAGAAATGAGGAGTGAGACTGGGCGCGGTGGCTCACGCCTGTAATCCCAGCACTTTGGGAGGCCGAGGTGGGCGGATTACCTGAGGTCAGGAGTTCAAGACCAGCTTAGCCAATGTGGTGAAACCCCATCTCTACTAAAAATACAAAAATTAGCCGGGCGTGGTGGCGCACGCCTGTAATCCCAGCTACTCGGGAGGCTGAGGCAGGGGAATTGCTTCAACCTGGGAGGTGGAGGTTGCACTGAGCCAAGATCGTGCCACAGCACCAGCCTGGGCAATAGAGCGAGACTCCGTCTCCAAAAAAAAAAAAAAAAAAAAAAAAAGGGAGGAGCGAGGATCTTTGGATCGTGTGTTAACACCCACCAGACAGCATCTGCCATGGCGCCATGGAAGTGACACTAGGCAACCAGGTAGACAGCATGAGTCAGCCCGATGATGTCAGCCAGGCTCTAATCAGCCACCCCAGTGTTAGCAGATGGGCACATGAATAAGTGGCAATAGCAGCAGAGAGAGAAGCTATGTGTGGGGGCAGCAGTGTTACTGCTGAATGTCCAATCTGCCAGCAACAGAGACTAACATTGAATCCCTGACACGCCACCATCCCTCCAGAAGGCCAACCAACCACTTTGTGGCAAGCTGATTAGATTGGGCCCCTTCCATCCTGCAAAGAACAGTAATCGATTTTGACTGGAATATTCCATATTTGAGTTTGCCTTTTCTTACTGCAGGACCTCAGCCAGCTCACTGTCTAAGGGCTTACATAACGTTTGATCCACCAGCACGAGACCCTGCATAACACTGCGTCAAACCAAAGGACACACTTTATAGCAAAGTAAAGGAATGCAAAGCAAAGGAGGTGCAAAAGTGGGCCCATGACCATGGAATTAACTGATGGTATTACACACCACGCCACCCGGGAGCTGCTGGCCTGATGGAATGATGGAACAATTTGGTGCAGCCACAGCTAAGATCCCAGGTTGAAGGTGAGATCATGCAAGAATGGGCACCATCCTCCAAAACAGTGTCAACCCTAAATCAATGGCCATTGTAGGTGCTGTGTTCCTAACAGGTAGAATACACCGGTTTGGGGACACAGAGGTTAGGAAGGAGTGGCCCAGCTTACCAGCAATCCCAGTGATCCACTTTTGAAATTGTGCTTCCTGTTCCCTCAGGGCTCTGCAAGGTTAGAGGTCCTGGTTCTCCAAGGGGGAACACTGCTACCAGGGGACACAGCAAGAATCCCATTAAACTGTAAGCTATGATTGCCCTCAGGGCACTTCGTGTTTCTCATGCCAAGGGACATAAAAAGGAGCCATTGTCTTGGCAGGGGACGTGACCAACCTTGCTCCTCAGGAGGAGGTAGAGCTGCTGGTACACAGTGGAGGCAGGGAGGAGTATGTCTGGCACCCAGGGGATCCACTTGGGCATCTGTTGGTACTCCTTGCTCAACTTTGATAGTAAATGGGAAATGTGGTTGTTTGTACAGCAGCTACAGCCTGAGAAGGGCATGGGGACCAAAGGCTCAGGGATCTCTGCAGGATGGGAGCCACCCAGACCAAGAGTGGTGCTAGCTGAGGGTGGGGGGAATCTAGAATGGGTAACAAAAGAAGGAGAGGATGAATATCATTTATGACGTTGAAATCAACTGCAGCAGCAGAGACTATGGCTCATCTCACTACCGTGCTCTTTCAAGTGTCCCTGAGAAAACAAGACCGATTAGAATTCTGGAAATGCCGTTCCCCAATGGGGTGAACTTACTATAAGAAGGAAGTGGATCGGAGCAGTGCAAGGTGTGGACTATATGCTCCCCCCAGATCCTTACCTCCTTGTTCCAGACCTTTGCATCTATCCTCAGCTTCTGGAATTATCCGCTGCTGATGGCTCATAGGTGTCCCTCACTGGGCATTGGCCTCTGCAACAGGGATTTGCCTCACCCAAGATTACGCCTCCTCCCAGGGGGCAGCCTACAGCCAATGACTGACATAGGAATTCAAAGCCTGGCCACCCCGCTTCAACTGGGACAACTCTGAAGGGTCATTCCAGTGCCAGAGCTCCCCAGAGGATTGGCCGAGGCCTCTTTTGTGGTTGCATCACAGCTCAACTTTTCCCTCTGCACAATCCTGCTTCCCTCACAACCTCCCCCACAGGTGTTATTCCCAAGCGCTCTCCCCAGTAAATCTGCATGCAAATCTCAGAGTCTCGGGGTCTGCTTCCAGGGAAATATATCTGAGAAAAGAAGCCACAGTAAGAAATAAAGCTTATATAACCCACTATATATGTATTTGCATAATAACTCATCCTATATATGTATTATATAAGACACATATGTTGTACAGCAAATATGAGAATATAGAATGTCTTATATATTATGTAACATATAAAATGTTGTATATTACATATTATGTGTATATGTATTTAGAATGTATATAAATACATATGCATAACTGGAATTAAAGTTTCAATAGATAATTACCTTTACTATGTGTAATGCAGTCTGATTTTTCTATGCTATTTTATTTCATTTCATGAAGAAGAACATATACATATAGATGTATTATGTACTGTAAAGCCATTGTATAACACATGTATTACATACCGTATGTCATATATAATATACATTACAGATTGTATATCTTAATGGAATAACATTATATGTTTTGCTAAACAACAACTCCATTTACTATGTGCAATATGCTCTGTTATTCTCTATTTTTATTTATCCTACTTCAAGAAGAAAGTGAAATGCTGGTCATAAGCCAATAGGTGACCCATAGTTTGAGAAACACCAGAGAGCCGGGCACGGTGGCTCAAGCCTGTAATCCCAGCACTCTGGGAGGCCGAGGTGGGTGGATCACGAGGTCAGAAGTTTGAGACCAGCCTGACCAACATGGTGAAACCCCATCTCTACGAAAAATACAAAAATTAGCCAGGCATAGTGGCATGTGCCTGTAGTCCCAGCTACTCAGGAGGCTCGCTTGAACCCAGGAGACGGAGGTTGCAGTGAGCCGAGATCGTGCCATTGCACTCCAGCCTGGGCGACAGAGCAAGACTCCGTCTCAAAAAAAAAAAAAGAAAGAAAAACACAGGACAAAATTACCCACAAAATGGGGGAGATGAGTCTCAACTTAGAGTTTTCAACTTTAAACCACAGAGGAATTGAGACCCAGGAAGGAATGAGGGTGGTGAGGTTTGGTGGAAAAGGCGTCAGACTGTATTTCGGTGTACATTCCATCACAGAGTTTGCACAACTCCTGCTTTATTTGGGGCTGAAATCCCTGAAGCTAGTGTGGTTCTGAGTGTCTGCAAGTTGGTAAAACAGGTCTCTGTTCCCCACACTGAGCCTGGCGTACATACATAGGCTCTGTCCCTTTGTCCACCCCACCCCACATATAGTAGACACTAAATAAATATTTGCTAGATTGCCTGGAAGAAAAGACTGGAGGGGATGCTGGGATAAAGGGGGGCTTCTGAGATGCAGAAGGGGAAGGGATGGATCTTTCACTGAATTCAGCAGGTGCTCAATAAATGTTTTCTGGACAAAGAAAAAATGGAAAACATTGAATTTGTGATTATGGAAAGGGGAAGGGACTTGTCAGTATTCCATAGATAATAAATGCTTGATGGAAAGAAGGAAGCAGACGCAAAGGACCTGCATGGAGGGCTGGAGTGGAGACCGGAAGTCTAAAGGAGGGTGATTACCTATATCCAGCAGAGGCCTCATTGATGTTTGCTGACTTCAATGGAGCAAACTTAACCAGGAAGATAACACGTTGGTGAGTGGACGTTGGTGAAGGAATTACAGCACGTGCTCCATAAATGCTTTACAGATTGATAGAGAAAAAAGCGGAGAAGCCTGCTGCAGGGATGATAATGTGGCTGTTTGAAAATAATACAGTAAGAGATTAATAAGTGTTTTCTGGACTAATTCGGGGAGAAAAAGGCAGCTGGGGAGATGGCTACTAAGTGGAGGAAGAGGCCTAGCTAGAATAAATGGAAAACAGTGCACATTGTGAGCTTTCAGGATTGTGTTGTGTAAAAGGCAGGATGGAGATTGTTGAAGGGGGAATTGGGACTACAAAAAGGGGAGAAGAGGCATTTAACGCAGGGTTCTCAGTAGTATACGATAAATGCTCATTAAATGATTGTGGGGTTGCATGGAGGAAAAGGTATAGCAAGGCCAGCTGGCAGGTGAGGATTTCAAGCACACCTGCATTTAGAAAAAAAAGAAGGAAGGGGAGCTGAAGAAGGGTTATTCCTAGTATATAATGGTGCATAATAAATGCCTCCCACACTTTCATGGAAAGGATGCAATAAATATCTGCAGAATGAATAAATTGCTCTGAATGGAGAGAAAGGCTACTCGGTAAAGGCTCCTGGGGGAGAGGTAATCTAACCAGTAAACAGCTGGTACTCAATACATTTAGGCTGAAGTAGACCCCTAGAGAGAGAGCTCTTGAGGCAGGGTCAGGGATTTCCAGAGACTTGGAAAGAGGAAGTTGAAAGTGACTTATACAGTAAGTGCTCAATAAGTGTTTACTTAAATAGTAAAACTATTAAGTAAATAGTAAATTTAGTAAATTTACTAAATTTATTTAGTAAATTAAGTCAATAGTAAAACTATTAAGTAAAAGTGTTTACTTAAGTAAGTGTTACTTAAATAGACTAAAAGCCCTTTGGGGGTATGAATTAAAGTTGGTAGAGGGAATCCTAGGGGTACTGAAGGGAGTGGGAAAGGGGTGATCATTATAAACTCAGCTCTGGATTTATCACAGGAAAGGACCTTGGGAGAGGCCTTGTGATTGGAACAGGCTCTCCTAGGGGTAAGGAAGAAGAATGTACTCCCCAAAACAACAGGTCCTGCATATGTGCTCACTGGATCTACTGTTAAGAAAACAATTCTGGGGAGGAGGTGTGAATATACAGAACACACAGAAGACACTCCATAAATGCTCAGGGGAGCCATTGGAAGAAAAGGTCTTTGGGGGAGGATGATTAAAATGGAGCACATGACAGACAAGGAATAAATGCTCACTGGATCCATTAGAAGAAAAGGCCTTTGGGGAGTGGGGCTGGGGATGGACATATAGTCACCTGATCAAGGCTCACTGCATCCCTGAAGGAAAAGTCCTATGGGGAGGGGAAATGGGAGTGCAGAAAGTTGATCTATGGGAGCTCGATTCTTCATCCATAGGAGAAAAGGCTTTTGTGAAGAAGGCACACAATCAGGTACACAGCAGGTGCTCCATAAATACTCCAAGGAGTGATTAAAAGAAAAGGTCTTTGGAAAGAGTGACTGGAATGGTACACACAGCAAGTGCCAGATATCTGAGCACTGTATTAACTGGAGGCACAGGCCTTTATGGAGAGGTCTAAGGTTGGGTCATGCAGAAAGTGCTCAATACATGCAGACTGAAGCCACTGGAGGAAAGGGTATTGCAGAAAGGGTTTGAGGGTGGGGTATACAGCAGGCACCAGTCAATGCATGCTTGCTGAATACACTGGAGGAAAGAACTTTTAGAGAAGGCTCACACTGCAGGCAGTTGATAAATGCTAGATGGATCCACCAAAGGAAAGGTCTTTGAAGAAGTAGCTGGAGAACGGGGGATACAAGAGGCACTCAATAAATGTTTTCTAGATCCACTGTAGGGAAAGGTCTTTGAGGAGACGGTCTGAAGATGAGTCACACAAAGAAGGTTCAAAACTGCTCATGGAACTCACTGGAGGAAAATGATTTGTTTGAGAAGGGGTTTGGGGGTGCGGCACGTATCAGGCACTTAACAAATGCTTCCTAGATCCTTTGGAGAAAAGGCCCTCAGAGAGAGGGCTTGGAGTTGGGGCACAGAGAAGGCATCCAATCAAAACTCACAGGATCCATGAAAGGCAAAGCTTTTGGAGAGAAGCTGGGGTGGGATACACAGCAGGTACTCAATGTTTACTAAATAGTTTAAAAGGGCTTTAAGGACGGAGCTGGGGTGGGACACATAGCATAGACTGGACACATGCTCACAAGACCCATTAGAGAAGGCCTCAGGGCAAGGGTTGAGGAGAACAGGACAGTATCAGGCTCTCAAAGAATGCTCACAAACCTCATTGAAATCAAAGGCCTTGGGGAAGGGCTCTTGGATGAGGCATACTGCAGGTACTAGATAAGTGCTCACAAGATCCATTAGAGGACAAGGCCTATGGGGCAAGGGTTGGGGAGGGTAGGAAGGACACGTTCGGTTTTCGAAGGCTCATAGGATATATTGAAGCCAAAGACTTTTGGGGGAGGGGTAGTAGGGAACAGGTACGCAGCAGGTGCCTGATAATTGCTCCCTGGATCCATCAAGGTTTAAGGGGCGGAGGGGGGCGACAAGGGCGGGGCACAGAGGAAGCATCCAGCTTAATAATTTAAAGGAAAAAGATTTAGGTGAGAGGGCCAGGTGTCAGGCACACAAGCGGCGCTCGATAATTGCTCATTCGCAGAA
This sequence comes from Homo sapiens, assembly GCF_000001405.40. Taxonomy (NCBI): domain Eukaryota; kingdom Metazoa; phylum Chordata; class Mammalia; order Primates; family Hominidae; genus Homo; species Homo sapiens. Next base: position 47,619,301 of record NC_000023.11, read on the forward strand.
GAACGATCTGGGGACCCAGGCCCACGGGAGACGTCCGCGGCAGTGGCTTACCAGTCGGTGTGCGGCTCGTCGATGACCAGCAGCACCCTGGAGGCGGCTCCCCCGCGGCCTGCGCCCCCAGAGCCGCCGCCCACCTGCTCGCTGAAGGTGGCAGCTGCCGCCGCCGTGGTCTGCTTGACCGCGTTGGACAGCGACGAGAAGAAGCCACCGCCCCCCGAGGACCCGGGGCTAGGGGCGGCCGGAGAGGCCGCTGGGGCGACCCCGGAGGACCTCTCGGCAGTGGCGGTCCCGGGACCGGGCGTGGCTCCGGGGCTGTGGGCACCGGGCGGCGGTGGGGGCGGCTGCGGACGCTGCAGGTCTGTCATGTACCCATTTGGCAGATTGGCCATAAAGTTGCTGTCCGACAGGCGGCGCCGCAGGTAGTTCATGGCTGCGACTTGGGGCAGGGGGTCCTAGGGGTGGTCTGGCCAGGAGCCGCGGGGGCGGACTGCGCGGTGCCCAGGAGCACAGCTGCGCTCTCAGGCACGACACGACTCCTCCGCTGCCCACCGCAGACTGAGGCAGCGCTGAGTCGCCGGCGCCGCAGCGCAGATGGTCGCGCCCGTGCCCCCCTATCTCGCGCCTCGCGTGGTGCGGTCCGGCTGGGCCGGCGGCGGCGCGGACGCGACCAAGGTGGCCGGGAAGGGGAGTTTGCGGGGGACCGGCGAGTGACGTCAGCGCGCCTTCAGTGCTGAGGCGGCGGTGGCGCGCGCCGCCAGGCGGGGGCGAAGGCACTGTCCGCGGTGCTGAAGCTGGCAGTGCGCACGCGCCTCGCCGCATCCTGTTTCCCCTCCCCCTCTCTGATAGGGGATGCGCAATTTGGGGAATGGGGGTTGGGTGCTTGTCCAGTGGGTCGGGGTCGGTCGTCAGGTAGGCACCCCCACCCCGCCTCATCCTGGTCCTAAAACCCACTTGCACTCATACGCAGGGCCCTCTGCAGATACTCGGTTTGTAGTGTTGATATTCAACTCAGAAGGCATTTTTTGGGGGGAGGGGGGCACTGGAAGCACACTCAGAGACACGAAAGTAGAGAAATAACCCCCTCACAGAGGGGGGTGAGGTCACACGCAGTGCCCGCGGGGAGATTAGTCTCCCACATCCACACAGGCTCAGCTAGGCAGAGAGCGGGGGCGTCACAGACAGCATCAGACAAGCGGAGGTGGACACTTGGGTGGTGTACACACCCTTGCCCAAGGTGGCAAGGGGGGCCTGGAGGCACACAAGAAATGACACACATATAAACACACACAAAAGTGAGGAAACATACGAGGGCATGTACAGACAGAACACACGCCAATCTAGGTATACATACAGACATACAAGTCCAGAGTAACACACATGGGCATGTTACATACATGCATGCATACACCCATACCCCCACACACACAGGTAACACACTGACACACAGAGACCCAGGGAAACTCATATGAGCATACACTTGCAGACAAAACACATTCCCACCGATGATCATGGAGAAACCTAGATCTGCAACACAGACATTCTCTGCAGCCCTAGCCCTGGTGCGTGTCCACCCCCACACCAGAACACACTTGGTATATACGCCACCATCCCTTTGCTCTGGACACCGCCAAAACTCACGATAACTACCTGATGTCATCAGTGCCCATGGCTGTCTCCCCCTGCACCCAAGAACTTTCCACAGAGGCAGGCCCATCCCATGGTGCACACACAGTAGGTACCAAATAATGTTTGCATATGAGCAAATGAGGTAGTCCAAGCAGAGGTGGGATATGGGAACCTGTCAAATCTTTATGATTCTGACTACAATAAAAGCACTAATTCATAATCATTTGTTCACTGATTGTACCCAACTCTTAACTAAGCTGTTTACATGCATCATTTCATCCAACCCTCACAACAATCCAGTGGGGTGGATAATATAATGTCTATTTTACAGATGAGGGAATACAAGAACTCCAGTTAATTCCCAAAGGGTCATGTTCACTTTATGATCAACACATTTTTTTAAGAATGTGCCAGGAAGAGGAAACATCCAGTGCCAATGTGGCTGGAACAAGCTGAAGGGGGTTGTGGTAGCAGGGGCCAGATTGGGTAGGACCTTGACCATAGTGAGCAGTGATGGTGGACTAGGAGAGGTGGCAGAAGATAGGCAAGAAGTAAGTAGATATGGAGTCTCTTTTGCCTGCAGAATTTTCAGGTGACTCATCCACTTATTCATTTGTTCATCCTTTATTCATTAAATCATTGGCTGGTTTAAACAAGGCAGTAATAGTGTGGGGTCTGGAGACACAGTGCCTGGGTTCAAGTGGGGCCTCCACCATACACTTGGGAAAGTGACTTAATCTTTCTGAGATTTGGTTTCCTCATCTGTAAAAAGGATACATCTCTAACCCACCTCTAAGGAGAGGGGTAGGAAGGGGGCAACCTCTGTACCTTTGCATGTGTTGTAACTTCTGCCAGGAATGTCCTCTCCTTCTCTCTCGAGGGCTGCCTTTGGCCACTGTCTGCAGGAACCCCTCACCCCCAGGTCTCAGATTCTATCCCCTCCTCCCCTAGGCTTCCACAGTACCCAAGTCAAACACTTCCCAAACCATCCTCTACTCCCTCCTCCAACCCAGCCAGCTTCAGTCCCACCTCCAGGCCTTTGATTTGGCCACTCTTTTCTCCTCCCTTCAGGATTCCTTCTCTGGCATTCCAAATCCTAGTGTTACCCAGATGGGGATCTCCCCGCAAATCAGATATTTTCCAATGTCTTGAAGTATGTGCTCCCTGGTTTTTTGCCCAGTAACGGAAGCAAACAAGCTGTGCAGGGCGCGGTGCCCTCTTTGGGGACAGGAACAGCTGCAGGTCTACAGATCTTTCTGACTCCTTTAGGTCTGAATTCAGGTTCCTCGGGAATCTATCTCCAGGCTGCGCCTCTTCCTGGGGTCCCCATTCCTAGGTTCCTAGTACTTGTGGCCCCAGCACCATTTCATTTTTCCACGTGGCTCAATTTCCAGAAATTAATTTTTTGTAGATTGTTTTGTAGAGGAATGAGGATTCACCTCAGGAGTGCCTCAATTCACTAAGGCAAAGGTTAGGCTCCCCCAAACTGTCTCCATCTTGTTCAGCAGGAATAGGCGTACAAAAGGGGCCCCAATAATGATTTTGCTGTACATTGGTGAGCAACGACTCTCAAACACACACCCCTGACATATGTTCACATTCAGTATTGTACCCATGTTTGTGACTCACACATACATGTCCATGGCACCTTAATGTGTATGTGCACACACGGGACTCCTGCATTGTTATGGCATACATACATTTGTAACCTCACACACATGCCACATATCAATACATCCTTAATTCTTGCACAGGCCCAAAGGTCTGCATCTCTCTCTCACACACACACAGCTGAATTCCCACTTTCTTGTAAACGTATACCTCTCTCATACCCTGTAGTAGCAACCAGAACCCCTCACTTTGGCTCAGTCTTCCCAAGATGACCAAGTAAGTACTCATCAACTTCATCTTCACTTCAACTCATTGACTGGTCCACTTGAATAAGGGGAAAACGAACCAGAGAAGTCAAGTAAGTGTACCAATATACTCTGGGTGTGCATGTCACAAACCTCCTACCCGAACCTTCCCACACAGACGGGTCCCCTCCACCCACAGCACTCTTGACATTTAAGACCTCATCACAATCCATGATGCTTCAAAAATGTCCAGCCTACTACCTTTCTGTGCGTGTTTCCTTTGTAAAATGGGGATAATAATACTTACCCACATGGGTTTGCTGTGGACGAAATGAGTTCATGCTATGGAAAGCCTTAAGACACTACTAAGCACACAGTAAGTACTTTCTAAGTAGTAGCTATTACCATGATTATTATGATTCTTATGATGCGTCTCTTCACAAGGGGCCCGGCATTCAGTAAGTGGTAAATGAATGAGCAAATGCTAAAAGCACTGGTGTCTGGCTTTGTTCCCTTTACTGCGGAGACACGTAACGCTCTGATTCCTCTTCTTCTCTATTCTCCGTGATGTCCAGCACTATTGTTAGTATACAGTAGGCGTTAAGTGTTGAATAGATGTTCACACGAAAGGAATACCTTCTGAGTCTGTTCCCTCACTCAGATGTCCTCTTTCTACCAGCCCTCCTCCACCCTAGATGCTCAGACTCAGCTTTAGCATACAGCAGGCGCTAATAAGTGTTGAATGAATGAACAAATTACCAGAGGAAAGTGTCTGGATTTGTCTTGGGGGCTCCTCCGGGCGGATACTGACTCTAGCTTCTTTGCCCCTCCTCAGCTCAGAGCGCAACACAGGCACTTCCTCGGCCCGCCCCCCGCCTCGCCGAGCTATTTGTCGCTGGTAATTGTGGCATTGGAGCTGGGCTGTCGGGAGTGGGTGGGTGCAGGTGCTCGGGCGGCAGGGTGCCAGCCTCGGCCACGCCTCTGCCGTTCATCCTCGACTGACGCGGAGTCGGAGTCGGCCGGCAGAGGCTCCTCCAGGGTTCCGGCTGGTGGGAATCTAGGGAGGTCCAGGAGACGGGGAGACAACGAACAAGCACGCCGGCCAATCAAGAAGTGCCTGCCAGGACAAGTAGCCAATCAGGAAACCCGTAACGCGGAGCTCTGCAGAGGAACGTGCCGGGCGGCCCTGAGGCTCTAAGGGGGCTGCGCAGGGCCCAGACATTGGGGTTATGGCAGCGGCGGGGAGAGGCTGGGACTGCACACTCGCTTTCACTCCTGCCAACCTGCGACCACAGTGGAAAATACTGTTTTCCGCAACAGGCTGCTGTGTCTTGGCCCGTGCTGTGCTGTTTGCCCTATGAGATGCTATCACCCTACTTTTGGGGAAGGGGATAGGTTGTTTTTCCTCCTTTAAGGAATCGTAGACGAACTCGAAGAGGCTAGTTTATTGAGGTTTGGAAGGTCAGGGGGCTCAGAGTGGAGGAGAGAAGTGTTAGAGTTCCTCTTCCTCAGGGTCTTTGCAAGCAGGCACGTGTAGACATGGTCGTTTCTCCTCCACCACCAGCTTCTGCCCTTGTAGCTCCTCACACCGTGGCAGCGGTCTCCCCCAGAAGGTCACGTTCTTCTCGCCCTGACCTTCGACCATGGAAACGGTGGGCCTGAGGCATTAGGGGTGGGGAGGAACGGAAGGGAGAATCTCAGGGAAGGCAAGAATGCATTCAATTCTTATTGAGTGCCTGCTATATGCCGAGGGCTACTTTTTTTTTTTTTTTTTTTCCTTTTTTTTTTTTGAGGCAGGGTCTCACTCTGTTGCCCAGGCTGCAGTGCAGTGGCACAATCATAGCTCACTGCAGCCTCAATCTCCTGGGCTCAAGTGATGCTCCTGCCTCAGCCTCCCAAAGTGTTGCTGGGATTACAGGCGTGAGCCACTGTGCCTGGCCTCCCAACACTACTTTTTAGCTATAGGATATTGGGCAATTTCTTTAGCTTCTCTGTGCCTCGGTTTCCCTCATCTGCAAAATGAGAATGGTAGGAATAGTAATATTAATACTCACCTCACGGGGTTGAATGAGGATAAATGAGTTAATTCAGGTAAAGTGCTCAGAGCAGTGCCTGGCACACAGCAAGTGCTCAATAAATGCTGGTGAATGTTACTTGTTGGCATGAGCTACTTTCTTTTACCTCCGAAATATATACCCTTTATATCTCTTTCCACTGCCTCCAGGAAAAAACCCAATGCCTTGTCCTGACATTCAAGGCCTTATTGTTGGGCCCAAATCCCTGCCCCAAGCCAATCTCTCTCTCTGTCTCCTCCACTTTATTCAAGCTCAGTCCCTGTCCAGAAAGGTCTTTACCTGGGTTATTTGTCCCACTAGGAAAGCCCTCCATTCACTCCCATCCCAGTTCTCTCAATTGCTTCTTCCTCCACTCAGTCTCTCGCTCACTCAAGTCCTTTGTGCCTCCATTCAACACCTCTAATCTTCAGGCCCCACTCTAACCCCCTCAGCCGGGAGATCCCTTCCCAGATGGCAGCCCTTCCACGAGCTGGGAATAGTTCACTTAATCTAGTAGCTTGATGTATGTGGAAGGAAGAAAAGGGATGAACATTTTAACCCTCTCTAACACCTGGGCCCCTCTGGCACCTGGAAACACTTATAGCGGCTAATCACCTAGCTCCAAGGCTCCGTTCACAGTCTTGATGCCAGGAATGCCTTTCCCAACCCCTACCTGCCCTGGGAGGCCCAGTCAGCTTCCTGGACCTAGGTTGAGGTGGCAGCACCTGTTGCATGCACCAGCTGTTCCTCATATGCCTCCTGTCAGGGGCTTGCTCAGCTGGGTCCCTTGGAGGATCCACAGGATCTGGGCTGTGTGTATCTGCAACTGTTGCTGAAAAAGCCTTGGAGTGCCTTGGCTCAGTGAGATGCTGACAAAGTGGATGGAGGCATGAGTGACTGTGGGAGGCAGGCAGTGAATGGAGGCCTGAGTGATGGCAGCTAAAAGCATGGGTAACTGAAGGTCGGAGTCAATGACACATGAAGGACTAAGTGGATGAGTGACTGAACAGGTGACTGAGGGGCACAGAGGCTACGAATTATCCTCCAAGAACTTCTTTCTCATCTTCTTAGTTTCTCCCCACTTCCTGCAGCTGGGAGGTGGCACTCGGCAAGGCAGATACCTTAGATTCAGCAGTGGAAACCCTGGTTTCCTGGGGTAGCCGACTCTCCCGCCTGTAATATAATGACCCCCTCCCAGGCATACTTTGCCCTCTCACTCACGGGTACTTGGGGAGCAAGGGTGTGCAGAGGCGCTGGCGGGCACGGGTAGGATTAGGTCCACAGGGGGGCATGCACAGCCCCCAGGTACTCCACTCTGACCATGATCCTTTCACTGCAATGAGGGGTAGGGGTCACAGAGTCAGAACTGGAGGTCTTGGTGGGAAAGTGAGAGGGAGGCTGCAGAGACGTGAGGTCCACAGCAGAGAGTTGGAAACCCCTTATCCTGCATGGGCCACCCCACCCTCAGAGCACAGTCTGTGGGACACTCACAGGGGCAGTGCTGGATGCTGTAGCAGTGCCGGATATCCTGCTGTTGCCCGGCACATCGATGTCCGTCAAACTTGCGGCCCCTGCAGGTCCTCCCGCGTGACTGCTGGCCCGGGATTTCTTGACAGCTGATGGACTTCATGTTCCGTCGGATACAGGGGCTCCACTCCCCCCACGAGTCCCACTCCCCATCCACTGCAGAGACAGGGCAACAGGGGATTGGACCAAAGCAGGGAATCAGCAAGGGGGTTCAGAGGAAGGAATGAGGGCGGTAGGAGGGAGTAGAGGTGATCAGATGTGTGAATGGGGGACCAGGGGTGGAAACAAGGTATCAGGGCCAGGAAAGGAGGAATCAGAGACAGGAACAAGGCCTCAGCAGCAGGAGCTGGGCAGCAGAGAAGGGCAAGGGGGACTTAGGCATGCAAATCGTGAACCCTGAGATGCTGACCAGGGCAGGGCACAGCTGTGTTGCAGATGTGGGTCCGGGTGGCATCGCCAGCACAGAAGGGGCCCCCATGCTGGGGCACAGGGTGATTGCACGTCCGTTGTTCCATGGTCTGGCCCAGGCCACAGGTCACAGGGCAGGGGCTCACAGGGCCCCAAGGCCCCCAGCCCCCAGCCACTGTTGGAGGAGGAAAGGGAGTGAGGAGAAAGGCCTCCTCAATCCTTCCTCTCAGCCCCTAGACCCTTGAAGCAGACTGTCCCCAAATGAAGGGCTGCATGGTCACATGGCCTAGGAACTCTAGAAATGGCAGAGCATCTCTGCCCTCAATCAAGAGCCCCACCAGCAACATCAGCAGCCTCATCCTGGTGTACCTGGGCAGGGTGGCAGGCCGGTGCACCTCCGCTGCTCGTAGGCTAGCCCCGGGCAGGGCTTCCCAGGAGGTTTCTGGGAGGGCTCAGGTGCAGAACACTTGCGGCTTCGTGTCTCCTTAGGTTCGTGGGGTCCACCGTGGCAGGAGGCTGAGCAGGGGGTCCAGGGGCCCCAGGTGGCCCAGGCCCCGTGTGCTGTGGTGGGGTGGGAGGTGGAGGGATGCAGGTGTGGTCATGCATGCTAAAGTCCTCTCAGCCTGGCAGTTCCCTGCTGTAACCCCGCAGACCCACGCTGGGTGCACCCATCAGCATCCTGTGGCTTCCCTCACTCACTGGGGCAGACCTGCTGGGTGTCACAGGCCTCTGATTCCTGTGCCTGTCCTGGGCAGTGGCCCCCACACTTGGGAGCAGGGTGATTACAGGCTCGCCTGCGGGTCCGGGTCCCTTTGGAGCAGGTGACAGAGCAAGGCTCCCAGGGCCCCCAGCCAGACCAGCCGCCCATCTCTGTGGGAGAGAAGAGAGGGTAATGGGATGGAGGTGGGGTGTCATTCAGGGCTCTTTGCTTCCTTGAGTGCCCCACATGAGCTAATCCTGTCCTTATATCCTCTGCCACCATTCTGGGCCCACCATCCCCGCTCACCGGGCCTGCCGCAGCAACCTTCACATGGGTGCCTCCGCTTCCCCTCTCACCCTCACCGTGCACAGTCTGTTCTCCTCCCAACCCCAGTCAGATCACGTTCCTCCTCTGCCCACAGTCCAAATTACTCAGATGAAAAGCCAACGTCCTCTCTGTGGCCCCCAGGCAATGGACCCTCCTCACCTCTCTGACCTCACCTCCCACCACTCTCCTCCTTAGGTCCTTACAAACACTGGGGACGGGCCCACTCTGAGGACCTCTGTACCGATCGTTCCCACCAGTGCTGGGTGACAGGGAGTGCTTGCCCGCCTTGCTCATCCTCCTCACCAGGACAGCACTGCTGGTCCTCACAGGCCTGGAGCTGCCACTCCAGGGTCCCAGGTGCCACCTTTCCAGAGCACTGCCCATTCCAGCCCACACAGCGCCGGTACCGCAGCTGGGAGCCCTCAGAGCACGTCACCGAACAGGGGGCCCATGTGGACCACAGGGACCATCGTGGGGACCTGTGGAGAAGAGCACACACATCCCATCCTGGCATGAGCTAACAAGAATGGCATGTGGGACTCCAGAGTGTGGGCAGACACGAAGGGTTGCTAGGCAAGTGCGTGTGCGATGGATTGATAAGTCCTTACCTTTTAGGGATATTGGGATACTGATGGGAAGCAGTGGATATACAATAAGTGCTTGATAATGTCATTTACCTTCACAATCAGGCATCTGGAGTTACCATTGGAAGGCTGCATGGCCAACACCAGGTCCGCAGTAAGCAAAGGTAAGGACTAGAAACCAAGGGCTGCTGTCAGAAACCCACCAGATCACCACACTACACGGTAGTAGGTAAATAGAAAGTGCTTAATAAACCTGAGCCATCATCCCTATGACCTCAGAGGCCTCCTCAGAAATAACCCCAGATCTATCCCCAACCCACTGCATAGCCCTAGGTATGCTGTTCATGCCAAATAGATGTGATGAACTGTTGACATGACTTGGGGCCCAGAGCTGCCCTCAAAAATCCCCAAGCTCCCCATGCCCACGGTGTATCTGGGATATATAGTAAACAAGTAGAAAACAGGTCTGGCATACGGTAAGGGCTCAATCCATGCAAGCTGGAAATCATGATCAGGAGACTAGAGCTACCCTCAGAAATCCTCAAGCTCATCTCCCAACCCTGCCATGCAGCTGGTATACAGGGAGTGCTCAATGAATGTGAAGTGTCATCATAATTAGGGGCCTAGAGCTGCCCTTTGAATTCCCCAAACTTTCCCGCCCCCACAGTGTGTCCATATACAGTAAGCACTCAATAAACATGAGCTGTCATCAAAATTAGGGAAATACCAAGCTGCACCCCACCTGCAATGCTTCCAGTGTGCAGGAGGTGCTCAATATGTGTGAGCTATGTCAGTGGTTCTCAATCAGGGGTGATTTTGACCCCCAGGGGACATTTGGCAATGTCTGCTGACATGTTTGGTTGTCACAGCTGGTGGGGAGAATTGCTACTGGCATCTAGTGGAAGGCTAGGGGTGTTACAAAACATCCCACAATACACAGGTAAGCAATCCCCTCCCCCAGCCAAGAATTTCCAGCCCCAAATGTCAATAGTAACAAGGTTGAGAAACCCTGAGGTATGGTCACGATCAGGGCCTCAGGGCCACCCTTGGAAGTCCCAGAGAAAGAAAGTGCCCAGTTTTGGGTGACCCCCACAGACAGTCCTTCCCTCCCCCCCATCCCCCACCCCAGGCTCCCCCTAACCTGCAAGGCTGACAGAGCCCACCACTACGTTTCTGGTAGGCAAAGGCAGTGTTGAGACAGCAGTCTTCCACGCTGACACCACCCCCCAGGAGGCCCTTGCACTTGCCGGAGGATTCTTCATACTGGGTGAAGCAGAGCACGGGGTCTGAGCCTGTAACAGGGCCAGGGGATGGGTGGGTGGGGCTCGGTCAGGGATGTGGTGGGCCTGGACACCCCTGGGGCCAGCTGGGCCCTCACCCCCTCACCTGTGGCTGGCAGGGTGAGCAGCAGGAGCAGCGGCGGCAGCAACAATCGAGGGGCCTGCGCTCCCTCTGTGATCATGTTGAGTACTGCCCCCTGCACCTCTACCAGAGAGGAGGTCCCGCTTTATCTGGGTTGATAGGCTCCTGGAATCAGCAGGGAAAGAGGAACCTAGAGGCAGGAGGAACTGGGAGGGCATCCTGCTTTGACCCCACCCTGTCCCCTCTGCCTCCTTCTCTACTCTCCCCTCCCCATTTCCTGTCTTACTCTTGGTCTTGTTCTGTTTGTTACTATATCCCCAGCACCTCGCGCTCCTCCCAGCAACCTCACAGTGTTCAATAGAAGCTCCTAGGACAAATTCTCACCCAGAGGAAATGGAGCATAGGAGCGTGCAGCAACTTCCTAGCCGTGTGACCTTGGGTGAGTCACTTAACACCCCTGAGCCTCAGTTTCCCTATGTGGAAAATGCATAATCTCTAACATAATGACGGGGTCAACCTCGTGGGGGTGTTGAACCAGGGTGAAGTGAGTGTGCGGTGCTCAGTATGTTCCTGCTCGTGGGGGTGGAGGGAGCATCGAGTCAGTTGCTCCACCTTCCACCCTCCCTTAACCTCGGCCCTCCTTTCCTGAGAGGTTCCCTGTGGTCAGCTTGTGGTCGGGGAGGTCAGCACAAGGGAAGTGAGAAAGGGAAGTGGCAGGAGCCTGGGGAGGGATTCAGGAGGGGAATGGGGTCTATCCATTGTTCCATGGGCCCAGCTGGGGACAACACCAGGGTCTGGGGTGATTAGGAGGGAATAAGCTGGGCCATATTCCATCAGAGAACCCTCAGGCAGATAACACCCCCCTTCTGGAGCCTGTTTCCCCTCTGTAAAATGTGCTCACAGACAGCACCTACAACATAGGTAGGGTGTGTTGCAAAGATTGCGAGTTAAGCTTTTGTTTGTTTTGTCGAGATGGAGTCTCACTCCGTCGCCCAGGCTGGCGTGCAGTGTCACGATCTCGGCTCACTGCAACCTCTGCCTCCCGATTTCAACCAATTCTCCTGCCTCAGCCTCCTGAGTAGCTGGGATTACAGCCGTGTACCACCATGTCCAGCTAATTTTTGTATTTTTAGTGGAGACAGGGTTTCACCATGTTGGCCAGGCTGGTCTCGAACTCCTGACCTCAGGTTATCCACCTGCCTTGGCCTCCCAAAGTGCTAGGATTACAGGCGTGAGTCACCGTGCCCGGCCAGGAGTTAAGCTTTTGGAAAGTCTTTAGAACAGTGCCTGGCATATAGTAGGTGCTCTGTGTTTGATAAATTTATTCAACATTTATTGAGCACCTACTGGATGCCAGATGCGGTTCTTAGCATTAGAGCAGAGAATAGGACAGACAAAAATCCTGGCCCTCGAGAAGATGGATAACAAATGTTGCCCCTCCTCACAGAGGCCTTCCCCATACCCTTGTCTGGCATCCCTGTCACTCTCTAGCCCAGTAGCTTCCAAACCTGTTTTTTTGTTTGTTTTGTTTTAAAGAGACAGAGTCTTGCTGTCACCTGGGCTGGAGTGCAGTGGTCTGATCATAGCTCATTGCAGCCTCAAACTCCTGGGCTCAAGTGATTTTCCCACCTTAGCGTCCCCAAGTAGCTGGGACTACAGGCACACACCACCACACAACTAATGTTTTTATTTTCTGTATAGATGGGGTCTCGTTGTGTTGCCCAGGCTGGTCTCAAACTCCTGGCTTCAATATTTTCTCCCAACCTCAGCCTCCCAAAGTGCTGGGATTACAGGCATGAGCCATCACACCAGCCCTTCTTTTTTTTTTATTTTTTTATTTTTTTTTTATAAACCCTAATGAAACTCCAGGGCCCACTTTAAAATTTTTATTTTGCTTTTAATTAACAAAAAGAAGCACAAGAAAGATAGGAAGGCAATGCCTAATTTCCTCTGCTCTCAGGGAGGCAGAGGAATTCTGCAAATTCAAATGTAATAATTTGGTCAGCTGTTAAAACAGAAGTTCTTCAGGAACACTTGTTTTATGGGCAGTAAAGTATGTGTTAATATCTGTATCCATTACAGACATACTCTGTTCTCTGATAACATAAGGCTATCCTTGAAAATGTGCTTTGAACAAAGGAGTCTTATTAAGATTCTACGACTTCAAGACAATCATTGCTGTGTTATCCTGTGAAAACACTCTCCAAGAGACCTGAAACTGGCCAGGCATGGTGGCTCACGCCTGTAATCCCAACACTTTGGGAGATTGAGGCAGGTGGATCACCTGACGTCAGGAGTTCGAGACCAGCCTGGTCAACATGGTGAAACGCCGTCTCTACTAAAAATACAAAAATTAGCCAGGCGTGGTGGCGGATGCCTGTAATCCCAGCTACTTGGGAGGCTGAGGCAGGAGAATCGCTTGAACTCGGGAGGCAGAGGCTCTAGTGAGCTGAGATCGTGCCACTGCACTCCAGCCTGGGCGACAGAGTGAGACTCTGTCCCAAAAAAAAAAAAAAAAAAAAAGAAAGAAACCTGAAATTCTGGCTGGCTTCTTTATTTAACCACCTGTTGCCCTGGTAATAATATTAACAATATTTCCTTTGTTTCTAAACTGTATAAATACTCATAGGATTCCCTGTGGAAGAGGACTGTCAGCACTCTATCTTTTCCCACACGTTTAGGCAATAAAATGACTGCAGATTCCTTAAACAAAGAGTGAGAGTCTTGTCTTATTTAATTATTACATCCCTACCTGCTACTATGTATTTGCCTGCTTCTTGTTATTCTCACTCCCTAAATATCAGTTCCACAAGGGCAGGGATTTTTGTCTGGCTTGTTAACTGCTGGGTCTGCAGGGCATTAGATAGGCACCAGGAAACAGTGGATGCTCAATAAACATCTGCTAAATGAATCAATCAATGAAATAAACAAAACTTTAGAGATTACGATAAAATGCCAGAAGGACAGTCTGAGTTAGAGGTAAAAATGTGGGCATCCCATGGAGGATAAGTAGTATTTCAAGTGTGAAGACCTGGATAAGATGACCTAGAGAGGATGCGTGAGAAGAGAGAAGGGAATCCCAGGGCTTTGCCCTGGGGAACCCCAGCATTTCAAGTTTTAGAGAAGTAGGAGAAGCCAGCCCAGCGGACTGAGCAGGAGGGGCCTGTGGAGGAACAGGAAAAACAGAAGAGGGTTTTTCTCCAGGGCCTGGAACATTCGAGGGTCTGCAGGGCATTAGACCTCTCACACAGTCTCATTTGGTCTGTTATTTTCTCTCTCTCTCTTTTTTTTTTTAAACCTATCTACACAGTTATGTTTTTCTTTTCTTTCTTTTCTTTTCGAGACAGGGTCTGGTTCTGTTACCCAGGCTGGAGTGCAGTGGCGTGATCGCAGACTACAGCCTCAACCTCCTGGGCTCAAACCATCCTCCCACCTCAGCCTCCCGAGTAACTGGGACTACAGGCACACGCCACACCTGGCTAATTTTTTAAACTATTTGGAGAGACAGGGTTTTGCCACATTGCCCAGGCTGGTCTCAAACTCAAACTCCTGGGCTGAAGCGATCCTCCCAACTCAGTGTCCTCAGTAGCTGGGACTACAGGCATGCACCACTATACCTGGGTAATTTTGTTTTTTGTTTTGGTAGCGGCAGGGTCCTTCTATGTTGCCCAGGTTGGTCTCAAACTCAAAATCCTGGCCTCAAGTAGTCCTCCCACATCAGCCTCCCATGTAGCTGGGATTACAGGTGCACAACACTACGTTATGCTAATTTTTTAAATTTTTAGTAGTGACGGGGTCTCACCATGTGGCCCAGGCTGGTCTCAAGCTCCTGGCCTCAAGTGATCCTCCCACCTTGGCCTCCCAAAGTGCTGGGATTACAAGCATGAGCCACCGCACCCAGTCCGGATTTACAGCCTCTACTATATTCTCTTAATCACACAGCCTCTCAGACATTCTGTCACTCATAGTCATTTTCTGTGTCATGGATTCCAGCCTTACTACAGTCTCCTAACAGTTTCACACACACAATCATGTTTAACAGCCTGTCTCATTCAGTCAATATTGCCAATAGTTTCTCTCACCAGTCAGTTCCTTACATACACGTGCAGTCACACAATCTCATGAAACGTTTAGGCACTCATTTGGCCTGTTACTTTCTCACATACACAAATAGTCACTGATTTATAGTCACCACTAACTAGTCTCTCATGAAGTTTCCCACACATGCACAAAAATCACCTCTCCTACCCCTTTCTCACTCAAGCCACTTTTTCACACACCCACGATCCCTGATTACAGCCTCTCCCACAAAGACATTCACACGCATACACAATCACACAGTATCTCAGACACTGTCGTCACCTAGTCTCACGTTTCTTCTCAATCAGCTTCCAGTACCCTCAGTCCTTGATTTACAGCCTTTCATAAAGTCTCTTGCAAAGGGTTTACCCATGGACACACAATCCGTTTCTCAGCCACTGTCTCAGTCATCACTGTCCCTCAGTCAGCTTCTGATATACTCGGTCAGTATTTCACAATCACCACTAGGCCCTCGATAAGTCACCCACAGTCACCCATGCCCTCTCAGTCGTGCACACCGTCATTTTCTTCATATGGTCAGCTCATCACGGACACACGTGCACAGCTTTACAAGTTTCTCACACACTGTCACGTGGTCACTTGGCATGTCTCATTTGCTCAGCTCTTTTGTATGGCCCCTGATTTATGGTTTCTTATGAACTGTTTCACAGACCCCCTGGTGCTCTGACATCACTCAGTTGTCAAGTTCCTCTCCCACAGTTTCTGACTTCCAGTTACTGCTACTGCCAAGTCTCTCATAAACAGTTCCTTGTCCCTCTCCCTTGCATGCCCAGTGATGTGGTCTCTCACACCATGTCAGTGGCTCCGTCCGGCTCACCGTCATTTTCTCTCCTACTTTCTCACAGTCCCTGAACCTGTGGGATAGACTGTGGTAGTAATGGTAAATCGATTTGCAACTAGTTTCAGGTGTACACACACACACACACAGCCTGTCACACTCTCCCAGTCACAGCCATTCGTTTTTCTCAGTCTTTGCTGCAGTCTCTCACGCCTGCTTTCGTACACACAATTGCACCTTCTTGTATCTTTGGTCTCGGTCACTGGTTTGGTCTCCCAGCCATTCTCTCCCGTACAATCAAGTTCGCACCCATACAGTCTTACAGCTTTAGCTGACACTACAGCCTCAAGTAAACAGTTTTGCACATCATCTATTTCTCAAACGTTGAGTCGCCTACAGTGAGGTTTGTCACCTACACAATCTTTGCCACAATCCCTGACAACCTCTACTGTAGTTTCATGCCCACGTAGTCTCTCACATGTGGTTTTGGTCACCCAGTCTGTCTTGCTCGCCATCAAACAGTGACAGGGCTGCAGTCCCCGTTCCCTTCTCGTAGACATTATTTTGTGCATACCATCACAGGTTCTTGTACAGTACCTTGACTATTCATCCAGGCTCAGTTATTTTCTGAAACACAGCCACAATTTCCCACATAGACACACCATCAAAAGTCTGTGGTCACAACTTCTGCACACTCTCACACACAATCACAGCTTTCCACGTCTCTGACACACACATGGTTACCGATATGCAGTCCCTACTATTGTTTCTCACACACGCCATCACACCGTTTCTCTCACAATCGACCTCTGCCTCACACCCTCCACACACAGTCATGCGTGTCACGCTCAGCTAGTCCTGACAACATCAGAGAAAAAGTGCCAGCAGCCTCCAGCATCACTTTGAAAAATATATATTTACAGGAACAATTCCCCATTCTCTGGGACTCTTTAGAAAAAAAAAAGGTCCATTTTGGGGAAGTAAAACAAACAGTGGAGACGAGTGTAGCACTGTCCCCCAAATCACCAACCCCCAGGTCCCAAGGCCTGGGCTGGGCCAGCGCTAACAGGTGAGCCCAGGAGTCTTTTGAACCCACTCTCTCTTGCCTAGAATAGAGACAGGACAGGCTTTATGTCCCCCATTCCTCCCTCCCAACTCCAGGGACATTGAAAGGGTCCTTTGTACCCGCCCGCAGGAAATTGGGGGGCTGGGAGGGAGGGAACTGAAAATTCATGTTTGGTATCAAAAATAAACACTTGGAGTGGGGGAGGCGGCAGGAAGATTCCCCCCCAAATCCCTTCCTTCCCACCCACCCCACCAAATATAGGAAGAGATGACTCCCTCTCCCCTATTGAAAAGCCCCATTTAAAAATAGATTATACTATCAAAATGGCAGCGGGGGAGAGACAGGGAGACCTGGAGTACTGGCTGGAGGGGCCCCCCAGACGGGGACCACCCCCCAAAAAAACCCTCCATTGGGAGGAAACAGGCAGGACCCCAGGGAGGTTGGCAGACAAAGGAATGGCTTCTCAGGGGGAAGAACAAAAGGGACATTCCTCCCTGGCCAAAAAGTTGGTTGAAAAGGATAAGCTGTCTGAGAGAAAGGTTGGGGAGGTGGAAATTTCTATTCCAAGGGTGTGATTCTTCCTTGGCCAAGACTCCCAACCCATTAAATGGTACAAATTCTTCCTGGACCCCTGAGTATGGCCAGGAATAATAAAACAAAACAAACTAACTCTTCTACTCACATCCAAAAACGCAGACAGGGCTCCCTCATCTCCCCAAGGGCAGGCTGAGAAATAAAGAAAGAAAGGTCGTTCTCAAGCCAGACCTCGATTGTCTTGTCTTGGGGAAAAAAGTGGGGAGGTGGGGGAGATGTCCTAACCACCCTAAAAGGTTAGGTCAGGCTCCTCCCAGTGGCCTTCAAAAAATAAATAAATAAACCGCCCCTACCATTGAAGTAGGAGACGTGTAAGGGCGGCCACTGGGGGACTGACAGAAAACAGAGAAGTTGTGGAAGCTGTGTGTTTTCTGTGGAGGAGATAATGAGAGTTACTCTTGGGAGTAATTCTTCCCAAGGATCCCCACCCCACCACAATCAGAGCATGAGTCTTTCAGTTGAACTATGTTTCTCCTTGAGATGGCTGGCTGGAGAGAGCATGGATGGAGTGACCCCAGAAGGGGTGGTGGTGGTGGTGGTAGTAGTCATGGCTTCTGGGGCCCTGGGGAGAGCACCACGGGGGTCGAGAGGCCATCCACGCTGATAGAAGGGATGTGCACCTGGGCGCTGCCACTGGATGGAAACTGGGGGCAAAAAGAGGGAGAGGTCACAGATGGGGGCCATTCTTGGGTCTCTCACCCTGTCCAAAACGGGGAAAGAGGATCCTACCTGGAAGGAGAGCTTGGCCGGGCTACGGGGCGCAATGGGACTCAGGGTGCTCCAGAAGTGAATGCTAGGAGGCAGCGAGCTGGGTGTCAGCAGCACCGGGGTCTGTGGGGAGAGGGTGGTCGGAGCTCAAGTGAGTAGAAAGTAGATGTGGGATGCTGGAAGGGACTTGGTCCCGGCCCCACCACAGATTTCCCACTCACACTCCCAGGGTCACTCCCCAAAGTGCACACACCTAGATGGTAACCATGGAGGCCATGCCTATGATCTCTCAAACTCTGCAGACACCCCCCACTCCCCACTCCCGAGAGCCCACCCTCAGTTGCTGAGACCTCATTGGTCAAGACCACCCACAAGACCCTATCCAAATGCTGCTCTCAAACCTCTCAAGTCACCATCCCAACAGCTCAGGGTCAACTTCCAACTCATGTCCCACCCATGAAACCCCATATGCACATCCCAGACCAAAAAGCCCTGCTCAGGTTCCTTAAGCCACACCCCAACCTAGAAACAGTCCCACAGAAAGACCCTCGGTCCCACCCACAAAAGTCCCCAGCCCTGCCCTTCACTAATCAAACCCCATCCCTCCAGCCAGCATCAGCCCAGTCAATCACACTCAAAGGCTCCACCCTCTTCAGGAACAACCACACTCACCCTCCTCTGATTCCTGTCAGTCACCCGCCACATGCCAATCCCATTGGTGCTGGCGCCCACACACCCCACCCCTCCGCAGGCACTCACCAATGTATGCGTAGGAAGCAGGGATGGGGTCAGCGCCGGCCCCGGAGCCTGGAGGCCGGAGCCACTTCCCGATCCTGGGGTCCGTTCGGGTCCCGGCCCACCTAGCAGGCTCGGGCTGAGTGGAAGCTCTAGGTCCCGGGGCTTCCGGCCCTTCTGCGGCTGGGAGATCTCAGGGCTGGAAGCCGCATGGCCGCCCGCCTGCCCTGCGGTGTCCATAACAACCGCGGGCAGCCGGGCTGGCACGCCCTCCTGTGGAGGGACTTCTGGCTCGGCCTTGGTGGTTTCTGGCACAAACCCTCTCTCCCCCGCAACTTCCAACTCTTCCTTGGGCCCTTCTACTTTCACTTCTGGGGGCAAAGCCCGGCCCAAACCCGGCTCCACATTAAGCTCTTCCGATTTCAGGTTTGGGGCCTCGGGCGGGGTCAGGATGACCTGGTAGAGGAGCAGGCACAAAGAGGGTGTGTAAGGATTGTTGGGACCACAGGATTCTCCTGTGGGCCACCCAGTGATTTCCCCGGGAAGGTGGCACTTGGTACTCAGGGCATGACTGCACATCAGAGCAAGTCCTCCAACAGGACATAGGACTTCGTCAAGGAAGTAGGGCTTCCTCTGGGGCAGGTCCTCCTATGGGACAGGGGACTTGGGGTGAGACAACCTGAAGCGGGTAGGAATCTGAGGGATACCATCCTCATTCATTAAAACAGTGGTTCTCAAAAATTTACCTTCCTCTGGACCAGCAATATCTGCCTCATTTGGTAACAAGTTAAAAATGCAAATTATTGGGCCCCTCCCCAGCCCCACAAATTCAGAAACTCTGGGGGTGTGCCTGGCAATCTGTGGTTTAACAAGACCTACAGGTGATTCTGATGAGCACTAGAGTGCGAGAACCAGTGCATTAAACATATTCCAGGCACCTACATGTTCGGCAGCTACTAACTGTAGCACAGTATTCTCCCCTTTCTGTCTCAGGATTTGTGTAGCTCTCTGCCCCACCCCTCCTTCTAAGAGGATGTCTTCCTTCCACCATTATCTCCTTTAACGGGACAGCTATGTCTCTTCTACCAGCCTCCCTCGTCATCCGGGGATTACACATCCCTCCTCTTTACTGCCTCCTCTTACTGAATTTCTATATTCCAGTCCTTACCTGCAGAGGCAAGCCGGCCTCTTCAGCCTCCAGACAGGCCTCCAAGGGGCTTGGACTGGTGCTCCTGCTCCCCGAGGGGGGCGCTGCTGCCCCTGCAGGAGCTGCACTGGGGAGCACCACAGCAGGCCGAGGATGAGGGGGTGGCTGCGGCTGCAGAGACTGGATGGTGAAGGTGGAATAGAGGCCCGAGCGCATGTACTCGTTCCGGCTGCTGCGTGCCAAACCGCCTGGGCCTGCCATTCCTGCACCCTTGGGTGTGCCTGGCTTTCCAGAGACAGTGTCCCCTGGGGCGGCATGTATAGCAGCAGGGGCCACATTTGGCATGGTGGAGGTAACAGACACCTCTGGCTGGGGCGGGCAGTCCTCAGTGGAGCACCCTGCGACCTCAGGGTAGGACACAAACTTGTAGACGAACTTCTGGCCGCTCACCTTGCGGATGATGTTCTAGGAAGGGAGGAGAGGAACAGAGGGCCTTAGAGGAAAGGGGCAGGCTGGAGGCAGGGTGTCAGGGGGGAGGAGGGGGGTGGAGTGGCATTTCTCTTCTCCTAGTGGCTTTCTTCCCACTTGCTCCTCTCCGGCTTTCCCGTCCCTCCTCTGTAAGTTTCTCTCTCAGCCCATTTCCTCTCCCATTGGTTTCTACCTCTTTCCTCTCCCGCCAGATTCCCCTTATCTATATCCCTCCCCAGTTCCTCCCCTTTCTCTCTTCTCTCCACAATAATTTTTTCTTTAAGCCCCTTCCCATCCACCCCTTTCCAAGCCTCCCTTTGTCACTCTCCAGGTCCGTCTATCTGATTTTCCCACTCCCTCCACACTGTAGCTCCTCTTCACAATGGGGCCCATGAAGGGCAGTAGGTGTGGGAGCAGGTCTTCTTCCTGGCTCCAAGAACCAGAGGTTCACAGGGCCAGGCCTTGTGGGTGACTGTCAGGACACAGTTTTGGAGACTAGCAAATGCAATAAGACAAGAAAATGAAGTAACTGATATAAATGTTGGAAGAAAGTAAATTAATGTAGATGGATGGGGTGATGAATTATTAATACAGAGGATTATTTGAAGCTAATGATACAGAAGTGGAACAGGGCAAGGTCACTGCAGAGGAGAGGGTGAGGAGGCCTCATTATTAATACCACTGTGGAGGTTGAAGCTAAAATGGTAAGAAAATGAAGTAACTAACAGCAATTAGACAAGAATATTAAAAATACTGGTATAAATATTGGGAGGGGGCCTATATCAAGGCTGGCTTTGCTGGGTCACAGAGCATGTTTGGGGTTTTTCAGGTCTGGTGGGTCTCAGAGATGACCTAGTGTTCCCAGAGGGCAGAGTGAGATAGCCTCATTACTAATATTGTTCTGGAGGGTTGAGCTCAAGGAATAAAATATGAAAATGGAATAAATGCCATAAACTATGAAGGGTGTGCAGCATATGACCAGGGCAGTTCTGGGAGTGTGGAGGCACTAGGGCATTCTGTGGAAGTCTTAGTGCTGGTCAGATATGTCACAGGGTGGGCCTGTGTTTCTCGGAAGAGGAATAAAAAGGGATATTCATGAATATTGTTTGGGAAATTTCAGTAGAAGGATTAAGAAAATGAAATAACTGGTATAAATATTGGGGGGAGGAGAAACCCAGCAGTGGCCTGGGGGTCTGAGAGGGCAGGATGGGGGAAATTTTAAATTTTAGCTGTAGGAATAAGATAATGAAAACAATTGATATAAATATTGGGGTAGACCAGTGCTCCTCTGGGAATTTAAGAAGACAGTGTGTGGAAGTTGGCATTAAACATGTTGTTTCAGAGGTTTTAGCTTAAGGAATAAGAGAAGAAAATAATTAGTTAAAAATGTTGGGAGTCCCAGAGGACGAAGTAAGCAAAAGTTGGTATAATACTGTCAGGGAGGTTTTGATTCTAGGAATATGAAATATTCTGGAATAAGAGAAGACTATGAAATAACTAGGGAAGCCCAGCACTGGTCCAGGGGTTTCAGAGGACAGAATGAGGACCAGCCATTATTAACCGTGTTTTCAAGATGTTGGCTATAGGAATACGGCAGGAAAATGAAACGTTGTGCATGGCAGGGCAGCATCACTTTGGGGATCTCAGAGTGGGAGTAGAAAGAGTCAGTATTAATAATGCAGTGGTGGTTTTCGCCAAAGCAGTAAGACAAGAAAGTAGGTGAGATAGTGTTTAGGGGCCCAATACTGGTCTTAGGGTACCAATGGATGGGTTAAAAACTGATAAATTTTAACATTGCTTTCAAAGTCATAGCTATGGCAATTAAAACAAAATAAAATCTCTGATATAAATGTCAGGGGGGGGTTCCAGCCCTGGTCTGAGAGACTGTACCTTGTCATAGTAGTACCGCAAGGCCCGGCTGAGCTTGTCGTAATTCATGTTGGTCTTGTTCTTGCGTAGCCCCCACAGCCGGGCCACCTCCTCTGCATCCACCAGCTTGAATTCACCACCATCCCGTGAAGTCCAGGAGATGATGTGGCCATTGCCTTGCTCTCTCAGCAGCTGCAGCAGAAACTGCCACAGCGTCACAGATGGGTCCATCGCTGGGGGAGTGCTCACGCCATCCCAGGGGTACCTGGAGAGCAAACAGCTGAGTTGAGAGGCTGTGGACATAGGAGGGGCAGAGGTCAGCGGGAGGAGGATTCCTTTTTTTGTCATCTTTTCTCCATCTCTGTCTTCAAACCCTACCATCATTCCCTAAACCTTCCCAGACTAACTTCTAGCTCCCCAGTCTTGCTTGGGATGCTCCCTGTGATGGGATACAACTCATGGGTATCTTAGGATGGTGTGAATGTATTTTGAATGTGAAACAAATGTGAATCTGTGGGGGTCAGAGGGCAGACTGTGGTAGGCCAAATGATGCCAACCCTGCTCCGCATCCTAATCCTCGGAACCTGTATGTTATTTACACTACATAGCAGAAAGGAACTTTGCAGATGAAATTAAGGTTACAAACCCTAAGACAGGGAGATTATTTCTGGATTATTTGATGAAATTCAATCTAATCATATGAGCTCTGAAAAGCAGATGATGGAGAAAGAAAGGTAGCTCAGAGATGTGATGACAGAAGAGGCAGGGGAGATTCAAAATGTGAGAGGGACTCAACCTGCCATTGTTGGCTTTGAAGATGGAGGAAGGAGGCTCAGAATCAAGGACTGTGGGCAGCCTCTTAAAGCTGGGAATGGCTGTCAGCTGACAGACAGTAAGGAAACAGGGACTTCAGTCCTACAATCTCAAGGAATTGGATTCTGCCAACAACTTGAATGAGCAGGAAATGGATTTTCCCCTAGAGCCTCCAGAAGGAACGCAACCCTGCCAATACCTTGATTTCAGCTGAGACCAGTGTGGGACTTCTGACCTACAGAACTGTAAGATAACAAATGTGTTGTTTTAAGCAGCTAAATTTGTGATTATTTGTTACAGCAAGAATAGAAAACTAGTTCCATCCTCCTCATTTGAATATTATCTGTATCTTCTACCATATCAATGTCAAGTTTTTCAGGAGGTTTTTTTTTTGCCAGACCCTTGCAAAGGCTGCTCACTCCACGTGGGGCTTCCTTCTTTCGCCTAGCAGTCTTTCTTATCTTTCAAGTCCCAGCCCAAAGGTCCTTTCCTTTATGAAGCCGTCCTAAAACTGAATGAATGCCTGATCTCTCTGTCCTGTTACTGTCCCTGAATGTTCTCGTTCTTTTTTTTTTTTTCTTTTTTTTTGAGATGGAGTCTCTCTCTGTTGCCCAGGCTGGAGCGCAGTATAGTGGCACAATCTTGACTCACTGCAACCTCTGCCTCCCAGGTTCAAGCGATTCTCATGCCTCAGCCTCCCGCATAGCTGGGATTACAGGTACCCACGACCACGCCCGGCTAATTTTTGTATTTTTAGTAGAGACATGGTTTCACCATGTTGGCCAGACTGGTCTTGAACTCCTGACCTCAAGTGATCCACCCACCTCCCACCTTGGCTTCCCAAAGTGCTAGGATTACAGGTGTGAGATACCGTGCTCGGCCCTGAATATTCTCTTTCTTGATGACAGCAATAATTAACATCTATTGAGAGCTTAATACACATCAGGCACTCTTCTAAGCAGAGAGGCAATATGGCCTGCTGGACAACTGCCCAGGCACTAGGGCCAGATTGCCAGTGTTTGAATCCTGGTTCTGCCACTTATTAGCTGTGTGACCCTGGGCATATTCTTTTTCTTTTTTTAAGAAATGGGGTCTCACTATGTTGCCCAGGCTGTTCTTGAACTCCTGGGCTCAAGCAATCCTCTCTCCCTGGCCTCCTAAAGTGCTAGGATTACAGGCATGAGGCACCACGCTTGGCTGATATTCTTTAACCTCTTTGTACCTCAATTTTCTCATGTGTAAAACAGGGATAATGATATGCCCATTAGTAAAATGGGGATAACAATACCTAGTTCACAGAGATATTGTACAGATTAAATATTATATGCCTGAGGTGTATGATAAGCTCTAAATATTAGTTTCTGATTTGTTCATAGTCCCTTATCTGCCATTCCAACATCCAAAATGCTCTAAGGGCAGAAAGCTTCTTTTAACTCTTTTGGTGGCAAAACCTGATTTGAAATGAAACAAGGCCCTTTCTGGTCTTTATTGAATCTCACTTATTGCGAGTGTTCATACATTTTGCTGCAGAAATATGAACACAGCCGATTACAGAGCTTACTAAGGGGTGTTATGTAACATCGTATATGCATCATGTTACCTTTCTGAAATGTGAAGAAATGGAAATTCTGAAACACATCTGGCCCCAGGGGTTTTGGGTAAGGGCATGTACACCTGTACTGTTATTTTTTTTTTTAATGGGCATTGACTTATTTATCCCTGATCATGCCTCTGAGAAGTAGGTAGTCTTCCTGTCATTAACTTATAAATGAGGCAGCGGAGGCACAAATGTCTACGTACCTTCCACAGGCCACATGTGGCAAAGCCAGCATTTGGAGCCAGGCAGTCAGGTTCCAGTTGACTAAGCATTTCACCATTAGGCTAAACGGCCCCTCACACCGACTATTCCCTCTCAGCATGTCCTTCAAAGAACAGGATCCTCCCTGTCACCCCATTACTGCTTTCTTTCCTGAGAGCAAACTGGAAATAAACATGAGCTTCCTGTTCAATTATACAAGTCACAAAGCCATGAAGTGTCCGATTAGAGAGTCCTGTCACCAGAGACCTCACTGAATTTGTTTTGCAGGCAGGCTTGTTTCAGAAGTCCAAAGAGTTCAGAGTGACTCCTGGTGGCAAAGACAGGCAATTTTACCAGTTCTTCTTTCAGCTGCAACAGAACCTATCAGCTGAGTGAAAGGTGACGGTGGGCTTCCAGCTTCAACAGCACACAGGGCTTTGTATTTTGTTATTTCTCCCACTTGACCCCTCATAAGAGTTCTAGTAATCTGCCTTGCTTAGATATGTTTACTTCTTTCCATCTCCTTCACTTAGCAAGCATTTGGTGAGTGCATACTGTGGGCCAGGTGCTGCGGATACAGTCGAGAACGCAACAGACAACAATCCCTGCTCCAGAGGAGCTCACATCTTAGCAGGAAAGGCAGATGAGAAAAAAGGCAAACATGTACAAGAGTGCGTCAGATGGTGGTAAGGGTTATGGGAAAAAAATCAAGCAGGGGAGAGCTGTTACTTTTACATGGAGAGTCAGGGGAGAGTAGTCGCCAAGGAGGGGACAACTGGGCAGAGACCAAAAGGAGGTGAAGGAACTGAGCTCGTGAGTATCTGAGAGCAGCAAGCCAGGTGGAAGCGGCAGCCGGTGTGAAGGGCCCAAGGCTGGAGAGTGCCTGGCAGGTGACATGGGGAGAGGAGGCTGACATGGGTTCGGGGGAGAGGAGGGAGGCAGCGGGAGAGGAGAACAGAGTGACGGGGGCCAGACTGAGCCAGGCTTTTTCGGGTGCTGTCAGGATGTTGAGTGAGACAGGAGCCACAAGAGGGTTGTGAACAGAGGGATGACAGGCTGTGACTGAGATTTCAACAGGATCCCCCTGGCGGTTGTGAGAAGAACAGACTGTTGGGGCTGAAGAAGCCACTGCGGTAGATGATGGTGGTAGCAGTGGGGCTGGCGAGAAGTAGCTGGGGTCTGGAGAAAGCCTGAACACAGAATAGGACTTGCTGACAGATAGCATGCCCGGGGGAGGTGAGAGAAGGGTCCAGGGTGAGTCTAGGTTTGTGGCCTAATCACCCACAAAGACAGCATTGTGGTCAGCTGAGGTGGGAGCCTTGCAGGAGAGTAAGTTTTGAGGGGGGTCACACCAGTTTTGGAGATGGTCAGTTTCAGAGGCCTGTCAGACATCTACGGGTATGCTATGAATACATTTTAATAATTTAAAAATGCAAGCCAGGCATACGATCCTTACCGTGGGCTGCACACTCTTTGAATCATTTAACTCATTGAATCCTCAAACCACCGTTAAAGGGTGGGGATTATCATTTCCCCCATTTTCCACATGAGGCAATGGAGGTACAGAGAAGTAACCTGCCCCAAGTCACACAGCTGGAAGTTGGCAGAGCCGGAATTCAAAACCTAAGTGGTTTGGCTCTAGTGAGCAATCGCCTTACACCACCAGTTCTCCATGAAGAGAAACAGAGAAGGGTAAGATCCTAGAGAGTGACAGGAATGCTGTTTTTACACAGGGTGTACAAGGAGTTCTTCCCCAAGGAAGTGACACCTGGCCTGAAGGAGGGGAGGTAGCAAGCCAGGCTGCCCTCTGTGGGGGAGGGCCTTCAGGCGGAGCGAACGGCGTGTACAAAGGCTCTGAGGCAGCCACCCTGAACTATCTACCGTTCCCGAGACAGTTCCAACCTCTGAGGGTAAGCACGGGCTGCTCTCCCCGCAGGGAGAGCTCTTCCCTCACTTCATGGACTCAATTACACAATCATCGCATTCCAGGAAGAATTCATTCTTCCTCTGCGTGATCAAAGGTGCCAAATAACCTGCCTGCCCTTGCAAATCTGTTCTTCTTTCTGAGTCTTCAGCCTTATGTTCCTCTGCCCCTGTTCTGGCTATTCTGGCTCAAGGTTACCCTGAGCAAGTTACTCAGCCTCTCTTTGCTTGTTTCCTCATCTGTAAAATGGGGATATTTTACTCTCAAAGTCAAATATTCTCAAAAGTACACCTACCCTCCAAGGCTTCTGTGAGGATTAACTGTGTCAATTCTGTAAAATACTTCTGTAAAAGACTTGAGGGGTTGACTTTTTTTTTTGTTTTTACAAGTAGCATTGTTAGGAACTTCTTTTTTATACATGTGCCTTTGTATAGTATATTCCAAGCACCATAGTGTTTAACAATGAATATTTACTGAAATAACACTACCCAGGTGCCAGAAAATCAAATCACTCTTAGAAACATCTTTTATGCCTGTGCCTTTAGGAGAGTGTATTATGCACACCACAGTGGTTATTTTTTGGGTTTTTTTTCGGAGACGGGGATCTCACTATGTTGCACAGGCTGGCCTGGAACTCCTGGGCTCAAGTGATCCTCCCACCTCAGCCTCTGTGCCCAGCTATACACCACAGTTTTGTGAACACATTCTTTCAATGCAACAACACAGTCCTTATTCACATATACAACTAGCACTCTTAGAAACAGCTTTTATACCTGTGCCTCCATAGAGCATATTACATACCTCAGTTTTGTGAACATATCCTTTTGAAAAGGAGGAAAATCCTTATTCATATATAAACTGGCATTCTTAGAAATATCTTTGACACATGTATCTTTTTGTAGTGCATTCCAGGCACCACCGTGTGGTAAACATCCTTTGGGGGTTGGTATTTGAACAGAAAAGTGCCTCTGATGTGTGGCAGATACTCCACAGATATTAGCTATTAGCTAGTGTGTCATCCTTCTCCCCCTGCCCCTGCAATCCTATCCTATGTATCACCTGCACTATCTGGCTCCCATCACCTGTGTGACCTCACCTTCTACCCTTCCCCGCACTCTGCTCCAGCCACACTGGCCGCCTTGATGTTCCTTGAACATGGCAGGCACCATCCCACCTCAGGGCCTCTGAACTGGCACTTCCTTCTGCCTGGTATGCTCTTCCCGTAGACATTAAGGCTCTCTCCGTCTCTACCGTGAGGCCCTAATTCAAGAGTCACCTTCCCTATGCCTAAGATTTCAACCACCCCCAATACTCGATTCCTACCTGCCCTATTTCATTATTTCTTCTCAGCATTTGTCTATTATGCTAATTTTACTTATTTATTTTGTTCACATAGTCTGTCTCCCCAGCTTGGGTTTTTTTTTTTTTTTTTTTGAGACAGAGTCTCGCTCTGTCACCCATGCTGGAGTGCATGGTGCAATCTTGGCTCACTGCAACCTCCGCCTCCTGGGTTCAAGCAATTCTCCTGCCTCAGCCTCCCAAGTAACTGGGATTACAGGCGCACGCCGCCACACCCAGCTAATTTTTTTGTATTTTAGTAGAGATGGGGTTTCACCGTGATGCCCAGGCTGGTCTTGAACTCCTGAGCTCAGGCAATCCACCCACCTCAGCCTCCCAAAGTGCTAGGATTACTGGTGTTAGCCACCGTGCCCAGCCTCCCCAACTTTTAATAAATGTCAGCTCCACAAGCACAAATATTTCGCCCTGTTTCGTTCCTTGCCATATTCCAGCACCTAGAAGAGTGCCTGGTACTCACAAGGGGCTCAGTAAAGGTTGGTTGCAGGAACAGTCCCAACTAATTAGCTCTCATATCCCTTCTTCTTCCTCATGTGACCCCTACACTGGTGTCTCAAATTATCTTTTTCCCATTTATTCATGGGATAAATTCTTATTGAGCATCTGCTGTTTACCTGGTACATTTTCAGTTGCTGGAGACATAGCGGTGAATGAGCAGACAAAAACTGAGTCCTCATGGGACTCACATTCTAATGAGGAGAGACAGACAACAAACAAGTAACCCACACAGTGTGTCAGACAGTGATAAAGGGCAACGGGACAAATCAGGGACCTGGCTTGAGCCCTGCTGGGTGTGCAGCTTCAGATGGTCAGGGAGGGGTTGACTTTTTTTGTTTTTACAAGTAGCATTGTTAGGAACTTCTTTTTTATACATGTGCCTTTGTATAGTATATTCTAAGTACCATGGTGTGACAATCAACCTTTAATGAAATAACACTACCCAGGTACAACAAAATCAAATCACTCTTAGAAACATCTTTTACGCCTGTGCCTTTAAGAGAGTGTATTACACACACCACAGTGGTTGTTTTTTGGGTTTTTTTTTTTCAGAAAAAGGGATCTCGCTATATTGCCCAGGCTGGCCTGGAACTCCTGGGCTCAAGCTATCCTCCCACCTCAGCCTCCCGAGTAGCTGGGACTATAAGTGCACACCCCTGTGCCCAGCTACACACCACAGTTTTGTGAACACATTCTTTCAATGCAACAACACAGTCCTTATTCACATATACAACTAGCACTCTTAGAAACAGCTTTTATACCTATGCCTTTACAGAGCATATTACGTACCTCAGTCTTGTGAACACATCCTTTTGAAAAGGAGGAAAACCCTTACTCATATATAAACTGGCATTCTTAGAAACATCTTTCATACATGTATCTTTTTATACTGCATTCCACACACCACAGTGTGGTAAACATCCTTTGGGGGTTGGTATTTGAACAGAGTGCTGAAAGGAACCATGCAGAGATCTGGGGGTGGTGTTCAAGGCACAAAGAACAGCCAATGCAAAGGCCCTGAGGCTGGCCCATGCCTGCTATGTTTGAGGAGCTGTGTGGTGGAACCAGTGTGGTTGGAGCACAGTAAGGGGGTGGGAAGGTATAGGCGGTAATGCTAGAAAGGTTACTTGTTTTACCATTAATTCACAGTTAATATTTATTTACACTGGAAGGGATTCTAGTTCTGATCCCCCATTTCACAAATGAAGAAAAAGGCACAGAGAGGAAGTGGTTAAATCACTCATCTAAGGTCACACAGCTGCTGGGATTGGGGGGTGGGTGGGTGCTGAGAGAAGGTGAGGAATGAAGACTGCTCTGCAGGCAGAGGGAACAGCAAGAACAAAAGCTTGGAGGTGAGAACTAATTTGGTTTTTAAGGACTGAGGCCTCACGTGGGGTGGGATGAGATCTAAGAGGGGAGCCTCAAAAATTATCCTGTGTCCTGAGTACTTCCTGGGCCACCTTTGAGTAAGGAATTTAACCTCCCTATGGCCCAATTCCCTCACTACCTATCTCATGGGGTTGTGGTGAGGATTAAAGGAACTCATTCATATGAAACACTCTGCCTGATATACGGCAGGTGCTCAATAAACGCTAGCTCCTATTGGCATTACTATCATCACTGGCGCTAATGTATTCACTTATTGTAGTGAGGCAGAACGTCTTTGTGGTTACGAGTGTGACCAGGCTGACCCACTATTAAGAGGTGGAGGACAGGGAAGGCCGTACAGTGCTCCATCACAAGGAAAAGAGGATCAGCACGTTCTCTTCTGGGAAGGGAAAAAAAAAGAGAAGGAAATTGAAAGTACACGGCCGATCTTCCCCCAATTACAAAGCACTGGACTCACGGGAGGGTATGCGGGGGACTGTGCAAGCATACAGGGGTGTGGGGGAGGAAGGCCAATGAACAGATCCACTGCAAAGGGAGGGGTGATGAGGCTCATCGTCTGAGGGGAAGGGGAGCAGAAAACCTTACAGACTCCTGCACCACAGTGAGAGGAGAGAAAAGCCATCACACAGACTGATTCAAAGCAGAGAGGGAAAAGGCTATGGACTGAGCTACTGAAAATAGGGAGATGTAAAGCACTAAACTAACCCACTATTAAAAAGGAGAGAACCCCAAGCGCTAGAGCGACAGTCTACGAAAAAGAGGAGACAGGGCAATGGACTGATAGCTAAAGGGACGTGAATCCAAACATGAAGACTGATCCACTATAAAATGGTGGTGGTGGTGGT
Source organism: Homo sapiens (assembly GCF_000001405.40). Classification (NCBI taxonomy): domain Eukaryota; kingdom Metazoa; phylum Chordata; class Mammalia; order Primates; family Hominidae; genus Homo; species Homo sapiens. The sequence continues at coordinate 47,649,834 of NC_000023.11, forward strand.
GGGGGGGGGGGGTGGTTTTGAAAAAAGCCATGGACTGATGCATTGGGGGACTGGAGGAGGCAGGAATACAAACTCAGGTAGACTCACTGTTAAAGAGGGATGCGGAGGAGTGCGGCGCCACGGATTGATTCGCTACGATGTACAGGAAGGGTGGAATAAATAAGGCCACGGACGGGTCTCCTGAAAGTTGAGGCTAGGAGAAATCCAAACACTCAGATACACCTACTATTAAGGGGGCTGAACACTGTCACAGGCTAGCTCCCTATAAGTGGGGGTGGGTGGGGGGCGGGTGGGGGTAGGGGTAGGGGGAAAGCCTATGGACGAGTCCACCCTAAGTTGGCGTGGGGAAAAACATAAGCACGCAGACCGATCCATTATACAACGGGAGGGGGAGGTTAGGCCACGGTCAGATCCACTATAAGGGACGAAGGGCTTGAGCAATGCCACACGCAGGTCCACCAGCCGTGGTGGTGGCGGCGGGGAGTCGAACACCAGCAGGCCACCGGCCAAGCCACATCCTCTGCGCGGGGGCGGGAAGGATACGTGGGGTCACGGACTGGGCCCTCCACCCTCCAGGCCCAGAGCTCACCTGTGTGTAGCGTGGCGGTGGCGTTGGCAATGTTGGCAGCTCCGGGGGGCGGGGGCTCCATACGCGGCCCCACCGCCCCCCAGGCCTGGGTTCCGAGGCGGCGGTGGAGGTGGTGGTGGCGGTGGCGGCGGCAGCACCTAGAAGCCGCCCCTGCGTTTCCCTACAGCTCACGTGGGCCCGAGGAGGAGGAGCCCAATGTCCCGCCGCTCGCTGATTGGCCAAAGCGCTATTAATCGGCCGCAAGGCCTCGAGGGGTTGGGGGACGGGCCCTTCCCTACAGAGCTGTGCCGTGATTGGCGTAAGGGGAAATGATGGAACGCTCACGGCCCCTGGAGTCCCGAGGAGGCGCGTTCGGCCTTCACGGTGCTCCACGCCGATTGGCTCAAGGACTGACGGACTGTGAGCAACTGAAAAGGCTCGGGGCCTGTGTCGGGGGGGCGGGGGTCTGCCTCACACTGATTGGCTTACATGGGATTGATGGAAGACAGCCCCCAAGGACGGGGGTGGGTGGCCCTGTTTTTCTCTGATTGGCGGACGAGGGACTTCTAGACCCCTGCCAAAACACCAAGGGGGCGGTGTCGCACGCCATGCTGCTCAGCGGAAGCAGGGCTTGTATAGAAATGGGCGTAGCAGCCGGCGGGAGTGGGTCGGACTGGGCTCCGCGTAGGCGGGCAGGGCAGCTCTACGGTTAGACAAGACCATAGAGCTGGGTAAAGACGAATTTAGAACACAGCGGAGGTAGGAGGGCAGGATGGCTGTCAGGCACACGAAAGAGCATTGAGTGGCAGAAACGAAATGCTTTCAGAGGGCAGGGTTGAACTGCGGCCAGAGTTAAAAAGGGGAGGAACCTGGCTCTGCATTGATTGGCGGTGGCTGGACTCAACCTAGAATAGGGGCCCGACTAGGGAGAGCGGGATCCAGGTCTGTGCCCATTGGAAGCTGGAACACTTACAAGCAGGGGCTAAGACAAGGTAGGGCTGAGTTAGGGTTTGGGTGTAATTTGGGGTACCTGGGGAATGATTGGGTGTGTGAAAGCGTAAACCTTAGGGCCCTTTGATTGTTGTGGGAATGAACAAACCTCCACCATGAATTGGCCCATTCTCTATGGCAATTCAAAGGGTGGCGTCTAGGAAAAGGAATGGAAGAAAGGGTGAGGTGGGGGGCCCAGGTTGCCAAGATGACAGAAGAGAGGGCAGTGCATAAGGTCAACTGGCAAATACTGCCAGGCAACAGGCTGGAGGCAGGACTGCTGGGGCATTTTGGAGGTTCCACAGAGAGACTGGATCTCTGGGTCTCTCAGTAACTTTGTGCCCTAGGAACAGGCCCCCGTGGCAACTAGCAGGGTTTATGGGGAAAAAGAAGGGCCATGTGACTCAAAGGCATTCAGGCTCTTTAATGTCTGAGGATGGGGGGAAGAAGTCAATGGTGAGGCTTCTCTGGGAAATTCTGCAGGCCTTGTAGTTCTCTAAGCCCCTGAAAAAGAGGACAGAAGAGATTGAACAAAGACTGGGTCTGGGTTACGCCCCCAGGCTTGCTCTGACCTCCCTCCCTTGACTCCAGTTTAGAGGGAAAGATGGTCCTTCCCTTCTTTCGCTCTCTTCCTTCTTCAGGTCACCACCCTAAACACAGAGTCTGGTAGTGGGGTGAGCTGCTCTCACCTCTAGCAACATGTGGATATGGGCTTTGATATTCATGGAGTCCTTGGTGAGGCTGTTGCTGAGCCTAGAGAAAAGAAACAAGAAAGGGCAAAATGGGCCCCACATGATTATGATGACCCTTCCTTATCACTTCAAGATCTACTTATATCCTGGATGATTTCCACCTGGCTCATTCCTATGTGGAAATGCCAAGCCACCATCTGGTTTTCACTGATTCAAAGATTATTAAATGCCTACTGTATGCCAGGCAATTTTAGGCACTGGGAGATAGCAGCAAACACAACAAACAAAACTCCCGGCCTGATGGACTTCAAATTCTTGTAAAGAAAGACATAACAAAAAACCAATGGAATAAAAGCTATGTGTCAGATGGTTCTAACTACAATAACAAAAATTAAAAATGAGAGACAATAAGGAGTACAGGAGTGGGGGGCTGCAATTTTAAAGAGGGCTCAGGGATGGCTTCACGGAGAAGCATTTGAGTAAAGACTTAAAGACAGTGAATTTTGAGTAGTGTGGCTATATGGAGGATGTGTTCCACACACAAGGGGCAGCAAACACAAAGGCACTGAGGTGGGAGTGTGCCTGGCATGTTTGAGGTGCAGCAAAGAGGCCACTCTGGCTGGAGAAGAATAAGTGAAGGGGGAATGTAAGAGGTGAGGTCAGAGAGGTAATGAGGGAGACAAACTGTGTGAAGCCTACAAGGCCATGGTAAGGACCCTGGCTTTGACCTTAAGTGAGATGGGAGCCAAGGGAAGGTTGCAGCAGAGGAAGGAGGTTGAATTACATGAACCAGTCAGTTGACTCCTTTTCTCTAAGCCAGTTTGGATCAGATCTCGCCCAAAAGAATCCTAATTGATATAAAGGGTCAAGGAAGGCCTTTCTCAAGAATGAAGAATGAGAAGGAATCGAAGAATGCCTAATGGTTAAGCAGTAGGAAGGCCTTTTCCACAAAAAGGACAAGAGGCAACAAAGAGCTGTTTGAGAAGCAGTGAGGTCAGAGTGTTAGAAATTGAGTGGGGAGGGAAAGTGGCCTAAGACAAGGTCCAAGAGATAGGAAGAGGTTAGATCACACAGGGTCTTAATATAATAAGGAATGTGGATTTTATTGTGCTGTCAATGTAGGAGTCAGTTTGAGGGGTAAATGAAACTAAATACTGTTGGAAAAGCAGAGAGCAATAAGATAGGATGTTAAATTGGAAAAAAAAGTAGTATGAACCCATGTATATACCAATATCTCCCACATTTTTATTTCTAGCCCAGAACTCTCTCCTGAACTTGACTAGTTTTAATGACATCTTCTAAAAATCCACTTCAGTGTTTAATAAGTGCCTCATACTTAACAGGTTCCAGACTAAATTCCTGACCTTCCCCTCCAAATCTACTCCTCCCCTAACTTCTCCATCTCAGATAATGGCAACTCCATCCCTCCAGTTGCTCAGCCAAAAACCTGGGCTCCTCTCTCTCACACTTCACATCCAGTCAGCCATTCTTCTTAAAATCATGACTGTTCCATTGCAGGTAATGCTTCTGATCTCCATGATATGCTTTCTCCATAGCACTGTCAACATCTGACATACTACATCATTCATTTGTTTATTGTTTGTCTCCCCTGACTAGAATGTCAGCTGTATGAGGGCAGATTTTGTTTTTTTTTGTTTCCTGCTCTATCCCCAGGGACCAGAACAGTGTGTGGCACAGAGGAGGCACCCAACGTATGTTGAATGAATAAGTGACTACTCCATTAAAAGGAACCTGAGGTTGGCTGAGTGTATGTTTAGGGACAGGAAATAAATGAAGTATGGGTGTTGTTGCCAGAGAGCAAGAATACTTTCAAGAATATTCTGGGGGTAATGCTTAAAGAACAGAAGAATGAACCTGATCAGCTCCTAAGGGACAATTTTAACATCAAAAAAGAGAACAAAATTAGTTAATGGTGTAAGCTTACCTTATGAAAACCTATGAGTTCAACACTTTAAAAGGGAGAAAAATACAGAGTTCACCAAATGCTAGCTGTAACACAAAAGGGATATGTTTATTACTGCTGATTTATTTTTATTTGCTATGTGAGAAGCAAATTACTACTGATTTAGTATGTAAGGCAGTGTGAATAGTCATATGGTTATGCTTTTTTTTTTTTTTTTGAGATGGAGTCTCACTGTGTCGCCCAGGCTGGAGTGCAGTGGCGTGATCTCGGCTCACTGCAACCTCCACCCTCCGAGTTCAAGCGATTCTCCTGCCTCAGCCTCCTAAGTAGCTGGGATTACAGGCGCCTGCCACCGTTCCCGGCTAATTTTTTGTATTTTTAGTAGAGACGGGGTTTCACTATCTTGGACAGGCTGGTCTTGAACTCCTGACCTCGTGATCCACCCACCTCGGCCTCCCAAAGTGCTGGGATTACAGGTGTGAGCCACCGCGCCCGGCCGTTAGGCTGTTTCTTCTATAATTACATGTCTATTCATGAGATGTGGATGTGTACTCCTTTCTGTGTCATCAGGAAAGAATATAGAGATTTCATCCCTTCCACTTCCCAAACAAAGAAATATACTAAGAACAGGAAGAACTGACACTTTTGATCACATAAAATGACCAGAAAGTTAGTTCAAAGTATATCCCAAGTAACCAAATATTTTTAAAGGACAGCCAGCTACATAGACTCAAATCTTCATCTCTTAGAAAAATTAAACTTCTAGACAGTCCTACTAATTACAATAAAGCAGTAAGACTCAACCATATTTTTCATCACACTAACAGACCAGGTCAGTACATCAAAAAGACCAGGCAAGGGGGCAGGCACTGACAATTTAAATACTTCATTTTGGGGAAGTACGTGGAGTCTCAAAACATTAAAATCTATTTGATAGGCTCAGGAATCCTGTGACATAACAAGGAAAGCCTTCTTATACAAACTAGACTTTAGCTGGGCGCGGTAGCTCACACCTGCAATCCCAGCACTTAGGGAGGCTGAGGTGGGCAGATCATCTGAGGTCGGAGTTTGAGACCAGCCTGGCCAACATGGCAAAACCCTGTCTCTACTAAAAATACAAAAATTAGTCGGGAGTGGTGGTGGGTGCCTGTAGTCCCAGCTACTTGGGAGGCTGAGGCAGGAGAATCCCTTAAGCCCAGGAGGCAGAGGTTGCAGTGAGCCAAGATCGCACCACTGCACTCCAGCCTGGGCGACAAGAGCAAAATTCCGTCTCAAAAACAAAGTGGACTTGGTCTAAATGACCACCAGTTCAGAATTGTGTTGACCATGAAAGCAGGCCGTTTAATTAAACTATTTGCTAATTGGTCTGAACACCAAGAATCAGAAATCTCAGCAGGTCTGAGGTTCTTTTGGGTCCACTAGCACCTGCTAGTCCTTCCCATGGCTGGAAAGGTTTGAAAAGATAAAAATTACTGAAACTCTAAGGGAGGCAACTCTGGAAAAAATGAATGTAGAACAGACATAAACACAAAACACAACCAACAAAGAAGTTTAAATCAATGGTACTCACACTTGTGAGATGTTGTTAATCTAAGTGTATTGCTCAGTGCCCCCATGCTCATTCCATTGAAACCAAGCTCACCTCTCTTGGTAGTTTCACTAGCATACCAGGCACACTATTCCTCTTGCCAGGAATGCTCTTCGCCAGATAGCCCCATGGCTTTGTCACTCAGTCAAATGATTCAAATGTCCCTTCCTCTGGGAGGCCTTCCCTAGCTACATTTCAAATCCCTCATCTATGCTCCCAACTGCCCTTCCCTGCACAAAACCGTAAATCAAGCTTGTCCAACCTGCAACCAGTGGGCCACATGCGGTCCAGGACGGCTTTGAATGCAGCCCAACACAAATTCATAAACTTTCTTAAAACATTATGTGATTTTTTTTTGCAACTTTTTTATTTTAGCTCATCAGCTATCATTAGCATTAGTGTATTTTATGTATGGCCCAAGACAAATCTCCCAATGTGGCCCACGGAAACCAAAAGATTGGACACTCCTGCCTTAAACTCAACTGGAGCCCACATTTTCTCTCCCCATCACCCCCAACACAGATCTGCTTCAATAACCACTTTAATATGCTTCCAGCATACCCTTTCAAATTATTTCAACAAACACAAAGCCGGGTACAGCAGTGCGCCTGTAGTCCCAGTTACTTGGCAGGCTGAAGCAAGGGGATTGCTTGAGCCCAGGAGTTTGAGGATGTAGTATGCTATGATCGCAGCTGTAAACAGTCACTGCATTCCAGCCTGGGCAACACAGCGAGACACCATCTCTTAAAAACAAAAACACAGAGTGTCTACTATATGCTTGTACTACTCTAGTCACCTGGGTATAAGGGAATAAACCAAATCTCCCCCTTTGTAAAACTTACATTCTAATTGGAGGAGACAACATGAGAAAGAAATTACATAGTAAATATTAGGGGGTGATAAGTGTTAGTAGAAAAAAAGTAGAAGGAGGGGAATCAAGCATGCCAGGGGCTGTAATTTGAAAGTTAGGTTACAGAGGGCCTTGTTGAGGAAGTGACATTTAAGCAAGACGAGTGAGTGAGGAGAAAGGAAGCCATGTGGGTACTGGGGGAAAGAGCAGTGCAGGCAGAGAGAACAGCTACAGCAATATCCCTGGGGTGGGATCATTCTTGGGGTGTTGAAAGAAGCATGTGAAGGTGAGTGTGGCAGGAACACAGTGAATGAATAGTAAAATTAGCAGGAAGTGAAATCATAGGTAACTAGTTTTCTTGTTACCAATTCTAACAGGCTGAGACCTCATGGATCTGGTCATAATTGTATTTATGTATAACAGTATAGTCCTTCTAGATTGTAAGCCTTCAAGGAACTCTTCTGTCTTGTTCACTGCTGCATTCCCACTGCTAAGCACAGTGCCTGGCATACAGAAGATGCCCAATAAATGTTTGCGTGAATGAACAATACAAAGATCATTTTTTGAGTGCTTATTATGTGCTACACATGGGCTTTGCAACCCCATTTCTTCAGCCCCAGCTCTGAAGAGGAGGGGAGATGAGTCCTTAAGTATCATTCCAGGCAGCCATGGGTAAAGGGAGAAGAGTGTTGGAAATGGTGGTGTTTTTACACACTATCCTCATGGAATGGACTTACTCTGTGAGGAGAGAGCTCTTACGATCAATGAACTTGAGAGCTTCTGCCAGTGTCAACTCCAGGAAAAAACCATATCCCAGGGCCACATAGATGCGTGAAGTATCTGGGCTGAGGAAAGAGAGGTTAGAGGAAGTGGGGAGAAGTCCTTATCACTGTTTAGCATAGTTTATGTTTTGCTCCCCACCCTTCCCCAAATTGAGGCTCTGGGAAGGCAGGGATTTTGTCCTATTTTATTCACTGTCACATCCCCAGCACCTAGCTTATATCCTACTGGGATATAAAACCTCGCATAGTGCCTGGTACATAGAAGATACTCAAAAAAATATAAGTTGCATGAGGGAAGGGGTAAGCTGAACCCTGTGGGCTCAGAGGGGCGGGTAGACACTCACACCACTGTGTCAACGAAGAAGTTACAGCCCAAATCCACCTGCATATATAACTCCGAGTGCTTAGCTTCCTGTGGGGCCAGGGAAAAAGAGGTAGGGGTCAGTGGTGAACTCTTAGGTCAGGTGACAGGGTTGGGTCTGGAGTCTCTCTTCCCATTTCCCTCCCTTGCCCACACATACCAAAAAAATGGTACCCAATCCCATAGTCTTTACCTGGAGTCGCTCAATGACATTTCTCAGTTGAAGGTATTTGGCCAGCTGCTCATATACCTTGTCTCGATGGTCCAGCACCTTTCTGATGGGACGAAAGTACAATGGTGACCAATAGGCAGCCCCATTCCTCCTAGTATACCTCATATCATGACCCTCTGAGACTCTCATGTCACCATACACTGAAAAGGCTTTTTAGTGCATAAGTTAATTTTCGGCTCTGGGTCAGACTGCCTGGGTTTGGATCTGGGCTCTATCCTTTATAGATGTGTGACTTTGGCAAGTAAATAACCTGTTTGGGACTCAGTTTCCCCATTTATAAAATACAGATGACAGTATTACCTTGTAGAGTCATTAGGATTAAATGAGCGTTTACTACAAAGCATCTAGAATAATGCTTATCAAATGGTAAACTCTCTATATACATGTTAGTTATAATTACTATTATTATACTCCCAATACTGAACTCCAATCATAATGTCCCATCCTCACCCTAGAAAAATCCTCCATCCCTTTTAGGATGCTCATAGGCCTAGTTCTGAACACCTTATTTCCTGCTTAGATTAACAAAGATTGCAATAATATTTCTTCATACTCATTGAACCTCTACTATGTTTCAGGCATCCATGCTAAATTCTTGACAAAGATGGGACACATCAAAAACTCAAAACCACTGCATGGGGAAGGTTCCAGAAAACTCCCCATTTCACAGAAGAGTAAAGTTTATAGGGCACAGAAAGGCGAGGTAGGACGTATTCACAAGGATGAAGAATGGCCGAGCCAGGATTCGAACCCGAGAACTGTGGCTCCAGAAAACAAGCCTTAATCTGTTAAACATCGGAGGCCGCGCATGCGCTGACACGCCCCTGCTATGAACGCCACGTCCCAGCCAAACTGCACCCCGGATGTCGTCCCCACTTCTCGCTCCAAGGAGCGCGGGGCCGGACTCTGAACGCCTCGCCCGCCAATTCAAAGGGTTGGCCCTAACTTTGAACGCCCCACCCACCACGTGGAATGTTCCAAACGCCCCGCCCCCCGCACTGTCACTCACCGCAAGTCCCGCTGCAGCACGTCACTGATGAAGGTCTCGTAGCGCAGCACTTTCTCCCCCGTGGCCTCCACCGCCCGCCGCTTAGGGGGCGTCGCCATGATGGGCTCCTGGGGAGTGGGGAGGGGGAAGACCATGTTGACCGATCCAGTTTGGCCTCACACACAGTTCATCTCTACCCTCTCAACGCTGGGAATCGGCTTGTCCGGCTCAAGCTGGAGGTTCAGCCTTCCGCCCCTCCCAACTCGGGGACCCGACCACCCAGGGACACCCAAGCGCGGCCTTTACCTCAGGCCGCCAGCAATAAGAACGGTTGGTAGGAACCGCGGCTTCCGGGTGGCGCGGGTGAATGACGTAAGTGGCAAGCGCGCTGGCCAACCAAATAGCCAGTTGGGGAGGGGCGGGCCTGAGTGGAAGAAGACGGGCCAAAGGGGAGAAGAGAAGGGCAGGGCTTCACGGAATCCGAGGAGATCAAAGAAGACTAGGGCGTGCGAGCAGGGGCCGTCTGGCAATAAACCGGCCAATGGGGGACTGCAAAAGCGGCGCCTGGAGCCTATGGAGACCGTGTGTGGCTGGTGGGGGTGGGATTTAATGGGATTTGGCGGGTTCTAAGGTAGGCGCGACGCACAGGTGGAGGTAGAGGAAGTGAAGAGTTTAATATTTAAAAGGACCTAAAAATTGACTATGGTTCTGGTCTATAAGGAAGATCCCGTGTGATCTGTCGGCCTGGATATTGATTTTTCACACGGGAGGTTTGGATTTCACTCCTGGCAATGGGACTGAGTATAAGCATTTAAAAGGTTTTAAACAGAGACAGGTTTTCTAAAATTCATCTTTGATAACTCCAGCTCTGCACTCGCAACCCATAAGTGAGGCTCAAGTGGAAATTGACAACACTCTCTGTCTAATCACCTCGTTTGATAGTCAAATGGAGAGGGTGGCTGAAGTCCTCTGCCGAAGATTGGCCATCTTGTAGTTAGGCATAGTTCCCATGTTTTTATTTAAATGGTAAGGTTTTTGTGAATTTATTCTTATGCACTAGAGTGACTGAGTGAATTTATTTTTCAGGTTAGATTTTCAAACAAGAACTTATAACCCAGCAAGAATGGGCCTTTGCCTGGAGAAGAATCCAGACCATGGGATGAATCCCCAAATGCTATTTCCATCTGTAGAGCCTAGAGCACCCACCCCTACCAAGGAAGTCTTCCCAGATAATTTGTGTTTCATATGTAAAAGCAAGTTTTTTTTTTCAAATGCTCAAAACCCAAGCAAGTTAAGCCCTTCCTTCCTTCCTTCCTTCCTTTCTTTTCTCTCTCTCTCTCTTTCTTTCTCTCTCTCTCTCTTTCTTTCTTTTTTTTCTTTTTTAGACAGGGTCTGTGTCCCCTAGGCTGGAGTGCAGTGGTATGATCATGACTCATTGCAGCCTCAACCTCCCAGGCTCAAGTGATCCTCCCGCTTCAGCCTCTGGAGTACCTGGGACTACTGGCATACACCACCACGCCCATCTAATTTTTAAAAAAGTTTTTGTAGAGACAGAGTCTCACTATGTTGCCCAGGCTGGTCTCAAACTCCTAGGCTTAAGTGATTTGCCCACCTCGGCCTCCCAAAATGCCGAGATTATAGGCATGAGCCAGCACACCTGGCCAAGTTAAGCTTTTCTTTGCCCTTAGAACGAGATAATTGTAAAATGAAAACATTGAGATTAGTTTTTTTGGTCTGTAAATCTCATGTTACATATAGTTTAAATTACATTGAGTGTGATTGGAATAGATACTAGGTAGAAAAATATTATCTAGTTAATCTATACCACTTTCCTGTGAAAAGAGAGAAAAGAAGACACATATTTATTTAACAGAGAACACAATTCTGATGGGCTGGAGATGAGTCTGTGTAAGTCTATTAACTTATATTTCACAAAAAAGAATTTTTTACTTAAAAATGTATTTCCAACTTTATTTTTACATTTCAAACCTACAGAAAAGTTGACAGTGAACACTCATATACCCTGCACTTAAGTTCGCCAGTTGTTTTATTTTGAATTTTTAAAATTTTTTTAGAGGCAGGGTCTTGCTCTCTTGCCTAGGCTAGAATGCAGTGGTGTGATCTCGGTTCACTGCAACCTCTGCCACCGGGCTCAAGCAATCCTCCCGCCTAAGCCTCCTGCATAGCTGGGACTACAGGCATGAGCCACCATGCCCAGCTAATTTTTTGTAGAAATGGGGTTTCACCATGTTGCCCAGGCTGGTCTCGAATGCCTGAGCTCAATCAGTTCGCCTAACTCGGCCTCCCAGGGTGCTGGGATTACAGGCGTGAGCCACCATGCCCGGCCTGGATTCACTCGTTGTTAATATTTGATCACATTTGCTTTCTTTCCAGACCATAGGATAATTGTTGACATGGCTGCATAGCATTCCATTCTTTGGATGGCCTCAGATTTTTGAGCCACTCCTCTGTCACTGGATATTTGAATGTGTTCAGATATTTTCGTTGTTATAACCAGGATGGGATAAGTCTTTGCTGTCAAATTTTTGTGCGGAGCCATGATTATTTCCTTGTGATAAATTCCTAGAAGTAGAATTTATAGATTTTTTTTGAGACAGAGTCTCACTTTGTTGCCAAGGCTGGAGTGTAGTGGTGTGATCTCTGCTCATGGCAACCTCTGCCTCCTGGTTTCAAGTGATTCTTCTGCTTCAGCCTCTGGAGTAGCTAGGACTACGGGCACACACTACCATGCCGCCTAGCTAATTTTTGTATTTTTAATAGACACAGGGTTTCACCATGTTGGCCAGGCTGGTCTCGAACTTGTGGCCTCAAGTGATCTGCCCACCTCGGCCTCCCAGGGCGCTGGGATTACAGGCATGAGCCACCTCACCCGGCTGAATTTATGGATTTAAAGGAGGTCACTGCATTGTAAATCAAGTGTTGAGTGACAGTGGTACGCATAACAGTGAACCTCCTCATCTAAGCTCTATATCAGGGGTCAGCAAATTATGGCCCCTGGTTTGCTGACCCTTTACAGTTTCCTATAGCCTGCAAACTAGGAATACTATTTACATCTTTAAAGGGCTTTAGAAAAGTAAAACTAATATTTTGTGACACATCAAAATTATATGAAATTTGCATTTTAGTGTCCATTAATAAAATTTTCTTGGAACACAAGTCTCACTCATGCGTTTACATATTGTCTGTTACTGCTTTCACGCTATAATGGCAGAGTTGAGTAGTTGCCAAAGAGACCACATGGTATGGACATCCTAAAGTATTTACTATCTGGCCTTTTACAGAAAAGGTTTGCCAACCCCTGCTCTGTACAATGCCTGTCACCAATACAGAGGTTGGGGCTCTAACCAGGTGGGTCTCCCTGGCTTCCACTGGCGACCTCTTAACCTGGCTTATGGGTGCACATTTTCAGGCTGGTGCTTCTGGGAGATATGAGAGACACAGTCAGCTTGTTTCCAGCTCCAAGATGTGAGATGGACTGTGTCTCTTATGTCTGCATTTGAATCTTCTCTCCTTTCCATCCAACTTCCTGCCCCCAGCTCTGACTCATAGGTCTCTGTCTTTGCCTTTTCCCAAGAAGAGCAAGAAATGACTAAGGCCCAGGGGAGGCTGCATTTCCCTGATAGCTAATGATGTAGAACATCTTGCCATGTGCTTATTTGTCATCTACATGTCCTTTATGGTGAAATGTCTCTTCACATTCTTTGCTCATTTACCAAATGGATTGCTTAAAAAAAAAAAAAACTTGAGTTTTGAGAGTTCCTTACATATTCTAGGTATGAGTTCTTTGTCAGATATGTGGTTTGCAAATATTTCCTCCCAGGCTGTAGTTTGTCTTTTTGTCCTCTTAACAAGGTCTTTGTTAGAGCAAACACATTTAATTTTGAAGTCTAGTTTATTGATTTAAAAACATTTTTTGGATCATGCTTTTGTTGTTGTGTCTAAGAACTCTTCACAAGCCGTAGCTCCCAAAGACGTTCTCCTGTGTTTTATTTTTAAAGTTTTTTAATTTTATGTTTGACATTTAAATCTGTGATCTGTTTTTAAAAAACAGCTTTATTGAGATGTAATTCACATACAATAAAACCCACACATTTGAAGTTTACAGTTCAGCAGTTTTTAATATATTCACAGAGTTGTACAAACATCACCACAATCTAACTTTATTTTTTTAATAATTTTTTTTTTTTTGAGACAGGGTCTCACGCTGTCACCCAGGCTGGAGTGCAGTGGTAGGATCTTGGCTCACTACAGCCTCAACCTCTCAAACGCAAGCGATCCTCCCTGCCTCACCCCCTCAAGTAGCTGAGACTATAGGCATGTGCCACCACGCCGGCTAAGTTTTGTATTTTTTGTAGAGATGGGGTTCCACTGTGTTACCCAGGCAGGTCTTGAACTCCTGAGCTCATTCGATCCACCCACCTCGGCCTCCCGAAGTACTGGGATTACAGGCGTGAGGCACCACGCCCAGCAATCTAGAGTATTTTCATCACCCCAAATAGAACTCCTGTACCCACTCCTCAGTGTGTTCTCCCCACCCCAGCCCTAAGCAACCACAAATTTAATTTCATCTGTAAAAATTTTTGTATTCTGCACATTTCAATAAATAGAATCATATACACTATGTGGCCTTTTATGCCTGGCTTCTTTCACTTAGTATAATGTTTTTAAGTTTCATTTGTCCATGTTATAATACTTATTAGTACTTTATTCCTTTCTAGGGCTGAATAATAGTCCCTTGTGCATATATGCCACATTTTGTTTATTTCTCTTACCAATTTCAGTAAAATGTAAAGTCCTTACTCCTTTTAAGTCCCTTTTCCTCCCCCTTTATAACATTAAATGTTAAATAAATATTTCCTCTCTCTATATTGGGAATCATCTCAATGTTGTAATTTATACTTCAACCATCAAGCACCATTTAATAAACTTGAGAGGGAAAATAAAGTCTATTTATTGATATTTTTGCTCCTTTTGTTGTTTTCCTTTCTGATGTTCCAAGATTCCTTCTTATATCATTGCCCTTCTGTTGTAAGGATTTTCTTTAGCCATTCTTTCAAGGTAAGTCTGCTGGTAACACATTCTCTTAGTTTTCCTTCATCTGAGAATGTCTTAATCTCACCATCATTCCTAAGGACATTTCTGCCAGCTAAAGAATTCTTGGTTGGTATTCCTTTTATGTCATCTCTTGAAAACTGTTGTGCCACTTCCTTCTGGCTTCCATGTTTTCCAATGAGAAATTCACTGTCATTAAAATTATTTTTCTTATGTAGATAAGATGTCGTTTCCTCCTGCTTTCAAGAATTTTTATTTGTCTTTAGGCCAGGCATAATGGCTTGTAATCCCAGCATTTTGGGAGGCTGAGGTGGGCAGAGCACTTGAGGTCAGGCGCTCAAGACTAGACTGGCCAATATGGTGAAATTCCCATCTCTACTAAAAATACAAAAATTAGCTGGGCGTGGAGGCACGTGCCTGTAATCCCAGCTACTCAGGAGGCTGAGGCAGGAGAATCGCTGGAACCCAGGAGGCAGAGGTTGCAGTGAGCCGAGATCATGCCCCTGCACTCCAGCCTGGGCAACAGAGCAAGACTCTGTCTCAAGAAAAAAAAAGAAAAAAATTTTCTTTGACTTTAGTTTTCAGAAGTTTGACTCTGATGTGCCTCAGCATGGATTTCTTTACGTTTATCCTGTTTAGGGTTTGCTTAGCCTTTTGAATCTGTATTCAACAGGTTTATATTTTTAGCCAAATATGGCAAAATTTCAGACATTGTTTCTTTGAATACTTTTTCAGCTCTTTCCTCTTTCTTCTCTTTTCTGGACTTTGATAACACAAATGATCGAATATTTGGTTCCACTAGTCCCTGAGGCTCTATTCATTGGTTTTCAGTCTACTTTTCTCTGCTGTTTGGAGTAATTTCTATTGTTCTATCTTCATGATTCGTGATTCTTTCTTGTGTCCTCTTCATTCTGCCTTTGAACCCATTCACTGAGCTTTCGATTCAGTTATTGTGAGACAAAGTACCATATGTAAGAAGCTATGTTTGCTCATTCGGCTTACCAGCAGAATTTCACAAAATCCCTTATCAGTGGAATTTTACAAAGCCCCTGACTCAGTGACTCAGCACCACCCACTGGAAGAATGTTCTGAAGATGATCAGCAGTATGGAGGACAGCCTGCCATGTCCCTTGTGTGAATCACAGCAGTTTTAGAAAGGATAAGTTCAGCGATCCTAATCCTGGCCTCTTCCTATACAGAAGATAACAGGATTATCTGACCGGATTAATAATTAGGCCTCTGTAGTCTATAACCAGATGTGCCCTCATACCCAAGCCTTGATGTGATTTTGCTCTAATGTAACTTCTGAGCACATTTGATGTAACTTCTAAGCTACATGCAGAGCTGCCACCACCTGTGTATAAACTGTGGCCTAAAACAGTTGGAGCAGTTTAACAGAAACTCTCTGAAAGACTCTCTCCGGTTGCAATCTTCAGTAAGAGTTCTGAATAAAATTAACTTAGGCCAGGCACAGTGGCTCACACCTGTAATCCCAGCACTTTGGGAGGCTGAAGTGAGCGGATCTCTTGAGTTCAGAAGTTCAAGACCAGCCTAAGCAACATGGCCAAACCCCGTCTCCACAAAAATACAAAAATTGGCCGGGTACAGTGGCGCATACCTCTAGTCCCAGCTACTCGGAAGGCTGAGGTGGGAGGATCGCTTGAGCCCAAGAGATGGAGTCTGTCTGCAGTGAGCCGACATTGTGCCACTGCACTCCAGCCTAGGTGACAGAGACCCTGTCTCAAAAAAAATAAATAAATAACTTTAATTCTTTAAAAGCCTGATTTTTTTCTTTAGTTGACAGTATTTTTCAGTTCTAAAATTTTCATTTGGAAATTTTATGATGGCAGAGCCCTCATGAACTAATCACCTTCCAAAGGCCACACCTCTTAATACTGCTACATTAGGGATTAAGTTCCAATCTACGAATATTGGGAGATACATTCAGACTATAGCAGGCCCCCTCCATTTTCTCCTGAACATGCATGCAGATTTGCTTATGTGCTGTCTTCCAGACCGCTTGGGGTAAGTAGGATCTTATCAAGGCCTTTTTTGCCTGTCTCATTCCCTGTATCTCCCTGTTAAATTTATTACTGAACTGTTGATTTATTACTTAACCCCAGTCAGTATGAAGACCTCAGAATGTCTCTGATATTGACCTTTCCTGGTTGTTAGCCACTGAGAACACTGTTGTTTTATTGTTTGTTTGTTTGAAGACAGAGTCTGACTCTGTTGCCCAGGCTGGAGTACAGTGGTGCAATCTTGGCTCACTGCAACCTCAGCCTCCCGAGTTCAAGCAATTCTCGTGCCTCAGCCTCCCGAGTAGCTGGGATTACAGGCGTGCTCCTCCACGCCTGGCTAATTTTTGTATTTTTAGTAGAGACAGCGTTTTACCATGTTGGCCAAGCTGATCTTGAACTCCTGACCTCAAGTGATCCACCCCCACTTGGCCTCCTAAAGTGCTGGGATTACAGGTGTGAGCCACCATGCCCCGCCTGAGATCACTGTTGTGTTGTGTTGTGTTGTTTTGTTTTGTTTTATTTTATTTTGTTTTGAGATTAAGTCTCTGTCGCCCAGGCTGGAGTGCACTGGCGCAATCTTGGCTCACTGCAATCTCTGCCTCCCAGGCTCAAGCGATTCTCCTGCCTCAGCCTGAGATCACTGTTGTTTTAAGTGTTGCTCCTGTGCATAGAATTTTCCTCACTGCTCTAAATAAAGTCAGCCCTCTCCTGCAGCAGAGCTGCTGGTTCTTTGGGTCTGCCCTTTCTTGGTGGAGCTTCTGTGCCTCAGAGCTGGAGGAGATAGTAACAGCTCTAGATTAAAACACCACAGGCACCTACTATTCTTACTGAGATCTGAGCTTCAGTAGATTTTCTTTTACTTTTTCCTATCAGAGCTTGTCAGAACACTTAATATGTTGATTTTTAAAAATATTTTATTTTTTGTGGGTACATAGGTGTATATATTTATGGGGTACATGACATATTTTGATACAGGCATACAATGTATAAAAATCACATCAGGGTAAATGGGGTATCCATCATCTCAATCATTTAGCCTTTCTTTGTGTACAAACAATCCAATTATAGTCTCAGTTATTTTGAAATGCACAGTAAATTATTGTTGACTATAGTCACCCTGTTGTGCTATCAAATACTAGATCTTATTCATTCTATTTAATTATATTTTTGTACACATTAGCCATCCCCACTTCTCCTGCAACCCCACTACCCTTCCTGGCCTCTGGGAACCATCATTCTATTCTTTATCTCCATGAGTCCAATCGCATTAATTTTTAGCTCCCACAAATAAGTGAGAACATGTGAAGTGTGTCTTTTTGTGCCTGGCTTATTTCACTCAATATCTTCCAGTTCCATCCATGTTGTTGCAAATGACAGGATCTCATTCTTTTTTTGTGGCTGAATAGCACTCCATTGTGCATATGTATCACATTTCCTTTATCCATTCATCTGTTGACAGACACTTAGGCTCCTTCCAAATCTTGGCTATTATGAACAGTGCTACAATAAACATGGGAGTGAAGATATCTCTTCAATATACAGATTTTCTTTCTCTCTCTCTCTCTCTTTCTTTTTTTCTTTTCTTTCTTTCAGACAGGGTCTCACTCTGTCACCCAGGTTGGAGTGCAATGGCTTGATCTTGTCTTGCTGCAGCCTTGACCTCCTAAGCTCAAACAATCCTCCCACCTCAGCTTCTTGAGTAGCTGGGACTACAGGCATGTGCCACCATGCCTGGCTAATTTTTATATATATATATATATAATATATATTATATTTATATAATAATTTATATATATAATATATATTATATAATATATTATATATATAATATTATATAATATATATTATATATAATATATATAATATATACAATATATACAATATATATAATTTATATATATATAATATATATATATTATATATATATATATTAGAGATGGGTTTCATCATGTTGCCCAGGCTCTATTTCTGTGAAGAATGTCATTGGTATTTTGACAGGGGTTGCATTGAATCTGTAGATTGCTTTCGGTAGTATGGTCATTTTAACCATATTGATTCTTCCAATCCATGAATATGGAATATGTCTCCATTTTTTGTGTCCTCTTCAATTTCTTTGTTTCACAGTTTTATTGTGGAGATATTTCACTTCTTTGGCGAAGTTTATTCCTAGGTATTTTATTTTATTTGTAGGTATTGTAAATGGGATTACTTTGCTGACTTCTTTTTCAGATGGTTTGTTGTTGGCATATAGAAATGTTATTGATTTTTGTATGTTGATTTTGTATTCTGCAACTTGACTGAATTTGTTTATTAGTTCTAGTAGTTTTTTGGTGAAGTCTTTTTTTTGTTTAATTTAATTTATTTGCCAAGATGATTAGTAAATTGCATAACTAAATTTGAAGTATACTTGAGCAAGTTTTCTAATTCCAAGTCTAATAATATTTCCGTTATACATGATAACTTTTGTAAACATACATGGCTTGATTTCAGCAAGTACAATAGAGAAATTAAAACCATAATCTACTGTTTATATGAAATGTCTGGAACAGGCAAACCCATAGAGACAGAAATTAGATTAATAATTGTCAGGGAATGGGAAGGAGGCAGAATTGAGAAGTAGCTGTTAGTGACTATGGGATTTCTATTTGAGGTGATAAAAAATTTCTGAAGTTAGATAATGGTGATAGTCACACAACTGTTTGAATATAGTAAAAAAAAAAAAAAACCACTGAAGCCAGGTGTGGTGGCTCACGCATGTAATCCCAGCACTTTGGGAGCTTGAGGTGGGAGGATCACTTGTTGCCCAGGAGTTTGAGATCAGCCTGGGCAACATGGTAAAACCCCATCTCTACAAAAAATACAAAAAAATTAGCTAAGATCACACCACTGCACTCCAGCCTGGGCAACAGAGACTGTCTCAACAGAACAAAACAAAACACACAACACTAAGTTGTATACTTTAAAAGGGTGAATTGTCTCTCAATACAGCTATTGTGACTACCATAATCTTCCAAGTTTGTCTTGATTCATTTTTAAAGTATAAAATGCTGTTTTTTATAGGTTAGAAACAAAATATATAGCAGACTGTTGTCACTTCATTCTCCAAATAGTTATTATGGAATCAGATCACCACAGGAGTTATTCAAAGCATCAGGATTGACACAGGTAGGAAATTGTAATAGTCTCTAATGAACTGTTCTGCTCTTCATTTTAAGTAAAACTTGACTTCTTCTGATTATATTCCTTTGATTTTTACAACTACTGTTCTTCCATTCAGACTGATCTTTTGAATTATCTTTTTTTTCTTTCTTTCTTTATTATTATTATAATTTAAGTTTTAGGGTACATGTGCACATTGTGCAGGTTAGTTACATATGTATACATGTGCCATGCTGGTGCGCTGCACCCACTAACTCGTCATCTAGCATTAGGTATATCTCCCAATGCTATCCCTCCCCCCTCCCCCCACCCCACAACAGTCCCCAGAGTGTGATGTTCCCCTTCCTGTGTCCATGTGTTCTCATTGTTCAATTCCCACCTATGAGTGAGAATATGCGGTGTTTGGTTTTTTGTTCTTGCGATAGTTTACTGAGAATGATGATTTCCAGTTTCATCCATGTCCCTACAAAGGACATGAACTCATCCTTTTTTATGGCTGCATAGTATTCCATGGTGTATATGTGCCACATTTTCTTAATCCAGTCTATCATTGTTGGACATTTGGGTTGGTTCCAAGTCTTTGCTATTGTGAATAATGCCGCAATAAACATATGTGTGCATGTGTCTTTATAGCAGCATGATTTATAGTCCTTTGGGTATATACCCAATAATGGGATGGCTGGGTCAAATGGTATTTCTAGTTCTAGATCCCTGAGGAATCGCCACACTGACTTCCACAATGGTTGAACTAGTTTACAGTCCCACCAACAGTGTAAAAGTGTTCCTATTTCTCCACATCCTCTCCAGCACCTGTTGTTTTCCTGACTTTTTAATGATTGCCATTCTAACTGGTGTGAAATGGTATCTCATTGTGGTTTTGATTTGCATTTCTCTGATGGCCAGTGATGGTGAGCATTTTTTCATGTGTTTTTTGGCTGCATAAGTGTCTTCTTTTGAGAAGTGTCTGTTCATGTCCTTCACCCACTTTTTGATGGGGTTGTTTGTTTTTTTCTTGTAAATTTGTTGGAGTTCATTGTAGATTCTGGATATTAGCCCTTTGTCAGATGAGTAGGTTGCAAAAATTTTCTCCCATTTTGTAGGTTGCCTGTTCACTCTGATGGTAGTTTCTTTTGCTGTGCAGAAGCTCTTGTTTTAATTAGATCCCATTTATCAATTTTGGCTTTTGTTGCCATTGCTTTTGGTGTTTTAGACATGAAGTCCTTGCCCATGCCTACGTCCTGAATGGTAATGCCTAGGTTTTCTTCTAGGGTTTTTATGGTTTTAGATCTAACGTTTAAGTCTTTAATCCATCTTGAATTGATTTTTGTATAAGGTGGGTGAAGTCTTTAGGCTTTTCTAACTGTAAGATCATATTATCTGCAAACAAGGATAATCTGACTTTTTCCTTTCCAATTCAGATGCCCTTTATTTCTTTTTCTTGTCTGATTGCTCTAGCTAGGACTCCCAGGACTATGTTGAATAACAGTGGTGAAAGTGGGTATCCTTGTCTTGTTCCAGATCTTAGAGGAAAAGCTTTCAGTTTTTCTCCATTCGGTGTGATACTAGCTGTGGGTCTGCCACATATGGCTTTTATTATGTTGAGGTATATTCCTTCTATACCCAGGTTTTTGAAGGTTTTTGTCATGAAGGGATGTTGAATTTTATCAAATGCTTTTTAGCATCAGTTGAAATGATCATATGGTTTTTGTCATAACCAACAATCGAAGTGAAAACTAATAAAATGCTACACTTTAACTTCATTCCCCAGCTTTTAAACTTTTTGTTGTTTCTATTTATAGCTTATTATACTGTCTCTATCTTGAAAAGTTGTGGTATTATTATTTTTGATAGGTTCATCTTTTAGTCTTTCTACTCAAGATAGAAGTAGTTTACATACTGCTGTTACATTGTTACACTATTCTGTGTTTTTCTGTGTACTTATTAGTACCAGTGAGTTTTGCACCTTCATGTTTGAAGGATATTGTTACTGAATATACTATTCTAGGGTAAAAGGTGTTTTTCCTTCAACACTTTAAATATGTCATGCCACTCTCTCCTGGCCTGTAAGGTTTTTTGTCTCCTCTGACTGTATATTTTCAAATAGCCTGTCTTCAAGCTCACTAATTCTTTTTTCTGCTTGATCAATTCTGCTCTTAAGTGACTCTGATGCATTCTTCAGTATGTTAATTGCATTTTTCATCTCCAGAATATCTGCTTGATTCTTTTTATTTCAATCTCTTTGTTAAATTTATCTGATAGAATTTCAAATTCCTTCCCTGGGTTACCTTGAATTTTGTTGAGCTTCCTCAAAACAACTATTTTGAATTCTCTGTCTGAAAGGTCACATATCTCTGCCTCTCCAGGATTGGTTCCTGGTGCCTTATTTAGTTCATTTGGTGAGGACATGTTTTCCTGGATGGCGTTAATGCTTGAGGATGTTCACTGGTGTCTGGGCATTGAAAAGTTAGGTATTTATTGTAGTCTTTGCAGCCTGGACTTGTTTATACCTGTCCTTTTTGGGAAGGCTTTCCAAGTATTCGAAGGAACTTGGGTTTTGTGATCTAAGTCTTTGGCCACTGCAGTCATATCTGCATTAGAGAGCACCCTGAGCTCAGTAATGCTGTGACTTTTGCAGAATGGTAGAGGTACCTCTTTGGTGATCTTGGGTAAGATCCAAGATAATTCCCTGTATTGCCAGGCAGAGACTTGCTCTCTTCCTTTAGTTTTCCCCAAACAAATGAAGTCTCTCTGTCTGTGCTGAGCTGCCTGTAGCTGGGGGAGGGGTGATACAAGCACCTCTGTGTTTACAACAACTAGGACTTCGCTGGGTCAGACCCAAAGCCAGCACAGCACTGGGTCTTGCCCAAGGTCCATGGTGTCCATTGCCTGGGTACCGCCTATGTTCACTCAAGGCCCAAGGACTCTACAGTCAGCAGGTGGTGAATCCAGCTAGGCTTGTGTATTTCCTTCTGGGCGGTGAGTTCCCCCAGGCCCCAGGCAGGTTCAGAGATGCCATCCAGGAGCCATGGCCTGGAGTCAGGAACCTTAGGATTCGACCTAGTGCTCTATTCTACTGTGGTGGAGCCGACACCCAAGTTGTAAGACTAAGTCCTTCCTACTCATGCTTCCCCTTTCTTCAAGCAAGGACATGTCTCCCTGTGGCTACCACCACTCTAGGCTTGCAGAAGGTACTGCCTGGCTACTGTTGATGTTCATTCGAGGCCCAAGGGCTTGTCAGTCAGCTTGTGGTGAATGCTGCCAGTCCTGAGTCTCTTCCTTCAGGGCAGTGGGCTCCCCTCTGGCCCAGGGCAGGTCAAGGAGCCAAGGCCTGGAATCGGGGACCCCAGGAACCTAGTTGGTGCTCTACCCCACTGTGGCTAAGCTGGTACCCAAGCTGCAAGACAAAGTCCCCTTCACTCTTCTCTCTCCTTTCCTCAAGCAGAAGGAGTCGCTCCCCATAGCCACCACAACTGGGAATGTGCTGGGTCACACCTGATGCCAACATGGCTCTGAATCTCATCCAACGCCCATGGTGAGTAGTGCCTGGCTATCACCTCTAAGTATTCAGGGCCTAATGACTCTTTAGTCAGTAGGTGATGACTCCTGCCAGGACTGGATCCTTCCCTTCAAGGCAGCAGGTTCCTTTCTGGCCTAGGGTGTGTCTAAAGTGCCTGGGAGCTAGGGCCTGGAATGGGGGCCTCAGAATTCTGCCTGATACCCTATTCTACTGTGGCTGAGCTGGTATCCAAGTTGCAAGACAAAGTCCCTTTAACTCTTCACTCTCCTCTCCCCAAGCAGAGGGTAAGAGTCTCTCCCAGAGCTCCAAGCTATGCTGCCTGGGGTTAGGAGAGGGGTGACACAAGCACTCCCTTGGCCACCCCAGCTGCTGTCTCACTAGGTCACATGCACCCCAAGTCCATTGGCTCTAAGCTCAGCACAGCACCAGGACTTGCCTAGGAATTGCAGTCCTTGTGGCCTAGACTGCCTTTCAAGTTTATTTAAAACCCCAGAGTTTTTATTTATATTTTTTATTTTGCTTTAAGTTCCAAGATGCACATGCAGAATGTGCAGGTTTGTTACACAGGTATACATGTGCCATGGTGGTTTGCTGCACCTATTGACCTGTCATCTAAGTTCCCTCCCCTTGTCCCCTACCCCCTGACAGGCCCTGGTGTGTGATGTTCCCCTCCTTGTGTCCATGTGTTCTCATTGTTTAACTCCCACTTATGAGTGAGAACATGCAGTGTTTGGTTTTCTGTTCCTGTGTCAGTTTGCTGAGGATGATGGCTTCCAGCTTCAACCATGTCCCTGCAAAAGACATGATTTCATTCCTTTTTATGGCTGCATAGTATTCCATGGTGTATATGTACCACATTTCCTTTATCCAGTCTATCATTGATGGGCATTTGGGTTGGTTCCATGACTTGGCTATTGTGAATAGTGCTGCAATAAACATATGCATGCATGTGTCTTTATAGTAGAATGATTTATATTCCTTTGGGTATATACCCAGTAATGAGACTGCTGGGTCAAATGGTATTTCTTGTTCTAGATCCTTGAGGAATCACCATACTGTCTTCCACAATGGTTGAACTAATTTATATTCCCACCAACAGTGTAAAATAAAACCACACATCTACAACCATCTGATCTTTGACAAACCTGACAAAAACAAGCAATGGGGAAAGGATCTCCTATTTGATAAATGGTGCTGGGAAAACTGCCTAGCCATATGTAGAAAACTGAAACTAGGCCTCTTCCTTACACTTTATACAAAAATTAACTCAAGATGGATTAAAGACTTAAATGTAAAACCCCAAACCATAAAAACCCTAGAAGAAAACCTAGGCAATACCATTCAGGACATAGGCATGGGCAAAGACTTCATGACTAAAACACCAAAAGCAATGGCAACAAAAGCAAAGAAATGGGATCTAATTAAACTAAAGAGCTTCTGCACAGCAAAAGAAACTATCATCAGAGTGAACAGGTAACCTACAGAATGGGAGAAAATTTTTGCAATCCACCCACGTGACAATGGTCTAATATCCAGAATTTACAAGGAACTTAAACAAATTTACAAGAAAAAACAAATAACCCCATCAAAAAGTGGGCAAAGGATATGAACAGACACTTCTCAAAAGAAGACATTTACGTGGCCAACAAAAATATGAAAAAAAGCTCCATATCAATGATCATTAGAGAAATGCAAATCAAAACCATAATGAGATGCCATCTCACGCCAGTCAGAATGGTGATTACTAAAAAGTCAAGAAACAATAGATGCTGGTGAGGCTGTGGAGAAATAGGAACCTCAGAGTATTTTAGCCAGTGATGGCAGAGCTTGCTGGAACTCAGGTTTTGATTGCTGGGATGGATGTCATCTGGTTAGGGCTCATCTAAATGCTCCCTCCATAGACGCCAGCTGAGTTCTGCCCCATGTTGCTTTTCGCTGTGACACGGCAGCACTGAGTTCCAATGCAAAGTCCCACATTCACTGTGTTCTCCCTTCCTCAAGCACACAGATTCTCTCTCTGCACCACATGGCCACTGCCAGATGGTGAGGGAAGGGTAGTGTAGGTGATTCAAGACTGTCTTTCCTACCTTCTTTAGTGCCTCTTTCCTTAAAATAATATTAAAACCAAGTACTGTGACTGCTTACCTGCTTTTTGGTTCTTATGAAGGTGGTTTTCTGTGTGTGTAGTTGTTCAATTTGGTGTTCCTGTCGGGGGACAATCAGTGGAAGCTTCTATTTGGCCATCTTGCTCTGCTTCCAAGCCTCAGTAGTTTTTCTTGAATAACCACTTCCCAATTTGTTATATTACCTTGGTAAATTTCCAGAGTCTTTAACTGGTTGTTTTTGGCAATTTTGTCCACTTTTGTCATGGCGTTTTGTGGAGAGGATTGCCAAGCTCCTTAGTCAACCTTTCCAGATGTCTCTCCCTTCCTTGTAACTAGAGTTTTGATTGCATCACTTAAAAAGTGTTAGTATGTTTCACAAAAATGTGTACCAGTATGAATTAGCAGTATATTTATTTATTTATTTGTTTGTTTATTTTTTAAGACGGAGTCTTGCTCTGTTGCTCAGGCTGGAGTGCAGTGGCGCAATCTCGGCTTACTGCAACCTCCGCCTCCCTGGTTCAAGCCATTCTCCTGCCTCAGCCTCCCAAGTAGCTAGGATTACAGGCATGCACCACCACGCCTGGGCAATTTTTGTATTTTTAGTAGAGATGGGGTTTTGCCATATTGGCCAGGCTGGTTTCAAACTCCTGACCTCAGGTGATCCGCCCGCTTCAGCCTCCCAAAGTGCTGGGATTACAGGCGTGAGCCACTGCTCCCAGCCTTTGCCCATTTTTTAGTTGGGTTATTTATTTATTTTGTTTTAGCAAAGTGTAAGGGTTCTTTATGTGTACTTTTTGTGCCATATCTGAGAAACCATTAAGGGGCAGGATTTGAATACATATCTGGCTCCAGCATTCATGTTCTTAACCATTACACCACGCTGCCTGTCTTGAATTAGCAGTTTAGATATAAATGATTTATGTATGTCGTGACTTAGACTCTTGATTTATTCCAAACATGCTTAGTCACCATGCAGTATCTGTATTTTCACATGTGTATTTGTATATATGTGATGATTGTGACACATAAGAATGGTTATTGCATTATTCCCAACAATAGAAGATAATGGTTTGAAGCAGCAATAAGTGAGTACTATTATTGCTCTCCCTATTAATGGTGCCCTTATTTCAGTGATGACGTTCTCTGTCTTTTTTGCCTATCACTTTTGTTTAATATTCTTTCCTCACTTCTAGAAAAAAATGTGTTTCTTCTTTAATATCTGATATGGTTAATGACAGAGCAGGAGCACCGTCATCTTGGACAAACACCGCCACTCTAAGTTCAAGCTCCCTTTCTAGCCTCATGCATTTCAAGGAAATCACTTCTTTTCTAACTACAAGCAGCCAGAAAAGAGCAGACAGTAAAACACAGATAAGACAGCTCAGGCACAGAGGGAGGCGGGGGGGAAGTCTCCTGGGTAACTGCCGAACTTCACCCTCATACAATGGACCCCAGTGAAACAGTGGGCCTTACTAAGCACATTCCTTTCCCTTCAGGTGCACTAAGATAGGGAAGCTAAAAGTAGACTGGGGGGGTATGCCTGCAGCTGCAGGAAGATGTATGGGAACAGACACAAAACTCTCCCTCCCAGATAAGCAAAATGAAGAGACACAGAAGCAGTCCAAGCCTCTGATAAACTCTCCCACCCTAAATCTTTAAAAACTCTTAGTCTGTAAGAGAGTGGGCTCTGATCTAACTTGGCCAGAATCCCCTGTCAGGTTTGTTTTCTCTAAAATAAACCTGTCCTTGACTGTTGAGCCACCTTTCATGTTTCTTTCCTCTTTCTTTAATTCTTAGAATTAGGCTTTGTGTTCCCCACCCAAATCTTATCTTGAATTGTAATCCCCATAATCCCCACGTGTCAAGGGAGAGACCAGGTGGAGGTAATTGAATTGAATCATGGAGGCAGTTTCCTCCATGCTGTTTTCATGATAGTGAGTGAGTTCTCACGAGATCTGATGGTTTTATAAGGGGATCTTCCCCTTTCACTTGGCACTTCTCCTTCCTGCCGCCTCGTGAAGACAGTGCCTTGCTTCCCCTTTGCCTTCTGCCATAATTGCAAGTTTTCTGAGGCCTTCCCAGCCATGCTGAGCTGTGAGTTATTTAAACCTCTTTCCTTTATAAATCACCCAGTCTCAGGCAGTTCTTTATAGCAGCGTGAAAATGGACTAATACAATATCCCTCATAGCAGATGAAATATTGCATCCTTACCATGGACATCTGTGGTTAATCCATTGGTGTAACTTGACAAACATAGTCAGATGGTGTTTAAAATATATTCACACTTACATAAATAGACATCACTTTAAGCTTACTGCACTACTTATTTCTTAGTTACCTTACATTACGTAACAGGAATAATTTTTTTGTTTTATTTTTCTATAACCAACTGAAAGAATAAGTCATATCCCATTCTAGTATGTTCTGAAATTTTTTAAGGCTTTAATGTTAAAAGTTGTCATTCCTTTTCTTTTCTTTTCTCGTTTTTAGAGACAGGGTCTCCCTCTGTTGCCCAGGCTAGAGTGCAGTGGTGCTATCTCCGCTTACTGCAGCCTTGACCTCCTGGGATCAAGCAATCCTCCCACCTCAGCCTCCCAAGTAGCTTGGGCCATAGGCACATACCACCACACTCAGCTAATTTTTAAAAAATAGTTATTTCTAAAATGATTTTGTCTAAAATGATTCTCCTACTAACATAGGTGATTTTTTTTGTTTTTATAAAAGTTAAATGTTCCCTTATTTTTGAGACAAGGATTTGCTCTGTTACCTGGGCTGGAGCGCAGTGGCATGATCATAGCTTACTGCAGCCTCTACCTCCTGGATTCAAGCGATTCTCCTGCCTCTACCTTTCAATTAGCTAGGACTAAAAGTGTATGCCACCATGCCTGGCTAATTAAAAAAAATAATTTTTTTTAGAGACAGGATTTTGCCGTGTTGCCCAGGCTGGTCTTGAACTCCTGGCCTCAAGCAATCCTCCTGCCTCAGCCTCCCAGAGTGTTGGGGTTACAGACATGAGCCACTGCACTCAGCCAAATATAATTCCTGTCACCACAAATATCTGGCTCAGATTTTCCTTATCTATCTTATAATATTTAAAATTCATAGCTAATGAATTTTAGAATCTTAGTTCTGTTTTCATTAAATAGTCTATTCAACATGTTTAAGTTCTGAAAATGCCTTGATGGACATTGATTGTATACAAATGTTTCAATTTATGGCCTTATAAATGATTTATAATTTGTTTCCTTTTTAAAATGTTGCCATCTGTAATGGTTATACACAAATTCTTTTTTGATTTATTATTTTTATTTATGTTTTTGTTATGTTTGAAACTAAGCACTTGGTTAATTCATCAAAAAATTACTTTTAAAAAAAGTCTGCCAGTGCACTCATTTGAAAATTTGATTTTGCCAAATGACTTTTAAAATTTAGTTTTTGTGCAAACACAAAAATAGCAATTATTTGACTTTATAAAGTAAAATATTTCAGATTACTGGCAAATATTCTTTGAAAGCACGTTTGCTTATGGATAATACAAATAGGATTATTTAGAACGCAGAACATACAATATAATGACCACATGGTTTAAGACATACGTGTAATTTACTGCTAGACATGTTAGAATCTTCTCTAATGACTATGAGTTGTTAAATTTTAAAAATAATTCTCTAGATAATCCTGATATCTTTTTCTTTATTTTTTTTGAGGCAATGTGACTAAATAAATAAAAGTTTAGACACTTTATTTCTTTCTGGTTAATTGTTCTTTTTATTCTTTTTTCCCTTTTTTATTTGTTCCTTTTATTCTTATGTAGCAATCATATTTTTACACTAGCAATAACTTTTCATTCATTCGTAGTAAGAAAGTATTTGCCAGGAACTGTTTCAAGGGCTTTCCATGTATTATTTCATTGAATCCCCTCAAAAACCCAATTATGATCCCCATTTTACAGATGAGGAAGATTAGGCAGAGAAAAATGAGGCAACTTGACTGAGGCCACTCTACTAAGTGATAGAGCCCAGATTTGAGCTGCGTTTCTAGCCCCATAGTCCATGCTCTTCACTAATGTGCAATTTGTTGAGCAATTCCTTTGTGCCAGGCACTATTCAAAGCAATGGATCTACAGTAGTGAATAAGACAAAGTCCTTGACCTCATGGTGCTTACATTCTAGTAGCAGGAGTGGTGGGGTGGGGTGGGAGATTGATGATAAACCAACAAGCAAGTGCAACGGAAGAGCATGTAGAGGGAGACAGAAAAGTGTGGAGGTTGGAGTTTCTATTCTGTACAGGTTGGGCAAGGAAAACCTCTCAGTTAAGGAATAGCTGAAAAGAGAGCCATGTGAGTTGAGAAAGAGCAAAGGCTCTGAAGCTGTGCGTGGGATGTTCCAGCAACTGCAAGGGCATCAGTGAGTCCAAAGTTGAACACATAAAGGCAAGAATGGAAGAAGGTGAAATCAGAGATGTAGCAGGTCTTGATCTGATAAGGCCTTATAAGTCATTGTAAGGACTTTACCTTTTTCTACCAACGAGGTAGGATGCATTAGAGGGCTTTGATCAGAGATATCAGTGATCAGTGATATCACTTATGCTTTTGAGGAATCCTTATGGCTATCATATTTAAAATTGGGTATAGAGGGATGAGGGCAGAAGCAGGAAGGCCAGTTAGGAGACTGCTAGGAAATCCAGATGAGAGATAATACTGGTTTGGACCAGGGTGGCAGCAATGGAGGGAGCAGTAAGTTGTCAGATTCTGGATATAATTTCAAGAGAGAACTGACAGTATTTTCTGATGGGTTGGCTGGTATATAAGGGGGAAAAAAAAGAAGTGAAGAATGAGACAAGGCTGGGCATGGTGGCTCATGCCTGTAATTCCAACACTTTGGGAGGCTGAGGCAGGAGGACCACTTGAGGCCAGGAGTTCGAGACCAGCCTGGGCAACATAGAGAGATACCATCTCTACAACAAATAAAACAATTAGCAGGGTATGGTGGCGCATGCTTGTGGTCCCAGCTACTCAGGAGGCTGAGGTGGGAGAATGGCTTGATCCTGGCCGGTTGAGACTGTAGTGAGTCTTGATCATGCCACTGCACTCCAGCCTGGGTGACAGAGCAAGACCATGTCTCTCAAAATAATAATAATGACACAAAAGAAAGGAGCCAAGTGTTTCTGACATGAGCAAATGAAAACATCATAGTTTCCATTGCCTTAGGTAGAAACACTGAGGAAGGAGGAGACTTGGCTGGTGGTGGGGAGAGGAATTTGGTTGTTGAGATATTAAGTTAGACATTGCCTGCATGGCATCTAAGTGGAAAATGTCTGTGTGCTGTTTTCCATGAATCTGGATGTAGAGGTATAGCTGCAGATATAAATCCGCGGGTATTGGGTATGTAAATCGTACCTAAAGTCACAAGACTGGATACTGTCACCTAGGGAGCGCATAGAGGGAGCAAAAAGAAGAGGCTGAGAACTCACCTCTGCGACACTCCCCCTTTTCCAGGTGGCAGAGATGAGGAGCAACCAGCAAATGGGATTGTGAGAGTGGCGTGTGAGGTAGGAGAAAGAAGAGAAGCGAATCTAGGAAGGCAAGTGATTAGTATGTTTCAAGAAGAGAGGGATCAATTCTATCAAATGCTGACAGGTCGGGTAAGATGAGGAATTACCATTGGATTTCACACCCTGAAGGTCACTGGTGATTGTCAAAAACCGATTGAATAGTGAAAGGCGCAGAATCTTCATTGGAGTGGGGCAGAGAGAAAGTGGAAGGATAATAATTGGAGACAGCAAGGATAGACAGCATTTCTTTTTGCCCTTACAGCCTATTTTATCTAATATTAATATAACTATACCAGCCTTTTTTGGGTCAGTATTTATTTGGTATATCTCTTTCCTTTTCTTTCTATCTTTCTTTCTTTCCTTTTCTTTTTTTTTAGACAGGTTCTTGCTCTGTTGCCCAGGCTGGAGTGCAGTGGCATGATCTCAGCTCACTGCAACCTCTGTCTCCTGGGTTCAAGTGATTCTCCCACCTCATCCTCCTCAGTAGTTGGGACTACAGGCATGCACCACCAGGCCCGGCTAATTTTTTGTATTTTTGGTAGAGATGGGTTTCTCCATGTTGGCCTGGCTGGTTTCGAACTCCCGGCCTCAAGTGATCCGCCCACCTTGGCCTACCAAAGTGCTGGGATTACAGGCGTGAGGCACTGCGCCTGGCCTGGTATGTCTTTTTCAATTTTTTTTTATTGTGGTAAAATATACATAACATAAAATTTACAATTTTAACCATGTTTACTTTTCCATTCTTTTATTTTTAACCTTCTGGGAACTTCGGTTTTTGTTGTGCCTTTTGTAAACAGGTGAAAACTCAGGACAGGATTTAAAATGCTCTAGTACTTTGCACTATGGGTAAAAATAGTTACAAATATTTATGTAGTTTTGGATGCTTAAAAGCTCAACTAGCCTTTACAAGAATAGATACAGAACAAATGAATTAGAGCAGGGAGAAAATGGAATGAGAGAAAATTAAAAACAAAAAATTTGACAGAGAAAAAGGCGACAAAGGAAGAAAAAATAAAAATAGAAAAGGTAGGACAAATAGAATACATTCAATAAGATGGGAGAAATAAATTCAAATATGTTAATAATCATAATAAATGCAATGGATTAAGCTCATCAGCTAAAAGATAAATATTGTCACTGGATTAAAAAATGCAAGTTATAGTCTGTTTTTAGGAGGCATCTAAAAGATAAGGTCAGAAAGGTTGAAAGTCAAAGGATGGTGTAGTTATATTAATAGCAGACAAAATAGATCTTAAGGCCAAAAATACTAAAAACAAGAATAACTACATAATGATAAAAAATTCATTACACTAAGAAGTTTTAATGCAAAAATCATATGCACTTAATATATAATGATCTCAAAACATACAAGACAAAAGTTGATAGAACTTCTAGAATTAAAAATGAGAAATCTATCATGATACCACAGAGCACTTCTACTTGCTGGGATGTAGGAGGACAACTCAGATTTTATGTTGCTAGTGAGTACCTTCAGGTATCACTACACCACTTACAGATATCATTTTCCAATCAAGGACAAAAGAGTAGAGTTGGGGCCAAAAAATCCAGGTTGTAAACTTGGTATGAACTCTACCACAGACTTTATACAAATCCAGGCATTGTAACCTAAACTCTTTAAGTCACAGTTTTCTAATCAGTAAAATGGCAATAAAAATCCCTACCCCTTTGAGATGTGGTGAGGAATAAATCATATAGTGCATGTGGTAGAAAGATCCCCTCCCCCATTGTTTCCCTAGCTGGCTCTGTCTGGACCAGATGACAAGGTACAGGGTAATTTCCCTTCCAAAGTGTCATTCCCTTCTAGGTGCCCAGAAGGTCACTGTTCTTCTATAAGGGATTTATGAGAGTTTTGGGCCATTGAAAATAGGGTTTTCACGTGAAGTTTTTACAATATGTGCAGTGGAATGACATATTTGTTTTAGCAGAATTTTAATACTGTGTTCACTTGTGGCCAACTATGTAGGATGAGATGCTCCAAATGTCTCCTCATTGTCACCTCCATGAGCTATGCCCCATAAACCCTGGGAAAAACTGGATATGAACATGCCCTCATTGGGACCTCAGCCCTCACACCTAGGTTCTCAGCCCCTTTGCCATTTCTTCTTCCTCCTCCTCCTGTTCTTCTCCTTTCTTCTTTTCCTCCTCCTCCTTCATCTTTCTTTCTTTCTTTCTTTCTTTCTTTCTTTCTTTCTTTCTTTCTTTCTTTCTTTCTTTCTTTTTCTTTCTTTCCTCTTTCTTTCTCTTTCTTTCTTTTTTCTTTCTTTCTTTCTTTTCTTTCTTTTTTCTTCTTTTCTTCTCCTTCTCCTTCTTCCTTCTTTTTCCTTCCTCCTCCTCCTCTTCCTCCTCCTTCTCTTCTTCTTTCTTCTTCTCTCCCTCTTCATCCTCCTCCTTCCTCCTTCTTTCTTTCCTTCTCTTCTTTCTTCTTTTTTTCTTTTTTTCTTCTTCTTTTATTCTCCTTTTCCCTTCTTCTTCCTTCTCCCATCCACCTTCTCCCTTCTCCTCCTTCCTTCCTCTTCTTCCTCTTCCTTTTTTTTTTTTTTTTTTTTTTGTAGAGATGAGGTCTTGCTATTGCTGCTCAAGCTGGTCACGAAGCCATTTCTAAACATTTTCTATTCTCATCAGCTGAACAAGAATCTGGACCTAACATTTCTCCCTGCCCAACCCAACCATAATGTATCACCTACCTAAAAGCCATTCTTTTTTTTTTTTTTTTCTAATTTGGTCTTGAGGTCTGT
This sequence comes from Homo sapiens, assembly GCF_000001405.40. Classification (NCBI taxonomy): domain Eukaryota; kingdom Metazoa; phylum Chordata; class Mammalia; order Primates; family Hominidae; genus Homo; species Homo sapiens. The sequence continues at coordinate 47,682,994 of NC_000023.11, forward strand.
CTCATGAGAGTGGCCATAAACTCTAACCCCATCCTGTTGGGGCTCCAGGGAATGTGGTTGTGGGTGTTTACAATGGGCCTTCCAGAGAATTCTTTGTCCTGGTGGGCGGCTTAGTGCCTGTGTCTGACGCATGACCAGGTGTCCCTCTCCCAGAAAACCTGTTCATTCTGGCAGACGCCCTTGTGGCTCTTGTCTGACCTGAGTCCAGCTTATTCCCACCAAGATAGCCACTCTCTAGGAGAGCTCTGACCGGGAGAGAAGTTAGGTTTGGGTGTGTGGGGCAGGTGAGACGCAGAGAGGCAACTCAACAGAACACATGAAGTCATGGAGGCAGCGCATTCATTTCAGGTCCAGACGGAAGAGGGCAGCACACCTCACAGGGCCAAGGGGATGCAGAGAGCTGTCCACGACACACATGCTCAGCCAGCGAGTGGGGACAGAGAAGGGTATGTGGGGACGGACCTGTGGGGTGAAGCCTTTTTGGGGGCCTAGGGCATTACCTGAGCAGCTTTCCCATGAAGAGTTCTAATTGGTGGGTGTAGAGCAAGCAGGCGCAAGTTCCATGGAGTCACCCCGTCACTGGGAGGTGGTCACTGCGGCATATCTGTGCAGTCCACATGGGGTGTGGGGATTAGAGGGGCGAGTCAAGTGGGTTGCGTCTAGCTGTCCGTTGGGGGAGGTGGTCACCAGCAGGTGATTGTATAAGCAGTTATCTGGGTCGACCACATTGAGGAACAGGTGGAGAACTGGAGACTGTGTCAAGGGTGACTAAGCCCTGCTTCTTTCTTGTATGAGAAAGTCCAACTTATATTCAGACTGGATGTCATAAAATTCTAGGAATTCACTACAGCCTTGCTCTGTGGGGTGTAGAAATCCCTTCACATTGGCACTTGGTTTGGGGGAGCCTGTTTTGGAAAGTCCCCACTCTTCCCTCCTGAGGCTGCTAAAATAAACTGTTAAGCCATGTGGTTTGTTTGTTTGTTTTGCTAGCTCCGCTGTGTTAGCCACGAGGATCACAGCCAGTTTCATAACCATACCCCTTTCCAAGTTGCACTTTTCTTTCTCTTTCAGTGGCTTTAGGGCTTCTTGTTTTCCCTTCTTGACCATCTGTAATACAAGAAAGAAGTTGGGAATGGGGTCGTAATGTGTCTGGTAAATCTTATGATTCATTCATAATTGGGAAAATCAGGAAACAATCCAAATATCTCTCAACTTGTGAATGGGTCAGCACATTGTGATTCATCCATACAATGGACTTATTTATTACACAGCCATAAAAAGAAACAAAATTACTGACTAATACAATATGGATGAATTTAAAAAGCATTATGCTGAGTGAAAGAAGCCACACAAAAAATACTCTATTTTGTGTGATTATGTGACTCCATATGCATAGCTCTGTACTGTATGATTATCCAAAACCCTAGAACAGGCAAATCTAGTCTCTAGGGGCAGAAAGAAGGTCATTGGTTACCTGTGATGGGAGACAGTATATAGACTGAGAAGGGGCATGAGGGAGCCTTCTGGGGGAGTATCTATATGCGGATTTGAATGAGTTGTCAAAAACCAGGCATTACACTTATAATGTTTGAGCACACTGTATACTTTACTGTGTATTTTATCCCCCAATAAGAGAAAAGTTAAAATAAAAAACGTACAGATATACCATGGAATATTATGCAGCCATATAAAGGAACGAGATCATGTCTTTTGCAGGGACATGGATGGAGCTGGAAGCCATTATCCTCAGCAAACTAATGCAGGAACAGAATACCAAACACTGCATGTTCTCACTTATAAGTGGGAACTGAACAATACACATGGACACGGGGAGGAGAACAACACACACTGGGGCCTGTTGGGGGTGGGGGTGGGGGTGGGGGTGGGGGAAGGGAGAGCATCAGGATAAATAGCTAATGCATGTGGGGCTTACTACCTAGGTGGTGATGGGTTGATAGGTGCAGCAAACCACCATGGCACACGTTTACCTATGTAAAAAACCTGCATATGCTGCACATGTATCCCAGAACTTAAAATAAAATTAAATTAAAAAAAGAAAATATTGGACTCCAGTTAAGACAGGCTGAATCAGAAACTCTAGGGGTTGAACTCAGCAATCTGTGTTTTACCAAACCCATCAGGTTATTCTGATACACACTAAAGTTTGAGAATCGTGGCACTGAAAAACAAAAACCAAGAAACGTAGAACACAGGATTTACCTCAGAAAAATACCAGCCCATGCCTTTGCAAAGAAACATAGGTGTGTTTTTTCCCAAACTTATCAATGTTTTCACAGATTCTTTCTACTTTTCTAACCTTAGCACCTGCAGGGATCCTCCCTTGTGGCCCTCTCCCTGCTTGAAGTCCCACCCGAAAAGCTTGGGGACATAGCAGCAGCTGCCTCGGTACAGAGGACTAATAAATTTTGTTTGATGCTCTCTCTCCATACTACAATGCCTGGACCGAGGTTAGTGCCATAAATATGTGCCAAATGTATGAAGGTAGGTCTCCCTCAGCTTCCAAGAAGTCATTTCATCTCCTGGACTTTTTTTGAGGTGCGTGGCTCTTTATGACTTATTTGGTTTATGTGCAAGAAAAATCCTTTCTCAGGGAGGGAGGGCTGCAATAGGGTGGAGCAGTAGGGGCTGTTTGTTGCTCTGCTCCCTTAATTTCCATCTTTATCTGTTTCCTAGTGGACCTTTGCCAAGAGTCAGTGTCCTTGTGCATTTCACATAGACAAGCATACAAGTAACTATCTTGCTGGTACAAACTGATCTGAAATGCACATTCCCACAGTATTTCTGATTGTTTCCTTTATTGGAGCATAATTTATATGCAACAAAATGCTTCCATCTTGGGTATATAGCACGTTGAGTTTTTACAAATGTATAGACCCATGTAAATAACCTTCATCTCTACCAAGATACTTCTATTACCTCAGAAAGTTCCATCATAGTCTCTTCCCAGTCAGTCCTCTTCACCAGTCCTAAAACTTCATGTAAATGGAATCCATACAATTGTACTATTTTCTTTCTGGTTTCTTTTATTCAATACACACACACACACACACACACACACACACACACACACCACACATATACATATACATATATATATATATATATATATACTGAATAAATTATATATATTAGAGGGACAGGGTGTCGCTCTGTTATTCAGGCTGGAGTGCAGTGGTGCCATCATAGCTCACTGCAGCCTCAACCTCCTAGGCTGAAGCGATCCTCCCACCTTAGCCTCCCAAGTAGTTAGGACTACAGGTGCACCACCAAGCCCTGGTAATTTTTGTATTTTTATTTTTGTACAGACAGGGTCTTGCTGTGTTGCCTAGGCTGGTCTCACACTCCTGGGCTCAAGCGATCCTCCTGCCTCAGCCTTCCAAAGTGCTGGGATTACAGGTGTAAGCTACCACACCCGGCCTTATTGGGCACGTTGCTTTTGAGATTCCTCCATGCTGTTGCATGTATCAGTTTTTTGTTCCTTTTTATTCTGAATACTATTCCATTGTATGGATGTTCCTCAGGTTTTTTATCCAATCACCTGCCGATGGTTAGTTTGGGGTTATTATGAATAAAGTTGCTATGAACACTCATGAGGGCCACTGGGTTGATTCCTGGAATGGAAACCATAACTTGCTTCAGGAGTGGTCAGTGTTTCTCTTCTCCATGAGTCAGTTTCAGACACTATATGGATTAGTAATTGGCAATCTGAAAGATCAGTGGTTGAAGACCTGCTGGGGGCATGGCATTGGGGAGCCTGTGTTGGACATTATTCAAGGTTCTCATAAAAGGTTGCTAATGGCCCACTCTGGGACATAGTAATTGGTTATTACTGTGGATAAATGTTAGGAGGAACCTGGGCCATGCCAGTGATTGGGGGACCTTAAAATGCCCACTGCAGTCCCTGTAGTTCAGCCATGGGTGGATTCTGCTGGTCAGTGATTGGCAGCCAGAGGAATCAGGGTCATGGTTCCAGGGATTTGGGACCTGAGGTTACCAAAGATCAACAGTCCTAAGTTGGTCAGCTATAGGTGGACCTGATGCTCACCTGATGTTTGGTGTCCATCACCAAAAGAAGGGGATGGGGAAGGTAAGTTTGAGTTTTTTGTCTTTGTCAGAGAGAGCTGTGTAGATTTCCCTGAATGTGCACTGAAATATGTGAAAGATCTGTTTGTGTGCACGAGATATCATCCCTCAGCTGGAACGCTTGCTTAGAAGACGGTGGAAAATAGAAATACCATTTATTGGGAGCCGACTCTGTATGGGGTTCCATATGGCGTTTCAGCTGCTACTATTATATAATGGGCCAAATGATAATCATTGTTATCCAGCTGACAGAGTTGCTGTGATTAAATTAAATGAGGTACCTGACATCTGTCCCCAGAGCCTCAGGGCAGGAGCAGGTGAGTCAGAGGAAGCTGCAGATTCTGGACCTGCTGCCTTGGAGACAGATTAGGATCCTCCCACCAAGAGTGAGCGCCACATGGCTGATGCTGCCACGTCCAGGGCCCTGCGTGTTTCAATGGACTGTGTGACTCAGCTGGTGGAGAAGAGGGGATGTGGAGGGTCTAGCCCCATGGCCTAGGGAAGAAGGAAAAGGCAGCTCCCTGCAGGGTGTCTGAAGGGGAGGTCCGGGTGAGAACAGCCACTGGCCACAGCCAAGGAGATGCTATCCCCCACCCCAGCAGGGACCCTTCCCTTTCATCGGTTCTTTACAGACATCAGCTGATCCCCCCAGAGCCCCGTTCCCGCTCCCCGGCACAGTACTGTTAAATAAACTATAGACTTAATTCAAATTTCACCAGTTTTTCCACTAATCTTTTTTCTGTTTCAGGAATTCCTCCCATGTTTTGTTTCTCAGTCCTTCCTTGCCTTTCATGACCTTGACACTATTGAAGAATACAATTTAGGTATTTTGTAGAATGTCTCTCAATTTAGGTTTGTCTGATGTTTCCCATGATTACACTGAGGTTACACGTTTTAGCAAGAATGCTGCAGAAGTGTTCTTAGGGCATCTTACTGGGAGGTATGTGATGTCGATGTTAACCTTGATCCTTTGGTTAAAGTAATGTCTGCCAGTTTCTCCACCGTAAAGTTCCTATTTTTCCTGTTGTATTTAATAAATATCTTGGAAGAGATACTTTGAGATTATGCAAATATCCTGTTTCTATTCAAACTTTTGCCTGCAAATTTTAGCATCCATTTGGTAGATCATGCTTGCAACAATTATTACCGTGATGCTTGCCCAATAGCAATTTTATGTTTTCTCATTCCTTCTACATTTATTAATTGGAATTCCTCTATAAGAGAAAGCTATCCTGGCTGGGTGCCATGACTCACACTTATAATCTGACCACTTTGGGAGGCTGAGGCAGGTGGATCGCTTGAACCCAGGAGTTCAAGAGCAGCCTGGGCAACATGGTGAAACCCTGTCTCTACAAAAAAAAAAATGCAAAAATTAGCCAGGCATGGTCATGCACACCTGTGGTTCCAGCTACTCAAGAGGCTGAGGGGGAGGATCTCTTGAGCCCAGGAGGTCAAGACTGCAGTGAGCTAAGATTGTGCCACTGCACTCCAGCCTGGGTGCCAGAGCAAGACCCTGTCTCAAAAAAAAAAAAAAAAAAAAAAAAAAAAGCTACCCCTTCTCTTTCTCTCTGATTTATTTATTCAACTTTTAAATTTACATCACTATAAACGTGTGGCTATTTTATTGTACAGATTATTCTTCAATACTATCATTATTTATTGTGTTACTCAAATTATTCCATCTGTGGTAATTGGGAGCTCCTTAAGGTTGACTCCCGTGTCCTTTTAAAATATTTAAATAAACTTTTAATTTAGAAGAGTTTTAAATTTATAGAAAAGTTCCAAAGATAGTACAGAGAGTTTTCATATACCCCTTACCCAGTTTTCCCTATTGTTAACCTTCCATATTGCTATGGTATATTTATCACAAGTAATGAACCATCATTGGTACATTACTGTGGACTAAACTACACACATCCTTTGGATTTTGCTAGTTTTAAAATAATGTCCTTTTTGTGTTCCAGGATCTCATCCAGGATGCCACATTACATTTAGTTGTCACATCTCTTCGGTCTCCACAATCTCCTTTAGACTGTGACAATTGCTTATACTTTTCTTGTTTTTGATGACCTTGAAAATTTTGAGGAGTACTGGTCAGGTGTTTGATGGAATATTCTTCAATTTAGATTTGTCTGCTATTTCCCTCATTACTGGACTGGGGCTTTGGATTTTGGGAAGAATACCACAGAAGTGAAGTACCCTTCTCATCACTTCACATCAGGGGTACATGCCATCAACATGACTTAGCACTGACAATATTAACCCTGATCATCTGGCAGGCATTTGCCAGATTTCTCCACTGAACGTTCCTTGTTCTCCCTTTTTCATACTTTGCTCCTTGGAAGCAAGTCACTAAGCACACACATATCTGGGGGAGGAGTGGGAGGTTAACTACCACCTCCTGGAAGGGTGGTTATCTATTTACACAAGTTATTTGGAATTTTCCAAAGGATTTGTCTCATCTCTCCTGTTTATTAATTTATTCAATCTTGTGTTTACAACAGCACGGACTCATGGACATTTATTTTACTCTGTGGGTTATAAGCCAGTACTACCACTGTTTATTTTGTTCCTCAGATTCCAGCTTTGGCCATGGGGAGCTCCTTCATGCTGGTTCCTGCATCCTTCAGACATGCCCTGTCCTTCTGTGAGCACTGTCTTACTTTCTGACCCCACAAGATATTTCAGGCTCATCTTGTAGTTTCCCTGCTCCAGTCCTGGACTCAGCCACTTCTCCAAGAACCTCTGATTCTTTTTCTTAGAGAATGGTATTGAGAAGCCAAGATCTGGGGACTAAGTGTTCAACTTGTGTTCCACTGTTACTTTAATGTATCCCTGGAATCCAATCAAGAGATAGAAACCACATGGTAGTTTAAATAGAGAATGTTTAATATAACTATTAACTATAACAGGAGATTGGAGAAATGGGGGATTGGCTAGTAAGAGGTAAGAAGAACCCTCACTGCTCCCAAAACAAAGGAGGAATATCAGATTTAGGGAGTAGCCATTGTCCCCAGTGCCTAAGAAAGAGGCCACTCTCCATCTTTCCACCCCCTCTCAGAACCAGACCTCACTGGAAAGGGCTCCACTGTGACCTACTGGATGGCAGAGAAGATTGCTGGGGTGCTTTGGAAATCTGCCCTCTGTAATGCAGAAGGAAGCTGTCCATGGGCAGGAGTCATGCTTTGGAACTCACAGCAAAGTCACTAGAGGGCTGCCGGGGGAAGCTGTTCATAGGGATGTGCCACATGCTGCTGGCCACTGGGCACTGCTGGCCACCTAGAGATGCATTGTGTAAGCCGCAGATGCTGCAGGAGCCTGATGAGGGGAGCTCATGAGAACCAGGAAGAGAAATCTCTTCCTCTTCCAAAGTCTTTCTAGTGCCCTCTACTGATAATTGGAACATTTAGGTGAATTCTTCTGTTTCCCATGTTCTTCAGTGTCACTATGCTATTCATTTTTAATACATGTATGTTCATTTGTTAGTTTATATGCCATTTAGAGTTTCCCCCACATCATAGTCCATTTTGAATTTGATTTTTTTAGGGTATGTGAAACAGTATGGTTCCAAGAGAAAAAGCTGCACAAAAGGTCCCTTCAAAGAAGTGCCACTTATCTCATCCCTACTATCCTGTCCCTTTCCCACCATCCCCTTATAAGTAAGTAATCTCTTTAGTTTCTATTATAGTTTATTCACCTGTATTTCTTTTGCACAAGTGAGCAGGTACATGTATGTCTTCTTATATCCCTTCTTTCTGTGAAGGATAGCATACAGTAGATATTCTTTAGAGCTTTGCTTTTTCACTTACAGATATGTCCTAGAAATTTTTCTGTATTAATTCATGATATTCCTCTTTTTAACAGTTACCTAGTACTCCATTGTGTGTATATACCTTAGTTTGTTCAACTACTCTCCTATGTATAGACATTTATATTTTGTAATTACAATGCTGTAATGAATAACTTTGTGCATTGTATTTTGCTATTGTTAGAGATGTATCTTCAGGATATTGTTAAGTATTCTCCAATTCCCCTCCAGAAGGACTGTACCAGTTTTCATTCCCAACAGAAATATGCAAGAGTGACTGTTCCCCTACAGCTTCACCAACATAATATCTTATCATACTTTTAATATTTACCAGTCCAAAAGATGAGAAATGAAATCTCAATGTTGTTTTAGTGTGCATTTCTCTAATTATAAATGAGTTTGAACTTTAAAAATATGTTTGGTTGAATAATATTCCATTGTGTGTATATATATATATCACATTTTCTTGATCCATTTGTCCATTAATGGACAGGTAGGTTGTTTCCATATCTTGGCTATTGTGAAAAATGCTACAATGAACATGGGAGTGCAGATATTTTCACTAGGTGGTGAAATATTATTCAGCCATATAAAAGGAGGAGATCCTGCCATTTGCCACAACATAGATGGACCTGCAGAACATTATGCTAAGTGAAATAAGTTAGATACAGAAAGAAAAATATTGCATGATTTCACTTATGTATGAAATCTAACAAACAAAACTTAAAATATCCAGATATAGAGAATAAAACAGTGGTTACCAGGTGTATTAGTCCGTTCTCACACTGCTGTGAAGAAATGCCTGACTCTGGATGATTTATAAAGGAAAGAGGTTTAATAGACTCACAGTTCCGCATTGTTGGGGGGGCCTCAGGAAACTTACAACTGTGGCAGAAGGCAAAGAGATGCAGGCACCTTCTTCACAGGGAGGCAGGACGGAGTGAGTGCAAACAGGGGAAATGCCAGATGCTTATAAAACCATCAGGTCTCATGAGAACTCACTCACTATCACGAGAACAGCATGGGGGAAACCGCCCCCATGATCCAATTACCTCCACCTGGTCCCACCCTTGACACATGGGGATTATGGGGATTACAACTGGAGATGAGATTTGGGTGGGGACACGAAGCCTAACCATATCACCAGGGATGGGGTTGGGTGGGGAGGAAATGGGGAGATGTAGCTCAAAGACACAAAGAAGCAGATATGTGGGATGAACAAGTCTAGAGATCTAATGTACAACATGAGGACTATAGGCAATAAAATTGTGCTGTAATAGGGATTTTTGTTAAATAAGTAGATTTTAGTTGCTATTGTCACTAAGAAGTAACTACGTGAGATGATGGATATGTTAATTTGCTTCACTACAGTAACCATTTTACTATTTATATGTATCTCATAACATCATGTTGTAAACCTCAAATATACACAATAAAATTTATTTTAAAAATAAAAAGTATGTTTGGTGACCATCATATATCTTTTTTTGTGAATTGCCTGTTCATGTCTTCTTCCCGCTTGTCTGTAATGTTTTTAGGCCCTTGTCTCTCAATTTTAATAGCCCTTTATATCAGGGGTTAGCAAATGAGGGACCATAGGCTAAATCTGGCCCACCACCAGTTTTTTATTTATTTATTTATTTTATTTTTTTATTTTTGAGACAGAGTTTTGCTCTTGTCGCCCAGGCTGGAGTCCAGTGGCGTGATCTTGGCTCACTGCAACCTCTGCCTCCCGGGTTCAAGTGATTCTCCTGCCTCAGCCTCCTGAGTAGCTGGGACTACAGGTGCATGCCACCACACCCAGCTAATTTTTTGTATTTTTAGTAGAGATGGGGTTTCACTGTGTTAACCAGGATGTTCTCGATCTCCTGACCTCGTGATCCGCCTGCCTCAGCCTCCCAAAGTGCTGGAATTACAGGCGTGAGCCACCACGCCTGGCCCACCCACCAGTTTTTATAACCAAAGTTTTATTGTTGCACACACACACTCATTTGTTTACATATTGTCTATACCGTTTTTACATTATAACTGCAGAGTTGATTGGGTATGACAGAGATCATATGATTCACAAAACCAGAAATATTTACTATCAGGCCCTGCCTTAGTCTGTTTGGGCTGCTATAACAGAATACCCCAGACTGGGTAATGTATAAACAACAGAAATTTATTTTTCACAGTTCTAGAGGCCGGAAGTCCAAGATCAAGGTGAAGGCCCAGTCTCTGCTTCCAAGATGGTGACTTGTTGCTGCATTCCCCACATGCAGTGGGGAAGGTAGAAGGGCATAAAAGGGCCTAAGCTACTTCCCTCCAGCCCTTTTATAAGTCATGAATCCATTACTTTAATCAGTTCCCAAAAGGCCCCACCTCTTAATACCACCACAATGGAGATTAAGTTTCAACACATACATTTTGGGGAACATTTAGACCATTACAAAAGGCCCTCTACAGGAAAAGTTTGTTGATCCCTCCTTTATACATTAGAGATTAGCCCTTGTCTGAGGTATATATATTTCAAGTATTTTCTCCCAGTTTGTCAGTTGTCTTTTGACTTTGTTTATACTTTTCCGTGCACACTAAACAATTTTTAATGTAGTCAAATATATTCATCTTTGATTGCCTGTGGATTTTGAGTCATAGTTAGATACTTTCTCATGATGACTTGAAAGCCATGGTTTCATTCTGTTTGGGATGTTGATTTAGAATTTCCTTCCACTTAATGATTGTTGGGAAGAACTTTCCTTAGTTATGTATGAAATTTCATTTCCTGATTTTCTGCAACAGCTCTCTATGGACTGGATTTTTCTCTTGCCTTTTTGTTTGTTTGTTTTTTGTTTTTTTGAGATGGAGTCTCGCTCTGTCGCCCAGGCTGGAGTGCAGTGGCACAATCTCGGCTCACTGCAAGCTCCGCCTCCTGGGTTCACGCCATTCTCCTGCCTCGGCCTCCCTAGTAGTTGGGACTACAGGTGCCCGCCACCACGCCTGGCTAATTTTATATATATATATATATATTTAGTAGAGACAGGGTTTCACTGTGTTAGCCAGGATAGTCTCGATCTCCTGACCTCGTGATCTGCCCATCTCGGCCTCCCAAAGTGCTGGGATTACAGGTGTGAGCCACCGCGCCCGGCCTTCTCTTGCCTCCTTTTATGGCATTGGGTATTTAACAATAGGCCTAATTTAATGGTATGAAAAAAGTAGGTATAAAGGACAATTTGGGACAATTGCAAAATTTCATTATGGAATATGGATTCGGTAATAGTGTTGTATCAATGTTAAATTTCCTGCTTTTGATAATTTTACTGCATTTATCTTAAGAGAATATTCTTGTTATTAGGAGATACACACTCAAATATTTATGAATAAAAGGAAACAATGTTCCCTTTTTCATGGTTCAGAAAAAATTATACGTATATAAGCAAATGGGGTAAAATGTAAATTATTGGTAAGTTTGGTAAAGAATATATTGTAAGTTTTGTATACTATAATTGTTGCTTTTCCATAATGCACAAATTATATCTCCCTAGACAGGTAGTGAGGTTGGAATTTAGTTTTTAGAGCAACGGACACTTCTGTGCTCCGTGAAGCACATATAAATGTATTAACACATAATAGGAAAAATGCAAGCTTCATGGGGAAAGAGGATGTGTACTTAATACAGATGTTTCTCCATTTATGATGGGGGTTACATCCCTATAAACCCGTCATAAGTTGAAAATATCACTAGTTGAAAATGCATTTAACCTACTGAACATTGTAGCTTAGCCTAACCTACCTTAAATGTGCTCAGAACACTTATATTAGCCTACAGTTCAGCAAAATCATCTAACATAAAGCCTATTTTATAATAAAGTGTTGAATAGCTCTTGTAATTTATTGAATACTGTACTAAAAGTGAAAAACAGAGTGGTTGTATAGGTATTCAAAGTATGGTTTCTATTGGATGCATATCATTTTTGCACTATTATAAGGTAAAAAAAAAAATCATAAGTTGAACCATTCTAAGCCGGGGACCATCTGTACTGAATTTGGTAATGAACTAGATTTTTTTTTGAGACAGAATCTGGCTCTGTCACCCAGGCTGGAGTGCAGTGGCATGATCTCAGCTCACTGCAACCTCTGCCTCCTGGATTCAAGCAATTCTCCTGCCTCAGCCTCCCGAGTAGCTGGGACTACAGGCATGTGCCACCCCGCCTGGCTAATTTTTGTATTTTTAGTAGAGATGGGGTTTTACCATGTTGGCCATGCTGGTCTTGAACTTCTGACCTCAAGTGATTCCCCCCACCTCAATCTCCCAAAGTGTTGGGATTACAGGCATGAGCCATCGCACCTGGCCAAAACTAGATTTTTAAAGACAATTTTTTCGGTAATTTGTGGCTTCAAGCTCATATACACAATTATTTTTACAGGTTGATGACTTTTCATTTCTACATTTATGTGTTGCTTATTGAATCTGAGACAGGAGACATAGAAACAATTTTTAACTGAGGAGTGTAATTTTTGCATAAAACGTTGTTACTATTTTTGCTTTAAACAATTATTTTAAAAGAATTTAAACATGATAAAGATGTCTTTTATATTTACCCACTGCTGTGGAATGAACTGTGTTCCCCTAAAAGTCATGTTGAAGCCCTAACCTCCAGTATGTTGGTACTTGGAGATGGGGCCTTTGGGAGGTAATTAGGTCATGAGGGTAGAGATCTCATGCTGAAATTAACACCCTTATAAGAAGAGAGCTCCTCTTCCTCTCCTCCTCTCCTCCTCCACCACAAATAGAGCAAGAAGGCAGCCATCAGACAGAGAGTCCTCACCAGACACTGAATCTGCTAGTGCCTTCATCTTGAACTTCCCAGCCTCCAGAAATTGGGAATTAAATGTTTGTTTTTTAATCCACCCAGTCTATCTATGGTATTTTGTTATAGCAGCCCAAGTGAAGACACCCACCTATTTAACATATCCATTTGACATTTTCCTTCTGCCTTCTGATTTCACTTAATATTTCTTGTAATGCTGGTCATCTTAATTTATGACAGATATTTTTATGGGGCATAGAATTCTAGGTCGAGAGCTTTAATACTTTCAAGAAGTCCTCTGGCTTGCTTTATTTCTGATAAATAGCCTATTGTTTTTCTTATCTATGTTTCTCTGTAGATAGTGTATCTTTTTGCTTTGATTTCCTTAAATATTTCCTATTTTCAATCACTTGTTTCTACACTTTAATTATGGTGGGCCTTGGTGTAGTTTTCTTTAGGGGCCTATCATCCTCTTGGAATGAATAGATCTCTACCTCTGTATCTTTTAAAGATATAATTGACATATAATAAACTTCACATACGTAAAGTACATTCGATATATTTTTTCATGTGTATATATCTGTGGAACCATAACAGTAAAAATAAGAGCATATCCATCAACACAAAAAGTTTTCTCATATGCCTTTGAGATTCTTCCTATCTCCCCATATTTAGGCAACCACTGCCCTGCTTTCTGTCACCATGGATTAGTTTGCATTTTCTAGATGTGTGTATAAAGGGAGTTATATAATATGTAGTCTTTTGAGTCTGACTTCTTTCACTTAGCATAATTATTTTAAAATTCATCAAACTTGCGTACGTCAAGAAGTCATTCCTTTATTGCTGGGTAGTATTCCGTCTTATGGATATACCAGAATTTGTTTATCCATTTACCTGTTGATGGGCATTTGGGTTGTTTCCAGTTTTTGCTGTTCTAAATAAAACTACTATGAACATTTGCATGCATGCTTCTGTATGCATACATATTTCCTTTCCTTTCGGGTTAATACTTAGGAGTGGAATGGCTAAGTGATGTGGTAGGTATATATGTTAAACCTTTAAAGAAATTGCCGAACTGTTTTCCAAAGTTGTACTATTTTACATTCCCACCAGCAGTGTAGGAGACTTCCACTCCTCTGCATCCTTGCCAAAACTTGGTATGGTTGGTCTTTTTAATTTTAGCCATTCAAACAGGTATAGTGTTATCTCATTGTGGTTTTAATTTGCATTTTCCTAGTGACTAATTATATTGAGCATCTTTTCATGTACTTATTTGCCATCTGTATATTTTCTTTGGTGAAATGTGTGTTCAAATATTTTCTCTATATTTTAATTTGGCCTCACTTCCTATGAATTGGTGGCTCTATTCCCAGCTTATTTTACCATAAATAGGTATAGCTACCTTACTCCCTCCACCAAAGTTAGGAGAACATTATGACTTTAACCAAATAACTTTTCATGCCTCACTCTGACCTCCTTGAGACTACTCTACAGAACTCAGACTTAGAATTCTTTGTAGATGGGTCATATCTAAGACTGAACAAGGATAATTTCAAGCTGGATATGCTGTAACCACTTCCTAAGAGCCTATTAAATTCAATCCCCTTCCTGAAGTCAAGTCAGCAAAAGGAAGTGAACTTACAGGCTGGACTTCAGCCTGGAAGTGAGCAAGGGATAAAAGAGCTAACACATACACAGATTGCAGGTATACGTGTGGTGTGGTTTATGATTGCCACATGATATGGCAACAACAGGATTTCCTAACTGCTGCTGGTACTCTTAAGCATAGTGAGCACATTTGAGCATTTCTAGATGTCTTTCTCCTCCCCATGGAATTCATTTCACATGAATTCAGTTAGTTCACCAAATTAAAGATGACTTGGTAACTCCAGATTACTTCTATGAAATCTTCAGCAAATTGCAGTCACAAATAAGTAACAGATTCAGAAAAAAAAGATATTGGGAGAGAACTGGATGTGCTCTTTATGGAGACAGCAAAACAGTTGCTTGATTTCTCCAGAAGTTATCCATTCTCTGGGATGGGAGTTGGTAAAAATTTGCACACTGTGGCCCATCATAGTCAAGAAAATGTAAAACTATTCTGGGACAACATTGGTGGGGAAATTTTAATCAGGTAGTAGACGAGGTCTCCAATGAACATTCCGCCTGCCAGACTCACAGCCCTGGAAAAACTATAAAAATGGGACATAGGAACTACAGTCTTGAGGACTTTTTGAACATTGACAAATGGACTTTATATAACTTCCTACTGATAGAGGCAGGCAAGGTAGGGTCCTTGCCAAAAACTTCACCTTTGAGCTGAAAAGCCTGAAACCCATGGCCTAAAGTGAAAACTTCTATCCCTGTTCGCCCACTCTCTCCCAATTGGTTCTTTCCGAATAATGCCTTTTTACCAATCAAATATTGCTTTTTCCAAGATTAGCCATGGCCCGCCCCACCACCACAGTCCTGTGCCTATAAAGACCCCAGACTCAGCTGGTAGAAGAGAGAGAGACAATTTGATTTCAGAGAGAGGCAACCTGATTTCAGAGGGATGGCTGGACTTCAGAGAAGAGCTGGCCAGAGACAGCCAGACTATGGGGGAAGATTACCTGTCTGTCTTGTCCCCTTTTCAGCTCCCACTGAGAGCCACTTTCATCACTCAAAGCAATTCTCTGCATTCACTGTCCCTCAATTTGTCAGTGTGACCTCATTCTTCTTGGGCACTGGACAAAATCTTGGGACTCACCGAGTGCAGGTACCTAAAAAAGGCTGTCACAATGGTCCTTTGCTCTTGCTGGCAGAGGACAGCCACCCCATGTGATGAGGCAAAGGTATAACTGAGCTGATAACACACTGCTGTCCATGGATGACAGGGCTAAGAGAGCATTATAATATGCCCTCTGGGGCCTCAGGGGTTGCAGGCACTCCCACCTGGGTGCTGCCACAGGGCCCACATGGAGCTTGTTCCTCCTGGTGCCCAAAGCAGCTGGCCAGATCCCACACTCACTTGCTAGCATTCTCCCTCTCATAAGGGGTTGAGTGTGGTGGGCTGAGTAAGTGGGGCACCCCCGTCACAAGTCCAATGAAGGGGTCGAGAGAATTCCTGCATCACTACGTCATGTGGATCTGAATACATATTTACTGTTTTCTGCCTTTTCTTTGGTTGGCCAAAAGCTTCCCCTGGTTGAAAAGCAGTGGCTCTGTGGCTAAAAACAGTAGGTTTTGTCTTTCCTACTTGGGAATTCCCTGCTTACTTCTCTTACTGGCCGAGATACTAAATTTATGGGGACCATAATTAAGGAACTTTGTAAGGTGCTGCCTATTAGCCAAAAATTACACTTTCCTTACCATCCCTAATCCTCAGAAAAAACTGGAGAGGTACTTTAAAATTAAAACTTGCTAAACTCTCTGAAGACTTATAATTACCTTGGACTAAGGTTCTCCAATTGGCCCCATTGACCATCTGGTGTTCTTCTGGCAAACATAGATTGTTATCTTATGAACTTGTTACAGCCAGACCAATGAAATTGGACATCACATCCCTTATTTTAGACTCTACTTTGTTGCAAGCAGATATGGCTCAATACTATAAAGGACTAATGGGATATACTCAGATTCATCATCAAACAGGTTCAAATTGCCTTTTCAAAGGAGCCACCTTCTAAGCCTCTGCATGACTTACAACTAGAAGGCTTATTCTAATGGAAGAGACACGAGTGAAAAACTGCTCTGGAGCTCCACTGGAAGGGCCTCTACCAGGTCCTCCTTACCACAGCTAAGTTATAAGGAATAGATAATTGGGTCTATGTCTCCTAGATAAAGAGACATTGACCTTTGATGGACTGGACTTCTACTTTCACTGGAAACTGAGAGATCCCTGAAACACTTCTGAGGCAGACAATGGCATGAAGGAGACATTTCCCCAAGAATATAGGAACAAGCAGATGACCTTGAACAGTGCACACCTTCTGCTCAAGATGATGGAACAAAATATCTTTTTGATCTTTATTATTTTCCTTTTCTTCCTAGCCTTGTTTCTTATCCTTTACCTTTTAATTTCTGAATTTGTGCATCTCTATAGAATTACAGTAGTTCTCCCTTATCCATGAGAGATGCATTTCAAGACCCCAAGTGGATGCCTGAAACCACAGATAGTACCAAACACTATATATACTATGTTCTTCCCTACATATACATATCTATGATAAAGTGTAATTTGTAAATTAGGCACAATAAGAGATTAATAACAACAATAATAAAGTAGAACAATTATAACAATACACTATAATAAAAGTTATGTGAATGTGGTCTTTCTTTGTCTCTCCCTAAATATCTTATTGTACTGTACTCGTCTATTTTCAGACCACAGTTGATTAAGGGTAACTAAAACCATGAAAAATAAAATTGCAGATAAAGGGAGACTATTGTATCTCTAAGTGCTGGGCATAAAAATGCCCTTTCCTTTTTTTTCAGAGATAGGGTCTTGCTCTGTCACCCAGACTGGAGTGCAGTGGCACAATTATAGCTCACTGCAGCCTCGATTTCTCAGGCTCAAGCAATCCTTCTGCCTCAGCCTCCTAAGTAGCTGGGACTATAGGTACAACACCATGCCCGGCTAATTTTTATTTTTTTTGTAGAGATGGGTTCTCACTATGTTGCCCAGGCTGGTCTTGAACCCCTGGCCTCAAGCAGTCCTCCTGCCTTGGCATCCCAAAGGGCTAGGATTACAGGCATGAGCCACTGCACCCTCTCCTTATTTCTCTGCCACATTTCATTTCTCTTCTCTCCTTTCCTTAATGCCCAAAGTTCTTGGATTTTTTTTTAAGATTTATGATTATGAAGCTAATGTCACCTATGATTTTTGCTTTTGCTCACTTTTTTTTCTGTCAGTTCCATTGTACCTTCACAAATACTACTCGTTCCTTACTTGTTCTTGACCCTGAGAGAACTCTCCACACCACTATTGCTGTTGTTTGGGGCATAGTCCCCAAACTGGGTCTCTGACAAATCTCCAAGATTAACAAATTATATTCTGAAGAGGTAGAACTTGTTTTTCTGGAAAGGCTGAAGCAGGTAGATGTTGTTGGTCTGGCCTCAACACTATCTTCACCCAGGCAAACCACAATGATAAAAGTATGAGTGTTTTTTAGATGCTGGAGAGACCCCAGGTGATTCGTATTTTGTTTTGAGGTCTAAGGATTGCTGATTTTTGCCAGCAAATTGGACAGGGTCATGCTGTCTTTCCCATCTCTTTCCTCTTTCTGACTATACAATTGGACTGAGTTTGAACAATTTATCACATTTTTAGTTCAGAAGTTAAATCCTAGTTCCCAAGCCAGAAGAAAAATCCACCCTCTGAAAAAATGCCCATTCTTAGTAGGTGATGAGAGGGACTGTGTGAAGAAGCTGAAAGACTTGGAATCAATCGAAGTGAGATCTCCACACTCAGCGAAATGTTTTATGTTGCATCCATCCCTTAAGAGATTAGCCCTGTGGACTATTCAAGTTCTACACAATGCCTAGTTTTCCAGGCTTTCATTTGTGAAGCCACCCAAGCCACTAACCATGTTACCAAAAATACTGACACACTCAAGAAATTCAGGAACTCCGGAAGGCTGGTGTTCGTCGTTGACTGGCATTATAGATCATCCTGGCATCTATGGGAGGTATATGCGCCGCTGTTGAGGATGAATGACATACACAGATTCCAAAAACCTTTCTGATGTCTTTTTGGTGAATCAACACATCTGTGAAGCCAACCAAAACATTTATCAGGTAAGCAACAGAGTTCTGATTCCTGGGACCTATGGGCTGTCATCAGGTAGATAGGGATGGGACATGTTTCCCTGGATATTCTGAACAGGGACATCATTCTGAGGATATACTTTTCTCCAAAGGCTCGGAAGCTTTTACTATTTTTCCTGATAGGAATATCTCTAATCAAATGCATTCTATCATGTTTAATTAAGACCACCAGTACTGTCCTGTCCAAACAGATGATCCAAACTACAATTAAGGAACAAAAGATCAAAGAACAAACTGCTCCTCCACTGCTCATCGTCGGAGCCTTCTTTACTTAATTCTTGAATCTTATACATTCCTGTACTTTTGTTTTATCTCTCTATAGATTTGGCCAGTGAAGAAAGGAGTTTATTTTGGCCAAGAGGAAGAGTTATAAAAGAATGAAAACAAACCTCAGTTTTTCTTGTTTCAACCTTTGCCTCCTTTCCCTTGTTTTCTTATTCTCCACTCCACACCCACTTCTTAAAAACTATCTCCTTCCCCCTTGAACCTTAAAAAACTGCGAGGATTAAAAAAAACAGCTCTCAAAGAACTGTTCTGAAAGTTGCAGGCATGGGATTGCACCAATAATCCTGAGCAAAAAGCATGAAAAACTGGATCAATTTATCAGTGGTTCCAACCAGAAATTTTCAGCAGGTACAGATAAAAAAAATTGCAACTGGGACCAGACTGCATTCATATACCCTTCTGTTCTTCTTGCCTAACATAAACTAATTCTGCTTCAGTACAGGAGGCTTCTTGTTCTTAAGATTTTCACTGATGCACATCAGTTGAATAAAATATTTAAACACTATTTGAGTGACATTATTTTTTTTCCTCTTGATAGGGTCATGTTGTGGTAATTAAGGGGTTAATTAATCAAAAGGATATAACAATCTTCAATGTTAAGGGATCTAATAACAAACAGAGCTTCAAAATATGTCAAATAAAACCTGATAGAACTGCAAGGAGAAATACATAAATTTACAATTACAGTCAAATATTTCAACACTCCTATCTTAATAATCAATAGAATAAGTAGACAGAAAATAAGTACATACAGTCCCAGCTACTTGGAAGGCTGAGGTGGGAGGATCGCTTGAGTCCAGGAGATGGAGTCTGCAGTGAGCCGACATTGTGCCACTGCACTGCAGCCTGGGCAACAGAAACCCTGTCTCAAAAAAAAATAATAATACTTTTAATTCTTTAAAAGCCTGATTTTTTTCTTTAGTTGACAGTATTTTTCAGTTCTAAAATTTCCATTTGGAAATTTTATGATGGCAGAGCCCTCATGAACTAATCACCTTCCAAAGGCCACACCTCTTAATACTGCCACATTAAGGATTAAGTTCCAACCTACGAATGCTGGGAGACACATTCAGATTATAGCAGGCCCCCTCCATTTTCTCCTGAACATGCATGCAGATTTGCTCATGTGCTGTCTTCCAGACCGCTTGGGATAAGTAGGATCTTATCAAGGCCTTTTTTGTCTGTCTCATTCCCTGTATCTCCCTGTTAAATTTATTACTGAACTGTTGATTTATTACTTACCCCAGTCAGTATCAAGACCTCAGAATGTCTCTGATATTGACCTTTCCTGGTTGTTAGCCACTGAGATCACTGTTGTTTTATTGTTTGTTTGTTTTTGTTTTGAGACGGAGTCTTGCTCTGTCGCCGAGGCTGGTGTGCAATGGTGCGATCTCAGCTCACTGCAACCTCAGCCTCCCGGGTTTAAGCAATTATCTGCCTCAGCCTCCAGAGTAGCTGGGATTACAGGCGCCCACCACCATGCCCGGCTAATTTTTTTTGTATTTTTAGTAGAGACAGGGTTTCACCATTTTGGCCAGGCTGATCTTGAACTCCTGACCTTGTGATCCACCCGCCTCAGCCTCCCAAAGTGCTGGGATTACAGGTGTGAGCCACCCCGCCCAGCTGTATTCAGAATTTTTATAAGGGCCAGGAGTAATACTTTTGTTTCTTGACAGATTTTTCACAAGTCCATTTAATGTCTAGATTTTTATGTTCCACTTGCCCTGAGGATTGCAGATGGTATGGGGCATTAAATTTTAATGAGTACTCCAGAGATTTTGCAAGCAAGAGGTTTATCTCTGATGTAAAATGAGTTTCTTTGTCTGACTCGATCCATAAAGGGATGCCAAAGTGAGGTATCATCTCAGTTATCAATTTCCTCACCACTGTTGTGCCATTAGAACCTCCAATCCATCCATGAAACCTGCAGACTATAGCCAAAGAGCAGGACAAGCCAAGGCTGGAAGTAAATCTATGAAATGTATCTGGAGTGCTGCAAGGAGAAGCGTGGGCCTTGGAAGACTGCCTGAGGAGTGTTGGTTTCCTCCAGAAACGTGATGAGATTTACAAGTAATGCATTGGGAAATAATTTGGACAGAAATTTTGTAGATCCCAGGGTAAAATCAATTATTCTTTAGTTCCTCAACTATCCCTCATATGCACATATGTCCCATCCAATGAGACATAAGTACAAGCCAAAAGGTTAAATGAAAAGGGGCCACAGGAAGTCCATTTGGCCCAATATACAATCCATCTGATAATTACTTGGCACCCTTTTGTACCCATTTATCTTTTTCATATTTTGGGGCATTTGCCTGAAAATGAATAATATCAGGTAGGGATAAAGGTAAGTTTATAAATTGGGTGGAAAAATAAAAAGGGGGTCAGTTTTTGGCTGTGTGCTTAGCAGCCTTTTCTACCCTATCATTCCTAAAGATATAGTGTCAGTCTCCTTAGTGTGAGATGGACAATGAACAATAGCAATTTTAGTATGAAGGTGAACAGCCTGTGATAAGGCAGCGATTATATGTCCATTAGCAATAGGAGTACCAGCAGAGGTTCAGAATCCACGGGATTTCCAGATTGTGCCAACAGCATGACAGACTCCAAAAGCATATCGGAGTCAGTGTAAATCATGTCAGTTTTTCCTTTTGCCAATGTGTAAGCTCTAATAAGAGCTATAGGTTCAGCAGCCTGGGCTGACTTTATAGTCAGCAAAGAGTATGCCTCAAGCGTTTCATGTGGGGAAACTATGGCATAGCCAGTTATTATGTTTCCCTTAAAATTAAATTTGCGAGAGCCATTACAAAATAGCAACACGGCTAGGTTGTCTAAAGGAGAGTCTGAGAGATCCCTTCATGGCTTTGAACTCATTTCTATAGCTGCTAGGCAATCAAGTGGAATGGAATGAGGCTCTTCATCATCAGGGAGGGGTAGGAGTGTAGCAGGATTTAGTGTCACAAAGGCGTAAGATGATGGAGGGATTGGTTCACAGGGCTTGCTCCTAGGTGCTCTGTCCATGTGTAGAGAGGTGCTGCATCTTAAGAACTTGAAAGAGAGCGGACACAGCATGGGAAACATTGAGGTGGATGGGGGAACCTAATGTATGGGTGCTGGCACCCATACATTAGGTAATACAGTAATTAGGGCGGCAGCTGATGCTACTGCATGCAGGCATGGGGGCGTGTCTGCTGCCACAGTATTCCATTGGCATGAGAAATATGCTACAGGTTGTATCTGAGAGGCAAAGGGTTGCCCTAGAATACCTGCAGCAATCTCACTATTTTCATGACAATAGAGGTGAAAACGTTTATCAAAATTAGGTAAGCCAAGAGCAGGGGGTAGGGCAATGCTAATTTTGAGGCTTCAAAAGAAGTTAATGCCTCTGAAGGCCAGAGAATGGTCTCTGGAGTGGTATCTGGAAGGAGGGCATATAGTGGGTTGGCAATAGCCACAAAATTAGGACTCCATGGTGGTCAATAGCCAGCTGCCCCTAGAAATTTACACAGCTGCTTTTTCATTTTAGGGAGAGGAATGGATAAAACTGACTCGAGGCATTTTGGGGTGAACTTCTGAGTGCCCTGAGGTATTTCATGTTCTAAGTAAGTAACAGTTGTTTGCACTAACTGAAGTTTAGATCTAGAGGCTTTATGGCTTCAGTCAGCTAGTGCCTTTAGGAGAGTGAGGGAGCGTCTTTAAGGGTATCCTATTTAGTTTGGTTACAAAGCAAAAGGGCAAGGTCATCAATATATTGCACAAGAATGGAGTCTTGGGTGAAGGCTACAGAATTCAAGTAGGCTTTAAGGATTAGAGAGAATTTTGAGAGTGACTTACAATATCCCTGAAGCATGCGAGTCCATGTTAATTGCCTCCCTCTAAATGTAAATGCAAAGAGAAACTGAGTCAGGGTACAACGGAAAGGAAAAGAAAGCTGAGCAGAGGTCAACTACATCACCAGGAATTGAGGTAGGGATAGTAGCTGCATTGGGGATAACAGGGTGGCAGGGAATTACAAATCTTGTACAACTTACAAATCTTGTACAAATAGATTTGATTTCCATTGGAAGCAAATTTTCTTTCTTTCTGTACTGGTAAGATTGGGGTGTTACAGGGTGAAGTGGTGAAAATGAGTACACCTTGCTGCAAAAGGGAGTCTATGATAGGTTCAATTCCTCTCTCTGCATCTTGTGAGAAGGGGTACTGAGCTACTACTGATGGGAAATGTTTGTTCCTTTTTCATGCAATGTGTACCGGTTCTGTACTCAGTAGTAGTCCAATCTCACTTGCACATTAAGCCCAGAGACAAGCTGGGACATCTTTTAAGATTGCATCCTCTTTAGAGGAATTTAAATCAAGGGGGGTTTCCATGAGAGAGCGTGTTAACTTTAATACTAAGGTTAATAGAAAGTTTGAAGTTTGGGCTGAAGGCAGAGACATAAAAACGCCTTCCTTATTACATTGTATGGCAGCATTAAACCTACATAATAAATCCCTACCTAAAAGGTTTGCTAAGTGAGGAGTCAGAAACTAGAAAGGCATGGCAGGTGTTAAGAGGGCAAAGGATGTTGGGGTGTCCTGAGATATGGGCGATGAAATAGGTTGCCCAGAGTTTTCAATAGCTTGAATAGAGGCAGAGGTAACAGGTAGAGATAATTCTTCTGAGTGAATAGTAGAGGAAGTCCTATCAGTGTCAATTAAATCCGGTTCTTAATCCTCTACTTTAAGTTCAATGGTGGGCTTTGAGGTGCAACTGAGGATCAGCTGACCCCATCAATCAATGTAGTATTGTCCCAAAGGAGGGGAATAATGAGCCTTCTAAAGGTGTTGGATTCTAGGGAGAGTTTCTTCCTTTTTTTTTTTTTTTTTTTTTGTACAGGACAGCAATTTTTCCAATGCCTCTGCCTTTTGCAATATCTGCAAATTTCAGAAGACAAACTAGAAAAATCTTGTGGCTGACCAAAGATATGAAAGAACTTTGAGTCATTCTTAGAGGCACGCCTTTGTTTCTGTAACAATTCAAGCCGCAAGATGACTTGATTTTAGTTCTTTTTTTCCCTTTATTTTCTTGCAAGCTATTTTCAAATAATTGAGTGCCTGCTTCCATTATAATGCTTACAGACTGACCAGCCCAACCACTATACTAGTTTGGATTTGCCTTTTTGTATCAAGAAGATTTCCGGCCAGAGCAGAAACTGGAATATTTCTATGCTCTGGAGCTTCAGGATGTAATGCTGCATGCCTTTGAAAACCTTGTATACGTCTCTTGACAAAAGCCTTGGGGTGCTCTCCCTCGTTCTGAATACATAATTCAACATTAGACAAATTTACCTTGGGAGGAGAGCCTCTAATATTGTCCCTATCAGGCCCCTGAATATCAGCAACTAGTTGGGCCTATCTCCTCATTTGCAGGAGGGCCAGGAAGGGGTTCCGGCCATCTGTTCACTCTGTGGAGGGAGTTTTCCCCAGGAGGCCGTCTGGCCTGTCTAATAACTGCAGTATGATCATGAGAGGGAAATACACCCCTTAGCAGCCAGTCAAGGTCTCTACGTATGGGGTTACAGATGGCCAATGATCTCTCCAACTATTCTCTGAACTTGGTAAGTCCTTCTGAAAGTGGGGGCAAAATTGCTTTATAATTTAAAATATCTGTTGCTCTCCAGGAGACGTGAATTCTTTGAGAAGGGAGTCCAGGATACATTTACAGAGGGCATTGCATAGAGAGGTCTGGAGCTGATGGAGTCTGATTACAAAGCCTTGGGAAATAAGAGAGGTTTCAAGGCACAGAAAAACAAGTCTTGTTGGGTGTCCTTGGAGCCTGTGCCAGATTTATTTTGTGGTAGTCAGTTCTTACATAAATGACCTCTAAGCTTCAGGTTTTAAGACCAGGCCTGATTTGGGCTTTTAAGATCAGGAGGGTTTTTGTAAATCATCCAGGGAAAGAGAGATAAAAGAAGGCAGCTGGATGTCTAAGGAGTTTTTCCGGGGTTTGGAGGAGCAGAGAGAATTTGTTGAGAAGATAGAGGAGGAGGGAGAGGCTGAGGAGATGGGGCTGGATCTTGAGGAGGGGGGGTTCAATTCAGGGGCCCAGAGAGTGAATAGATCCTCTGGTGGGTCAGGGACATGGAGTTGGGGTGTGAGTGGAGAAGGGTGATTTATAGTGGGAAGGGGGATTTATAGTGGGAGCAGATTTCAACTTTTGTTCTAGGTCTGCTTTTGTTCTTTAATTTTGTTAAGGAAATTTTTAGGGCTAGTAATAATACTTTTCTGAATTTTTTGTTCTGCCTGATCTTCCCATAAATACAATAAGCAAATAGTTTAGAATAAGCGTTCTCTAAAATTGTTTTCAAATAAATTTGAAATAAAATTTTTCTTTCTAATTCAAAGGATCTGTCTTCTGGTCATTGACAATTAGGATCTTCATTGGTGTATAGATTCCAATTGCGACTTAATTCAATAAGGCTTTTATGGAAGGACCACGTGGTAACTTTCCAGGCTTAGGAGAAATCTTTACTAGGGATGCAAGGAGTGTTCCTGGAGTGGGTGCAGAAGATGCAGCCCCCATGATTCAAAAATTCATTCTCAGAGATAGATTAAGAAAGCAAAGACCTTGGCTGGTGCAGTGGCTCATGCTTGTAACCCCAGCATTTTGGGAGGCCGAGGTCAGAGGATTGTTTGAGCCCAGGAGTTTGAGGACAGCCTGGGCAACATAGTGAGATTCCCATCTCTATAAAAAATGTGAAAATTAGCTGGATGTGGTGGTACGCTTCTAGTCTCAGGTACTTGAGAGGCTGAGGTGGAGGATCACTTGAGCCTGGGAAGTTGAGGCTGTAGTAAGCTGTGATCATGCCACCGCTCTCCAGCCTGGACTACAGAGTGAGACCTTGTCTCAAAGGAAGAAAATGATTACAAAATAAATAAAGTTTTAATAAGTTTTAAAAAAGAAAAAAGAAAACAAAGAATTTTGTGGCTACAGGCAGTTAAGGGTCTCTGGGCTGATGGGATTGCTCCTGGGATTGCAGTCAAGTAGAGATTTAGCTGGGCCACATGGTTGCTAGCTGGGTATGCAGTGGGGTCTGCAGTTGGTGGTTCTAGTACCAGAGTCCTAGGCAGGTGTGGATCCTGCATGGTGTCTGGGCCAATAGAATTGCTTCCAGGACCTTGGTCAGTGGGACTGGTGTTGGGACAAGGATCCACTTCAAGGTCTGCAGTTGAGTACACAGACAGCAGCCCTGTTACCAGGTGTGTGAATGCACATGACTCCCACCAGTTCCCTGGGCCATCTCCTGCTGGGTTACTGGGTAGGTCACTAAACAGGCAGGATTGGCTCTGGAATGTGGCTGAGAGAGGCTAGAACCAAGTCACAGGGCTGCTTCAGGGTCCACCGCTGGGACTGACATCTGCAGTTCTGCCTCTGGAAATATGGATAGGTGTGCCTCCTGCTGGGTTCCTGTATGGTCATGACTGCTCCCAGACCATGGCTGACAGGTCTTTTTCAGGGATGGTTTCTGTTAGTTTATTTTTTCCCTTGAATGGGCCATACTTTCCTGTTTCTTTGTATGCCTTCTGATTTCTTGTTGAAAACTGGACATTCAAATGTAATAATGTAATAACTCTGTATATCAGATGCTCCCCTTTCCTCAAGGCTTTCTATTATTTATTTACTTGTTTATTTAATTGTTGTAGGCTGTCTCTGTGCTGAGAATCACCCTGAGGTGTAAATTCAGTCTTCTCAGGTCTTTACTAAGCCTGAGTCCCTTCCCCTGGGCATGTGTGGTGACTTTCTAATTTCCCCCATATGTATGGTTGCTTTTGAGTGTACTATGGCTGGCTCCCAAAAAAGGGAAAAAGAGAAAAATGAGAGAGAAAGGCACTGACCCTTTAAATCTCCTGGAAATCACATCAGTGGGGGTGGGTGGATGGGAGGTGAGGTTGTTTGTTTGTTTGTTTGTTTGTTTGTTTGAGACAGAGTCTTGCTCTATCACCCAGGCTGGAGTGCAGTGGCATGATCTTGGCTCACTGCAACCTCCAGGAGGTGAGGCTTTCAACAGTAGTGGGAGGTGTAACAACAATGGCTGCTAATTCATTTTCTGCAATTCTGTGATCAGAAGCAGTGATCAGTGATCCAAGCACAGATCCCTGATACTGGAAGATAGAGTTCTTTTTGCCTACTCTGCTCCTGCAAGTTGTGTGCAAGCTGCTCCAGGAACATGCGCACGGCTGTTTGCCATAGGGCTGAAAAGTCAGGGATGGGGAACTGCTACTGTGCTAAGAGCTTAAATTGACTGAAATTAACTGCAACTCACCATTTAGGCTTCCCCTGGAAATTGCAAGCCTTTGACAGACTCCAGAGTTCCAAAATAGTTATGTCAGACAGATTATGTCAGTGTAACTGTTATTTCTGTGGGGAGGTGGATTCCTGGTGCTTCCTACTCCACCACCTTCCCAGAATCCTCCTCTAGTCAACACTTTTGTTTTTCACAGAGTTTCACTCTGTTGCCCAAGATGGAGTGCAGTGGTTCAATTATAGCTCATTGCAGCCTGCAACTCCTGGGCTCAAGTGATCCTCCCACCTCAGCTTCCTGAGTAGCTGGGACTACAGGCAAATGCCACCACACCCAGCTAATTTTTTATTTTTTGTAGAGACAGGGTCTCATGATGCTGCCCAGGCTGGTGTCAAGTGATCCTCCTGCCTTGGCCTTGCAAAGCACTGAGATTACAAGTGGGAGTCGCCATGCCTGGCCTTAGTCAACTAATTTTTTTTTTATGAAGTACAAAGCCATTTCAATGGAGAAAGTATTGTCTTTTTAATAAAGGATGCTGGATGTTCTCACTTGTAAGTGGGAGCTGAACAATGAGGATACATGGACACGGGGAGGGAAAGAGCATACACTGGGGCCTGTGCTGGGGGATGCGGGGAGAGGGAGAGCATCAGGAAAAATAGCTAATGCATGCTGGGCTTAATACCTAGGTGATGGGTTGATAGGTGCATCAAACTACCATGGCACACATTTACCTATGTAACAAGACTGCACAGCCTGCACATGTATCCCGGAACTTAAAATAAAATAAAATAAAAATAAATGATGCTTGAACAATGGACTATCCATATACAAAACAAAACAAAAAACAAGGCAAACTTCAACTTAACCTAACACTTTACATGAAAATCAATTCAAATAGACCATAGACCTATTGGTAAAATATAAAATTATAAAACTTCTAGAAGAAAACATAGGAGGAAATCTTTGTGACCTTAGGTTAGGCAAAGAGTTTTAGACATGATACCCAAAGCATGATCCATAACAGAAAATACTGATACATTGGACATTATAAAAATCAATTACAAGTACAGAAACAGTCTGCAGAAAAAGGTTAAATTCAGAGTATCTGCTCCTGGAATGGTTCATGTTCTTGTTCCCTCGAATCTGGATGGACAATCTAGTGTTTGCCTCTAAGGACATGCCAGTCTGCCAACAAAGCACTTAACATCTAGTGTATCTGGGCAGTCAGAAGAGACCAAAGCTGTAAGTCAGTAATCACCAGCAACTGTTGTAGGAGCACTGTGCTGGGAGGAGAGAAACCTGTAAAATACACAGCAACACTGAGCAGAATGACAGAAATGCTGTGGGAAAACTGAGGAAGGAGGAGCAAAGGGTCTGAAAAAGGCTTCCCAGTGGGGCAGGCATCTGAGGTGAGTCTTGAAAGATAAGCTGAATGTTGACAGGCAAAAATAGACAAACACAGATGTGAGAGGTTCAGGCAACACTCCCCCACCCATTATAATTCCAAGAAAATAAAAGGAATACCCATCACTGTTACAATTATGCTTACAAGTGCATTCAGAAGAGGGGCAGTTCACCCAGTTGGAAAGGAAATAGAGTTTTCCAGATGGCGATGCCAAAGCTTAGTCTTGCAGGGTAAGCAGGAATTAGCAAAAGTAAAGGAAAGGCAAGCCTCAGTAAAGACCCTGAACTCGGAAGCCCATGCTGGATCAACAAGAGAGCGAATACTCCCTGATTGCTCGACGTTTAGAGAGGCTGGGAACCGGACTTGTTTTACAGGCAAGTGGGGCCCTGTCATAGAGAACTTGGAAAGACACGCTATAGAGTGGAGCCCTGATCCTGAACATCTTGGAGATCCAGGAAAGATTCCTAAGGAGGATGGTGACATTTTTTTTCTTTCTTTCTTTCAACAGGGTCTTTCTCTGTTGCCTGGGCTGGAGTGCAGTAGCACGGTCATGGCTCACTGCCACCTCAGTCTCTCAGGCTCAAGCCATTCTCCTGCCTCAGCCTCCCAAGTAGCTGGGACCACAGGTG
The DNA here is from genome assembly GCF_000001405.40 of Homo sapiens. Classification (NCBI taxonomy): domain Eukaryota; kingdom Metazoa; phylum Chordata; class Mammalia; order Primates; family Hominidae; genus Homo; species Homo sapiens. Next base: position 47,712,105 of record NC_000023.11, read on the forward strand.
TGCACCACCATGCTCACTAATTTTTTGTATTTTTTGTAGAGATGGGAACTCACTATGTTGCCCAGGCTGGTCTCGAACTCCTGGGTTCAAGCGATCCACCCATCTCAGCCTCCCACAGTGCTGGGATTAAAGGTGTGAGCCACTGCGCCTGGCTGATGGTGATATATTTCTTAATCCATGGCCCTTTGGGAAGACGACCTTGGAGGCAAACTGGATTAGCCATCCACATCTCAGAGACAGGAGTTCATCATGATGTAAAATATGAGAAACCTGAGTGAAAGAAAAACAGCAGTAAAGAGACAGGAGACATTAGAGAAGTAGGTTTGAAGTCAGAAGTGAAGAGGATCAAAAAGTTATTGATGATGCATCTGAGAGGGCCACAACAATGGCTGCTGTTTCATTTTCTGAAACTTCGTAATCAGAAGCAGTGATCAGTGATAGTAGCACAGATCCCTCATATTGGAACAATGCAAAGGAAAATAATTCAAAGGAAAGTTAAAGTACACCTTAGCTTGGATACTGCAAGTACTATTTATCAACTTTCACAGCCACAGAGTGGTAACACTTTCTTTAGAGTGACACAGTAGGAGCACCATCATATTGGACAAACACTGCCATTTTAAGTTCCAGCTGCCTTTCCAGCTTTGTGCATTTCAAGGAAATAATTTCTCTTCTAACAACAAGCAGCCAGAAAGAGCAGACAGTAAAACACAGATAAGACAGCTTGGGCACAGAGGGAGGAGCGGGGGAAGTCTCTTGAGTAACTGCCAAACTTCACCCTCATACAATGGGCCCCAGTAAAACAGTGGGCCTTAATAAGCACATTCCTTTCCCTTCAGGTGCACTAAGATAAGGAAGCTAAAAGCAGACCAGGGGCGGGGAGGCCGGGGTGGTGTATGCCTGCGGCTGCAGGAAGATGTATGGGAACAGACACAAAACTCTCCCTCCCAGATAAGCACAGCAAAGAGACACAGACAATCCAAGCCTCTGATAAACTCTCCCACCCTGAATCCTTAAAAACTCTTCGTCTGACAACAGCAAAAAGAGAAAATTTCAGGCCAGTATCCCTGATGAACATCAATGCAAAAATCCTCAATAAAATACTGGCAAACCAAATCCAGCAGCACATCAAAAAGCTTATCCACCATGATCAAGTCAGCTTCATCCCTGGGATGCAAATCTGGTTCAACATACGCAAATCAATAAACGTAATCCATCACATAAACTGAACCAATGACAAAAACCACATGATTATCTCAATAGATGCAGAAAAGGCCTTTGATAGAATTCAACACTCCTCCATGCCAAAAACTCTCAATAAACTAGGTATTGATGGAACATATCTCAAAATAATGAGCTATTTATGACAAATCCATAGCCAATATCATACTGAATGGGCAAAAGCTGGAAGCATTCCCTTTGGAAACTGGCACAAGACAAGGACGCCCTCTCTCACTGCTCCTATTCGACATAGTATTGGAAGCTCTGGCCAGGGCAATTAGGCAAGAGAAGGAAATAAAGGGTATTCAAATAGGATGAAAATAAGTCAGATTGTCTCTGTTTGCAGATGACACGATTGTATATTTAGAAAACCCCATCATCTCAGCTTAAAAACTCCTTAAGCTGATAAGCAACTTCAGCAAAGTCTCAGGATACAAAATCAATGTGCAAAAATCACAAGCATTCCTATACACCAACAATAGACAAGCAGAGAGCCAAACCATGAGTGAACCCCATTCACAATTGCCACAAAGAGAATATAATACCTAGGAACACAACTTACAAGGGACGTGAAGGACCTCTTCAAGGAGAACTACAAACCACTGCTCAAGAAAGTAAGAGAGGACACAAACAAATGGAAAAAAATTCCATGCTCGTGGATAGGAAGAATCAATATCATGAAAATGGCCATACTGCCCAAAGTAATTTATAGATCCAATGCTATTCCCATCAAATTACCATTGATGTTCTTCACAGAACTAGAAAAAACTAGTTTAAATTTCATATGGAACCAAAAAAGAGCCAGTATAGCCAAGACTATCCTAAGCAAAAAGAGCAAAGCTGGAGGCATTACACTCCTTGACTTCAAACTATACTACAAGCTTACAGTAACCAAAACAGGATGGTACTGGCATCAAAACAGATATATAGACAAATGGAACAAGACAGAGGCCTCAGAAATGACACCACACATCTACAACCATCTGATCTTTGACAAACCTGGCAAAAACAAGCAATGGGGAAAGGATTCCCCATTTAATAAATGGTGCTGGAAAAACTGGCTAGCCATATGCAGAAAACAGAAACTGGACTCCTTCCTTACACCTTATATAAAAATTAACTCAAGGAGGATTAAAGACTTAAATGTAAGACTTAAAACCATAAAAACCCTAGAAGAAAACCTAGGCAATACCATTCAGGACATAGGCATGGGCAAAGACTTCATGACCAAAACACCAAAAGCAATTGCAAAAAAATGCTAAAATTGACAAATGGGATCTAATTAAACTAAAGAGCTTCTGCACAGCAAAAAAAACTATCATCGGGGTGAACAAGCAACCTACAGAATGGGAGAAACTTTTTGCAATCTATCCGTCTGACAAAGGTCTAATATCCAGAATCTACAAGGAACTTAAACAAATTTACAAGAAAAAAACAAACAACCCCATCAAAAAGTGGGCAAAGGATATGAACAGACACTTCTCAAAAGAAGACATTTATGTGGCCAACAAACATGAAAAAAAGCTCATCACCACTGGTCATTAGAGAAATGCAAATCAAAACCACAGTGAGATACCACCTCATGCCAGTTAGAATGGCAATCATTAAAAAGTCAGGAAACAATAGATGCTGGCGAGGATGGAGAAATAGGAATGCTTTTACACTGTTGGTGGGAGTGTAAATTAGTTCAACTATTGTGGAAGACAGTTTGGTGATTCCTCAAGGTCTAGAACCAGAAATACCCCTTGACCTAGCAATCCCATTACGGGGTATATATCCAAAGGATTATAAATCATTCTACTATAAAGACACATGCACACGTATGTTTATTGCAGCACTATTTACAATAGCAAAGACTTGGAACCAACCCAAATGCCCATCAACGATAGACTGGATAAAGAAAATGTGGCATGTATGCACCATGGAATACTATGCAGCCATAAAAAAGAATGAGTTCATGTCCTTTGCAGGGACATGGATGAAGCTGGAACCATAATTCTCAGCAAACTAAAACAAGAACAGAAAACCAAACACTGCATGGTCTCACTATAAGTGGGAGGTGAACAACAAGAACACATGGACACAGGGAGGGGAACATCACACACTGGGGCCTATCAGGGGGTGGGGGGTAAGGGGAGGGAGAGCATTAGGACAAATACCTAATGCCTGCAGGGCTTAAAGCCTAGATGATGGGTTGATAGGTGCAGTAAACCACCATGGCACATGTATACCTATGTAAAAAACCTGCACGTTCTGCACATGTACCCCAGAACTTAAAGTAAAATAAAAAAAAAGCAATTCTTTTCTATTTGTTTTTTGTAAAGGCCATGATGAACCCTTCTTTGTAAGCATGTAGACTTTTTATCATAAACATTGAAAGAAAATTGTCCTATGTACGGCCTTGTAGTCTTAGTTCCTGAATAAAAATAAAACAAAATGAAAAAATAAAAAATAAATTAAAAAAACTCTCAGTCTGTAAGAGAGAGTACCTCTGTCCTAACTCAGCCAGAAGCCCCTCTCAGGTTTATTTTCCAAAGTAAACCTGTCTTTAACTGCTGAGCCGCTTTTCATGTTTCTTTCCTCTTTCTTTAATTCTTACATAGAGCTCACAGTGTACTTCTGAGTTCAGCTTGGATTTCTCACTTCATGCTCCAATCCCTAAACTGAGTTTGACACAAGCTGTGAAGATTTAGATTTAGCTGGGGACGCTGTCATTAGACACCAGGCTTGAATGAGGGAAAATAGCTTCTTAACAAAGATCTTAACATTTTTTGAATGTTCACTTTGTCCATGGTTAGTTAAATGTAACTTTAGTGTAAATTATAGCATTTATTTGCTTTTATCTCTAGGAAATAATATGGAGCCACATAGATTACAGTAATTTGCCATTTTGCAAAAACACCAGAAGGTTAGAGTCCCTGATATATTTCTTTAATCACCAATTGCTACTGGACACCTCCCTTGTGCCAGGCAGTAAACTGGGCACTAGGCATCTGACAGTGATGAAGACCGACATTGTCCCTTCCCTCATTTCTAGTGGGGAAGACAGACACAAGACAGTTGTAAGAGGTTCAGGCAACACCCATATTTTCTTCCTAATTTCAAGATTAAAATAAAATGAACAGCCCTTGCTATATTATAATTAATCCACAAGTTCATTCAGAAGAGAGGCCAGACACCCAGATGGCAAAGAAGAAAAGAGAGCTTCCCAGACAGAGATGCCAAGGCAGCGGCTTGAAGGGTCAGTGGGAATTAGTGGAGCAGTATGGTTATAATCTTCCACAATGATAATATATTTTTGCTATTTTACCATTTGTTCTAATATATTTTCTTTGTGTTTATTTTACATCATTTTCTTAAGTGTATATAAGATTAGAATTTTTACATTCATTGTGAATTGAATCATTATGGAAGGGCCCTCTCAATTCCAATGAATACTTTTTGTCTTAGTCTTTTCAGTTTGCTAGTAATATCACTGACCTTGCTTTATTTTGATTAGCATGGGCCTGGCAAATTTTCTTCCATCCCTTTATTTCAAACTTTTCTGTATTCTTATGATTTGCTAGGTTTGGCATAAACAGTATATGACTGGATTTGTCAATTTTTACACAAAATGACAACCATTAACTGGAGCATTTACTCCATTAACAACTTTTTTTGGGGTCTCTTTTGTAATTTGAATTAAAGCAATTGCTATTCATTTTTTTTAACTCTCTCTTATAAGCACCAAATTTTATTTATTTATTTATTTTTATTTTTTATTTTTTGAGGCGGAGTCTCCCTCTGCCACCCAGGCTGGAGTGCAATGGTGTGTTCTCAACTCACTGCAACCTCTGCCTCCCAGGTTCAAGCGATTCTCCTGGCTCAGTTTCCCACCCCGAGTAGCTGGGATTACAGGCGCCCACCACCACACCCGGCTAATTTTTTTTTTTTTTTTTTGTATTTTTAGTAGAGATGGAGTTTCACCATGTTGGCTAAGCTGGTCTGAAACTCCTGACCTCAGGTGATCCACCCACCTCGGCCTCCCAAAGTGCTGGGATTACAGGGGTGAGCCACCACGCTTGGCTCTTATTATTTGTTTTAAAAAAATGCTTTAAAATTTTTTTATTTTATCTTATTTTAAGTTCCAGGATACACACGAAGGATGTGCAGGTTTGTTACATAGGTAAACGTGTGCCATGGTGGTTTGCTGCACCTATCAACCCATCACCTAGGTATTAAGCCTCACGAGCATTAGCTATTTATCGTGATGATAAGCACCAAACTTTAATATGTAAGTCAATTTTGGGGGAAGGAAACATCATCAAGAACTTCCTTCTGAAACAAAACAATGATGTTCATTCCTTCAAACATCCAAATTGAAGGTGTACCAAAATGAAAACAAAAAAAGTCCACAGAGAAATAAAAAGGAACACAAATCACATTCCAGGGGGTTAGTGCATTTAGCAGTCTTAGCTGTGCTGTCTAACCATCCTTCAACTGACTTTCAAAAAAAAAACCCTATACTCATCAAAATATACATTTTCCATTTGCTGTTTTAAAATTAAAAATAATAATTGAAAAAGGAAAACTCTAAGGAAGTCACAATTAATTGCGTGACTCATTTTGATGTCATGTATAGCATATGGAGGTCAGGAAGGCTATTTGCAGCACACAGGATTAGAGGATATTTGTCTTCGAGGTTTAGCTTTCTTCCAAATGGTGTAAAATACCCACAATTCCAAGTATGAAGAGACACGGACTATTTCCTTTGAGAATTCCAAAGGACAATACAGGCACCCCAGCTGTTCTTCATAGAGAGACAGGGCTTCCGTCAGATTGACAGAGTTCCCCTTGTGTAAAATATTTCACATCTTGTTTCAATACTTTCATTGAGAGGTCAGGAATCAGTCTGAGAAACTCCCATGTGGAATCTTCTGGAGACATGGAGATTGGAACAGCTATCAAATCATTAATCACATAATCAAATTATCTCCCTTCTTTGGCATACCTTTTCAGTACTGGAATGCAGTACTGAACCTCATATAGCAGTCTCCTTTAAGATTATCTAAGACATCACCACAAGTTTTTCACATATATTTCCTACATCCATCAATCACCATTTCGTCAATCTCTATCATAGTGACCATCTTTAGTTTTAGTTCGGCTATTTCACACAATATGCCCCCATCTCGGCCTCCCAGAATGAGTACATCTTTGCCGATGCAAACTTTGCCACTGCCCATGATGGCCCAGGTATATGTCAAATCACTCTATGCCAAATTAACATTCCCACTAAGGATGAGAATATTTCCAAATTGCTTCGAGTGTAGAATTTTAATGTTCTGATAAGGTGAATCTTCATCATATACCACTTCATCTATGTTGTATTCAACCAGGAGTCCATCTGCGGTGGGCCAGTATCTGTCGATGGCTCCTCCTGGAACTATAGGTGGTAATTGCCTCATCTGCCAACTACTGTCCTGACTCAATTCTTTCATTCTTTCTTCTCCTTTGTTCAAAAGACTGTCGATCTCTTCTTTGCCTTGTGCATCACCATCGTAACTCTGAAGGTCCAATAACTCCAATCTATGTGAGTAAATTCTCAAATTGGCAAAGCTGCCGTTTTTTTGTGTGTGTGCAGGTTGCTAAACAGCGGTGTGGTCCTGCCCGGTGTCCACCGGTTCTGCCATCCCCTGCTCCTGGAAAATGGACTGGAGCCCTTTTAGAATGGTCTCGCCATCAGCTTTGGCGCTGAGCATGAAGTCGAGTGTGCTGTGCCATGCCGCTGCCATAGTGAGGCGAGACCCTGAGCCATGCCTGGGGAAGGCGGCCGTGGGAGACTGAGGGGCCGCGCAGCATGTCAGGCTTCCGCCCCATTAACAACTTTTTAAAAAGTTACTGATCATGTAATAAAGGATGAACTTCAAATGTGAATTTATTCCTACTTTCATACATTTCGCTATTTTCCTGCACTTTTAATAAATCTTTTCCTAGTTTCCTGACTTTAAAAAAATGATGTGATTTTTGTTTGTTTTTTCTCATTGCCTACCTTATAATTAAAATAATAGCAGATAGTCTGTAATCCCAGCTACTTGGGAGGCTGAGGTGAAAGAATCGCTTGAGCCCAGGAATTCGAGGCTGCAGTGAGCTTTGATTGCACCACTGCACTCCATCCTGGGTGACAGAGTGAGACTCCGTCTCTAAAAATAATAGTAATAGGCCGGGCTCGGTGGCTCACACCTGTAATCCCAGCACTTTGGGAGGCCGAGGGGGGCAGATCATGAGGTCAGGAGATTGAGACCATCCTGGCTAACACGATGAAACCCCGTCTCTACTAAAAATACAAAAAATTAGCCGGGCGCGGTGGCGGGCGCCTGTAGTCCCAGCTACTAGGGAGGCTGAGGCAGGAGAATGGCGTGAACCCAGGAGGCGGAGCTTGCAGCGAGCCGAGATCGCGCCACTGCACTCCAACCTGGGCGACAGAGCGAGACACCGTCTCAAAATAATAATAATAATAATAATAATAATAATAATAATAATAATTTTAATATAAATAGATAGTAAAATAGTGATAATATTAAATTATTCAAAATAATTGGAAATTATAAGAGGAGCAATTTTCTTGTTATATATGATACTGCAATGATCAATCACCTACAAAATGTAATGCATGAGTCCAACAGGACCCAAAGAGGGTAACAATAGACATTGGGGTCTACTTGACGGTGGAGGGTGGGAGGAGGGTAAGGATTGAAAAACTCCCTGTCAGGTACTATATTCACTATCTGGGTGATGAAATCTTTTGTACTCCAAACCCCAGCAACTCTCAATTTATCCATATAACAAACCTGCACATGGACCCCTGAACCTAAAATAAAAGTTGGAAGAAAAAAAATAAAAATAAGCCAAAACAAAATGTGGGAACTGTGCACACATGGCTGTACTGTTTCTCTGTAACTATGCTCTTGAACTTGGGTGGTACAACAGCTCCGTCCAAGTGTTGAGCAAGCCCGAATTGGACACATTTAGAAAGGGGCGGGACAAGGGTGCTTCCCGAAGCTTCTCTTTCGCAGCTTTTTGGCTGCACCTCACACGAGGCTCCGTGGTTCAGCACCTACTTGATGCTGAGGTATTTTGCAAGAGCTTTGATGAGAGACTGAGTTTCATGATTGGAGAGTGGATGTAGGATCTTTGAAGGAAATTTGGGGGTTGATAATGGAGGTTTTTGGAATCACAATAGGGACTTGCTGTAAGTTGAGTTGAATGCTCCCAGTCAGATCCTCTGATGGGTAATTTGTTTCCATTTTTCTTCTTTTCTCATATTAAGATGAGAAAAGAACTTTAAGATGGCTTAAAGTTCCATCTAAGACAATAAGTTGAGTATTATTGTTTTCATAATAGTTAAGTGTTTTCTAATTTCTTTTTACCAAGAGTTATTTATATGTGTTTCCAATTAACAAAAGCTAAGCCTTTTATTGATTTCTAATGCACCTTATCTGTGTGCTGTGTGGTGCTTATTCATCGGAATGTGTTTAGAGTCCCTTTAAGACTAAGTTCAAGGTCCATTTTTATTAATATTGTATCTCTAGCTTGAAGATAGTATGAGTTCTCCAACTGATACTGTTTTGTTCAAGATGCGTATTGGTCCTGTGTGTGTTCTTGTTTCCTTAATTGCCGAGAGTAGTGACTTGTTTGCATGTGTTGATATATATGATGCACACAGAAATATGTACATATGTACGTATATATTTTGAGATGGAATCTCGCCGTGTCGCCCAGGCTGGAGTGCGGTGGTGCGATCTCGCCTGGAGTGCAGTGGCGCGATCGTGGCTCACTGCAGCCTCTACCTCCTGGGCTCAAGAGATCCTCCTGCCTTGGCTTTCTGAGTAGCTAGGACCATAGGCGCGCGCCACTACACCTGGCTAATATTTTTTAAAATTTTTTTCTAGAGATGAGATCTCGCGATGTTGCCTCAGGCTGGTCTCGATCTCCTGGGCCGCAAAAGTATATTTGTATATTTATGCATTTTATGTGGCGATATTGGGCACAGGTAGGAGTACTTTTCAGAATAAAGACTGTAAAATTTCGCTAGGTGGGTGGGTCAGGGCCGGTAGGCCCCGATGTGGCCTGTGCAGGTAGGGAGGAGGGTCAGGGCTTGGCGTCTTAACATGTTTCAGCGGGCTGTGAGGTGAGGCCGCGTCCTTTCTGTCCCAGAATGCGGAGGGGCTTGTGGTGCTGTAAGAGTCTGGGAAGGGGGTGGAGCCTGGCAAGGGGCGGGGCTGGGTATGACCGGACGCCATGTGCACTGGAGGCCCACAGGGCACGAAGGGTAAGGTGAGTCTGAGCGTCCCTAAACCCGTCCGCCCATCCATCCACCGTTTGATCATCCCTCAATCCATCCGCCCATCCATCCACCATTCGATCACCCATTCACTCTTGCCCCAGGCGCGCAGGAGTGGGTAGGCGGAACCTGGGGAGACTAGCGGAGGAGGCCAGGCAGTGAGGCAGACTGAATTTGTCTGAGGGGCGGGGCCAAGTGTGTTTGGGCAGGCAGAGGTGGACTTGTCTGGGTCCATCGTGTTGGGTAAGCAGGGTAGCCTGTGTGTCTTGGAGGGAGGGGTGGATCAGGCTGAGCAGAGCAAATCTGAAGGGGTGGCACCCAGATTTTCTGGGCGGATAGGCAGGCCGTTATGCATGGAGGTAGGCAAGTTGGGGGCAGATGTGTCCAGGTGGACCAACCAAGTGTGTCTGGATAAGGGATAAGGTGGGCAGGCAGGACCAGATGGTATCAGTCATTCCCAGGCAGGCAGGGCCTAGTGTGTCCAGCAGGTGCAGTTGCCCCAGGCTAGATTGGCCTGAGGGTGAGGCCAGGAGTGTTGGGGAAGGGTGGTTTTTCCCTACCCACTTAGGGCTGACCAACAGCCCTCTTTCTAAGAGCATGGGAATCCTACTAGTAATCTCTGGCCCCTGGTGAGTCCAGGACACAGGGTAGACAGGGAGTCGGGCTGATGCTGAGGGTCTGCCCCTCAGACCTTGCCTGTAACACCCCCAGAGACCTTGCTGTGGTCCCACTGGACACTGGCCACTTGACAGCTGCCTCAAACGCAGAAGTCCGGGCTAGCCCAGAAGTACCAGATGGCAGTGGTGCCACTGGCAGTAAGGGAGGCACCTGGGCAACAGCCACACCTCAGCTGTTGTCTGAAGAGGACCTGCCTTGGCACTGTGACCTGTACCAGGACACTTGCAGAGGGGATTTTTGGCAATCAGAGCCTGGCAAGTGTGAGGGAGGGCCCTGGGGTAGAAGGTTGGGGACAATGAGGGCAGTGAGGTTCAGCAGTGAGGTGACAGGAGGCAGGGAGTATCCAAAGACCACTTTGAGAAAACAGTTGTGTGGAGTGTGTCAGTATTTCCTGATCTGCAGCCTTGGGTGAGTGACATCAAGAAGCTCTAGCTCATGGATCCCACAGGCAGAAGCAGGCAATGAATGTGAAGCACATGAAGAGTTTGAAGAAAAAGGTAGAGCAGAAGGTGACGAATTGAATGGGGAGCATGAAGGCAGGTCGGGGGTGGAATGCAGGGCAGGGGTGCAGGATTGGGGGTTGATATCAACCCTCCTGATCCTGCCCTGACCACTCTTGTCCTGAAGAAGGAGAAGCAGCAGACGCAGAAAAGGAAGCACACAGGCAAGTGGAAGCATCCGGAGCATGTCAAGGACCCAGCCTCACCACGGCAGTGCCTGGGACCCGGCTGTGTGTATCCCACCTGGCCAGGCTCCAAGTACTGTTCAGATGACTGTGGCATGAGGCTGGCAGGTGCGTGAGTGCACCTCGAGGTTAAGGGACAAAGGCAAAGTAAGGTGTGATCTATGCCATCTGTAATTCCACTCAGCCACCCACCCATCCACCGTCATAGTCACCCACTCACTGAACTGCCCATCCACATTACATCCACCAGGATGCTCATCCACCCTTATAGCCACTCATCCACCTGCTCATTCACCCTCATAGCCACTCACCCACCTGCTCATCCACCCTTATAGCCACTCACCCACCTGCCCCTCCACCCATCCACCCACCCGTCCACTGTTCAACCACCCATTCACCAACGTGCACTCATCCACCACTCAGTACCCTATAGAGTCACCATTTGGTAGCTCATCTTTCTCATTCCTCTGATGTCCCCATCTACCCATTTCATTTCTTGCTCTCTCTTCTTTCAGCCACATCAATAACATCCTTCCCCAGCACATCCAGCAGTGGCAAAGGAGCCCCTGCATTGCCAATGAGCATGGCAAGAAAATGCTCGAGCACATCCACCATAAGCAACAGAACACCTATACTTGCCTGAAGGACATGGAGCACCATTTCCATGAACTTGAGGCCATCATTCTGCATGGCAAACAGCAGGCTGTGTGCACGGATTACTAGGCGAGAGGGCATTGGCGAGGTAGAGCTTAAAGGTACCGGGCCTCTGGTCCTGTCCTCCCCATCCTGTACTGCTTCCCTGGTCCCTCCATTGTCCTGTGCAGAGCAACAAAGGTGAAAAGGGCAGCAAAGACCTGCAGATCTTTTGCGCCTCCTGCAGGCGGCCCATCTCTAAGCGTGTCACCTTTCACCACATGGAGCACTGCTTTGCCAAGGTTGGAACATTGGCTGGGAGTCAGATGGGACGAGGGTGTTTTTGGTTGGGTGGGGTGGCACATGGGTGGGGTCCATGTGGTGGGGGCAGATTTGGCGCCTGGATATTTGTCATAGGAGGAATGCAACACACATCCATGGCTTCCCCTGTGTGTGCTCTTCCCCCATGCCCAGTATGAAAGCCAAGGTCAGGGCATTAACCAGTGATGAAGGGGACACTGGCTGTGCAGACGGGAGCATAGGGTCTGCAGGGGACAACAGACCTGGTGTTTGGAGCTTTATTGTAGGAGGACATGCAGCATATGTCCACAGTTCCTCCCATTTGTGCTCTTTCTTCTCCAGTATGAGTGCCAATTGCCCGTTGGGTCCCTGTACCCTACTTGTATTGAAAGGTGAGTGTGGGGGCTAGTAAGGGTCGAAGGCATTACGTGGACAGGGTCAGAAGCAAGGTTGAGCAAGGTCAGGGGCAGGATGTGGGTGGGCTCAGAGGCAGAGGCGGGTGTAATTAGAGGCATGGTATGGGTGGGGTCTGGGACAAGGTACAGGTAGGGTTCTGGGGTGGGACCTCACTCCTCCTGACTCTTAGCACCTCACTTTTCCACCCCCCATCCAGGGCCACATGGCTCTTCTGTGATGTCTACAATCTGAAAAGTAAGAGGTACTGTAAGCGCCTCCAGGTGCTGTGTCCTGAGCACTCTTGGGACCCCAAGGTGAGACCCTTCCTTACCTCATCACCCTCCATTCCTCCAATCCTCCCTGCCTGACTGCCCTCCTCATCTCCTCAGCAACTCCTGTGTGTCCTCCTTCCCTTCCCGACCACCCCACATTCCATGCTCATTGCTGCCTCTCACCCTCTCTTCTTCCTTTTCTCTCTACCTGGCTGTCTGTGTTCATGACCTCCTTGCCCGACCACCTTCTGGGTGGTCCTGCCCCTCCTCACTGCATAAGCACCCCCTAATTCTGCTCCTCTTCTTGCTCAACCATCCTCCCTTCCTGCCCCACCCCCTGCCTGGCCAACTCCCTCTTCCCTCCTCCTTGTGTGGCGCCCTCAACTTCTCTTCCTCACTTTCTGACTTTCCTCCATTCTGATCATTCTCTCTGCCTGACTGTCCCCGATTCTATTTTCTGCCTGTCATCTACATCCTTTCTTCCTCCCTGTTTGACTGCTCCCCATTCTCTCCCTCCACCCTCCTCTCCTTCACCTCAGCCCTCACCTCCCCTCTGCCTCAACAAGCCCCACTCATCTACTTCTCCTCCTTGGACCACCCTCAACCCTCCCCTCCTCTGCCGGACTGCTTTCCAGCCTTCCAGCTCTCCAGCTCTCCCTGGCCCACCTGCCCTCCAGCCATCCCTCCTTCTGTTGGATCTCTTTCTGTGCTTCTGTTCTTTCTGCCTGATCACCTGCATTCTTCCATCCCTGCTTAGTCTACCTCATTCCTCTATCCTCTATGCCTGATCACCCGCTATTTGTCCTCTCTTCTCTGAATTCCTCTCTTCCTCCTGCCTGATCACTCCCCATCCCTCTCCTCTCTGTCCTCCATCTCCCTATTGTTCCCCTGTGCCTGATCATTCCCCAGGGCTTCGCTCCTTCATAACTCATCCTCCTTTGTTCTTCACCATAGATGTCAAAGGATGAGGTGGGTGGTTGTCCGCTCGTGCACAATGTCTTTGAGTTCACGGGTAATTTTTGTTGCCTCCCCAAATGCCTGTGCAACCACCACTACAGCTGGGAGAAGCTGAGGCGTGCCGTGGACCTGGAGTGCATGCAGGCTGTTAGGTGCCATGCCGAGGGGGCTGAGGGATGGGGTAGGATCCTGGACTCCCTCTCGCATATTCAGGTCCCACAGTTGCACAAGCTGGAACAGCTGTTTGAGCAGGAGCAGAAGGTGCGCACGTCTATGATGAACCGGGTGGGGCTGCTGGCTCTGATGCTGCACGGGACGATCCAGCACGACCCGTTCACCAGTGACCTGTGCTCCAGGGTGGACATTTAAGCCTTGCTGGACCTAGGTCCCGTATTCCACACTCTGTGTAAAGGTGACACCTCATGAATCTCTCCTCCCACATCTGTTGCTCCATCCATCTTTTTCTTTCTTTTTTTTTTTTTTTTTTTTTTGAGACGGAGTCTTGCTCTGTCGCCCAGGCTGGAGTGCAGTGGTGCGATCTCGGCTCACTGCAAGCTCCGCCTCCTGGGTTCACGCCATTCTCCTGCCTCAGCCTCCCGAATAGCTGGGACTATAGGCGCTCACCACCACGCCTGGCTAATTTTTTGTATTTTTAGTAGTGACGGAGTTTCACCGTGTTAGCCAGGATGGTCTCGATCTCCTGACCTCGTGATCCGCCCGCCTCGGCCTCGCAAAGTGCTGGGATTACAGGCGTGAGCCACCGCGCCCGGCCTCCATGCACCTTTTTCTTAGGGCATCTTGGAGTTTCTCTCTGTGCTTCTCTGTCCACCACTTGGTCTCTTGTCTCTCTGTCTACCACTCCTTGGTGGTGGTCAGGGGGATTGTTTAAAATTCCCCATTCCCATCCATTCCTCCATCCCTTTCCCTTTCTTCCCTGAACCTGGGTGAGGCCAAGGGATCTGCCCTGCCGTTACATCCACTGTCTAGAGTTTTCTTCACCGACTTTGGAAGAACAAGGATTTTGATATCTCATGATGTTCCCTAAACCTGTCTCTCTGGCTGCAAACCCAATTCCAAACCTCCAATAGTCGGTGGGTGACAGGCCTCGCCTGTCATGACCATCATGCCCCCACACGCACCCATCTTGTCCCATTCCTGACCATCCCACGAGGTCCTTGCCCTGTCAGCCTTGGCCCATCTCAGTCCAACCCTAGTCTGTCCTGCCTTTCACTTCTGGGCCCCCTCCCCCCACCACCCTGCTCTGAGTGTGCCCTGTCCTTTCCAGCCTGTCCTGTCACACCTATTTCACACCTGTAGGTTTGCCAGAAGGTGACTTCTGCCACATCTGCCTTTGCCAGCCCCTAGCCAGGCCTTCTGTGCCATTGGAGGTGCGTCCAGTAGTGTTGCTTGTGGGTGCTGGTATGTCTCCAATGACAGACCTGAACGACCTTTCCTATTTTTTTTCCTATGCTCACTGATTCCTTATGATTTTTTTTTGTTGTTGTTGTTTTTAAGACGGAGTCTCGCCCTGTTGCCCAGGCTGGAGTGTGGTGGCCCGATCTTGGCTCACTGCAACCTCTGCCTCCAGGGTTCAAGTGATTCTCCTGCCTCAGCCTCCTGAGTAGCTGGGATTACAGATGCGCACCTGGCATTTTTTTGTATTTTTAGTAGAGATGGGGTTTTACCATGTTGGCCAGGCTGGTCTCGAACTCCTGACCTCAGGTGATCCGCCTGCCTCGGCCTCCCAAAGTGCTGGGATGACAGGCGTGAGCCACCACACCCAGCCCTTATGATTTTTTTTTAATCTGCTTTTATAATTACTCTCCTCCCAGGAACTCATATAGTTCTAAATGTTTAAGTGTGTTGCTCTAGACTTTATACCTCATATTCCAGTACAACTACTTTACATTACTACTTGTCTGGTACAATATCTCCTTTCTCATTACTAATATTGTGTTTCTTTCTTTTTTTTCAATTTGATCAGATTTCCCAGATCAGCTTTTTATTTATTTATAGGTCCTAATTTTATATTTATTTTATTTATATAAACTTCTATTTGTATTATTTATCACTTCTTGACTTTTTGTTCTGTATTTTTATTTTACATTTTTTTGTTTAATTTTGCTGTTCTTTTTCTAATTTCCTAAGTCATGTTCCCAACTCGACCATTTTGGGGCTTCCAGTTTTTTGTTTTTTTTTTTGATAGTAAAGTATTTGAGATTATACACTTTCCTCTACATGTAGCTACGTTTCCAACACTCTGGTATGGAAGGTGAAACTACAAAATTGACTTCTCATTTTGATCCTAGGTATTGAAGAAAGCTTCTTAGGTTCTTACTGGTTAAGATAGTTTAGTGGTCTTTTTTTTATTTTTATGTAATTATGTTTTTTTATTATGGTCAGAGAATGTAGCCTGCAGAATATGAATTTGTAAATGTTATTCAATATTTTCTCTGTGGCCTAGGTATGTGACATAATTTTGTAAAACTTTCATGGATATAAGAGAAGAAACTATATTCTCTGTTAGATATTAGGACTTGGTGGGGACTTTTCAATCTAGTTGGATTATTTATTTTTTGTCTTTCTGTCTACTTCAGCTGTTATATTATCAAAAGGTAGAATAAATCTACCTTTTAAAACAAATTTCTTCTGTGGTTTTGTGTTTTTTGGGGAGAGATGAATCCTAAAGTATATATCTTAGACCATTTCACACCATGTCACGTATTTTCTTTTTTTTTTTTCTTTTGAAATGGAGTCCCGCTCTGTCACACAGGCTGGAGTGCAGTGACCTGATCTTGGCTCACTGCAACCTCTGCCTCCCAGGTTCAAGCAATTCTCCTGCCTCAGCCTCCTAAGTAGCTGGGATTACAGGCATGTGCCACCACACCTGGCTAGTTTTTGTATTTTTAGTAGAGATGTGGTTTCGCCAAATTGGCCAGGCTGGTCTCAAACTCCTGACCTCTAGTGATCTGCCCGCCTCAGCCTTCCAAAGTGCTGGGATTACAGGTGTGAGTCACTGTGCCCGGCCAGTTTCTGTTCATTTTTGTCCCTACTGTTTTCCTCATTAGTTTGGAAAGTTTTACTTTTATTAATTGTCCCATTATATACTTTTCCCATTTCCAACAGGCATGATTTATTTCCTTTACTATTTTATCCGAACATAACCGGACCTTATTTTATAGAAAAAGATGAATAGTATTACTTTCTTATTTTTCTAGAAAAATTTAAGCTGTGTATTTAAAGACTATATTTTTCTTACAGGTTGAGTTAATCCTGCTTCAAGAAATCTCACTTAACATTTTTATTCAAAATCCCCAGTGACTTCATGTATTATAATTTAACTTTTAACTGTATGAGTGTGTGCTCAGGGGTGTGTATTTTACCTCAACAGTAATTGTGAACCATTGTTTTGCTCTCTTATTTTGCGATCTCTCTTATGATTTCATATTCATTTATTTAGAATACATCCCTAAGTGTTTTCTTTAAGCAGAATAAATCAGTGAAACACTCTTCAAATTATTTCATGTCTGAAACTGTCATTCTTTTGCCCTGACCAAGGAATGGTTTCTTGGGATGGGGTACAGGATTGGAATTCTTATCTCTCCGTGGCCTATGGTAGGCGTGTCCAGTCTTTTGGCTTCCACGGGTCACACTGGAAGAAGAAGAATTGTCTTGGACCACACATACAATATAATAATACTAACAATAGCTGATGAGCTAAAAAAAAAATAGCAAAACAAATCTCAAAATATTTTAAGAAAGTTTACCAATTTGTGTTGGGCTGCATTCAAAGATGTCCTGGGCTACATGTGGCCCATGGGCCGCAGATTGGACAAGATTGGTCTATGGGAAGTAGCTTCTAAGATAACCCTCAGTGATCCCTGCCTCCTGGAATTCATCACCCTGTGTAATTCCCTCCATTTGAGTAACTTGCTTCTAACCAATACAATACCTTAACATTGAGAGGATGCCACCTTTGTGGTTAGATGACAAGAGATCATAGCTTCTGTCTTGGTGACAGGCTCTTTCCCTTGTTGGTTTTGGCAACATGTTGGGAAGGCCCATGTAGCAAGGATAGCCTCCAACTATCAGAAACTGAGACTTTCAGTACATCCCAACATCCCCAAAGGGATAGAATCCTGGAACAACCACATAAGTGAGTTTGGAAGTAAGTCTTTCCCCAGTTCAGCCTTCAGATGAAGCCACAACCCCTGGATGACACCTTGATTGTAGCCCTATGAGAGACTCTGAAACAGAGGACCCAGCTAAGCCATACCAAGATTCCTAACCTACAGAAACCATGAGATGTGTGTGTTTTTAAGCCCATCAAGTTTGTGGTAATTTATAATACAGCAATAGATAACTAATACATGGTCTGTAGATGTTAAATGACATCTGAATTCAATTTTTGTCAATGAGATATCTGCTGCTGGTCTTATTCCTCTCCCTTGTATAAAACTTGTTTCTGCATGGAAGTGTTTAAGAATTTCTCCTCATCTTTGGACTATAAGACTGTAACCTTTATCTGCAAAACAGAGAGAGATTTTTAAAAAGGCTGTAATCAAATTTGGTCATTGCAAGGGTTCCTGTGGTGATTAATTATTTTTAGCAGCTTTGCAGGGGAGGATCAGTGATTTAGTCATCACCTTTTACTGTACATCAGAATCTTCTGTGGAGTTGAGATGGAAGAGATGGGGGGATGTGGAGGGTTCATCCCCATGGCCTAGGGGAGAGGGGGAGGCAGCTCCCTGCAGGGTGTCTAGGGGGAGATCCGAGTGGGAGCAGCCACCAGCCATAGCCAGGGAGATGCTATCCCCCACCCCAGCACGGATCCTTCCCTCTCCATTGATTCTTTACAGATGTCAGCTGATTCTCACCAGCACTCCCTTTCCCCCCTCCTCTGGGGATGTGCCGATTTCTCCTCTATCTTAATTTAGGTATAGAAAAACCCTTTTTTCTTTGGAACTTAGAGACTGGCAGGGTAGTAGGGCCACCACAGTCTCCGGGGTCCTTCCGGCTCTCTCTCCTCCCTTCAAAGATAAATAAAATGGCCCCAGAAGGCAAGTGACTCGCCCAGGCCTCTCAGGTTGGCAGTGACAGCACTAGACTGGAGCCAGGTCTCCTGACTGTGTCTTCTACCTTCACCCACCACAGCTGAGATCAACTTTCCCACTCAGAGTTCCCGTTGAGATTCTGTAAACTGAGGAGGACGATGAGTGAGCCAGGCTCTGGCTGACAGCTCCCTCCTTTCAGACTTGCCTGTGGATGCTGTCGGCTCTGGAAGGGTTCATCCTCTCAGGGGCTCAGGATCATGCAGTCAATAAGCCCGTATATATTCTGAAACTCTGTTGTTTTAGTTTTGTTTATTATATAAATAATTATATTCCTAATATTAAGTTATGCATTATGAATAAATACAAAGAAGAAAGTAAAAATGACCTCTAACTCTGCCATCTCCTAAATATAAATTCTATCAACAATTTGATTTATTTGCTTCCATATACTTTTTTCTGGGCATGTGCTTTGGTGCTTATGTTTGCAAGTGATCAGTATATTCATATGTGCACTTTTAGTTTAAATGAAAACTGGAATCATGTTGTTTGGTTACCTTGTTTTTTTACGTTGTATTTTAACTTAAATATTTTTCCATGGCAGCATATATTTTTCTAAACAATTTTAACAGCTGCAAATAGCGTATCTTTGAATATATCATAATTTATATAACCAATATGCTGTTAATAAATATTTATGAAAGTTGGTTTTGGTTTTAACTGTTATGAACATCGCCGTGGTAAAATTCCTACATTTAAATCTTTGTGCACATACATGATTATTTTCTACAGATATAGTTTTAGAAATTGTACTCTTGGGTCAGGGTGTAAGGACAGGTGTTAATAATAAATGGGCTGGGCGCTGTGCTCATGCCTGTAACCTCAGCACTTTGAGAGGCAGAGGTGGGTGGATCAGTTGAGGTCAGGAGTTGCAGACCAGCCTGGTCAACATGGTGAAACCATGTCTCTACTAAAAATGCAAAAATTAGCTGGGCTTGGCGGCACACACCTATAATCCCAGCTACTTGAGAGGCTGAGGCTGGAGAATCTCTGGACCCCGGGAGGCAGAGGTTGCAGTGAGCCCAGATCGCGCCACTGCACTCCAGCCTGGGCGACAGAGCAAGACTCTTGTCTCAATAAATAAATAAAAATACAAAAATTAGCCAGGCATGGTGGCACGCGCCTATAATCCCAGCTACTTCGGAGGCTGAGACACTAGAATCACTGGCACCAGGGAGGCGGAGGTTGCAGTGAGCTGAGATCGTGCCACTGCACGCCAGCCTGTGTGACAGAACGAGACTCTGTCTCAAAAATAAATAAAAATACAAAAATTAGCCGGGCATGGTGGCGCACACCTGTAATCCCAGCTACTCCAGAGGCTGAGGCATGAGAATTGCTGGAACCCGGGAGGTGGAGGTTGCAGTAAGCTGCGCCACTGCACTCCAGCCTGGGCGACAGAGCGAAACTGTGTCTCACATAATAATAATAATAATAATAATAATAATAATAATAATAATAATAATAAATGAATTGGGAGGGGACAATTGCACACTTAGTCCCAATGAGAAATCTGCCTTTTTCCAAATGCCACATGATCAAATCAGTCACACATATGCAGCTTGTGATCACAGAGGCATGGAGTTCTCTGGCTTTCCATGGGGTGCAGCCTCTTGTCCAGCGGAAGTGTGGAGATTTCCAGCCTGCTTAATCTGAGCAACACAACCTTGACTTCACAGACCTATGTCCCTACCCAAGAAAGTCAGGAAATAACCACGTTTCTCATGAGTTATCGTTAATTCATGTATTTGTTGCACCCGTTGCAGTTCAGCAGCTTTTGTGAGCTTTTAAGAATCCCTGTAGTAAAATGTACAAGTATAGCTCCATAAAAATTAGATCAGAGAAAATATAGAAAGAATGGATGAAGTCAGGACCAGAATTGATTTGGGCTGTAGGCATTTGGGCCCTAGGGTTCTGCAGAGTAAAATTAAACTGCCAGTTTCCTTCTGAGCTTCCTATCAGACATAGCTGGAAAGAAAATGCAGTTATTTGTAGGATTTACCTTGGCCTCAGGGAGAAAAATGACTACAAGGGTGAAGAAAACATTTTCCAGGGTAAAGATTTCCTGATAATTGAATGTAAACCATCTCCCGCCCCCCTTATTTTTGAGACAGAGTCCTGCTCTGTTGTCCAGGCTGGAGTGCAGTGGCTCGATCTCGGCTCACTGCAAACTCCGCCTCCCAGGCTCAAGCGATTCTCCAGCCTCAGCCTCCTGACTAGCCGGGATTACAGGCACGTGCCACCATGCCTGGCTAATTTTTGTATTATTTATTTATTTATTAGAGACAGAGTCTCGCTCTATCACCCAGGCTGCAGTGCAGTGGCACCATCTCAGCTCACTGCAAACTCTGCCTCCTGGGCTCAAGGGATTCTCCAGCCTCAGCCTCCCAAGTAGCTGGGATTACAGGCATGCACCACCACACCCAGCTAATTTTTGTATTTTTTTGTAGAGACAGGGTTTCACCATGTTGGCCAGGCTGGTCTCGAACTTCTGACCTCAAGTGATCCACTGGCCTTGGCCTCCCAAAGTGCTGGGATTACAGGCATGAGCCACTGTGCTCGGCTCCAAAACCCCTTTTTGATCTCATTATGGATTATAGGTGAGGTGACCTTATACTTTATCATCCAAATTCAGAAACTTTGGAAAGTGAAAGAGGTATCATTAATAATCATGCTGGAACAGCAGGTGTAAACTGGACAGGTGGTCAACCTAATGATAAATGCGCAATAGAGTTTGCCATGGCCATCTTCTGGAGCAGTGGTTCTTCCAGTGTGTTCCCTGGACCACCACCAACAGCACCTGAGATATTGTTAGAGATGCAAATTCTTGGACCCTATGCCAGACCTACGGAATATCTAACTTTTGGGTGTGAGGCTCAGCAGTCTGTGTGCTGACAAGCCCTCTGGGTGATTCTGATACACGCTCAATGTTGAGAACCACTGATTTAGAGCTGTCTTCCAAATAAGTCAAAGGCACAGGGCCAGTGCAGAACTCAGCCCATCGGGTTCTTCATGTGCACACCTCTCTAATTATCTTGTTTCATCTAGGTACAAACTATCCTACATTTTTATATTCCTCTGGAGCCTTTTGACACTTCTTATGCCTTAAATAGTTCAAAATTAAAGGAATATTGGATCATACAATATGTGTTTTCAGTCTGGACTTAAAACTCTGTGTGATGGCCCTGCTCGTGGTCGGTTCCTCAAAAAAAAAAAAAAGTCTCTATTTTTAACATGTTATCCTGAAGTACAAAATACAACGGTAACGTGGAATTTATTCTTTCAAGATACAAAAGTTAGTTTATATTTATTTCCTGTATATAGAATCCCTTAGTGGTGATCCATTAGTTCAAGTAAAAAATCCATGCTTTTCCCATGATTGTAGTCCAGCATTTGTCCTTAGTTTTTATTAATTAATTAATTAATTTATTTATTTATTATTACTTTTGCCTCACTCTGTCTCCCAGGCTGGAGTGCAGTGGCATGATCTGGGCTCACTGCAAACTCCACCTCCCGGGTTTCTAACCTCCTGATTCTCGTGCCTCAGCCTCCCGAGTAATTGGGATTACAGGTGTTTGCTAACACGCCTGGCTAATTTTTGTATTTTTGGTAGAGATGGGGTTTCGCCATGTTGGCCAGGCTGATCTGTATCTCCTGACCTCAGGTTATCCAACCGCCTTGGCCTCCCAAAGTGCTGGGATTACAGGCCTGAGCTACTGCACCCAGTCTGTCCTTAGATTTTTAAACTTATTTTGCTTCCCTAACATGAGACATAGACTCCTGTCCTTTTGCATAGAGCTATTTGCACTTCCATGATGTCAGATACTTTATTTTTTTTATTTTATTTTTTTTTACTCCCATGCTTTTGCACTTTGCCTCACATGTTTCACTTTCCATGTTAAGCTTCCCCAACACTGGCAGGCAAACCTACTTCCCCATGGAGAATTTATCTTTCCCTCTTTTGTGCTCTCCATGTTTCCTACATGTACTTAAGCCTTGGAATTTTTTGTTTTAATCATCTCAGTAAACTTTTTTTTTTTTTTTTTTGAGACAGAGTCTCACTCTATCACCCAGGCTGGAGTGTAGTGGCATGATCTCGGCTCACTGCAACCTCTGCCTCCCAGGTTCCAGCGATTCTCCAGCCTCAGCCTCCGAAGTAGCTGGGATTATATGTGCGTGCCACCATGCCTGGCTAATTTTTGTAGTTTTGTATTTTTAGTAGAGATGGGGTTTTGCCATGTTGGCCAGACTGGTCTCGAACTCCTGGCCTCAAGTGATCCACCTGCCTTGGCCTCCCAAACTGCTGGGATTACAGGTGTGAGCCACCACTGACTTCCATTTAGGAAGTCAATCTCATGTTTTCTGGGAGAGCTTGATGCCTTTGAAATGCCCTGAAAGTGTATTAGTCAGTGTTCTCCAGAGACACAGAGCCAATAGGGTATATGGATATAAGAGGGGATTTATTATGGGAATTTGCTCACACCATTATGGAAGCCAAGAAGTCCCCAACATCTTCTTTCTGCAAGCTGGAGAACTAGAAAAGCTGAAGCTGATAATATAATTCAGTTTGAGTCTGAAGGCCTGAGAACCAGGGGAGTTGATGGTACAACTATCAGTCCTAGGCCAAAGGCTTGAAAAATGGGGTAGGGGGTGAGGGGATGGTGTTGGTGTAAGCCCTGGAGTCTGAAGGCCCAAGAACCAATAGCCTCAATGTCTGAGAGCAGGAGAAGATGGATGTCCACAGCTCAAGCAGAGAGGGTGAATTTGCCCTTCCTCCATTTTTTTGTTCTATTCAGTCCCTCAATGGATTAGATGATGCCTGCCCACATTGGTGAGGACAAATCTTTACATAGTCTGCTGATTCAAATGTTAATGTTTTCTGGGAACACCCTCACAGTCACACTTAGCAATAATGTTTTACCAGCTATCTGGGCATCTTAGCCCAGTTGAGTTGATATAAAATTAACCGTCACAGAAGGTAACTCATCTTGAAAGTTCTAAACTCCCTTAACTCACTTCTTCTCTAAAAGAAGGTTTATAACTTCAATTTTTCTCTATCTTGAATTGGAATGTCTACGACTTTTATTATATGTCTGCCCAACCATTGTATGTTCAGTGTTTTGGGGGAAGATAACCTGTCTCTTCTGTTTTCACAGGTCCACATACAGAAAGAGAGGAATTGTGCCTCAGAAGCTGTATGTAATGGATGACACCCAGGAGCCTCATCTGCACCTGGACCTAATATGGTGATAAAATTTTAGGCTTGGAGCTGATACTGTAATGAGGTGAGCCTTTTGGGACCTTGGAATGGGGTGAATGTATTTTGCATGTGAGAGGGATATAAAGCATTGGTGGTCAGAGGGAAGACTCTGGTGGACACACACTAAGGTGATACATAGTGAGTCACACAATCTTGTATAATTTCCTCTCCTTGGGTGCAGATAGAATCTCTGTGACTTGTTTCTAACAAATAGAATATGGCGAAGGTGATGGGATATCACTCCCTTGATCAGGTTATATTACAGTCAAAGATGATATGATATAACTCCCATGATTTCATTACATTATCTAACACTCTGCTTTAGTAGACTGGCACAAGAGATTCTCCTTACTGGCTTAATGAGGTAAGCGTCTATATTGAGGAAACCCACATGGCAAGAAACTGCAGGCAGCCTCTAGAAACCATGGGTGGCCTCTTCGATTTGAAGGTAGCTTCCAGCTGACAACCAGTAAGAAGCCAGGGCCCTCAGTCATGTAGCTGCAAGAAAATAAAATCTGCCAATGACGTGAATGATCTTGGAAGTGGATTCTTCCCCAGTCAAGTTTCCAGATGAAAATATAGCCTGGCTGACACCTTGTGAGATCCTGAACAGAGGACTTAGTTAAGCTATGTGTGAACTTTTGACACACAGAAACTGTGAAATAATAAAAGTGTGTTGTCTTAAGCTACTAAGTTCGTGGGAATTTGTTATGCAGCAATGGAAAACTAATAGGATATCTCATGCCCTATTTCATTGTTTCACATTTTCCTCAATGTCTACTGTATAAAGCTCCATTTTGTATCTGGGCTTCTGATTATTTTGTGTACTGCATATGTGGACAATATGCATATTTTCATTTTTCGTTCAGTTGCTTCTGTTCCATGAAATAGTTCTTAACTACTCTAGTGTATTTTTTTCACTTGTTTGATTCCCTAGTCTGCAAATTCTTCAAACTAGAGAGTTTTAAACCATATGGTATTTGATGCTTTTGTCCTTTTATTTTAAGTAAATCCTTGGTAATAAGGGATTATATTTTACTTTTCATTACTGCAGCGCTAAGGACATAGAACCTATTTAGAATATTGAAGGTATTAAATATATGGAGGTAGTCAGAGGAGAATATTTTGTTTTATTTTTAAAATGTCTGGTGAGAGAAACTCAAAGGAACATAAATTATACCTGAAAAGAGAAAACAATGGCTTTAAAGCCAAAATATTAGGCTTTCTACAATAATCCCCTCCAATATAATGGAAATCTAGTAAAAACAATTGTTTAAAAACAAGTGGCAGAGTGTATCTGCTTTTGGAGTGCAAAAAAATATGTTCCCTGAATTCAGATATGGAAGATTGAGAGTAATTTTCGCACAGTGGACATTTAATTTATTCTTGAGCCCATATAAATTTTGTATTGCTGGAAATAGGCATGAAAATTAAGCTTTCTGGAGAAGAACATGAAGTTAAGATTGGAATTGCAAATAAACTGGATTTTGAAGGCAATTTCATGAATAATTTGTGGAATGCAAAATCACCTACACAGTCATTTTAAAGACTGATGACTCTTGATCTCTTCATTTATGTATGTTACTGACTCTGTAGGACAAGGGACTTACAGATGAGTTTTTCAACCCAAGAGTAAATTCTTTGCAATGGACATTGTGGCAATAATCTCAATGATGAAAGGTGCAACACAGGTTAAATGGAAAATTGAAAGTGGAAAAAATACCAAATCAATTTTTAGGAATCCAATGCTTACGTTCTCTAGAATAACTAAAAATCATAACATGTAGGAGTAAAAATATGAAGGTGAAAGAAGAGAGGCTTTTACACAGGACAGAGCTAACATCTAGTATATCAGGCTCACCAAAAAAGGGAAAACAAACTGCATTTAATCAGATTATGCTCAGTATCTAAAATTCATGGTGGAATACGAAAATGGCATAATTTACTCATTCTATAAATATTTTGTGAAAACTTACTATGCCACATATTCTATCAGAACATCACTGTTTCCCATTCTGGGCAAAGATGATACATGAATTATGGTAATTCTAAGCTGCTTTACCAAACAGACTCCAAGATAAATACTTAAATAATGTAGAATTGTGTTGCTCTTTTATGTACTTATTTTATTTATTATTATTATTACTATACTTTAAGTTTTAGGATACATGTGCACAACGTGCAGGTTTGTTACATACGTATACATATGCCATGTTGGTGTGCTGCACCCATTAACTCGTCATTTAGCATTAGGTATATCTCCTAATGCTATCCCTCCCCCCTCTCCCCACCCCACAACAGTCCCCGATGTGTGATGTTCCCCTTCCTGTGTCCATGTGTTCTCATTGTTCAATTCCCACCTATGAGTGAGAACATGCGGTGTTTGGTTTTTTGTCCTTGCGATAGTTTGCTGAGAATGATGGTTTCCAGCTTCATCCATGTCCCTACAAAGGACATGAACTCATCATTTTTTATGGCTGCATAGTATTCCATGGTGTATATGTGCCACATTTTCTTAATCCAGTTTATCATTGTTGGACACTTGGGTTGGTTCAAGACACATAATTGTCAGATTCACCAAAGTTGAAATGAAGGAAAAAATGTTAAGGGCAGCCAGAGAGAAAGGTCGGGTTACCCACAAAGGGAAGCCCATTAGACTAACAGCTGGTCTCTCGGCAGAAACTCTACAAGCCAGAAGAGAGTGGGGGCCAATATTCAACATTCTTAAAGAAAAGAATTTTCAACCCAGAATTTCATATGTACGTCTTTTAATAATACTTGCTTCTTGTGTTCCTTCAGGGACCCAAATTTCTTCCAAGACATCAGCCCTCCATTCTTTTTTTCCCTTCATAGCATGTTTTTATTTATCACATAAATTCACCATTTTCAAGTATACACTTCACTATGTTGTGCAACTGTCACCACTATCTAAGTCCAGAAAATATCCATCATCTCAAAGGGAAACCCCAAACCTATTAGAAGTTAGTCTCACATGTACACGTATGTTTATTGCAGCACTGTTCACAACAGCAAAGACTTGGAACCAACCCAGATGCCCATCAATGATAGACTGGATAAAGAAAATGTGGCACATATACACCATGGAATACTATGCAGCCATAAAAAAGGATGAGTTCATGTCCTTTGCAGGGACATGGATAAAGCTGGAAACCATCATTCTCAGCAAACTAACACAGGAACAGAAAACCAAACATCGCATGTTCTCACTCATAAGTGAGAACTGAACAATGGGAACACATGGACGCAGGGAGGGGAACATCACACACTGGGGCCTACAAGGGGGTGGGGTGCTAGGGGAGGGATAGGATTAGGAGAAATACCTAATGTAGATGATGTGTTGATGGGTGCAGCAAACCACCATGGCATGTGTATACCTATGTAACAAACCTGCACGTTCTGCACATGTATCCCAGAACTTAAAGTATAATACAAAAAGAAATATTAAAAAAATAAAAATTAAAAAAAATATATATATACTTAACTGATATTGAAATACCCTT
Source organism: Homo sapiens (assembly GCF_000001405.40). Taxonomy (NCBI): domain Eukaryota; kingdom Metazoa; phylum Chordata; class Mammalia; order Primates; family Hominidae; genus Homo; species Homo sapiens. Next base: position 47,739,459 of record NC_000023.11, read on the forward strand.
GAATTCCTGAAATACAATGCTCTTTGCCATAGTGTATTACTCTTTGTTGTTGCAATTATTAATAACAGTGCTGGGTTTTTACTTAGAATATTCATTCATATGTATAAGTAAGATTGGTCTATAGTTTTGGTTTTTTTCTTTTGTTTTGAGACAGAGTCTCGCTCTGTTGCCCAGGCTGCAGTGCAGTGGCATGATCTCGGCTCACTGCAGCTCCACCTCCTGGGTTCGAGCTGGGATTACAAGCATGCACCACCATGCTGGGTTAATTTTTTTTTTTTTTTGAGATGGAGTCTCACTCTGTCGCCCAGGCTGGAGTGCAATGGTGCGATCTCAGCTCACTGCAAGCTCTGCCTCCTTGGGTTCATGCCATTCTCCTGCCTCAGCCTCCCAAGTAGCTGGGACTACAGGCGCCCACCACTATGCCCAGCTAGTTTTTTTGTATTTTTAGTAGAGACGGGGTTTCGCTGTGTTAGCCAGGATGGTCTCCATCTCCTGATCTCATGATCTGCCCGCCTCGGCCTCCCAAAGTGCTGGGATTACAGGCGTGAGCCACCATGCCTGGCCTGGGCTAATTTTTGTATTTTTAGTAGAGACGGGGTTTTGCCATGTTGTCCAGGCTGGTCTCGAACTCCTGACCTCAGGTGATCTACCCGCCTTGGCCTCCCAAAGTGCTGGGATTACAGGTGTGAGCTACTGTGCCTGGCCTATGGTTTTGTTTTGCCTTGTGTTTATCAGGTTTTCATATTAATGCTGCACTGGCTATATGAAATGATTGGTGAGTTTTTTTTTAATTGGGATACTTTAAACAACGTTGGAATTATCCTTCTTGCAACCCTAGTACTTTTTAAATTATGGATTTAAAAAATCACTTTACACTGTCTTCTTTGTAACTGGTCTATTGACATTTTAAATTTCTTCTTGGGTTAGTTTTGGTCATTTATGTTTTTCTAGAAAATTATCCATTTTCTCTAGATTTTCCAATGTGTTGCTATATCGTTGCATGCAGCATTTCAAAGTGAATCTTTCTACCTTCATCTTATTTTACCTCTTGGTAGCATTCTACAGAGTTGAAGATTCTACTTGTGAATTTTTTTTTTTTTTTTTGACAGAGTCTCGCTCTATCGCCCAGGCTGGAGTGCAGTGGTGCAATCTCGGCTCACTGCAAGCTCTGCCTCCAGGGTTCACGCCATTCTCCTGTGTCAGCCTCCCGAGTAGCTGGCACTACAGGTGCCCGCCACCACGCCCAGCTAAATTTTTTGTATTTTTAGTAGAGATGGGGTTTCACCGTGTTAGCCAGGATGGTCTCGATCTCCTGACCTCGTGATCCGCCCGTCTCGGCCTCCCAAAGTGCTGGGATTACAGGCGTGAGCCACCGCGCCCAGCCCTATATTTGTGAGTTTTGAGTTTCTTGATTTATTGAATGGATGTGATGAATTTATATCTTTAGCGTGACCATGCAGAGAAATGTATGATGGATAGTAATGGAAAATTACAGGAAATCTGAAAATTTAATAAATTATTTGTTGACAAAAAAAAAAGTCTCAATTTTTCCCTGCTTCCACCCCTTGACAACCAGTAATTTATTTTCTGTCTCTGGATTTGCCCTCTGGACATTTCATAAACATGGAATCATGCACTATGTGGCCTTTTGTGTCTGGATTCTTTCACTTAACATAATGTTTTCAAGGTTCATCCATGTTGTAGCTTGTAACAGTACTTCATTCTTTTTTGTGGCTGAATAATATTCCATTTTATGAATATACCACGTTTTGTTTGTCCATTCATCAGCTGATGGATAGCTTCATTTTTCTAGTTTAATGCCAGGCATTTAAAATTTTTATTTTTTAATTTATAAAGAAAAGAGGTTTATTTTTGCCCATGTATTCTGCAGGCTGTACAGGAAGCATGGTGCCAGCATCTGCTTCTGGTGAGGGCCTCCATCACCGTTCCACTCATGGCAGAAAGTGAATGAAAGCAAGTCTGTGCAGAGATCACACAGTGGGAGAGAAAGTGAGAGAGAGGGGAGGAAGCGCCAGACTCTTTTTAACAACCAGCTCTGGTGGCAACTAACAGAGTGAGAACTCATTCATTGCTGCCAGGACAGTACCAAGCCACTCATGAGAGATCCATCCTCATGACCCAAACACCTCCCACTAGGCCCCACCTTTAACACTGGGGATCAAAGTTTAACATGAGATTTGAATGGGTCAAATATCCAAACTATAGCATTCTGCCCCTGGCCCCACAAATCCCATGTTCTTCTCGTGTTGCAAAATATAATCATCCCTCCCCAACAGTTACCAAGAATCTTAACTCGTTCTACCATCAACTCAAAAGTTCAAAGTTCAAAATCTCATCTGAGACTTAAGGCAAGTTAATTACAGTTGTGAGCCTGTAAAATAAAAGGCCAGGCATGGTGGCTCACGCCTGTAATCCCAGCACTTTGGGAGGCCGAGGCAGGAGGATCACCTGAGGTCAGGAGTTCGAGACCAGCCTGGCCAACATGGTGAAACCCCGTCTCTACTAAAAATACAAAAATTATCCGGGCCTGGTGGTGCACGCCTGTAATCCCAGCTACTTGGGAGGCTGAGGCAGGAGAATCGCTTGAACCCAGGAGGCAGAGGTTGCAGTGAGCCAAGATTGGGCCACTGCACTCCAGCCTGGGGGACAGAGCAAGGCTCCATCTCAAAAATAATAATAATAATAAAATAAAAATAAGAAACAAGTTATTTACTTCCAATATACAATGCTGGTACAGGCATTGGGTAAATTCCCATTCCAAAACGGAGAAATGGGTAACAGGCTCCATGCCAGTCCAAAACCCAGCAAAGCAAGCATTAAGTCTTTCTTTACAAAGTCTTTATAAAATTAGAGACAGGGTTTTTCTCTGTTACCCAGGCTGGTGTGCAGTGGATTAACGCTGCTGAGTGCAACCTCGAACTCCTGGACTAGAGTGATCCTCCTGCCTCAGCTTACCAAAATGCTGGGATTACAGGCATGAGCCACCATGCCTAGAGAGCATTAAATAACAGTACCTGGTAGATTATAAGTCCCAGATAAATACACAGCAAATAGTAATTGCCACATAAATATTTATAATAATAATGATCATCATGATCATCATCATTGTCATATGACTCATATTTCCCTGTGTTCCAATTGGGTGAACAATATGTGCTTTCTCCTCCATCCTCTAACTATTCTTTCAGTTATAATTACTCTGTCTTTTACATTTCAGAAGGGGAATTTGGGCTTGAAGTCACACAGCAGTAAATTCTGAAAAAACTTGACTTCACAGTGAGATGCTTCCTGTTAGAAAAAATTATGATGACCAGATGGAGAAATATCAGGAACATCCAAACAAACCTTGAAGTCATATTTCTTTCATCAAAAAGAAAACATTAAATACAAGAGAGATTATGATTATTACTATGTTGTAAAAGTATTTCAAGTGGTTCCAAACATTGTCCTCTAACAAACAGACCCCATTAATTTGATTCATTTGTAAAGAATTGGAAACAAAATGTAGACTCACAGAGTGATAATAGAAGCAGTACCTCAAAGAACCTTGACAAGATTAACTATTGACTATTTTCATGTGTAGTTCATTCTGTAATAAACATGAAAATATTTATGCAGGAGAGAAATTTTAAAATGCAATCCATGGAAATGAAATCCATGTAGCGTGTGTATTCACAAAACTCATAGAGTGCTCTACAGTGCTACAAAGCACTCTGTGAGTGTGGTGAATACATAAAGGCTCCATCCAGAAGGCAACACTCAAGGTCCAACAAAGAATTCACACTGGACAGAAACCTGACAAGTGCAGTGGCTGTAGAAAAGCCTTCACTGGGATTTCACGTTTCAGGAAACACCAAATGATTTATACTGAAGAGAGGCAATGTGAATACGATAGTCAAGTGCAGTGGTATGCGCCTATAGTCCTAGCTACTTGGGAAGCTGAGGCAAGAGGATCGCTTGAGTCAGGAGTTCAAGACTGCAGTGTGCCATGATAAGATCATGCCTGTGAACAGTCACTGCACTCCAGCCTGGGCCACATAGTGAGACCCCATATCTTAAAAAAAGAATATTGTGAATGTGGTACAACATTCAATCAGAAATCAATACTAAATATGCATCAAAAAACTCACAAGGAGAGAAACTTTATGTATGTAATGAATGTGGTGAGGCCTTCAACTGGAAGTCAAACTTCATTACCCACCAGATGATTCATGCTGGAGAGAACCTTAGGATGCAATCTCGTGGGAAATTCTTAACTTCCAAGCCACAACTCTTATGGCAGTCAGCAAGTTCACATTGAAGCCAAGCTATATTTATGTACCGAATGTGGAAGTGCTTTCACCAAAAAATTAAGCCTTCTCACACACCAGAAAACTCATACTGGAGAGAAACTCTGTACTGACTGAGAGAGGACCTTCAGACAGAGGCCAGAGTTGATTATAGATCAGAAAATTCATTCTGCAGAAAAGCCTTATTAATGCAGTGTCTGTAGGAAATCTTTTGCTAGGAAATCATGCCTCCAACTGCGTCAGCAAATTCACACAGGAGAGAAACCCTATATATGTTCTGAATGTGGGAAGGCCTTCACCAACAGTTCCACGCTGGAGAAATGCTACAAAACTTGCATTTAAGATAAACCCTACAAGTGTAGTGACTGTGCTAAGTCTCCATTCAGAAGTCTGTTCTCATTATGTGTGGAACTATTTATACTTTCGAGAAAACGTGTTTGTTTTTGAAAAACGATAAAGCTTTCTCAGGAATCAGATCTGATTGATTTATGTGGAAAAGCCTTAAGTGAGAAGTTGTTCCTTACTGTACATGTGGGAAATAATTCTCAAGGGAACCTTTAAGAATGCATGGCAGGAAGGGGGGAAATTCCTTTTAAAAATATTTTTTATTTTATTTTTTGGTAGAGAAGGGGTCTCCCTACGTTGACCAGGCTGGTCTTGAATGCCTGGGCTCAAGCAATCCTTCTGCCTCGGCCTCCCAAGCACTGGGATTACAGGTGTGAGCCACCATGCCCGGCCAGGAAATTTCTTATTTGCACCAGCCTTATTGATTATCACAATCTTCATGTTGACAATTTAATGCATTAGGAAAGCTTTCTTGTAAAATTTTTCAAAACAGATTTTTGGTAGAAAAGTTTGTGGGAAATTATATAAATAATAATGCTATACACCATGGAAAGTTATGCATTTTAAAGTGTGGAAAAAATGAATGATAGGTTCACAATACAGTTCTGAGGGAAACATGTTCTTAAATCCATAAAGATTATGTTGCAAAGTAAAAGGAGTAACAGGAAGTATAAATGTATTGTTATTTTTAAAATCTAAAGTAACTGCATTTCACATTCTCTAGCAACATATTCTAAAATAAAAATCATGACACTAATTTATTCATCTATACATACACAATAGTGTATGTTTAGTTTTTAGTAAATGCATGAACATGATCTAATCATAGATACTGGCTTATGTAATGTATCTTTTATCTTCCTTGTTTACTTTTCCACCCCCTCTGTCCCATTTCATTGCATCTTCACCCACATCAGCAACCCCCTAGAGATATCCATCTAGTGTGATCTGTTTTATTTTTGTCCCTGTGCTTATAATTATATATACACACATAAATTATCTCTACATACTTATACTTGTATAGGAGTTCATTTCTTCTCTGTTTTAGAAAAGTAACATTGTTATTCCCACATCCCTGCATCTTCGTTTTTTGCTTAACACCTCTTTTAATGGTATTGAATTTTCCCAACCATTACTCATGTGTCAGTTAGTCACCAGGTAATCAACACGAGAGCTCATAGGCATGTACCTATAAGTGTTCATTCTCACAGATTTACAGTTCATCTGGGGTTCTGTTCATCCAAGCTAGGCTTGGTTGGGTGGCTCTATTTAAGGTTGTGGTAGCTGTGGCATCTCTATTCTTCAACTCTCTCAGTGTGGGGCTTGAGTTTTAGGGGCAGAGGTTCCCCATGGGAATATTCTTCTCACAGCTATGGCAGAAACATAAGGGGACATGGGAAAACTATGGGGTGACTAATGAGGCTCTGTGGTATGGGTTATGGAGGGATTCTGTGTGGTCAGTGATGAGGAAATCTGTGTAGTTAATAACTAAGGATCTTTGCAATCAGTGATGGGGTTGTGTACATCTTAAAGCCTAGACCTAGAGCTGACACACTCACTCTCACATGCTCTTGGCCAAAGTAAGTCACATGTGCAAGTCCAAGTTGAAGAGACAGGGAAGTATACTCTGCTCACGTGAGGGCAAGGCAAGGATGTAGATGCAGGAAGGGCTGAAAGGTTGGGGCCAATGACTTCATCTATCACGAAACAATGGTTTTTTTTTTTTCTTTTAACAATTTCTCTACTTTTTTTTTCCACCCAAAACAATGTTGTCAATAAATACCATAGAGAGAGGGAGTAGAGCATAAGTAGGTGTTTCAGCTCTGGAGCCAGACTTTCTAAAATCCATATGGTAAAAACACATATGCAAGAAGAGGAGGAGAAATGAGAGAGGCTAGCACTGCCCAACTTTAGATTCTACTACAACCCCCCCCTATAATTAAAGCAATGGGATACTGACACAGGAATGGGCAGACAGACCATAGACTAGAAATAAAAATTCCAGGCATAGACCCAAGTATATGTAGAAATTATAGTACTGTGTATGAGAAAAGAGTTCAAGACACTGGGGCAGGCTGGGCACGGTGGCTCACACCTGTAATCCCAGCACTTTGGGACGCTGAGGAGGGCGGATCACTTGAGGCCAGGAGTTTGAGACCACCCTGGCTGACACAGCAAAACCCCTTCTCTATTTTTTTTAATTTAATTTATAAAAAGACACCGGGGCAAAGATGTACTTTTAAATAACTGGATAGCCGTTTAGAAAAAAAGATTAAATTGGATCTATATCTCGCACCATACATGAGAATTGTAAGAGCCCAGTAATAGACCCCAGGTAGATCATAACCTTTGTCTTAAACTAAAACTGAAAAGTGTGTGGTCGGGGAAGAAGTGGGGCTTAGAAGATAAAACAGCCTCTGATTTCTTTCAGCTGGGAATTGGCCTTCTCCCGACAGCTAGGCTTTGATGTTCTGCTGTTGAACATAAACAATTTCCCAGTACAAGAGATAAAAACAGGACCACCCTGTCAGCACAGTGGACCACAGACAAAACAAAAAAGAACGCCAGATGTGCTAACTCTAAGTCTCTCCTTTCTCTACAACTTAGGAAGTGTCTGGCACAGTGTTACCTTTTGCTCAGCAAGTCACTGATTTAGATCAGGGGCTCCCTGCTGTGGAGCAGTTTGAATAAAGCATTTCTTATACTTTTCAGCTCAGTCTCAGATTTGAAAGTTTTTAGATAGAATAAGCTGTAAATGGATGACAGATCTAAATGTAAAAATAGTGAAATTATATAGGTACTAGAATATAATATACGTGAATTCCTTTCTAACAGTTGTGAGGAAAGGCCTTCTAAATGACCCAAATCCAGATACCTCATAGATTCGATGTAAGAACAAAACTGAATTAATACACATAAAGCACTTGGAAGTGGAGCTAGTAAGTGCTCCATGAATAGTACACCTGATCCTTCATGCCAGAGTTTTTGTTTTGTTTGTTTGAGACAGGGTCTTGCTCTGTCACCCAGGCTGGAGTCCAGTGACATGATCATGATTTAGTGCAGTCTTGACCTCCAGGGCTCAAGCAATCTTCTTGCCTCAGCCTCCTGAGGAGCTGTGACCAGAGGTGCATACCAGCACACCCAGCTAATTTATTTTTATTTTTATTTTTTGTAGAGATGGGGGCTCACTATGTTGCCCAGGCTGACCTCGAACTCCTGGGCTCAAGTGATCCTCCTGCCTTGGCCTCCTAAAGTATGGGAATTACAGGCGTGAGCTACCATGCCTCACCTGTTTTGTTTGTTTTCGTTTTCTTGTGTTGTCATTTTTGCGTGCTGATTCATTTCCAGTATCTGCAAGAGCAGAATCCAAGGAAATATAGAGACTAAGAAAACACCAGTTGTCCATATTAGATATTAATAATAACTGCTTCTATTTTCCTTTGGAGGTTGGGGTGTGTTCTGATAGTTATTAAGAGGGGCTTTTAGAACCCTGCCTCCACTTGCCACCAGTACAGTTGGAGTGGGCTGTGCTGTCATAGTATCTTCTCCTCATTTTCCCTAGTATTCTCATCCCAGAACAGCATGTAGCATCCTGACAATTACCCCAGTGTTATCTCCTAAGCTCTCATTCCTGGCTCTTTCCCATCCTCTTCTTAGCAAATGGTCCCTTGACACCATTGCTATGCACTGAGGGGCACCTCTGCTTCTCTAAATATTGCTGCAAGCTCTAGGTACCAGCTCCAAAGACACTTCCCTCCAGAAAACCTGTCCAGAGGAGGACCCCACCCTTGCTGCCTGCTGCTCTGGTATAAGTTCACAACTCTGCTCTGTGAGGCAGGAGGTGCCTTTGTCTTCTGTATGGAATGGACACCTTCCCCAGATAATGATGCCCACAGTGAAGAGCCAAGTGGGCACAGCCATATTCCCTGCCCTACAGCACTGCAGACACCTTTTCATTTCTATTGCAGTAGTGAAAGCTGTCAAAACAATACTAAGTAACGGTGATTATGGAGCCTATCTTGTTGGTTTCTTCAGTGGAGACGTCTTCAGTATTTTTCAATTCAGTGTTCTGTTTCTTGATGACTTTCAGTAAATGATCTCTATTGTATTTAAGGTTTTAATATTCCTGCTTTGGTTTGAATTTTGATTGAGAATGACTGCCAATTTGTGCCCAATGCCTACTGTATATCCATTGATATAATCATGTGTTCCCCTAGGGATCATGTATACTTGCTGTGGTACTATAGTGTCCTTTCTCCTTGGGACCAACCTCCTCTTCAATTAATGCGCTCTGGGTCTGAAAGTGGCTCAGGTCTGGAAACTCGCCTCTGTTGCATTGCAGTCCTATCATCCTCAAAGCAATCAGTTAGCAAAAGTCTGTAACAGCTTTTCCTATTGCCAGCCCTGACCTAGAAAGGAGAGACACCACTGAACTTAGTGATGTCGGTGTCCCTCTCACCTGAAAATTCTTAATGGCCTTTGTAAATATGACTTCTCGTGGAGTGTAATTATCCAGTTTCTGGTAGTGTATCCAGCAGGTCCACTTCCCTGCGACTTTTCATCCCTTCTCCCACTAACTGCCATGGCAAATCTGGCATTTCAACATCCCTTAGCACAGATTATTGCTTGCCCCATATTGCAAGGAACCATCTCAGTGGTGAATTACATCATTTCCTGAAGTCCTTGCCAAGATGTTAAATCCTGTGTTTCTCTTTTACCCATTCTTGTGTTCTTCCCATCCACCACCTCTTGATCCAATGCCCTCAGAATCCCTCTTGATCAAGCACCCTCAAAATTCTGCCCCATATGTACTCCTCCGGCTCTTGTTGGTACATGCAGCCCAGGCCTTGCATCGCCTTTGCAGTATAGCCTCTTTCCTCCCTTTTCATGCCCAGCACATATCTGTGGGTTATCCCGTGGCTTAACCTTATTTATAGGTATAGTGGCAAAGAGGGGAAGTGAGGGTAGATCCTGATGGGGGCACAGTGGAGGGGCTGCAGTGTACTTCAGCATAGGGGTGTGATAGTCCTTAACAGGGAGGGATGGGCCACTTCTGCAGGCTTACAGTGTTCAGAGATATGGTAACCAGCATCCAAGATGGACCGTAATAACCCTTGCCTTCTGGTATTCATGCCCTAGTATAGTCCCTTCTCACGCTGGTTAGGGACTTGATCCTGTATGACCAATTCAGTACACTTGAGTCTACGTCATAGAAACCACTGCAGCTGTTTCCTTGACCTCTCAGATCATTCACTCTGGGGGAAGCCAGCTGCCACACTGTGAGAACAACCCTGTGGAGAGAGCCATGCGGGGAAGAACTGAGGCTCCTGGCCAATAAACAGCCAGTACCAACTTGCTAGCCATGTGAATGAGCTAACTTGGAAGTGGACACTCCAGGACCAGATGGCGTTACAGATGACTTTAGCCTCAGCCAATATCTAATGCAACCACAAGAGAAACCCTAAGCAAGAACTGCCGAGGCAAGTCCTTGAATTTCTGACCCACAGAATATGTAGGCATAATAAATGGTTGTTTTACATAACTAAGTTTTGGAGAAATTTGCAACATAGCCATAATAACTGGAATAAAAGGAATCTGGAGATTCAGGATTTTGGAGGTCATCAACCCAGACGTACCCTGTGTCAAGGTTGCTTCCTTTCCCAGTCAGAGCCCTGACCTTGGCATAGAAGATTTGCCTTAGTTGAGAGTTTCACTTTCCTTGTACTCTACTGCTCTGACCAAGTCCTGAGCCTTGTCCTTAGTGTCCTTTGCCCTTCCACTTCAGGACATGAAAGCTTCTTCATATGCTGCTGCCAAGGAAGCCCCTTGAGGCTTTTACACTTTGTTTCATTGCCTGTTAACCACTCTGTGCCTTTTATTGTCGTTTTGTAGACTGTCAATTGAGCTCAGCAAAGGCACCAAAAACTTTTAGCCTGATTGTTACTATTTCCCCCATGTGCATCCCCCTCCACCAGTAGCCAGCCCAGTTCACCACCTGTGAGAGTTTTAACAATTGAATTGTTTATTTATTCCAGGAGCTGTTTGCACTCCACCTGCTACTAATAATGATGACTTCTTTCTCAGATGGGCAGTGGGTGATGTAGTTCCAGAACTCCATTTCATCCACAGCTTGCTGTCTCAGAGCACTTCTGATACTAATTGTTATGTGTTGAGTTCCCTAGGAAGCAGACCCTGAGAAAGAGTTTAGAGTACAGGATGTTTATTAGGGAGGGCCCTTGGGAGAAACACCTGTGGGAAAGAGTGGAAGGAAGCTGGAGTGAACAGAAGAAGCTGAGCTGTGCTGAAGACCAAATGACAGCCTTAGCCAATCCTGCAGGGAGCTTTGGAGCTAGAATGGCTCTTTGCTGTGCTGAGTTTTTATTCCCTAGACTTGATCAGACATTGGATGGGGACTGCCCCAGGAAAGGGCATGATCTTGGGCATGGTAGCTCCGTGCATCTCAGGCAATTCCTTAAGGGATTTACAGTCCTGAATACTGTCAGCTGATAACTGGGAAACCATCTTTCCTTGAAGAGAGATCTGGGTGGTAGGTCACGGTGACCATGGGAGTTGTTCAACAGACATTGGGCTGAAAGCAAATGGGGTATCTTGATGTTACAGGAATCCCTGCTTACCGGGCCTCTGGTTTAATCAAATGTGACTAGAGTGAGTCCATTTTGGAGTGAGTAACTAGGCACTCACAAGGCACCTATAGGGTTAATACTTAGGCTCTGAAAATAGCCACATTCTAAGTTGACCATCAATTATAAATACAGAATATTTACGGCCATACAGAGCATCTCCCACCAAGCCAGCAGAATGTCCACATGTCCTAAGCATGCAGCCCACTTTGCTTAAAGATAACATTAATGAGCAAGTTTAGGTTGAAGGATTAATGGTCATTAATAACACCAATTGCTCCTACCCATAGTGAACACATCTGCACTTTCCAAGTTTAATTCTAGCTCCTTATAGTTTCTTATAAGTAGGGACACTAACAAAGGACAATGCTTTCCTCCTCTTGCTTTCTGAGGACACCCTACTCTGTAACAGAATAGTTTCCACTAAACTTGCTTCTTTCACTGTGCTCTGTGAATTGTCTCTAATTCTTTCCTGTGCAAGATCCAAGAACCTGCTATTGAAATCTGGATCGGGACCCTCTTTTCTAATAACAGTGAGGCCCAGTGAAAGGACCTCATGAGGTTTTCCACAAACACCGTGATGGAGGAAAACGGGAAGTTCAGCAAATGGTGTGCTGAAGGAAATAGCGGGACAGCAGACTGCTGGGAGAAAATGGGGAAACAATAGATGCTGTTCAGGGGACAGTAGGGATTTGAGGACACTATATGATCTCCCAACACCCTCTGCGCCCCTTCAATTTTCCCCCAACATAACCCCTGAAACACTTTGGTTTCATTGCCTGTTAACAACTCTCTGCCTTTTATTATCATTTTCTAGATTGTCAATTGCGCTCAGCAGATGCACCCAATACTTTTAGCCTTATTGTCACTAGCCTTATTGTTACAGAATAATAGTGTGATGGGGGCTAATGATGAACTCATTGACACAGGAATTTTCTCTCAGCCCCTTTGCCAGACTCGCAGCAAGGGCACCCTCTCTACTCAGCCCGTGCCACTCAACCCCTTGTGGGAGGGAGCACATGAGCAAGTGAGTGTGGGATAAGCTCTTTTAGTTCTGCTGTCCACAGCCCATTGAACAGCGGTGTGTTAGCAGCTCAGCTGGCTCCTGGCCCCGTCATGTGGGGTGGCTGCCCTCTGCTGGCGAGGGCAAAGGGCCAGTGCAACAACCTTTATGGGTACCTGCACTAGGTGGGTCCTGAACCCTAGTTCAGCATCCAAGAAGAATGAGGATGTGCTATCAAGGAGTGAGCAAGGTGGGGGGTTTTACTGAGGGATGAGTGATGAAATAGCTTTCTGTGGAGAGGGGATACGTGGGTGGACCCCCTACCTGAAGGCAGGAAAGCCCCCCAACCCCCCACCCTCCGCTGCAATGTGTCTGAGTCTGGGGCTTTCATGGGCTCAGAATAGGGGAGGGGCAGGCAAACAGGAACAGATGTTTTCACTCTGGTCCAAGGTTTTACCTGGGACTGTCCTCAGCTTGAAGGTGGGGTTTCACCAGGGACCCACCCCTATCTTCCTAGGCATTTGGCTGCCTCTTGTCGCTATCATCATTAGCCTCCATCACATTATTATTCTGTGACTCCCTACTGGACCCCAGCACAGTATCTGTGAATCACCAACAACAGCAAGGGCAACGTCTACTGACTCCATCAGCACCCCCTAGAACAGCATTTTCTACTCTACCTGGCCCTGATCCGTGTCTTCTGACATCCAAATAGCCTGAATCATCACAGTGTCCAATGACTTCACTAGGCCACAGCTCAGTCACAGCTGTTCCGTTTTGAGTTTTAATCTTCTTTTTCAGTAGGCACTCTCTTTGCAACCCAGGGTCCCTGGGTTTTGGAGTATGTAACCAAACTCAGGCCTGGGCCACTAGTTATTTGAAAGCCAAAAGCTCAAAAGCCAAGCTTTGGTAAAAGGAAAGGTAGCTTTACTTGAGAAGCCAGCAACCTAGGGGAGGCAGTGAACTAGCATTCAAAGATTCAAAGACCACCTTACCGAGTTGTGTCTCTGGATCAGGGAGGTTTAAGGGAAATTAGGGGAAATGATGATCAAAACATTTGCACGCGTGCAGTCTCGAGTGGGCAGTTAATCATTGCTTTCTTGGTCAATGTTTTGTGGCCTTCTGCAGGCGCTATCAGCGTATATTCTTATCAGGCTGGTCAGCATGTCCCAGAGTTGTTGGTCAGCGTCTTTTCTTTTATCTCTATTGAAGGTCATGTTTCCTGAGGCTGTTTTTCCTGAATAATCTACAAACTCAAGCAAAGTAATAATTATATTCAAACAAATAAACTTTTCTCTAACATGGAGTCAGTACTGTGAAAAAGTATCCATTTTTAACTGTTGCACCTTGGGTTCTTATTTCAAAAAGTTCCATGAAGAAGATCAGCCCCAGCAAAACAAACAAACAAACAAACAAAAACAGTTGGATCCAGAGATGCCTGAGTTAGAGATGACTTTGGCAACTCTCCTCATTGGCATACTTAAAACCCTGCTCAGGGAGGAGCTTATTTGCCACCTTCTATGCGGAAGCATGTTCACGACTGCACCTGTGCTGCCTTTACTCCACCTCTACATACAATGACTCGGCTAACCAGCCCCACCAAGGCCCTTGTTTTCACCTTCGTTCCAGGAGGTGCTGCTTTGAGGAATTATCCCCAGTGTCCTCCTTGTTGCAAGTAATAAAATCCTCTTGTTAAGTCCTCCTTGGTTTTGGTCATTGGACAGTCACTGCCAAGCAATCAAACCCACTCGTATGAGTAACACCTTGTTGAGATGTAGCACAAGGATTAGTTGGGTATGTACTCTTAGCTTCCTGCTGGTTCCTGCTTTCACCACCCTGGCAAAGAGATGTGCCAATGCACAGAAATACAACTTCACCTTGACTTTGGGGACATCTGCACCGCCTCATTGAGTACATGTCAATGTGTAAGGTCATCTCCACTGAGCCTTGCTGATGCGAGGGAGAGGAAAAGCAGGATCTGACACACTGCCTGTTGCTGCAGGGTGGGAGCAGAAGCTCAGCTCCCTATTGGGCCCTGCTGATGGCAAGGGTGGAGGAAAACAGTGTGTCCTCTAGCTGTTTCCCGCCACTTCATTCTGCCTCATTGATGCCATGTGTGGCTTGATTCTCAGGTCCTAACTGGGATCCACTGACACCCAAGTGGTGGCCTTGTTCAGTCTCATTCCTTCTAGATGGGCCCCACTGGGCCCCACTGACCCAAGGGGTGGGAGGCAAGTGGATTTCTGACTGGCCCTGACTTTTGCTGCATTGTTCAGTCTTTTTGATACCAGGTAGAGTGGAGGCCCAGCTCACACCGGACCTCCCTGATACTACCATTGTGGAAGAATTGGAGGACTGCCTGCTTTTTCCAGGCAGGGGGATGTATGTAAGATCAGATCTGCACCCCACCTTAGTGACACTAACCTGGCAGGAGAGTGAGAGTGCCACATGCTTCCACTGGGCAGAGGATGAAATATTAACTCCCTGCTCTGTCCCATTGACACTACCCCAGCAGGGGATGAGAGTGCTGCCCTGTGCTTTCTGCAAGGTGGTGGGGTGGGGATCAGGTCCCCACTCATCTTGCTGAAATGGGTGGGGTCGGGTTTTTCTATTGGTGTTTGACTGGAGTAAGATGGGTACTGCCAAAAAAGTTTTTCTGATTTTCCCTTTTCACTCCTTGTATAGTAACCGCATAAATCTGTTATCTGTTTAGGTTTGTTCTCTCACCTGTCTGTATTCCTTTGCCTTTGGACTCGTTTGAATTTTTCTGACCATGTTATGATCTCATTAAGGCCTCAACCCAAATAGCTGCTCTTGTTGGCAATGGCAACATCAAGGCCAGGACTTTTTTTTTTTTTTAGACAGGGTCTTACTCTGTCACCCAGGCTGGAGTGCAGTGGCACAATCACAGCTCACTGCAGCCTCAATCTCCTGGGCACAAGAGATCCTCCCACCTCAATCTCTCAAGTTTCTGGGACTACAGGTATGTACCATCATGCCCAGTTAATATTTTTATTTTTATGTTTTGTAGAGACGAGGTCTCGCTATGTTGCCCAGGTTGGTCTTGAACTCCTGGGCTCAAGTGATCCTCCTGCCAGGCCTCTCAAAGTGCTGGGATTACAGGTGTGAGCCCAATGAGGACTCTTTTCTAATTTGTCATAGGAATTGAACTACTTCACTGCATAACATGTGTTCAGTTTTGGTTTGGCTGCCTGACACTGGGGTTTGGTGGTGCCATTTAAAATACCACCAGACCCCATACAGGGCTTGCATTGTCTCTTCTACCATAGGGTTATGTAATCATTCAGTCATAGTTAGACCCCTGATTAGATGACGGCTTCTGCTACCAAAATCCACATCTCCACAGAGTAGAGTGACAGTGAAATATCCCTGCTGAGGACCAGACTGGGATTTTTTTTGTTAAAGAAGCTATCTCTTTAAGCACAAAGACAAAGTCACTGCACAACCCCCAAAATACTAAATATCCCCCTTTTCTTGGCTAAAATGAATGACTTCTGCTTCTTTATCAATTTTAGCCTTATCTTCACTCTATCTAGTTTGCCTTCTCTATAGATAAGATTTGTTGAGATACTCAATCACAGAATTGTTCTACTTTCTGACAACTCCCAATTAGAGCTGGTCTCCACTTCTTTGAACCCTTCAGCAAATTGCCCAACCAAAGCTCAAGTCCTATAATATGTCCTTTTAATATCCTCTTATTGAGATGCTCCATGGTTCCCCATGATGTGCACTCTCTCCTGCTACAATGAGTAATAACCCAACTTACTCAAGTATAGCTATGTTCTTGGTGATCTTTGACTGGGGGCATTGATATCTTGTAACTCTTCGGTTAAAAATTCTTGCTTTTCCTGAATTTTCCATTGGTTTTCTCATCTGGGATTTAATCATGGGATTGCAAGAAGCCAAGTAGGTAGTCTGGCATATTCCCCTCAAGAAACTTGGAAAGTCAAACTACATGGATGAGAAACAATAGGTTGAACCAGCGAGAAACAGCTGGTTGTGCCTATGAGATGGGAAGATTCTCAGAGTTGTATTGAGTCTGAGGGAGGGAAGACTGTTGTAAATTACTTCAGAATTAACTGGTCTCTGTCAAGAGGTAGGTATGAGGGGGACATGGGCTTAGTACTCGGCAATGTGTACCTCCCTGTTATCCTTAGGAATACTATGAACAGCAAAGACAGGTAAGGTAGATTATTCTCTGAGGCTGAGTCATTTGCAAACTAATCTGCTATTCCCTTCACTGGAAAAGGGGCTGCAGGTGAGCAACCACTCTTTCCTCTATAGCATCTACTTTCTCTTCATCAATCTGAACTCACTCCTTAACTTGTCCTGAAATAGCCCACATCCCTGACATTTTATTAATTCTCTTTCCTGGACTTGACTCCAGAAAGTACCTAAGAGGGTAAATACTATGTAAGACACTGTGAGTAGAACTTTAGACTCTCCACCTCCACTTCTTCTTCCCAGTATACCCATTTAACTAACTGCCCTGGGAACACTGTTAATCTCTGTCCCATCATATGGACTCCCTGTACTGTACCAATAAGGCCCCTGGTTAGGGGGCACATTCTTTCCCTTTCAGGCAATCCCAGAATGCATTTACCCTTACCCCGATCATCTCATCTCTTCCATGTAGCAAGCCATGCTGCAAGATCAATTGGAAATTCTGCATCAAAGTGTTGCAAGACATTAACAAAATTTGAAAACGTTCTGTAATATGTGGTTTGTTCA
Source organism: Homo sapiens (assembly GCF_000001405.40). Lineage (NCBI taxonomy): Eukaryota > Metazoa > Chordata > Mammalia > Primates > Hominidae > Homo > Homo sapiens. The sequence continues at coordinate 47,756,510 of NC_000023.11, forward strand.
ACAGAAAATTATGGAAAAAAACATTGAAGAGGATCAGAATTCCAGTGATACTGAGTGAGGATCTCCATGAAGAGCTGCTCTTCTTATCTTCCCAGCCACAAATTAATTTCCCTAAGTGTCCCAAGCAGAAGTTTCATGGGAGGAGAACATTTCTTAAAGCCCTGGCTAGGTTTTATCAACTAACAAGTGCGTGTATACTTGTGTTAGTCCATTTGCATTGCTATGAAGGAATACCTCAGGCTGGGTAATTTATAAAGGAAAGAGATTTAATTGGCTTACAGTTCTGCAGGCTGTACAGGAAGCATGGCGCCAGCATTTGCTCCTGGTGAGGGCCTCAGGAAGCTTCCAATTATAGCAGAAGACAAAAGGGGAGCAAGCGCATCACATGATGAGAGCAGGAGCAGGAAAGGGGGAGGATGGAAATGCCATACTCTTTAACAACCAAGTCTCGCGTGAACTCAGAGTGAGAACTCATTCTACCAATGAGGAGAGCACCAAACCGTTCACGAGGAATCCATCTCCGTGACCCAAACTCCTCCCACCAGGTCCCACCTCCAACATTGGAGGTCACATTTCAACATGAGATTTGGAGTACACAAATATTCAAACCATATCAGTACTATTACAAATTATGTCATATTGTCATGTACATCTATCAATGATTCAGCTCTGAGAAGCCATTGTAATACATGTATGTTTGATTACTGTGCAGCTATTCTGTACGATAGTTCTGGGACTTCAGATGACCACTGGAAGCAGACTTCTCTGGTGGCCACACTAGGCATCACTACTACAGATATATAATTCCACTTTTCTCCCTTTTACACACTCACACATTTAAATTATACACACACATATACAATATTATGTCATCAGGGCTTTCACTTTGAATGAGGAAGCTGCAATATTAATCTGGAACACAGCTTTACATTTTCTGCAATCTGTTTGCCTAGGAAGAAATCTCTTCATTTAAAGATTAATAATAATGATGATGATAATAATAATTGTTCCCAACCCACAAAGATACTACAAAATAAAATAATGGAAGAAAGAAAAAGTTATACACACACATACACACACACACACACACACAGATCCTGGCTTTTGGATTGAGATATGTAAATTTTTAAATGTTAAGAAAGTATCCATCATTTCCACTTTTCTTGAAGGTTTTTAAATGTTCACACAGTAAAATTGACCTTTTTTGGGTCTGCATCACAGTAAGGATACAGAACAGTTTCATAACCTCTAAAAGATCCCTCATACTACCTCTTTGTAGCCAAATTCTTCCTCCCCACCAGTTCCTGATAATGACTGATCTGTCCTCATCCCTATAGTTTTGTCATTTCCACAATGTTATATAAATGAGATCATATAGTATGTAATCTATCATGAATGGATGTTGAATTTTATAAAGATCTTTTCAGTATCTATGGAAATAATCATACAAGTTTTCTTTTTAGGCTCATTAAAAATAGTGAATTATATTAATATGACAACTCAAATTTTAATCACACCCCCAGAATTTATTAGCTATATGACATTAGACTGGTTACTTGTTCTATGTTCCTCAATGAGGATGAAATGAGTTAATCCAGGTAGAGCACTTAGACTTGCCTGGAACATGAATATTATATGAGCATTTGCAAGTATAATTGCTAACGTTATTACCTAATACATTTGAGATTATAGAGAAGAGGTTTACACACTTGGAAAGTATCTCAGTTATTTGTTGCTACAAAATAAATTACTCCAAAACTTAGTGGCTAAAAACGACAACCATTTTATTTGTTCATGATTTTATAGGACAGCAGCTTTAACTTGGCTCATTTGGAGGGCAGAGTGGTTCTGCTAGTCTTGTCTAATGTCATTAGTGGGACTACAGTCATCTGGCCGCTTGACTGGGACTAAATGTTCTAAGATGGGCTCACTCACAGGTCTAGGGTCTTGGTGGGGATAGCTGGAAGGCTGGTACTTCTCTCCACTTAATCTTGCCTCATTCAATAGTCTTGCCCAGGTTTCCTTTCATAGTAGTCCCAAGGCAGCAAAAAGATGAGAACAGAAGCTGCAAGGCCACTTGAAGCTCAGGCTCTGGAACTGACACAATATTTCCACTGTATTCTATTAGTCAAAATAAGTCACAAGGAAGACCAGATACAAGGGATGGGGAAATTGATTCCATCTCTTGATGGGAGGAATTGCAACATAATGCAGCCATATATTTCAATCTATCAGAGGGGAAATTTGGAGATGGACTAATAATAAAGGTATAGAAAATTAAATAAACAAACTAAGCCAGACAGTTGTTAACTCCAGGGAAGACAAAGAGAGAAACAGAAAAGGAATAGTAATCACAGTATCTATATTATTAAACTCAATTGTGACTACAGTTTACAAAGCCATAATGATAATTATCACTGACCCTAAGTCTGACCACAATTATGATGCATCTATATTAGGAGGATGGAGGCAGTAGAATTATGTATGCGAGTGATGTGCATATGGGATGAGATAGAGAACTACATCTTCTTCCAGCAGGAATTCAGTCAGTAGGGAATACTTAATATTGAAAAATCAAAGAGCAATCTAATTATGTTTCTGACAGTTATGAAGGTAAATACCAATAGAATCCTTGAAAAGGGTAAAAGGTGGTTGCCTCTGGGATAAGAGAATGGGATGAGAGGTGGGGCAGAGCAGGAGACAACTATTTTTTGTAACAATTCTTGTAAAACTACTTGATTATTTTTATGATATGCACATATAATTTTGATAAGTCTATAATTTTCTCAAAAATCTACCTTAATTAAAATGCAAATGATGACTGGGCATGGTGGCTCATGCCTGTAATTTCACCACTTTGGGAGGCTGAGGCAGGTGGATCACTTGAGTTCAGGAGTTCAAGACCAGCCTGGCCAATATGGTGAAACCCTGTCTCCACTAAAGATACAAAAAATTAGCCAGGCATGGTGGTGTGTGCCTGTAATCCCAGCTACTCAGGAGGCTGAGGCAGGAGAATCGCTTGAACCCGGGAGGCGGAGGTTGCAGTGAGCTGAGATCACGCCACTGCACGCCAGCCTGGGCAACAGAGTGAGACTCTGTCTCAAAAAAAAAAAAAAATCCAAATGACAAAGAAGCAAGAAATAGTCACAAATTTATATATAAGAGAAACTATTATCAATCTTACTAAGGTTGTTATCCTTAATATATACAAAGCTCTTTAAAAATAGATAAACCGGCCGGGCTTGGTGGCTCAAGCCTGTAATCCCAGCACTTTCGGAGGCCAAGGCAGGCAGATCATGAGGTCAAGAGATCAAGACCATCCTGGCCAACATGGTGAAACCCCGTCTCTACTAAAAATACAAAAAATTAGCTGGGTGTGGTGGCACAGACCTGTAGTAGTCCCAGCTACTCAGGAGGCTGAGGCAAGAGAATCTCTTGAACCTGGGAGGTGGAGGTTGCAGTGAGCCGAGATAGCACCACTGCACTCCAGCCTGGTGACAGAGTGAGACTCCGTCTCAAAAAAAAAAAAAAAAGGTAAGCTAAGTCAATCAATAGAAAAATAGATCATCAAGGGAAAGGAAAACAAATTTTTAAAAAATAATGAACAGTTTAAGAGTTTTAAAGGTATATTTCATTTTTAAAAGTAATGGAAATTAAATAAAAATGGGATGCTATCTCTCATAGATCAAATTAAGAAAGGTAAAACATAATAACATCTAGGGTTAGTCAGAGTGTGGGCTAATGGGCACTGCTTATAGTAGCGTACAACAGTGTAGGGGCAATTTGGCAAAGAATATAAAAAAGCTTAATAATGGGCTATGCCCTTTTCTCAAAAGTTATAATCTAGAAATACATGCTAAGGAAATAACCAAAGAGAGTAATTTAAAAAATCACAAGCATAGTCAGCACAATTCTGTTAATCAAGGCAGGAAATAATGAAAAACTTAAATAACCAACAGTAAGATCTTGGTTAAAATAAAATATATAACATCTAAGGGCCAGATGCAGTGGCTCATGCCTGTAATCCGAGCACTTTGGGAGGCCGAGGCAGGCGGATCACCTGAGGTCAGGAGTTCGAGATCAGCCTGGCCAGCATGGTGAAACCCCATCTCTACTAAAAATACAAAAATTAGCTGGGTATGATGGCACGTGCCTGTAATCCCAGCTATTCAGGAGACTGAGGTAGGAGAATTGCTTGAACCTGGGAGGCAGAGGTTGCAGTGAGCCGAGATCATACCACTGCACTCCAGCTTGGGCAACAGAGTGAGACTCTGTCTCAAAAAAAAAAAAAAATTTATGTAATGGAATACCATTTAAATAGCAGACAAAGAATCATTATTATTGACATAAAATATTTAATATGAAAATTATTTTTAAGTAATCAAAAAAGATTCAAACATTTGCATATAGTATAAATTCATATTGGTAAAATGTATCTACCTTTCCATCTATAAACATATAGAAATGTTATATGTAGATGATAAAATTACTGGTAATTCATCTTTCTCCATCTTGCTCATCATTTAAAAGATATTTCTGGAACACACATATTTTCCTTGTTTAATTAGAAAAAAACTAAAAACATAATAAAGGTATCCTATCAAAAAAATATTCTCGAGGGATATCCACCAAATTGCTAAGATTTGTTATTTCTCTGTAAATTATGCACTTGCAAGGTTATTACATTTGTGCAGTGGGTGGGACATGTGAAATAAGTTGAAATCTTGGTTCCTTTTCTTTTTTTTCTTGTTTAGTAATATAAAAATCATTTAAGGCTCAGAATCTTCTTGTTATGGCCTTAATTGGGTCCCAGAGGTTTTTAAAAGTGGTGTTCTTATTATCATTGATTTCTAAACTCATTTCAGTTTAAAATTCCTCTTTGACTGAAAATTCACTAGAAGACAATTTTAGACATAAAAATATTTAAATAATATTTTTCCAACTTATCATATATATTAGTTATCTATTGCTGTATAACAAATTATCCCAAGACTTAGCAGCAGCTTAAAATAACTCATATTTATTATTTTACATAGTTTCTGTGGGTCAGGAATCCAGGCATTGGCTAGCTGAGTGTGTCTGGCTCAGTGTCTTTCATGAAGGCCGCAATCTTATCTGAAGGCTTGACTGAGGCTGAAGGATTCACTTCTAGGCTCACTCACATGGCTACTGGTGAGTCTCAGAAGATCTGCTTCCAAGCTCACCTATGAGGGCCTCTTCACAAGGGTGCCTCCTGACATGGCAGCTGGCTTCCCCCAAGGCAAGTGATCCAAGATAGAGTAAGCAAGGGCACACCCAAGATTTTATAATATGATCTTGGAAGTGATATCTTGTCACTTCTGCCTTATTTTATTCATTAGAAGCAAGCCCCTAGGGCCAGTCTACATGCAAGAGGAGATTAAACAAGGGTGTGAATAGCAAGAGGCAGAGATGTTTAGAGTCTATATTAGAAAGGAGCATACCATACTATATTAGAGAAAAAACTCAAGGAAGAATTTTAAATAATTGAAAACTGAATCAGCAGAGAGATCTCCAAGCAGGTAGTCAATCACTCTTGTGAACACACACACACATCCATATATATTAATTACACACACATATATATATTCAATGTATATATGTGTAATTAAATTGTAAGGAAGAAAATGTGATTGTGAATCTGAAATAAAAACTGTTACATAAGGACTCTTGAAACAGAAGAAACATGCCATAAGTAAAATATAAATAGCTGGGAATTAACATTTTAAAATAATATTTGAAATATTCAGAACTAAAATTGTTTAACTTGCCGAGAAAAAATGGGAATGAGGAGGCATCTGTCTGTGCAGGTGGAGTTACAAGTTTATAGAAACATGACAGCCTTAGTTGTGCTTATTAAGAATGGAACATATCCACTTGAACAATTTACAGAATTAAAAATTGCTGAATGAACAAGGTGGGTGGAAGAAGAACATGAACAGAAACTTGATTAAGCCAGTAAAAGAAAAAGAAAGAGAAAAACAAAGAAAAATAAATGGTAACAATAAAATCAAAGGCATAAAATTAGTTATTTCATCATTACATTCCATCTAATAGGCTGAGTTATTCTATGAGAAGATATAGATATGAAATCAGGATAATAAAATCAAGTACAATAATATTTATTTAATTTATTATTGTTTAAAACTTTTATTTAAAATTCAGGGGTACATTTGCAGGTTTGTTACATAGGTAAACTTGTGTCATGGGGGTTTGTTGTACAGATTATTTCATCACTCAGTTATTAAGCCTAGTACCCATTAGTTATTTTTCCTGATCGTCTCCCTCCTCCCACTCTCCACCCTCCAAAAGGCCCCAGTGTATGTTGTTCCCCTCTATGAGCCCATGTGTTCTCATCATTTAGCTCCCACATAAGTGAGAATATGCAGTATTTGGCTTTCTGTTCCTATGTTAGTTTGCTAAGGATAATGGTCTCCAGCTCTATCCATGTCCCTGCAACAGATATGATCTCATTCTTTTTCATAGCTGCATAGTATTCCATGGTGTATGCGTACCACATTTTTTTTATGCAGCCTATCACTGATGGGCATTTGGGTTGATTCCATGTCTTTGTTATTGTGAATAGTGCTGCAATGAACATATGCATGCATGTGTCTTTATAATAGAATGATTTATATTCATTTGGGCACATACTCAGTAATAGGATTACTGGGTAAAATGGGAGTTCTGTCTTTAGGTCTCTGAGGAATTGCCACACTGTCTTCCACAATGGTTGAACTAATTTGCATTCCCACCAACAGCGTATAAGCGTTCCTTTTTCACCACAACCTTGTCAACATCTGTTATTTTTTGACTTTTTAGTGATAGCCATTCTGGCTGGTGTGAGATAGTATCTCATAGTGGTTTTGATTTGCATTTCTCTAATGATCAGTGATACTGAGCTTTTTTTATATATGATTGTTGGCCACATGTATGTCTTCTTTTGAGAAGTGTCTGTTCATGTCCTTTGCCCACTTTTTAATGGGGTTGTTTTTCTCTTGTAAATTTGTTTCAGTTCCTTATAGATGCTGGATATTAGACCTTTGTCAGATACATAGTTTGCAAAAATTTTCTCCCATTCTGTAGGTTGTCTGTTTACTCTGTTGATAGTTTCTTTTGCTTTTACAATAGCCACAAAACCCCCCAAATATCTAGGAATACATCTAACTATGGAGGTGAAAGATCTCTACAAGAAGTACAAGACACTGATGAAAGAAATATTAGATGACACAAACAAATGGAAAAACATTCCATGCTCATGGATTGGAAGAATCAATATCATTAAAATGGCCACACTATCAAAAACAATCTACAGATTCAAATGTGTTCCTATCAAACTACCAATGTCATTTTTCACAGAATTAGAAAAAAACTATTCTAAACTTTATACAGAACCAAAAAAGAGCCCAAATAGCCAAAGCAATGTTAAGCAAAAGGGACAAAGCTGGAGGCATTACATTACCTGACTTCAAACTAAACTATAAGGCTACAGTAATCAAAACAGCCTGGGAATATTTTTATCTTAACAATATTAATTCTTTCAATTCATAAACATGGGATATATTTTCATTAGTACTTGATTATTTTTGGTGCTATTATAGTTGATATTGTTTTAAAATCTCAAATTCCAATTGTTTATTGCTGGTATAGGAACACAACTGAATGTTGTATATTGATCTTGTAACTTGCAACTTGCTAAAATCACGTATTACTTCAGGACATTTTCTTTATAGATTCTTTGGGACTGTCTACATAGAAAGCCATGCCATCTGTGAATAAGGAAAGTTTTACTTATTTCTTTGCAATCTTATGTGCTTTTTATTCTTGTCTTATTGCACTAGCTAGAACTTCCAGTACACTATTAAATAGGAAGTGGTAAGAGACCATGTCCTTGCTTTGTTTCCAATCATAGGGGGAAACATTCAGTCTCTCACCATTAAATATGTTAACTCTGGGTTTTATTTTTAGATATCCTTTATTAGGTTAAGGAAAATTCCTTCTATTCCTAGTTTGCTAAGAGATTTAATCATGAAAGGTTGTCAAATGCTTTTTCTTCATCTACTAATATGATAATATGGTTTTTCTTATCCAGTCTGTGAATTACATTGATTGATTTTTTTTTTTTTTTTGAGATGGAGTTTCACTCTTATTGCCCAGACTGGAGCGCAATGGCACGATCTCAGCTCACCGCAACCTCTGCCTCCCAGGTTCAAGCGATTCTCCTGCCTCAGCCTCCCGAGTAGCTGGGATTACAGGTATGTGCCACCACGCCCGGCTAATTTTTGTATTTTTAGTAGAGATGGGGTTTTTCCATGTTGGTCAGGCTGGTCTCAAACTCCCGACCTCGGGTGATCCGCCCGCCTCGGCCTCCCAAAGTGCTGGGATTACAGGCGTGAGCCACCGTGCTGGGCCCACATTGATTGATTTTGAATGTTGAACAAGTCTTGCATTCCTGGAATGAATCTAACTATTTTTGATGTATTATCTTTTTTGATATATTGCTGGATTCAATGTACTAATATTTTGCTAAGGACTTTTGTATCTATATTCATGAAAGATAATGGTGTGTAGTTTTCCTTTTTTGTAATGCCTTTATTTGGTTTTGGTATTCATGTAAAAATTATCTAATAAAGTGAGTTGGGAAGTGTTTCCTCCTTTTCTCTGAAGACATTGTGTAGATTTAGTATTATTTCTTTCTTAATATTTGATAGAATTCACCAATAAAGCTATCTGGGCTTACAGTTTTTTTTTCTTTGAAGGTTTCTAGCTACAAATTTAATTTATTTAATAGATATTGAGCTATTCAAGTTATCTGTGTCTTCTTCAGTGAGTTTTGGTAGATTTTGTCTTTTAAAGAATTGGTCTATTTCATCTAAGTTATTAAATTTATAGACCTACCATTGTCTGTGGTAGTCTCTATTATCCTTTTGATGTCTATTATGTTAGTAGTGATGTACCCTTTTATTTCTGATATTGGTAGTTAGTGTCTTCTGTTTTTCTTGGTTAGCTTGGTTAAAAGTCTATCAATTTTATATTTTCAGTCACCTTTTTGTTGTATTGATTTCTTTTTATATTTCCTGTTTTAATTTTGTTGATTTCAGCTCTAATTTTTTATTATTTCTTTCCTTTTGCATAAGGTTTACTTTGCTCTTTTTTCTTGTTTTCTAATGTATAAATGTCTGTTACTAGTTAAGGTAATTCCCATTTTCTAATATATGCATTTAATATTATAAATTCCCCTTTACTCTCTGCTTTCTCTTCATTCCGCAAATTTTGATAAGTTGTATTTTCATGTTCGTTTAATTCAACATATTTTAAATTTCTCTTGAAATTTCAAATTTATTTTGAAGTATATTGTTTAATTTCCAAATATTTGGGAGATTTTTCCAGATATATTTCTGTTATTGATTTTTATTTTAGCTCTGCTGTGATCTGAGAATATTCTTTGTATGGTTTTTATTTTTTAATTTGTTAAGGCTTGTTTTATGGCCCACAATATGGTCAATCTTAGTGCATATTCCATAGGAACTTGAGAAGATGTGTAATTTGTTGTTATTTGGTGGAGTATTCTATATGTGTCAATTCAGCCAAGTTGGTTGATAGTGCTGTTTGGGTTAGTTATAGGCTTACTTATTTTCTGCTTATGTGCCCTGTCAATTACTGAGAGAGGAATGTTGAACTCTCTAACTTTAACTGTGTATTTATCTATTTCTCCTTTCATTTCCATCAGCTTTTCTCCCATGTATTTTGCATCTCTGTTGTTAGTTGCATGCACATTTAAGATTGTTATGTCTTCTTGAAGACTTGATCCCTTTATCATTATGCAATGTTCCTCTTTATCCCCGATAATCTTCCTTGTTCTGAAGTTTACTTTGAAATTAATATAGCCCCTCCAACTTTCTCTTGTTCAGTGTTTGCATAATATATCTTTCTCCATATCTTTACTTTTAAATGATCTAAACCTTCATGTTTAAAGTGTTTTTCTTAAAGACAGTATACAGTTGGATCTTGCTTCTTTATCTAATCTGAAAATATCTGCCTCTTAAATGGTATGTTTAACCTCTTCACATTTAATGTAATATTGGTATAGTTAGATTAAAATCTACCATCACACTAGTTATTTTTTCTTTGTTGCATTTGTTCTTTGTTTCTTTTTTCCTCTTTTTCTGCCTTCTCTATTTTTTATTGACTATTATCTATGATTGCATTGACTTACTACTTATACTTATTTTAAACACTTTTTTTTTGAGATGGAATTTCACTCTTGTTGCCTAGGCTGGAGTGCAATGGTGTGATCTTGGCTCACTGCAACCTTTGCCTCCCAGGTTCAAGCGATTCTCCTGCCTCAGCCTCCCAAGTAGCTGGGATTACACGTGCCCGCCACCACGCCTGGCTAATTTTTTTGTATTTTTAATGGAGACGGGGTTTCACCATGTTGGCCAGGCTGGTCTTGAACTCCTGACCTCAGGTGATCCATCTGGCTTGGCCTCTCAAAGTGCTGGGATTACAGGCATGAGCCACTAAGCTTGGCTTTAAAGACTTTTAAAGTGGTTGTCCTAGGGTTTAAAATATATGTTTTATAAAATTAAAATGGAGGCTACAGTATAAATATTCCCCAAGACCAACCACCCATAATCACTTAACCAAAATGTAAGTCATCTTTATTTCCCCACAACACGGACTCTAATCATCAACAAAATACAAAATGTAAGCTTTTGGACATCCTTGTTAGTGTGATTCAAAGAAATGAAACCAATCAGCTATACACAAGTCAGCTTACACCGTTCTACTTGCCCTAAAAAGAATGCTAATGTATAACAGCCAATGATGAAATAGATCAAAATACTTGCTCCTTTCTGCTGTATCTGTGCTGTGACTGCAGTAAGGCAGTATCTTACCACTTGGCTGGAAGTCTTCCACCGTGATCTGTACTTACTTTCATTGTATCACAGTAAACCTTGAAATGTTTCCTAATATATATGTTTTAATATAATCTGGGTCCATATTCAAATAATACTGTAATGCTTCACATGTAGTATAAGGACCTTATGACAGTACATTTCACATTTACAGATGCTATAAATGTTCAATACACTGTTACTTTACTGCTTAATGGCCAATCATATTTTAGATCAATTACAAATATGGAAAATAATATCGCATTTTACCTTCATTTATTTCATTTCTTGTTAAAATTTTTCAACTTTTATTTTAGATACAGGGGTACATGTGCAGATTCGTTACATGGGAATATTGCATGATGCTGAGGTTTGGAGTATGAATCCCATCACCCAGGTAGTGAGCATAGTACCCAAAAGTTACCTTTTTAACCGTCTCCCCTCCACCCTCTAGTGGTTCACAGTGTCTATTGTTCCCATATTTATGTCCATGTGTGCTCTGACACTTTATTTATTTATGTAGATCCAAGTTTCTGACCTATAGCATATTGCTTCCCACTTAAAAATTTCCTTTGACAAGGTGGCCAACTAGAAGGAGCTAGTGTGCAGGGCTCCCACTGAGAGGAACGGAAGGGATGAGTAAATACAGCACCTTCAACTGAAACATCCAGGTACATGCATTGGGACTAATCAAGGAAACAACTTGACCCACGGAGAACGGAGAAAAGCAAGCCCACCCAGGAGCGACACAGAGCCAGGGCAACCTCCCCTGCCCAGGTAAGCCATGAGTGAATGTGCAACCTTCTGGTCAGGAGATCCCCTTGTGAACCCACTCCACCAGGGCCTTCACTCTGACACACAGAGCTATTTGGATTCTCAGCAGAGCAGCCACTCAGGCACATGCAGAGACCTGGAAGCCATAGATACTTGGGCTTTCTGGGCTTCCTGGCAAAAGCAGGAGGTTAGACCCCCATAAATACCCCTAGGAAAGAGGCTGAATCCAGGGGGTTGAGCAGTGACAGTTCACAGGCCCCACCTCAGGGCACCTCATAGAATAAGACCCACTGGCTTAGAATTCCAGCCAGCCACCAGTAGCAGTAGGGGACAGAGCTCCTAGGGGGAGGGGCAGGCTACCATCTTTGCTTTTCAGGTACCTTAGCCATTCCAGCCTTCCAACTTTGGAGGCTCCAAGCTGACTGGGGTGGAAGAGATCCCCCAGAACAGTACAGCTGCTCTATGAAAATGTGGCCAGACTGCTTTTTTAAGCTGGTCCACAATCCCATTTTTCCTCATTGGGCAGGATCTCCCAACCGGGGCCTCCAGTCACCCTGCCCCCCTCCCAGTCCCCCCCACCCCCACCTGCCCGGTGTTCTCCAGTGGACAGAAATTTGAAAACTCCCTGGGATGGAGCTCCCAGAGGGAGGGATTGGCCACCATCTTTGCTGTTTGGGTGACTTAGCTGTTCCAGCCTTCGGGTTTTGGGGTGTCTGAGGCAACCAGGTGCTGAAGTGGACCCCTAGCACAGCACAGCTGCTCTACAAAAACATGGCCAGCTTGTTTTTTTAAGTGGGTCCCAAATCCTGTTCCTCCTCACTGAGTGGGATCTGCCAATCAGGGTCTCCAGCCACCTCCTACAGGTGCATTCGGGCTGGCAGCAGGTTGGTACCTCCCTGAGACAGACCTCCCAGACAGAGGGGCAGGCCACCATCTTTGCTGTTTTGCAGCCTTCACTGATGATACTTCCAGATACTGGAAAATCTGAGGCGACAAGGCACTGGAGCGGGCCCCCGGAAAACTGCAGCAGCCCTGTGAAAAAGTGGCCAGATTGTTATGAGGGTGCCCGTTCCCGTATCTCCTCACCAGGCAGATCCTCTAGGCCTGGGCTTCCAGCCACTTCCTGCCAGAGCTATCGAGCCAGTAGCAGCTGTGCAACTCCCTGGACAGAGCCTCCAGGCGCAACTGAAAGCTTCTCTGCCACTGCCTCTGCAGTGGAACTGCCCTTGCTAACCTTGGACTAATGAAGGAGCGGAGACCCTCAACATTGGACCAAATGGATCTGATAGACCTCTACAGAACTCTCCACCCCAGAACAACAGCATACACATTCTTCTCATCACCACGTGGCACATACTCTATAACTGACCACATAATTGGACATAAAACAATTCTCAACAAATGCAAAAGAACCAAAATAATACCAAACACACTCTCAGACCACAGTGAAATAAAAATAGAATCAAAACTAAGAAAATCACTCAAAACCATGCAACTAAATGGAAATTAAACAACATGCTCCTGAGTGACTTTTGGGTAAATAATGAAATTAAGGCAGAAATCAGGAAGTTCTTTGAAACTAATTAGAACAAAGATACAACATACCAGAATCTCTGGGACACAGCTAAGGCAATGTTAAGAGGGAAATTCATAGCACTAAATGCCCACATCAAAAAGTTAGAAAGATCTTAAATTAACAATCTATCATTACAACTGAAAGAATTAGAGAAGCAATAACAAATCAATCCCCAAACTAGCAGAATACAAGAAATAACTGGCTAGCCATATGCGGAAGATTGAAACTGGACCCCTTCCTTACATCATATAAAAAAATTAACTCAAGATGGATTAAAGACTTAAATGTAAACCCTAAACTATAAAAACCCCAGAAGAAAACCTAGGCAATACCATTCAGGACATAGGCATGGGCAAAGATTTCGTGATAAAGACACCAGAAACAATTGCAACAAAAGCAAAAATTGACAAATGGGATCAAATTTAACTAAAGAGCTTCTGCACAGCAAAATAAACTATCAACAGAGTAAACAGACAACCTACAGAATGGGAGAAAATTTAAAGAAATGTAAAGAAATGTAAAGAAATTTAAAGAAATGTAAAGAAATTTACAGTAGAAAAACAAACAACCCCATTAAAAAGTAGGCAAAGGACATGAACAGACACTTTTCAAAAGAAGACATACATGAAGCCAACAAGCATATGGAAAAAGCTCAGTATCTCTGATCATTAGAGAAACGCAAATCAAAACCACGACGAGATACCATCTCACATCAGTCAGAATGACTATTATTGAAAAGTCAAAAATAACAGATGCTGGTGAAGTTGCAGAGAAAAGGGAATGCTTGCTTATACACTGTTGGTGGGAGTGTAAATTAGTTCAACCGTTGTGGAAAACAGCATGGTGATTCCTCAAAGAGCAAAAAGAGGAACTCCCATTCGACCCAGCAATCCCATTACTGGGTACATACCCAAAGGAATATAAATAATTCTACCATAAAGATACATGCACGTGAATGTTCATTGCAGCACTATTCACAATAGCAAAGACATGGAATCAACCTAAATTCCCATCAATGGTAGACTGGATAAAGAAAAGGTGGTACATATACACCATGGAAAACCATGCAGCCATAAACAAGAATGAGATCATGTCTTTTGCAGGAACGTGGAGGGAGCTGCAGACCATTATCCTTAGCAAACTAACACAGGAACAGAAAACCAAATACCGCATGTCCTCATTTATAAGTGGGAGCTAAATGTTGAGAACGTATGAACACAAAGAAGAAAACAATACACACTGGGGTCTACTTGAGGGTGTAGGGTGAGAGGGGGGAGAGGAGCAGAAAAGATAACTGTTGGGTACTGGGCTTAATACCTGGGTGATGAAATAATCTGAACAACAAACCCCTGTTACATGAGTTTACCTATGTAACAAACCTTCACATGTAGCTGTGAACCCAAAATAAAACTTAAAAAAAATTCCTCTGATATTTATCATAGGTTAATCCTGCTGGCAATGAATTGTGTCAGTTTATGTTTTCCTGAAAAAAATCTTTATTTCTCCTTCCATTGGATATTTCCACTGGAAAATTCTAAATTAACATTTTTCTTCAAACAATTTAAAGGTGTCACCTTATTGGTTTTTAGCTGTGTGGTCCTCACAAGAAGCCTGCTGTAATTCTTATCTTTGTTTTCCCATAGTAAGGTGTTTTTTCCTTCTCATTGCCTTCAAGGTTTTCTCATTGTCTGGTTTTCAGCAGTTCAAATATTATATATCTAGGTGTGGGTTTGTTTGTTTGTCCTGCTTGGTGTTCTCTGAGCTTCTTGGGTCTGTGGTTTGGCGTCTGCTACTACTTTTGAAAATATTATGGCCATTATGTTCTTCCAAATTTTCTTCAGCTCCATTCTGTCTTTCTTTTCCTCTGGAATTAAAATTACACATATATTGCATCATTTGATGTTGACTTATAGCTCTTGGACTCTCTGTTCTGTTTTCTTCATACACTTTTCTCTTTGTGTTTCAATTTGGATAATTTCTATTGTCCTATCTTCAAGTTCACTGATTTCTTTCCTTGACTGTGTCAAGTCTACTGATGAACTCATTGAAGGCATTCTTTATTTCTGTTATGCTCTTTTTATTTATTGTATTTCACTGGATTCTTTCTTATGGGGCTTCTGGAGGAAAAGCCTGCAAAAGGGTAGAAACCCCACCACGTTTGTAGCACCTCCCCCAGGAACTTCACAACCTTACACTAGCCCACACTTGGCCCTTAGCAATTCATTGAAAGTTCTAGTTAAATTTCCTACTAGTTTATACGGCATTCAGTTGGCATCTGCCCCAAGTAAGCAAATGTTTGTGTTCTGTTTTCCCCTGAAGGTGCCTGTCTCTCTCAAGATTTTATAATACAATAGTTGCTTGTCCCATGACTTCAGTCTTCTGATGGTTTCTAATGGGTTATTAATTTCCAACTTATCCAGTTTTTTCTTGTTGTAAGAATGGCAGTAATGTCTTTTCAGCTTTATATGACTCCAAGCTGAAACTGGAAGTCCTATAAAATTTTTTTGAAATTTATTACTGCCCCACAAATCCCTTTTATCCCCCCATGCCTCAAGTCATCTCAATACTCCTTAGGTGCTAAACCTTTGAAACCTTGGATATCTTCCATGCAGTAGCACTAACTCCTACACTGAAAGCCGCTGTTACTTTGGGAGCTCACCCCTAGCACCACACCTTCTGAAGCTGTGGTTTTGCACATACTTAGGAACATTGACACCACACTTGGCCAACAGTCAGTATGGTACAGATAGTCTGTGTTTGGTCTCCATAAGTGGTGTTTGTGGGCAGGGAACATGGTAGAGTTTATGGGAGCTCCCCCATGGGGGCTGCCTTCTTGGAAAAGTATCCATTACATACAGAGAAGGAAGCTGCCTTGCTTGTTTTAACAAAGGGTTCAGGGATTAGAGGTGTTGGCCTTCTCTAGGCAGGATTCCTGGAGTAGGAGTGTTTAGATTTGAGCTATAGGGATCTGTGGTATTTATAGAAGCTTAAGTGTCCCCTCAGTTTATGGCATGGGGCAAGGCAGATAAATGATCTCCTAAGAGATACAACTGTGGGACAGAGGTAAAAATTCGGGATAGAGCCATCCTCTTCTGAATGATATCACTGGAGAGAATGGGGAAGTCAGAGAGGTACTGTAAACTACTGGGAAATACCACTGGAGAAGATGGGGGAGATGTCAGGGTGATATATATCCCTCTGGGTAAATAATCCTTGTGGTTATGAGTGAGTTCAGGGTAATACAGTCCCCATGTGGGTGTTACCACTGGGGGAGAGAGGGGAGAAGTCAAGATGGTAAAGTTCCACCCCTGAGTGCTACCACAGGGAGATGGAAGGAGAAATCAAGGTGAAGGAGAAGCAAACGACCTCTGAGAATCTTAGGGACATGTCCACTATTCATCAAGCATTGACTGATTGCATGCATTGTTCTAAATGCTTTACATCTATTAACTAATTTATTTCTCTGAGGTATCTGTACTTTAAGGCACAGCTAATCTGGGCTAGAAAGGAATATGCCCAAGTTTTTTTCTAATACTTGTATATTATTTCATTTTTACATTTAAATCTCTGATCCATATGGAGTTTGTTCTCGTGTATGGTGTGAGATGTGTATCCAATTTAATCTGTTTCTAAATGGCCATGTCTAGTGGGTTGCTGTCTCCCTAAAAGATGTGTCCCCAGAACCTGGGAAAAGGATCTTTGCAAATATAATGAACTTAAGGATCTTGAGATGAGATCATCCTGGCTTAAGCCAGTGGGCCCTAAATCCAATAACAAGTGTTCTTATAACAGACAGAAGAGGAAAAAGAAACAGAGAGGGTGATGTAAAGACAGAGGCAGAGATTGGAGTGCTGCGTCTACAAATCAAGGAATGGCAAAGATCACTGGAGCTACCAGAAGCTAGGAGAGGCATGTAATAGGAGAGAGGCATAGAATAGATTCTCCCCCAGAGCCTCTAAAAGGAATCAGCTCTGATGACATCTTGATTTTTTGCTTCTAGCCTCCAGAGCTGTGAGAAAATAAATTTCTGTTGTTTTAAGCCACCCAGTTTGTGGTAATTTGTTACTGCAATCCTAGGAAACAACATCATTTATGTAAAAGTTCATCTTTGCCTCTTATGATTTGAGATGCCATTTCAATCATATACAAAAATTTATTCTGTATTTGGATCTATTTCTGGACCTTTTACTCTATTTCACTGGCTTGTGTACTCATGTGACATTACCACATAGTTTTAATTATAGAGGCTTTATAGTATGTTTTAATACCTGGTGGGGTTAATCACCATCATTACATTTTTTGGGGGGTGGCTTATAGTTATTCCTTCATGTTTATTTTCCCTTATAAATCTTAGGCAATTTGGTTTCTGAGTTGATGCATTTAACTACTATGCTATGCTAACTTTCTAGGATATTTATTAGAAAAAAGTCAGGGAAAGGGGTGAGTGACCATTCATTGAGTTCTGGGAGATTGAATGATTGGTCCCAATTTTTCCCTCCTCCCTGTGTCCATACCCTTTCCCCCTTGGCTTTGTGCTTGCCCATGTGATTTGCTTTGCTTAATGGCATATGGGTAGAAGTAATATGTCATTTCTGAGGCTAGGCCTTACAAGGCTTTGCCTGTACTGGCTTGCCTTCTTGCCCCTTTGCACCACTATAAGAGGATACATAGGTAATTGCTGCCTCCCAGTCTCAGCTCCAGAATGGAAGACATGTAGAGCATAGTTGCCTCAGCTGCAGTGCCAACAGTGGGGCGCAACTTAGATTAGACAAACCTCAGTCAGTTCTCTAAATACTGGAGAATAAATTTGGCACTTACCCAACAGATAAATAATTGCAGGGAATGGAAAAATTCTACCATGTTGGAGTTTTCTGTCACTATTTAAAAAGTATTATTGAGTGAAAAAATCAAGTTGCAGAGAATTGAGCATAATATAATCTCACTTTTGTAAAACATCCAAAAAGAATGTATGTATGTAATATAGGAGAAGTGTATGTGTGTGCACGTGTGTGTATTACAAACATGAAAATAAGAGTGAAATGGTTCATACATGACGGTTTGCACTGGTGATCTGTAGGGAGGATTGCAGGTATTAGTGAAGGTAGAATAAAAGGATGAGGAAGTTGAGCAAATAAAAAGAAGATTAAAAGTACTACATATTAAAATCTAATAAGAATGATACTATTGTGGAATGCTATTCAGCCATAAAAGAATGAAATCCTGTCATTTGTAGCAACATGAATGGAAGTGGAGGTCTTAATGTTAAATGAAATAAGTCGGGCTGGGCACGGTGGCTCACGCCTGTAATCCCAGCACTTTGGGAGGCCGAGGTGGGTGGATTGCCTGAGGCCAGGAGTTCAAGATCAGCCTGACCAATGTGGTGAAATGCTGTCTCTACTAAAAATACAAAAATTAGCTGGGCGTGGTGGCATGGGCCTATAGTCCCAGCTACTTGGGAGGTTGAGGCAAGAGAATTGCTTGAACCTGAAAGGCAGAGGTTGCAGTGAGCCAACATTGTGCCACTGCACTCCAGCCTGAGTGACAGAGTGATACTCCATCTCAAAAAAAAAAAAAGAAAGAAATAAGCCAGGCACAGAAAGACAAATATCCCATGTTCTCACTCACGTGGTAGCTAAAAAAGTCGATCTCCTAGAGGTAAAGAGTAGAATTATAGATATCAGAGGCTGGGAAGGGTAAGGGGGATAAATAGAGGTTGGTTAATGGATACAAACATACAGTTAGATAGGAGTAAGTTCTAGTGTTCAATAGCGCAATAAAGTGACTACAGTTAATCATTTACTTTATATTTCAAAATATCAAGAAGAAAAGACTTGCAAGATTCCAAACACAAAGAGAAGATAAATGTTTGAGGTGATGGATATACCAATTACCCTGATTTGATCATTATGTGTTGTATGCGTGTATCAAAGTATCACATGTACTCCATAAATATATCCAATTATTATGTACTAGTAATAAGAAAGAATAATAGCATTGTGTTTAGGCATTCACATGAATGTCTACAGAAAGAAGAGAAAAAGTATTGTGAAATAAAAGCTAGTATGATAGGATTATATTTACACATTTACATAAAAACAGAACCTATATATATAAAGGAATCAAAATCATGGTTTTATTGTGGAATCTCTTGCTAGAAATACACACTAGGGAACATATTTGACAGGTACAATTATATCATATTACAAAAATATTTAAAACACATACTATACCTTCTGTTGTGCAGTGTATTATGAAACATATTCTCTTGAATTCAGGGTATGTCCATATCAGACATACTAGTTGGTTGTCCTACAACTTCGTTTGTTGACACTATAAAATACTTAAAATTTCACAGAAAACAGGAAAAGCATTTACATAATTTTCCATATTCCTTTTTTATAAGGAGTTTGGAATCAATTTATGTTATAGCGCTTTTTGTGGGAAGTCTTTTCCTAAAGGATTAAACTTGAACAATTTCTCCTCAGTTGGGTTCTATGAATTCTATGATACCATCTCCGGTCAGGTTCCCTTCTATACACAGAGGCTAAGAAAGGCATCTGGAAGCATATGATTTATATGTTCTTCATGGTGGAACCTGTAAGGGAATAAGAGAAGGATAGGGAAAGAGGAGTCATCACAAGGACGTGGTTTCATGTAGAGTCAAGCCTTGGCCCCATGCAGGGCAGAGGAGTGTGGAGAGGGGGAGGAGCCTCTGGATTGTAAATTTCACTGCAAAGTTGTTCTGCCTTGAGGGAGGAACTTGGGCTCTTGTATCCTTTTATAAATCACTCACTGGCTACTCCCTAGGAGGGTAGTATAACCATCTCCAGGCATGTTGGCACTACGGAAAACCAAAGGCAATGCTCTGGAAAAAGTTACAGGTATAAGCTGTTTGCTACAGCACTTGCAGCAGTTAGAAAATGGATGCCCTGGCCAGTCAAGGGGATCAGGGTGAGGCACCAACAGTGTATACTCCACATAGTGAGGACGTGCAAATATGGAAAGATGCTGCTCTGATGCATTCTTAGGGCTTCTCCTCTTAACTTGGCTCATGAATATATTCACATGGTTTTTCTGCTGCAGGCATTCTACAGCATACACTTAGATCCAACTTCTCTGAGAAGGCTTTCTCATATTCAAGAAACATGCAGATTTTCTTTTAGGTAGGAATACTTGGATGCATATTGAAAGCTAATCTCTGGGTGCAGCCTTTCCCACAGTCACTGCATTTATAAGGTTTAGCTGGAGAAAGAGTAATCTGGTGCTTATTCAAACTTGACTTGTTGGTGAAGGCCTTGTCACACTCGGTATATACATAGGGCTTTTCTCCTGTGTGAATTTGCTGCTGCTGCTGAAGCTAGTGGTGTGTGTGTGTGTGTGTGTGTGTGTGTGTGTGTGTGAAGGCTTTCCCACAGTCACTCTACTCATAAGGCTTCTCTCCAGTGTAAATTCTCTTTGATATGTAATCAAAACTGACTTGCATGTGAAGGCCTTCTCACACTCAGGACATACATATATGGGATGTATTAGTCCATTCTCGCGCTGCTATAAAGAAACACATGAGACTGGGTAATTTATAAAGAAAAGAGGTTTAATTGGCTCACAGTTCTGCAGTCTGTAGAGGAAGCATAATTCTGGCATCAACTCAGCTTCTAAAGAGGCCTCAGGAAACTTTCAATCATGATGGAAGGTGAAGGGGAAGCAGGCATGTCTTACATGGCCGGAGCAGGAGGAAGAAAGAACAAGTGGGGAGGAGCTACACACTTTTAAATAACCAGATCTCATGAGAACTCGCTCACTAGACAGTACCCAGCAGGGATGGTGCTAAACTATTCATGAGAACTCTGCCCCCAATGATCCAATCACCTCCTACCAGGCCCCTCCTCTAACAGTGGGGATTACAATTCAACATGATATGTGGGTGGGGACACAGATCCAAACCAGATCATGGGATTTTGCTCCAATATGAGTTTTCTGACGTGCAAGGAGATGTGGTTTTTTGAAGGCCTTCCCACATTTAGTGCATGCATAGGGTCTCTCTCCTGCATGACTTTGTTGATTCTCATGGAGCTGTGACTTGAAAGAATTCCCACAATCACTGCATTCATTGAGTTTTTCCCTAACATGAACTTTTTAATGTGTGATTAAGTTTGACTTATGGTTGAAGGCTTTTTCATGTTCAGGTACATACACTGGGTTTCTCTCCAGTGTGAAAATTCAGATGTATGTTGAGGTGAGACTTCTGAGTAAAGGTTTTCCCACAGTTGCCGCATTCATAAAGTTTCTCATCTTTGATGTGTAATCAAGACCAATTTGTAAGTAAAGGCCTTTCCACATTCAGTACAGACATAAGCTCTCTACAGTATGAGTCTTCTGGTGTGCAAGGAGATTGGATCTTTTGGAGAAGACCTTCACACATTTTGTGCCTGTATAGGGTTTTTCTCCTGTGTGGGTTTTCCCATGCTCATTCACTTGGGATTTGGAATGAAAGGCTTTCCCACAGTAACAGCATTCAAAAGGCTTCTCTCCACTATATATTCTCTGATGTGCAATCAAGTGTGTCTTTTGGATGAAGGCCTGCCCACATTCAGTGCATATATAGGGTTTCTCTTCGGTGTGAATTCTCTGTTGCAAACTGAATATTGACTACTGGGTGAAAGCGTTCTCATTTTCTCTGCATTCGTTGGGCTTTTCCCCAGAATGAAAAGTCTGATGTGTGAAGATGTGTGACTTCTGAGGGAAGACTTTTTCACATTCATTGCCTACATAGGCTATCCTCCCAGTGAGAAATTTTGGATGAAGAATGGACACATTCTTCATCCAAATTTGTCACTGAGGACTTTTCTACATTGATTAGGTTCACAAAATTTCTCACCTGTATGAGAATTAACATAGTATAAGAAGCTGTAAGTAAAATTTGACTATAATTAATAATCTCAAGGTTTTTCTTGCATTGCTTCTATTGGGACTTATAAGTTTTAATTATGTTTCAAATCCTTTCCAAATGAATCATATTTAAGGGATGGCTTCTGTGAACTAATTAGATATGGGCTCATGTGAATTGTTTTTCCAATGTACTTATATTCATAATCTTTTTCATTATTCAATATGTTACTGTTGATGAAAGCAAATGACTCAAAGGTCTATTTTGGTTTTCCTTACATCTCTATCTGTTCATCATCTTGCCACAGTTTTCATTAAAAATGGAAACAATGAATTGTCCCTCTTGAATTCACCTACTCTCTTATTGTGAAATAAAGCTTTTAACAGAAATTTACTATTAAAGAATTTCAATCCCACACTTCCCTCCTAAAAGGAGAAAAAGAAGGTGAAATTGAAACATAGAACAGTTAGCTTAGTATAGAGAAGCCGTATGCAACTTATCCAGACTGAACACAGAGAAATCACATGATGATGATGATAATGATGATTCTTATTATATGCTGTACACTTAAACAGCACTTACAACATGCCAGGTACTTTTCTAAGTAATATAAAAGTATTAATACATAATACATATATTTAAACTCATTTAACTTTCATAGCAACCCTCTGAGGTAGATATTATTATACATGCTTTCAGAAGAAACAGCTGAAGCTCAGAATGGGTAAATACTTTGCCCAAGATGACATGGGTCCTGTGTCAAGTAGACTGGATTTAAACCAAGCCAGCCTGTCTCCATTTACATAGGCTATCTAGTACCCAGTTAGTTCTTATAGCAGCTCAGTTTTACCCTAAGTAATAAATAAATCAACTTACCAAGAAGAGGAAATCACTAATATTTCAATTATTTTTACAGAAGATGAACTATAGCAGGTTTTCAATATTTATAAAATGCATAAATTGCACCAGCAGTCCCCAACCTTTTTGGCACCAGGGACTAGTTTTGTGGAAGACAATTTTTCCATGGACCAGGGAGGGGGGATGGTTTCGGGATGATTCCAGTGCATTAGATTCACTGTGCACTTTATTTCTATTCTATTATTATTACACTGTCATATATAATGAAATAATTATAAAATTCACCATAATGCAGTGGGAGCCCTGAGCTTGTTTTCCTGAAACTAGATGGTTCCATCTGGGGGTGATGGGAGACAGTGACAGATCATCAGGCATTAGATTCTCATAAGGAGTGCACAACCTAGATCCCTCGCATTCTCAGTTCACAATAGAGTTTGCACTCCTATGAGAATCTAATACCCCCACTGATCTGACAGGACGGGGAGCTCAGGTGGTAATGTGAGTGATAGGGAGCAGCTGTAAATACAAATGAAGCTTCGCTTTCCGGCCCCACTGCTCACCTCCTGTTGTGCCGCCTGGTTCCTCACAGGCCACGGACTATCTTCCACTGGTACAAGTCTGTGATCTGGAGGTTGGAGACCCCTGAATTACACCATTATTCTATTCTACCAAGTTTGAAGATACTGAGCATGATCTGATCATAAAATCCCATTTGTTTTCCTCTTGTAGCCCAGGCTAAAATACTGGCATCCAGCACCTTGTCCCCAAAACTCCACTATACTTTCACTCTTATGCTATACTCTTATATCCATAAATCTCCTTTCATTTATTCTTAAGCATGTCAATTCATAGGCACAGATGAGGAACTTTTTTGAACTTTGTACTTCATTTAGCATACACACACAAACACACATACATGCACACACACACACATATACACACACACACAAAAACACATGCACACAAACACAAACCTTTTACTGGAGCCAAAAATATTTAGTTACAGCTCCTACTCTTCAATGTAAAAAGTTCATGCCTGTGCTGAAAATGTTATCTTTAACACTCTTGAGCCCACCAACTTCATAGGCCACACATACAGTCATTGGTCTGAAAAAATAGATAGTATATGTGAGTTTGCATTCCATTAGTAAGTAATATTTACTCAAAACTCCAGTGTATTCCTAAATCCAATCATTATTCACATATTCTTCCCTCATTAAGCTTGCTTTTTCTGCCTTGTGACGATTCAAAATGTATATGTGATTCACAGATCAGTTAAGAGTCCTATGCTCTGAAAATTAATCTCATGATCTAACTACATTTCTAGGGAGACATGATTTTCTCTGAATTTTAAGAGCAGACACTATCTATGTTACCCACTTTTATGCTTTTTAAATAATAGTTGTCCACATTGCTGGAATGATTAATGAATAAAGCCTGAATTCTTTTTGTTTTCAAGCCATGTTTTCCCTTCCCACTAACAATCTGTTTCTTTGAACACTTTTCAACACACTGAAAACAATCCCACTGAAACAAAACACCCTGGTTTACCTATCTCCACAAAACCAAAAATTTTAGTACTTGAACTGGTTTATCCCTTTTTCCACTAAAAAATTAAGAATAAAATATTGCTATCACTTTTATTCTTAAGGATTTTAGAAAAGCTCTAGGAGGGAAATCATCATCTGTCATACAGTTTGAAAATATATAATTTGCATATAAATATTTCTGGAAGGAAACCATTAATATTGGTAGTCCCTGGGGAGGGATATGGGAGGAAAGAGATGGGAGTGAGATTTTTCACTGTGTACTCTTTCATATTTTTGAATTTCAAACCTTGTAAATA
Source organism: Homo sapiens (assembly GCF_000001405.40). Lineage (NCBI taxonomy): Eukaryota > Metazoa > Chordata > Mammalia > Primates > Hominidae > Homo > Homo sapiens. Next base: position 47,781,364 of record NC_000023.11, read on the forward strand.
TATTATCTCTCCCAAAAATTTAAATTAAAAACTAAAATAAAGGGGAAAAGTTATTAGTTTTGAAATTCTGAGGGATGGAAGGTGAAGAAAGGGAAAGATATTCAATGCTAGAGTAATTAAACACTAAATTTAATAGAACTACTGAAACCTGTATCTGGAGAGAAACAGCCTTAAATAATCAACAGCCAAGATGCAGAGAGGAATTTCATATGTAGGAAACATTAAGGAAAATGAGAAAAATGGAATAGAACATGAGTTATAGAATATATATAATGTTCAACTAGAAATTTGTGGACTGTTGTCACTGAGAAGAGTTTAATGATCATTTGCTACATAATAGGGAGTAACTTCCATTTCATTTCATAAAGTGAGCATAAAATAGATGTCATGTTTTAGATAATAAAATCTGTCAGTAGTACTTAAAATAAACATATTAAAAAAAAAAAAAACAAGGGGCTGGGGAGCCAAGATGGCTGAATAGGAACAGCTCCGGTCTACAGCTCCCAGCGTGAGCGACACAGAAGACAGGTGATTTCTGCATTTCCGTCTGAGGTACCGGGTTCATCTCACTAGGGAGTGCCAGACAGTGGGCACAGGACAGTGGGTGCAGCACACCATGCATGAGCCGAAGCAGGGCGAGGCATTGCCTCACTCGGGAAGCGCAAGGGGTCAGGGAGTTCCCTTTCCTAGTCAAAGAAAGAGGTGACAGATGGCACCTGGAAAATCGGGTCACTCCCACCCTAATACTGTGCTTTTCCGACGGGCTTAAAAAATGGCACACCAGGAGATTATATCCCGCACATGGCTCGGAGGGTCCTAGGCCCACAGAGTCTCGCTGATTGCTAGCACAGCAGTCTGAGATCAAACTGCAAGGCGGCAGCGAGGCTGGGGGAGGGATGCCCGCCATTGCCCAGGCTTGCTTAGGTAAACAAAGCAGCCGGGAAGCTCGAACTGGGTGGAGCCCACCACAGCTCAAGGAGGCCTGCCTGCCTCTGTAGGCTCCACCTCTGGGGGCAGGGCACAGACAAACAAAAAGACAGCAGTAACCTCTGCAGACTTAAATGTCCCTGTCTGACAGCTTTGAAGAGAGCAGTGGTTCTTCCAGCATGCAGCTAGAGATCTGAGAACGGGCAGACTGCCTCCTCAAGTGGGTCCCTGATCCCTGATCCCTGACCCCCGAGCAGCCTAACTGGGAGGCACCCCCCAGTAGGGGCAGACTGACACCTCACACGGCCCAGTACTCCTCTGAGTCAAAACTTCCAGAGGAACGATCAGACAGCAGCATTCACGGTTCATGAAAATCTGCTGTTCTGCAGACACCACTGCTGGTACCCAGGCAAACAGGGTCTGGAGTGGACCTCTAGCAAACTCCAACAGACCTGCAGCTGAGGGTCCTGTCTGTTAGAAGGAAAACTAACAAACAGAAAGGACATCCACACCAAAAACCCATCTGTACATCACCATCATCAAAGACCAAAAGTAGATAAAACCACAAAGATGGGGAAAAAACAGAGCAGAAAAACTGGAAACTCTAAAAAGCAGAGTGCCTCTCCTCCTCCAAAGGAACGCAGTTCCTCACCAGCAACGGAACAAAGCTGGACGGAGAATGACTTTGACGAGTTGAGAGAAGAAGGCTTCAGATAATCAAACTACTCCGAGCTACAGGAGGAAATTCAAACCAAAGGCAAAGAAGTTGAAAACTTTGAAAAAAATCTAGACGAATGTATAACTAGAATAACCAATACAGAGAAGTGCTTAAAGGAGCTGATGGAGCTGAAAACCAAGGCTCGAGAACTACGTGAAGAATGCAGAAGCCTCAGGAGCCGATGCGATCAACTGGAAGAAAGGGTATCAGTGATGGAAGATGAAATGAATGAAATGAAGTGAGAAGGGAAGTTTAGAGAAAAAAGAATAAAAAGAAATGAACAAAGCCTCCAAGAAATATGGGACTATGTGAAAAGGCCAAATCTATGTCTGATTGGTGTACCTGAAAGTGACAGGGAGAATGGAACCAAGTTGGAAAACACTCTGCGGGATATTATCCAGGAGAACTTCCCCAATCTAGCAAGGCAGGTCAATGTTCAGATTCAGGAAATACAGAGAACACCACAAAGATACTCCTCGAGAAGAGCAACTCCAAGACACATAATTGTCAGATTCACCAAAGTTGAAATGAAGGAAAAAATGTTAAGGGCAGCCAGAGAGAAAGGTCGAGTTACCCACAAAGGGAAGCCCATCAGACAAACAGCAGATCTCTCAGCAGAAACTCTACAAGCCAGAAGACAGTGGGGGCCAATATTCAACATTCTTTTTTTTTATTATTATACTTTAAGTTTTAGGGTACATGTGCACATTGTGCAGGTTAGTTACATATGTATACATGTGCCATGCTGGTGCGCTGCACCCACTAACTCATCATCTAGCCTTAGGTATATCTCCCAATGCTATCCCTCCCCACTCCCCCCACCCCACCACAGTCCCCAGAGTGTGATATTCCCCTTCATGTGTCCATGTGATCTCATTGTTCAATTCCCACCTATGAGTGAGAATATGCGGTGTTTGGTTTTTTGTTCTTGCGATAGTTTACTGAGAATGATGATTTCCAACTTCATCCATGTCCCTACAAAGGACATGAACTCATCATTTTTTATCGCTGCATAGTATTCCATGGTGTTTATGTGCCACATTTTCTTAATCCAATCTATCATTGTTGGACATTTGGGTTGGTTCCAAGTCTTTGCTATTGTGAATAATGCTGCAATAAACATACGTGTGCATGTGTCTTTATAGCAGCATGATTTATAGTCATTTGGGTATATACCCAGTAATGGGATGGCTGGGTCAAATGGTATTTCTAGTTCTAGATCCCTGAGGAATCGCCACACTGACTTCCACAATGGTTGAACTAGTTTACAGTCCCACCAACAGTGTAAAAGTGTTCCTATTTCTCCACATCCTCTCCAGCACCTGTTGTTTCCTGACTTTTTAATGATTGCCATTCTAACTGGTGTGAGATGATATCTCATAGTGGTTTTGATTTGCATTTCTCTGATGGCCAGTGATGATGAGCATTTTTTCATGTGTTTTTTGGCTGCATAAATGTCTTCTTTTGAGAAGTGTCTGTTCATATCCTTCGCCCACTTTTTGATGGGGTTGTTTGTTTTTTTCTTGTAAATTTGTTTGAGTTCATTGTAGATTCTGGATATTAGCCCTTTGTCAGATGAGTAGGTTGCGAAAATTTTCTCCCATGTTGTAGGTTGCCTGTTCACTCTGATGGTAGTTTCTTTTGCTGTGCAGAAGCTCTTTAGTTTAATTAGATCCCATTTGTCAATTTTGGCTTTTGTTGCCATTGCTTTTGGTGTTTTGGACATGAAGTCCTTGCCCATGCCTATGTCCTGAATGGTAATGCCTAGGTTTTCTTCTAGGGTTTTTATGGTTTTAGGTCTAATGTTTAAATCTTTAATCCATCTTGAATTGATTTTTGTATAAGGTGTAAGGAAGGGATCCAGTTTCAGCTTTCTACATATGGCTAGCCAGTTTTCCCAGCACCATTTATTAAATAGGGAATCCTTTCCCCATTGCTTGTTTTTCTCAGGTTTGTCAAAGATCAGATAGTTGTAGGTATGCGGCGTTATTTCTGAGGGATCTGTTCTGTTCCATTGATCTATATCTCTGTTTTGGTACCAGTACCATGCTGTTTTGGTTACTGTAGCTTTGCAGTATAGTTTGAAGTCAGGTAGTGTGATGCCTCCAGCACACTTCTTTTGGCTTAGGATTGACTTGGCGATGCGGGCTCTTTTTTGCTTCCATATGAACTTTAAAGTAGTTTTTTCCAATTCTGTGAATAAAGTCATTGGTAGCTTGATGGAGATGGCATTGAATCTGTAAATTACCTTGGGCAGTATGGCCATTTTCACGATATTGATTCTTCCTACCCATGAGCATGGAATGTTCTTCCATTTGTTTGTATCCTCTTTTATTTCCTTGAGCAGTGGTTTGTAGTTCTCCTTGAAGAGGTCCTTCACATCCCTTGTAAGTAGGATTCCTAGGTATTTTATTCTCTTTGAAGCAATTGTGAATGGGAGTTCACTCATGATTTGGCTCTCTGTTTGTCTGTTGTTGGTGTATAAGAATGCTTGTGATTTTTGTACATTGATTTTGTATCCTGAGACTTTGCTGAAGGTGCTTATTAGCTTAAGGAGATTTTGGGCTGAGACAATGGGGTTTTCTAGATAAACAATCATGTCGTCTGCAAACAGGGACAATGTGACTTCCTCTCCTAATTGAATACCCTTTATTTCCTTCTCCTGCCTGATTGCCCTGGCCAGAACTTCCAACACTATGTTGAATAGGAGCAGTGAGAGAGGGCATCCCTGTCTTGTGCCAGTTTTCAAAGGGAATGCTTCCAGTTTTTGCCCATTCAGTATGATATTGGCTGTGGGTTTGTCATAGATAGCTCTTATTATTTTGAAATACGTCCCATCAATACCTAATTTATTGAGAGTTTTTAGCATGAAGGGTTGTTGAATTTTGTCAAAGGCCTTTTCTGCATCTATTGAGATAATCATGTGGTTTTTGTCTTTGGCTCTGTTTATATGCTGGATTACATTTATTGATTTGCGTATATTGAACCAGCTTTCCATCCCAGGGATGAAGCCCACTTGATCATGGTGGATAAGCTTTTTGATGTGCTGCTGGATTCGGTTTGCCAGTATTTTATTGAGGATTTTTGCATCAATGTTCGTCAAGGATATTGGTCTAAAATTCTCTTTTTTGGTTGTGTCTCTGCCCGGCTTTGGTATCAGAATGATGCTGGCCTCATAAAATGAGTTAGGGAGGATTCCCTCTTTTTCTATTGATTGGAATAGTTTCAGAAGGAATGGTACCAGTTCCTCCTTGTACCTCTGGTAGAATTCGGCTGTTAATCCATCTGGTCCTGGATTCTTTTTGGTTGGTAAACTATTGATAATTGCCACAATTTCAGCTCCTGTTATTGGTCTATTCAGAGATTCAACTTCTTCCTGGTTTAGTCTTGGGAGAGTGTATGTGTCGAGGAATTTATCCATTTCTTCTAGATTTTCTAGTTTATTTGCGTAGAGGTGTTTGTAGTATTCTCTGATGGTAGTTTGTATTTCTGTGGGATCAGTGGTGATATCCCCTTTATCATTTTTTATTGTGTCTATTTGATTCTTCTCTCTTTTTTTCTTTATTAGTCTTGCTAGCGGTCTATCAATTTTGTTGATCCTTTCAAAAAACCAGCTCCTGGATTCATTAATTTTTTGAAGGGTTTTTTGTGTCTCTATTTCCTTCAGTTCTGCTCTGATTTTAGTTATTTCTTGCCTTCTGCTAGCTTTTGAATGTGTTTGCTCTTGCTTTTCTAGTTCTTTTAATTGTGATGTTAGGGTGTCAATTTTGGATCTTTCCTGCTTTCTCTTGTGGGCATTTAGTGCTATAAATTTCCCTCTACACACTGCTTTGAATGTGTCCCAGAGATTCTGGTATGTTGTGTCTTTGTTCTCGTTGGTTTCAAAGAACATCCTTATTTCTGCCTTCATTTCGTTATGTACCCAGTAGTCATTCAGGAGCAGGTTGTTCAGTTTCCATGTAGTTGAGCGGTTTTGAGTGAGTTTCTTAATCCTGAGTTCTAGTTTGATTGCACTGTGGTCTGAGAGACAGTTTGTTATAATTTCTGATCTTTTACATTTGCTGAGGAGTGCTTTACTTCCAACTATGTGGTCAATTTTGGAATAGGTGTGGTGTGGTGCTGAAAAACATGTATATTCTGTTGATTTGGGGTGGAGAGTTCTGTAGATGTCTATTAGGTCCGCTTGGTGCAGAGCTGAGTTCAATTCCTGGGTATCCTTGTGGACTTTCTGTCTTGTTGATCTGTCTAATGTTGACAGTGGGGTGTTAAAGTCTCCCATTATTATTGTGTGGGAGTCTAAGTCTCTTTGTAGGTCACTCAGGACTTGCTTTATGAATCTGGGTGCTCCTGTATTGGGTGCATATATATTTAGGATAGTTAGCTCTTCTTGTTGAATTGATCCCTTTACCATTATGTAATGGCCTTCTTTGTCTCTTTTGATCTTTGTTGGTTTAAAGTGTGTTTTATCAGAGACTAGGATTGCAACCCCTGCCTTTTTTTGTTTTCCATTTGCTTGGTAGATCTTCCTCCATCCTTTTATTTTGAGCCTATGTGTGTCTCTGCATGTGAGATGGGTTTCCTGAATACAGCACACTGGTGGGTCTTGACTCTTTATCCAACTTGCCAGTCTGTGTCTTTTAATTGGAGAATTTAGTCCATTTACATTTAAAGTTAATATTGTTATGTGTGAATTTGATCCTGTCATTATGATGTTACCTGGTGATTTTGCTCGTTAGTTGATGCAGTATCTTCCTAGTCTCGATGGTCTTTACAATTTGGCATGATTTTGCCGCGGCTGGTACCGGTTGTTCCTTTCCATGTTTAGTGCTTCCTTCAGGAGCTCTTTTAGGGCAGGCCTGGTGGTGACAAAATCTCTCAGCATTTGCTTGTCTGTAAAGTATTTTATTTCTCCTTCACTTATGAAGCTTAGTTTGGCTGGATATGAAATTCTGGGTTGAAAATTCTTTTCTTTAAGAATGTTGAATATTGGCCCCCACTCTCTTCTGGCTTGTAGGGTTTCTGCCGAGAGATCCGCTTTTAGTCTGATGGGCTTCCCTTTGAGGGTAACCCGACCTTTCTCTCTGGCTGCCCTTAACATTTTTTCCTTCATTTCAACTTTGGTGAATGTGACAATTATGTGTCTTGGAGTTGCTCTTCTCGAGGAGTATCTTTGTGGTGTTCTCTGTATTTCCTGAATCTGAACATTGGCCTGCCTTGCTAGATTGGGGAAGTTCTCCTGGATAATATCCTGCAGAGTGTTTTCCAACTTGGTTCCATTCTCCGCATCACTTTCAGGTACACCAATCAGATGTAGATTTGGTCTTTTCACATAGTCCCATATTTCTTGGAGGCTTTGCTCATTTCTTTTTATTCTTTTTTCTCTAAACTTCCCTTCTTGCTTCATTTCATTCATTTCGTCTTCCATTGCTGATACCCTTTCTTCCAGTTGATCGCATTGGCTCCTGAGGCTTCTGCATTCTTCACGTAGTTCTCGAGCCTTGGTTTTCAGCTCCATCAGCTCCTTTAAGCACTTCTCTGTATTGGTTATTCTAGTTATACATTCTTCTAAATTTTTTTCAAAGTTTTCAACTTCTTTGCGTTTGGTTTGAATGTCCTCCCGTAGCTCAGAGTAATTTGATCGTCTGAAGCCTTCTTCTCTCAGCTCATCAAAGTCATTCTCCATCCAGCTTTGTTCCGTTGCTGGTGAGGAACTGCGTTCCTTTGGAGGAGGAGAGGCACCCTGCGTTTTAGAGTTTCCAGTTTTTCTGTTCTGTTTTTTCCCCATCTTTGTGGTTTTATCTACTTTTGGTCTTTGATGATGGTGATGTACAGATGGGTTTTCGGTGTGGATGTCCTTTCTGTTTGTTAGTTTTCCTTCTAACAGACAGCACCCTCAGCTGCAGGTCTGTTGGAATACCCTGCCATGTGAGGTGTCAGTGTGCCCCTGCTGGGGGGTGCCTCCCAGTTAGGCTGCTCGGGGGTCAGGGATCAGGGACCCACTTGAGGAGGCAGTCTGCCCGTTCTCAGATCTCCAGCTGCATGCTGGGAGAACCACTGCTCTCTTCAAAGCTGTCAGACAGGGACATTTAAGTCTGCAGAGGTTACTGCTGTCTTTTTGTTTGTCTGTGCCCTGCCCCCAGAGGTGGAGCCTACAGAGGCAGGCAGGCCTCCTTGAGCTGTGGTGGGCTCCACCCAGTTCGAGCTTCCCAGCTGCTTTGTTTACCTAAGCAAGCCTGGGCAATGGCGGGCGCCCCTCCCCCAGCCTCGCTGCCGCCTTGCAGTTTGATCTCAGACTGCTGTGCTAGCAATCAGCGAGATTCCATGGGCGTAGGACCCTCCAAGCCAGGTGTGGGATATAGTCTCGTGGTGCGCCGTTTTTTAAGCCGGTCTGAAAAGTGCAATATTCGGGTGGGAGTGACCCGATTTTCCAGGTGCGTCCGTCACCCCTTTCTTTGACTCAGAAAGGGAACTCCCTGACCCCTTGCGCTTCCCAGGTGAGGCAATGCCTCACCCTGCTTTGGCTCGCGCACGGTGCGCGCACCCACTGGCCTGCGCCCACTGTCTGGCACTCCCTAGTGAGATGAACCCGGTACCTCAGATGGAAATGCAGAAATCACCCGTCTTCTGCGTCGCTCACGCTGGGAGCTGTAGACCAGAGCTTTTCCTATTCGGCCATCTTGGCTCCTCCCAACATTCTTAAAGAAAAGAATTTTCAACCCAGAATTTCATATCCAGCCAAACTAAGCTTCATAAGTGAAGGAGAAATAAAATACCTTACAGACAAGCAAATGCTGAGAGATTTTGTCACCACCAGGCCTGCCCTAAAAGAGCTCCTGAAGGAAGCACTAAACATGGAAAGGAACAACTGGTACCAGCTGCTGCAAAACCATGCCAAATTGTAAAGACCATTGAGGCTAGGAAGAAACTGCATCAACTAACGAGCAAAATAACCAGGTAACATCATAATGACAGGATCAAATTCACACATAAGAATATTAACTTAAAATGTAAATGGACTAAATGCTCCAATTAAAAGACACAGACTGGCAAATTGGATAAAGAGTCAAGACCCATCAGTGTGCTGTATTCAGGAAACCCATCTCACATGCAGAGACACACATAGGCTCAAAATAAAAGGATGGAGGAAGATCTACCAAGCAAATGGAAAACAAAAAAAGGCAGGGGTTGCAATCCTAGTCTCTGATAAAACACACTTTAAACCAACAAAGATCAAAAGAGACAAAGAAGGCCATTACATAATGGTAAAGGGATCAATTCAACAAGAAGAGCTAACTATCCTAAATATATATGCACCCAATACAGGAGCACTCAGATTCATAAAGCAAGTCCTGAGTGACCTACAAAGAGACCTAGACTCCCACACAATAATAATGGGAGACTTTAACACCCCACTGTCAACATTAGACAGATCAACAAGACAGAAAGTCCACAAGGATACCCAGGAATTGAACTCAGCTCTGCACCAAGCGGACCTAATAGACATCTACAGAACTCTCCACCCCAAATCAACAGAATATACATGTTTTTCAGCACCACACCACACCTATTCCAAAATTGACCACATAGTTGGAAGTAAAGCACTCCTCAGCAAATGTAAAAGATCAGAAATTATAACAAACTGTCTCTCAGACCACAGTGCAATCAAACTAGAACTCAGGATTAAGAAACTCACTCAAAACCGCTCAACTACATGGAAACTGAACAACCTGCTCCTGAATGACTACTGGGTACATAACGAAATGAAGGCAGAAATAAGGATGTTCTTTGAAACCAACGAGAACAAAGACACAACATACCAGAATCTCTGGGACACATTCAAAGCAGTGTGTAGAGGGAAATTTATAGCACTAAATGCCCACAAGAGAAAGCAGGAAAGATCCAAAATTGACACCCTAACATCACAATTAAAAGAACTAGAAAAGCAAGAGCAAACACATTCAAAAGCTAGCAGAAGGCAAGAAATAACTAAAATCAGAGCAGAACTGAAGGAAATAGAGACACAAAAAACCCTTCAAAAAATTAATGAATCCAGGAGCTGGTTTTTTGAAAGGATCAACAAAATTGATAGACCGCTAGCAAGACTAATAAAGAAGAAAAGAGAGATGAATCAAATAGACGCAATAAAAAATGATAAAGGGGATATCACCACCGATCCCACAGAAATACAAACTACCATCAGAGAATACTACAAACACCTCTACGCAAATAAACTAGAAAATCTAGAAGAAATGGATAAATTCCTTGACACATACACCCTCCCAAGACTAAACCAGGAAGAAGTTGAATCTCTGAATAGACCAATAACAGGCTCTGAAATTGTGTCAATAATCAATAGCTTACCAACCAAAAAGAGTCCAGGACCAGATGGATTCACAGCCGAATTCTACCAGAGGTATAAGGAGGAACTGGTACCATTCCTTCTGAAACTATTCCAATCAATAGAAAAAGAGGGAATCCTCCCTAACTCATTTTATGAGGCCAGCATCATTCTGATACCAAAGCCGGGCAGAGACACAACCAAAAAAGAGAATTTTAGACCAATATCCTTGACGAACATTGATGCAAAAATCCTCAATAAAATACTGGCAAACCGAATCCAGCAGCACATCAAAAAGCTTATCCACCATGATCAAGTGGGCTTCATCCCTGGGATGCAAGGCTGGTTCAATATACGCAAATCAATAAATGTAATCCAGCATATAAACAGAACCAAAGACAAAAACCACATGATTATCTCAATAGATGCAGAAAAGGCCTTTGACAAAATTCAACAACCCTTCATGCTAAAAACTCTCAATAAATTAGGTATTGATGGGACGTATTTCAAAATAATAAGAGCTATCTATGACAAACCCACAGCCAATATCATATTGAATGGGCAAAAACTGGAAGCATTCCCTTTGAAAACTGGCACAAGACAGGGATGCCCTCTCTCACCGCTCCTATTCAACATAGTGTTGGAAGTTCTGGCCAGGGCAATTACGCGGGAGAAGGAAATAAAGGGTATTCAATTAGGAAAAGAGGAAGTCAAATTGTCCCTGTTTGCAGATGACATGATTGTATATCTACAAAACCCCATTGTCTCAGCCCAAAATCTCCTTAAGCTGATAAGCACCTTCAGCAAAGTCTCAGGATACAAAATCAATGTACAAAAATCACAAGCATTCTTATACACCAATAACAGACAAACAGAGAGCCAAATCATGAGTGAAGTTGTTCTTTATAGAAGTATTCCAGCTGATAAACAAAGAGGGAGGGATAGCATTAAAATATCACTATTTTGAAAATCCTAATGAAATAATGGACCTAGGCAATGATCATCAATGGATGCTAAACATTTAAGTGAAAGGCTGCAGGGAGCTTTATAATCTATGGATCAGGTTCAACAACACCTGAACCCACTGATTAATCTTAGCACATAAAGAAAGATATTGAGGAATTATGCACCTCTCAGTGAGATGCAAGAATATGTACGAAACACAACTTATGAATTATTCTATCAAAAAATTAAACCTGAATATGTTCAAGCCTCTGGAGCTAACAGCTTGCATTAAATATGAAGGATCAAGGAATATCTTCAGTGATATCACAAGGATGTCGTCAGCCAAATCCAGAATATGGGACATTCTACAGAACAAATGACCCAGTTTCTTTAACAAATAAATAGCAAGGGAAAATGTGAAGCTAATCTTTTATAGAGTAACATAAATTTAAGAACTATATCTCACAAATGCAATGTGTGGCCCTTGTTTGAATCCCAACTCATTTTTTTAAAAAGGCATTCATCAAATATGCCCAACTGACTTTTTTTTTTTTTTTTTTTTTTTGAGACAGGGTCTCATTCTGTCGCCCAGGCTGGATTGCAGTGCCATGATCACAGCCCACTGCAGCCTTGCCTTCCTGGGCTCAAATGATCCCCTCTTGCCTCAGTCTCCCAAAGTGGTGGGATTACAGGCATAAGCCACTGCACCCAGCCTCAACTGATTTTTGAGGAAGATGTAAAAACAGTTCAATGGAAGAAGTACAGGCTTTTCAACAAGTGGTGTTGGTGCAATTAGACATTGTAAGCAAGTAAATAACCTCAACATAAACCTCACACCTTATACAAAATATAATTCAAAATGGATCATGAACTTAAATATAAAACATAAAACAATAAAACTTTTATTGGACTTCATCAAAATTAAAAACTTTTGCTCTGTGAAAGATCATGTGAAGAGAATGAAAGACAAGCTATAGACAGGGAGAAAATATTTGGAAACCACATATCTGACAAAAGACTGACATCTAGAATATATAAAGAACCTCAAAACTCCATGGTAAAAATCCAGACAATCCATTAGAAAATGGGCAAAATATATGAATAGACATTTTGCCAAAGAGCATATAGAGATGACAAATAAGCACATGAAAAGATGTTCCACATCAGTAGACATTAGGGAAATGCAAATTAAAAACACAGTGAGACACCTATCAGAATGGCAAAATGAAAAGTGGTGACAATGTCAAATGCTGGTGAGGGTGTGGAAAAACTGGATTATTCAAGCATTGCTGGTGGCAGTGTAAACTGTAAAGTACCACAGTCAGTCTAGAAAAGACTTTGGCAGTTCTTATAAAACTAAACATGAAATTACCATAAACCCAGCAACTGCACTCTTGGCTGTTTCTCTCAGAAAAATAAATGAAACTTGCGTTCACACAAAAACCTGTACACAAATGGTCATATCAACTTTATCTGTAATAGCTCCAAACTGGAATCAACCAGTTATCCTTCAACAGGTGAATGGTTAAACAAACATGTACACCCATACTATGGAATACTACTGAGCAATGAAAAGGAATGAACTATTGATACCTGCAACAGCTTTTCATTCATTCATTCATTCATTCATTGAATTCATTCAATGAATGAATGAATCTCCAGGGAATTATGCTAGGTGAAAAGAGCCAATCCCAAAAGGTTACATACTACAGATGCTACTCGACATACATCCTGATAAATCCATCCTAAGTTGAAAATACGATAATTCAAAAATGCATTTAACACACCTAACCTACTGAACATCATAGCTTAGCCTAGCCTACCTTAAATGTGCATAGAATACTTATATTAGCACAGTTGGACAACATAATCTAGCAAGAAGCTTATGTTATAATAAAGCATTGAATATTTCATGTAATTTATTAAATACTGAACTGAATGTGAAAAAACGGAATGGTTGTATGGATACTTGAAGTACAGTTTCTACTGCATGTTTATCACTTTTGCACCATGGAAAAGTTAAATAATTTTAAGTCAAAACATTGTAAGCCAGAGACCATCTGCACATGATTCCATTTATATAACATTTTTGAAATGATGAAATTTTAGAAATAGAGACTAGATTAGTTGTTGCCAGGGGTTTTAAGACAAAGGGGTAAGAAGAGAAGATAGTTATGGTTATAAAATCGCAACAATGAGGATCGTTATGGTGACAGAACTGTTCTGTATCTTCACTGTGGTGGAGGATATAAAAACTTATACATGTGATAAAATTGTACAAAACTAAATACACAAATAAGTACAAGTAAAACAGGGAATCTGAAAAAGAACAGTATATAGTATCAACATCAATATTCTTATTTAAATTTAAACTAAAAGGACACTTATGAGACTATTAAGGAAATGCTATGGTTTGAATGTGTCCCCCAAAGTTCATATGTTAGAAACTTAATCTCCAATGCAAAAGTATTGAGAGGTAGGGCTTTTAAGAGGTGATTAGGTCATGACAGCTCTGCCTTCATGAATGGATTAATGTTGTTATTGTGGGAGTGGGTTCCTGATAAAAAGGATGAGTTTGGTCCCCTTCCTCTCTCACACACACATGCTCTTTTGCCATGCGATGCCTTCTGCCATGTTATGATGCAGCAGAAGTCTCTCAGCAGATGTGGCCCCTTGACCTTGGACCTCTTCTTCTTCTTTTTTTTTTTTTTTTTTGAGACAGAGTTCCCCTTTTGGTGCCTGGGCTGGAGTGCAATGGCATGATCTTGGCTCGCTGCAACCTCTGCCTCCTGGGTTCCAGTGATTCTCTCACCTCAGCCTCCTGAGTAGCTGGGATTATAGGTGCCCACCACCATGCCCAGCTAATTTCTGTATTTTTAGTAGAGATGGGGTTTCGCCATGTCAGCCAGGCTGATCTTGAACTCCTGACCTCAGGTGATCCACCCGCCTCGGCCTCCCAAAGTGCTGGGATTACAGGCGTGAGCCACCACGCCCAGCCAGACCTTGGACTTCTCAGCCTCTAGAACTGTAAGAAGTAAATTTATTTTCTTTATAAATTATCCAGTCTGTGGTTTTCTGTTATAGCAACACAAAGTGGTCTAAGAGAGGAAATTTATACACAGTGTAGGAACAGATAATATTAAGAAATTATTTTCTTAATACTGTTAATATTTTCAGTGTGATAATGGCATTGTAGTTAAGCAGGGATACATACTAAAGAAAGTAAGGAAGAAATGATATTACTTCAGTGATTTTCTTTAAAATAACCCAGCAGTAGTAGATAAAACAAGATTGGTCGTATGCCCATAACTATTGATAACTGTTGTATATTGATGATGGATACAAGGGGGTTCATTATACTATTTTTGTGTTTCTGAGTAGCTTGAATATTATAAATTACACATGGATAAGTTCTGTAATATGAAAAAAATAGACAGTTTTTAAGAAAAAAGGAGGAAATGAACACAGAATGAGCTCCCATACGGTCTAAAATTGTACTAAAAATTATATATGTAACTAATTCCCCTTATAATTTTGATCTATCTGTGGCTCAAGCAGTGTCAAAAGACTGCTGTTATAGACTGAAAGTTTGTTCCCCCAAAATTCATATGTTGAAATCTTAACCCCCAATGTGATGGTATTAGAAGGTGGGTCCTTTTGGAGGTAATTATGTCATAAGGTCAGAGCCTTTATAAATGGGATTACTGCCCATATAAGAAAAGACACGAGAGAGATGATCTCTTTCTCTCTCTCAGCCATGTGAGGATACAACAAGATGACCATCTGCAAACCAGGAAGAGGGCCCTCACCAGCCAAAGATTTGCCAGCACCTTGATCTTGAACTTCCTAGCCTCCAGAACTGTGATAAATAAATGTTTGTTATTTAAGCCATCAGTCTATGGCATTTTGTTATGGCAGCCTGAACTAAGACAGCTGCCCAAGAAAACTATTACATGTCACTGAAATGCATTCAGTCCCTCCACTGAACATATAATTTAACTTTTTCTCTTTGTGTGAAATCAGGCCATCAGAAAGGTGTGTCCTCAAATACTCTTGGTTGCTTGTTATAATACATTTGCTGAGATTTGCTTTGACCCTAGGCCTTTTGCTGCCTCTGAAGAATGCTCTAGAACAGAGGTAGGCAGCCACCCTCATTTGTTTACACACAGTCTATGGCTGCTCTCATGCTACAACAGCCGAACTGAGTAGTTGCTACAGAGACCATATGACACACAAAGCCTAAAATATTTATTATCTGGCCCTGCAGACAAAGCTTGCCAAGTCCTGCTCTAGAAGATAGCAGAAGCAAACACAATACAGTAGTCTCCCCTTATCCATGGTTTCATTTTCTGTGGTTTCAGTTACCCATGGCCAATCACTGTCCAAAAATATTAAATAGAACATTCCAAAAATAAACAATTCATGAGTTTTAAATTTTGCACTGTTCTGAGTACGTTGATGAAATCTTATACCATCCCACTCCATCCTGACTGGGACATGAATCATCCCTGTGTCCAGTGCATCCATGCTGTATACCCTATCTGCCTGTTAGTCACTTAGTAGCCATGTCAGTTATCAAATCAACTCCCGTGGAATCACAGTGCTTGTTTTCAAGTCACCCTTATTTTACTTTATAATGGCCCTGAAGTGCAAAAGTAGTGATGGTGTCAATTTGGATATGCCAAAGAGAAGCCATAAAGTACTTCTTGTAAGTGAAAAAGTGAAAGTTCTTGACTTAATAAAAGAAAAAACTTGTATGCTGAGGTTGTTAAGATCTACAGTAAGAATGAATTTTCCATGAAATTGTGAAGAAGGAAAAGGACATTCATGCACAGGATATGTAGGAATCAGTACTATCCATGGTTTCAAGCATTTACTGGGGGCCTTGGAACATATCCCCAGAGGATAAGGGGGGACTGCCATACTACTACTATACACGTGATGGAGTTGCTATAAATAACAGTGTTATTTATACCCTGGGGGATACATGACTTGCTGTCCTGGAGAATTGAAGGACATCTTGTTTCTAGGCATGACTGGAACAGAGCCCCAGTGTTCCAGCCAGTCCCTGCCTATTTCAAGATGTTGCCTTCCCAGAATGTTCTACAGTTATCTTGAGAACTGCAAGTGAGAAAAGAGGGAGAACCGGGTCAGTCTAAGGCCACCCAGAGTTATTATATTGCTATAAATAACAACATTATATATTAGTCAATATATAGTCATATATTGAACATATAGTCAGCCTAATAATAGGGTTCTGTGACTAGTTGTTATAGCATAATTATGAACAGAACCCCCATGTATCAATTTATATGAAGATTTATCAAAAATCTTTTGAAAACTCCATCCAGAGAGTCTTTACTATAGAGGAATTGTCACATTGTCCTTGTGACAATTAAATGTAAATTATATAATTGCTTATATTTCTTTCATTCTATATCTGCCACAAAGAACACAACTTTATAGTTTAATTTTAATAACTATTGCAGGACACTTCTCTGGGTGGTCTTGGACTGACCCGGTTCTCCCTCTTTTCTCACTTGCAGTTCTCAAGATAACTGTAGAACATTCTGGGAAGGCAACATCTTGAAATAGGCAGGGACTGGCTGGAACAGCTGGGGCTCTGTTCCAGTCATGCCTAGAAACAAGATGTCCTTCAGTTCTCCAGGACAGCAAGTCATGTATCCCCCAGGGTACAAAACCCAGGGTGAGTTGCTTTCTGGGGTCCCTCAGCTGTGGGGCAAGTGAGGCATACACAGACAAGACTCCTTCCTTCTCTGGCAGCTTTCCTGAGCCTCAGGGGACCCGCTCATAATGATTCCTAGGCTTCCATTGTCCCTTGCTGCCTGTCTGTAAGTAATAAACCTGATTCATGTAACTTGTGTGTGTGTGGATGTTCTGTCCCACTGGACTCAGAGAAGTTGGTAATCAGTGCACAGTGAACCTGTTTCGTATCTATGTTACTAAAATTCATTCAACACTGCATGAATATTTACAGTCCACTGATGCTCTGTTGTTGACTGTGTCAACATTGTCTGTGTTTTCCCTGATCATATTATAGATTCACATGTATTCATGTTACTATTCTGATTATTATAAACCTCCTAAATCCAATGGTAAATGGAAGCAATAACTAAACAAAGAAACAAATGATGACTTAGCAGAGACCAGGTCTTTTCTGGTTCTTTTGTAGAGAAGAAAAGGGATCTATGAAGTCAGAGTTGGGGAAGTGAGGATGTACAAGTGAGGGGATACCTTGCAGAGTCTAGAATCAGCAGGGAGCTGCCTCCCTTCTCCTCTAGGCCATGGGGCTGAACCCTCCACATCCCCCCTCTCCTCCATCAACTACATTATACAGTCCACTGAAACACGCAGGTCTCTGGATAAGCTGCTGAAAGGGGACATAGACATTGGAAGTCAGAATGGAACTGATCTATTTGGATTTGGAAATACTCATGAGTACCCAGACTTACAGATGATATTGTCTGGAGCATTATGGTGCAACATCCATAAGGTCTCTGGGAAAGCCTGCCTTATATTCCCACACAGAGGGTACAACAGCAGTAAACTCCACAACAGAGGGATATGCCTATCCCTGCGGTCCAGGTTAATGTTATAAGCAACTTTTGCCATTAGAATTGTCCTGACCTGAATCAGGATGCTAAGCATTAGTCTAGAGACAATGTGTGGCCAGACATAGCTTTGATTTGTTGGTGCATGTCTTGTGGGGCTATCTGAGGCATTTCCTGAATTCTTAATTATAAAGCAGTTTCCCCACTGCCAATCACAACCAGATATGATGATAGGTTGGCTAAGTATATATATTTAACAGGCTACAGAGAGAGCTATGAATACTCATGAAAGTAGTGATAAGCCCTGTCCAGTTCTTGAGACTGGATCAGCTTAAATAGCTGTGTCTCATCCAGGAGGCGGCATTACAGATGGGCTAGGCCTCTGCCTCTGATGGAGACAAACAAATTTTTAATAAGAGGCATTTCTATGGAAACAGAAGAAAAACAAAGATTAATGTTGGGCACAATTTATTCAGATGTTAGACTCCAGGATCTTAATTATAGAGGAGGAAGGAAGAGGCAATCTGACACTTTTTTCTCACCTATGTTACAAGGAATAAGCTGCAGCTTGCAGGGCTTCAGGAAAAAGGTACTAGCAATTTCATTGAATCCAAGTCAGAAAAGTAAAAGAAAAAATTGGAAAACATTAGTTTGGGGACTCATAGCCCGGAAATAATTTAGGATTCACTCCAAATTGTAGAAAATAATAAAAACTCAACAACAGTGAACAAAACTAGAATCTAACAATAAGTGTACTACATTTTTTTCCAAAACATACTTTTTCTCTCTCCAGTCCCTGTTTTTACTAAAGACAAATCACAGTAGGACAAATGTATTTGCAAAATAAATTTTAGTCTTACTATTCTTGGCCTAAGTGTTTGCATAAAGTCAGCAGGAATAATTATTTGTCATATAGGCTCTTTTGAAAATTGGCTTTGCTGGAACTTTATTCCATAAGGAATCTTGGATTAGACTTTCAAAGCCTTGAGCCCAGCCATGGATTCATCTGTGCCTGCAATACTTGTATGATTTGGGTGAATTCCTCACTTCAGGTCCCAAGATAACTTGGAGCTCCTAGGCCTGTCAGAGAATGACATTCTTTACTTACCACAGGTCAAAAACCCTATACAGGGACTGCATAGACAATGCATGAGGCCAGTTTTTCCAAGGGGCTTTTATGGGCTTTATAAGTCAACTTTGATTCCTTAAAGCAGTATGAAAGTGTGCCATTCCAACCAAAGCCTTGGTAAAGTAACCAGTATCTCCAGTTGTGTCTTGTTAGATAAGAAAACAGATTCTTATTGAACTTATGCAAATAACTTAAGTATACTAACAAATGGTTTTAAAATTCTGGAGAAAGCAAGTAGAGGGAAAGAAATGTGTTTCAAGTTTTGCTCACAGGAGTGTACTTTATGCAATTGTTAAAAGCTGCAAATAGCTCAAAAGAAAAAGTTTTTCTGGATTCTGAAAAACAAGAGTTAGCAATGTTTTAAACAAAATGCCATAAAAAGATTTTGGTCTTCTGTTGGTTCAGTCTATGTAATTAAGTCCTGTTCCACTCAATATTCATGAACACATTAGCTCTCTATGGGAGTCTTGGAAGTTTTGCCTCTATTCTGATGCCACAATCTCTGAAGTTATCAGAAACCTGCATTCAAGAGCAGCTCTCAGAGTCCTATAGCTGATTACAAAATCGTTTGAAAATAATCAAAGTAAAACAATTGTGGATGACAAAAGTCTTAGAATAACCATGATTAAAGTCTGAACATCTCTGTGGCATGCAGCAATTTAATATAACAATTATAATTATTACTTATATACTGAGACATAACAGAATTGCAAGAATCATATACAATTTTGGAACACACACCAATAACACATTTATACAAATACAACCCAAAGAGATCTGAAAACCATTTTGTACTTGACAATACTTCCTGTATGATTTTAATATACAGAACAAGCTGAATATGTCCCTATTGGACTTTAGGGGACCCAATATCTAAAAGTGTTAACCAGATCAAAAAAGGGGGCT
Source organism: Homo sapiens (assembly GCF_000001405.40). Classification (NCBI taxonomy): domain Eukaryota; kingdom Metazoa; phylum Chordata; class Mammalia; order Primates; family Hominidae; genus Homo; species Homo sapiens. Next base: position 47,800,899 of record NC_000023.11, read on the forward strand.
TAATTTAAAATCTGACTGTGGAAAGTTTGTCAAATATCAAAGGTTTAAACACTTAGTATTATAAAATAAAATTCTAGGTCACCATTAATAAAAGGGAAAAATCTGTACTCATTAATAGAGGGGAAACAGCTTTCCAAACAGGACCCAATAAAGATGCATGAGGCCAGTTGAATCTGTCTCCTCTCCTCTCGCTTTTTTCTGTCATTTATTCCAAAGGTAAACAAAAATATTTCACTATCTTTTAATATTACATGCAAATCTTGTTCAAAAGAGAAAGCTAAATTTCACCTTTGTTTGCATTAGTGTACTATTAATGTTAAACCCAATTCTTAATAAAACCTTATAAACAAAATCTATCCAATCTTAATTAGTTTGACTATAAGGTAAAATTTCCAGAAACCTTTTATAATCCTTTACAGCTTTCTATTAAACAGCAGATCAATTCTCTAAGAAAACCCTGTTACTCAGACACAGGGGCCCAGATTCCGGCCCTGCATCAGTGTGCTTTCATTTCAATGTTCAACCCACAAAAAAACTAAATCATCCCTTTCAAATCTTAGGCAACTTGCTTATACCCACTGAACTTCGTTTATAAGATCCACCCTTCACAAATTCTTCACAACTTGCTTAAACTTTCAGTTTTGTCCCATTACTCCTCTATGTTAGGACAATCTTAACCTCTGAACAAGACAAAATTACATTCCCTTTAACAAAAACCATGTTTTCATGCCTTCTTATAATCTTTTACCAAAAACACATTCTACTTTCCTTACACACCTTGCATGTAAAACTATTTTTCCAGTAGTCGCAAGTACATATTACAATGTTAACTCTTAGCAACTTTTATTGTTGGTGAAAACCTGGCGAGTAAGCAATTTTAACCATGTATAAGATTGCAGAACACATGACTTCCCAGCCTAGCCAGGGGGCCTGGCTAACTTCATATGTCCCCAGGCCTTACCTAGGATCTAATTGCTGTAAAACAGGCAAGTCAAGCAATTACTAAAAGTCGTAGAAGCAGTTTATGACCTTAAAACATCTAGCAAACAGTATCCGATCCCCCCAATTTAGACCAAATATCTAAATTTTGAAGATATTTTTATTTTACTTTACCAATAATCTTTAAGCTGTCTTTATTTTTCAAAGATTGTTAGAGACATTGTGACTTAAAAGGCATTAAAGTCTATTTTTCTGACAAAATATTTTATTTAAGTGCTTATCATTCTTAAGCCAATAAATTAGACCACTATCATATATTCTGGTAGCGAAACATCACACACATCATATATAAATACACAGATATGGAGATGATTTGGTAGGGTGACAAAAGATTAGATGCAAGAGGAAGGAGGAACAGACAGGAGCAGGTGCAGAATTAGACAGATATCCATCAACTGAGGAGGTTTTAGAGGCAGAGCAGGGGCTTTAAAACAATATCCATGCACATATAGTGCAAATATCAGCCTTAATTAAGTTGATTTCGAACTACAGAGCTCTCCAAAGGAGAATCATTTTAAAATATTTTATTACTAGATTTTAGTCAAGAGAAATGGCCAATATTTCTGGCTTTTGAATTCTTTTACCTCCTACATGAAATCAATAAGCCTTAACTAACGGTATGACTTTACCACAGGTGCATGAAGTATCTTCAATGAGACAGCAAGCGGTTTTTACAAGATCTAGAATTGCTCCAAAGGTAGCTCAGAGAAAAGAAAATTTCAAGACAGGAAATCAGAAGCTGTCCATGGAAGGGAAAAGAACCAATAAATGGCAAAAAGTCACACACATAGCGAATGGGAAAGGACTAATTACCTAAGCTGGGAATTGAACCCAGGCTGCCAGTGTGAAAGGCCAGAATCTTAGCTCCTGAACTATTGCACAAGGTGACGACTACTGCTTCTTCCCAGGAGTCTAGAGCAGTCATTTTTGAGCTTGCAAATGATTTTAACTATTCAAGAAAATTTAGACTAGATATAACACAATCATGTGTCCTTTTTAGTCTCAAGAGTCAAAGCCCTGTAACTTAACGGCGCAAGGACTTTAAAGACAATACAGAAACTTACATGGATACAATAACCTTTTTAAGTCCATAATTTGAATTAGCTTTTAAATAACTTTTGAATTAGACAAAATTTTTTTTTGTCAATAAGAACATATTTTCCTTGTCACATTTTCTATAAAACTAGGAAGCAAGAAATTCTTTTTTTGAAAAAGTGAAAGCAATTTTATTAAGAAAGTAAAGGAATAGCCGGCTGTGTGGCAGCCCGCGAGGCGGTCCGCGGGAGCACACTCTGTGCAGAGACTGGGCGGCCAGCCTGCCCTTGCTGTCGCTGACGGTGACTGCGGGAGGCCAGGTTGTTTTTCATCATTCAGAACATTGCCTGAAGCAGGTCCACCGTGCCGTTAGTAACGAGGAACATCGAGCCAAGGCACCTGTGCCGTCAGACGTTGCCTAGCGTTAGAAGCGAGCTGGAATGCGTGACCAACATCACCCTGGCAAATGTCATCCGACAGCTGGGCAGCCTGAGTAAATATGCAGAGGACATTTTTGGAGAGCTCTTTACTCAGGCAAATACCTTTGCCTCTCCGGTAAGCTCCCTTGCTGAGAGGGTCGATGGACTACAAGTTAAAGTCACTCAGCTGGATCCCAAGGAAGAAGAAGTGTCACTGCAAGTAATCAACACCCGAAAAGCCTTCAGAAGCTCCACCATTCAAGACCAGAAGCTTTTTGACAGAAACTCTCTCCCAGTGCCTGTCTTAGAAACATACAATACCTGTGATACTCCTCCCCCTCTCAACAATCTTACCCCTTACAGGGACGATGGAACAGAGGCACTCAAATTCTACACAGACCCTTCATACTTCTTTGATCTTTGGAAGAAGAAGATGCTGCAGGACACCAGGGATATCATGAAAGAGAAGAGAAAGCACAGGAAAGAAAAGAAAGATAATCCAAATCGAGGGAATGTAAACCCACGTAAAATCAAGACACGTAAGGAAGAGTGGGAGAAAATTAAGATGGGGCAAGAATTTGTGGAGTCCAAAGAAAAGCTGGGGCCTTTTGGGTATCCACCCACCTTGGTGTACCAGAATGGCAGCATTGGCTGTGTTGAAAACGTGGATGCAAGTAGCTATCCACCACCATCACAGTCAGACTCTGCTTCTTCACCTTCTCCTTCCTTCTCCGAGGACAACTTGCCTCCTCCACCAGCAGAATTCAGTTACCCAGTGGACAACCAAAGAGGATCTGGTTTGGCTGGACCCAAAAGATCCAGTGTGGTCAGCCCAAGCCATCCACCACCAGCTCCTCCTCTAGGCTCTCCACCAAGCTCTAAACCCGGGTTTGCTCCACCACCTGCCCCTCCACCACCCCCGCCTCCAATGATAGGCATCCCACCTCCACCACCGCCTATAGGATTTGGGTCTCCAGGGACGCCTCCACCACCCTCAAGCCCATCTTTCCCACCTCACCCTGATTTTGCTGCCCCTCCACCTCTTCCTCCACCACCGGCAGCTGACTACCCAACTCTCCCACCACCTCCCTTGTCCCAGCCAACAAGAGGAGCACCTCCTCCTCCCCCTCCTCCTCCTCCGGGGCCCCCTCCTCCCCCTTTCACTGGTGCAGATGGCCAGCCTGCTGTACCACCACCGCTTTCTGACACCACCAAGCCCAAGTCCTCCTTGCCTGCCATAAGCGATGCCCATAGCGACCTGCTTTCAGCCATCTGTCAAGGTTTTCAGCTGCGCAGGGTTGAGGAGCAGCAGGAACAAGAGAAGTGGGATGTCGTGGGCAATGACGTGGCCACCATCTTGTCTCGTCGCATTGCTGTTGAGTACAGTGACTCAGAAGATGACTCCTCTGAATTTGATGGGGACGACTGGTCTAATTAACTCTTTCTGCCTGATGCCCACCTTCTTTTTCTTTCCTTCCTACTTGCCTTCTTTGATGCCAACCCCAACAGACCCATAGGGGAGAAAAGGGAGGAAAAACCTAATTTTAAGGGGCCGAAGCTTTCCCTGAAGCAACCAAAGCTATATCCAAGTGCTTCCTCCAAGTCACATGTATTTCCTCTTCCCATTGTCAGGCCCTGTGGGGCTCCTGAGATTCAGTAGCTGGGATGTTCCCTCTTTCCTTCAAGTGCCTGTTGCATGTTTAAAGGAAGGAGAAATCCCAAAGCAGATTCCTTTGATTGGGTTTCCGTTGGAGATGGGGCCTTCCCTTAGGAGCCATATTCAACTACAGTCTTCTAAAACCTGTGCCCTCAGCCACTTCGAATAATGCCAGCCACCTTCTGGTTCTAAAGCAGAGGGAGTGGCCTGAATGGACACAGCTGGCCCCTTTCCCGTACACTGAAAGGGCAGAGCAGGCCTAAGGCTCCAACGGCCAAACTGCCTCACCCTCTGCCCTAATCAGCAGGGTGGGCCTGCCTTTTGCTAAGCGATCTCTATGCCTGGGATTCCCTTTATTCCAGGAGACATTAAGCCTCTAAAGAATGTCTCATCTCCTCTGCCCAAAAATGATGCTCTTCTGTAGGCTGGTGTTGTTGCTTCCCTCCCAGGATCCCTTTGGTGAGTGTGGTGTTCAGGATGCACCAGCACCACCTCTACATGCCTTCAGGCAACACGGCCCAGTTTTAACCTCTAGTATCCATGACCAAACTATCCCTGACACATAAGGACAGGGGCCTCTTCTGGCTGTCAGGAGCAAAGCCTGAAGACTTGGAGCTGCAGGACTGGAAGAACAGTGGAGCCCCGTGGGTCCCACCCTTTAAGGATGCTGAGGCCTAGAGATGGGAAGTGACTTGCTCAAGGTCACACAATTGGATAGTGACATAGCTAGAGCCCAGAGTTCCTGATTCCAAGTCACCTGTGCTTTCTGGGACCAAAGAATGGGCACCTGCTGGAGTCTTGGCAGAGCTTTCTTGGCTGTATTGCTACTCCAGACCTCATCATAGGTTGGGGTCCCAGTAGGAGGGCTCAGGGTCTGTGCCAGCCCTGTCAGTGCTGCTCAGACCTTCATAGCCTCTCTTGTCATTCTTTGTTGCCCCTTTTCTGTCACCAACCAACCACATAGCCTTGGGACCAGCCCCTCTGGGGGACCAGAAGTAGTGAGAGAAGGAAGGGGATAGGCAGCTTTGACAGGTGCTGTTTTCAATTCCTCTGCAACTCCTCCCCCTTTTATTTCCCCAATTTAAACAAAGATTCTGCCAACTGTGGAAACTTCAGTCCCTCAGGCTGGCAGCTGTGCTGGTACCTGCCTGGGGGGGCCTGGCAGTCGTGAAGCAGGCTGAAAGGCAGAGGGGCTCCAGGTCCTGTTTCCAGCTCCCCTCACTGCACATGGTGAAGCTCCCTCCCTCCCCACTTTTCCCAGAGCTAATACACAGGTGCTATTATTCAGAAAAAAACTGGTCAGCTCTAACCAACAGTGAGGTTTCTTCTCTTCTGCCCTAACTATTGTGTAGCCTCTTATGCTGAAATTGGCTTCTGCCGGCTTATCTGGCTTTCAGAGCCCTGAAACAAAGAGAAACAGGATCTGTCCCTACCCAGCACAGCAAATGGTTGTAGTAATTGCCAAAGCCCTCGTAAAGCCCTCCGGCTTGAGGAGACAGTGTATAGTCATGAGTTCTGCCTCTGTGCCCTTGCTGGCCGCTTCCCCTTTGCCTTCTTTCCTGGAACTCAGGGTGTGGGGACTGAGCCTGTAGGGGCCAGCAGGCCCTCCTGCTGTGGCCACTCCCAAGTGTGCCCTCTTCCCTCTCTCCAGATCAGGTGTCTCTAGCACAGGACTTGGCACCAAGCTCCATGCTGAGACACCAGGCTATGTGGGCCCCCACCTTGTTTCCCAGCCTGTACCTTGGAAGCCGAAGGTGCTTTCATCAGAATCCTAAAATGGCCGTTGAAGGCGCCTGGGCCGCAGCCCAGCAGTAGCTGGAGAGGCAGGCAGAGGGCAGTGGTTCTCCCAAATAGGAGACCTGGGGCCTGGCCAGGCCAGGGTTTGGGCCTAATGGCTTTGACTGAATTACCCCCATCCTCCTCCTTTCTGGAAAAGGGAGAGCTAGAGCCACTCACTGTCATTCTGCTCTGACCTTGAAGGGGGCGGTGTTGGCCTGGCTTCTGGAATGGACTGAGTCCATCGTGGAAAGGGCTGGGGGCAGGAGGAGGTGGGGAGGGGCACTGCCTGCGGAAGGTAGGATTAGATCATTAGCTCAGTGACCTCCTAGGGTTTCGATGTGCTGTGTTCTCATCCTACAGTTGGTTTGGTAATGATCTGCAAGTCCCGGAGAGCAACAGCAAAGCTCTGCCTGATGCTCTCATTAAAATCTATGCAGCCAAGCTCAGCACTTTGTCACAGCCGGCCTTGCGAAGCCTCCTCAGCTCGGGGGGCCGGGGACCCAGTGAGCTGGGAGGCCCTCTGGGCTCCACTTATGCATATGCACCAAAAAAAAAAAAAAAAAAAAAAGGCTTCTTTAGACCCAGAGCCCTTTAAGATGATAAAGGACCCAATGCAGGTAATCCTGTTTTTGGACTCATGTAATGTAGAATGCTAAATTTAGTGATTATTTAATCTGGGCCTAAGCTAGTGAGAGTGTGGAACAATGGCCCATAATGACTCCTAAGCGGTGAAGCCAGGGGGCCTCCTCCCTTCCTGGTTCACCCCGCCCAGGGGACCTGCTCCCATTCCTATGGCCCTGGGGCCCAGCTTCCAATAGTGTCAGAAGTGACTTGTGGCTTTGCCTTGGTTGTGAGATGGGTACATTCTAAAGGAGCAGCCCGGGGGAGGGGGCAGGCTTAGCCAGCCCTTGGAGGCTCAGAGCAGCTGGCCCAGGCTCCAGCTCGCCTCCAGTGGAAGCCCGAGCGCTGTCAGAAACAACCCTGGCCAATGTCACCGCAGAGCCGAGGCGGTGTTGTCAGGGCTAATGTGAAATCTCTTCCCGTGGCGCTGATCCTCCGACTCTGCAGCACCAGCTTGGACAGACTGAGGTCTCTGTGGCTTTGCTGACTCTGCTTAAGCATTCCCACCGGGTCCCAGCTCTGCTCTAGGACTGCCTCCCACTGCGGCCCCTCACCTGACCTCAGGGCATGGGGAGGGAGGGAGCCAGTTCCCCAAGGCCAGGGGACTTTGCTCCTGAGAGATGTCAGACTTCCTGGAGGCATCAGGCTTTGAGTTCTGCTGGGGTCCAGCTGACCTGGCACCAGGTGTCGCACAGAGATGTGCCTCATTCTGTGCCTCCTGCCGTGTTCACTTTAACTGTGCCTCAGTGTGGGTTAGGGAATAATTTTGTCATTGTATTAAGTTTATCCAGTTAATTAACTTGAGGAACTAACCAATTTTTACCTTCTGTCTAGAATGATGTACATGTAGTAGAGTAAGCCATAATGCTCCCAAAGTGCCTTGTTTTCTCTGATACAAACGTATTTATAAGGACGTATTCCAGTGGGTTCTTGGGTGTGTTTGCCACAACAAGATTTTAGGGAAGGGGTGTATGTGTAGTAGGGATGCCGTTTGAAAACAGGCCCTCTTCCCCTGAGGAAGGGAAAGGAACTCTTCAGTTGGAGATCTGGGCAGTGGGTTAAGCCAGACCCCTAAAGTGACCCTTTCCTCTTCTGCCCTATTCTTCTCAGACCCTCCGAAAGACATCCAATTTTTTTAAAGCCCTGTAGCTCCAAGCCTGGTCTCATTTGCTTCCCTGCCAGGCTCATTGTGTGTATACCACATTTGTGCCCCACTGACCTGAAGGTTCCATGTAACTGTATACACATGAATACTTAAATGCCAACATTTTAAATAATTTGATAAAGTCTTTGTAGCCACAAAAAAAAAAAAAACGTAAAGGAATAAAGAATGGCTACTTCATGGGTAAGAGCAGTGGCATGGGCTGCTCGACTGAGTATATTTATAGTTATTTCTTGATTATATGCTGTATTAATCCGTTTTCACACTGCTATAAAAGAACTTCCCTGAGACTGGGTGATTTATAAAGGAAAGAGGTTTAATTGACTCAGTTTTGCGTGGCTGGAGAGGCCTCAGGAAATGTATAATTATGGCAGAAGGGGAAGCAGGCACCTTCTTCACAAGATGGCATGGGAGAAAAGAGCAGGGGAAACCGTCACTTATAGAACCATCAGATCCTGTGAGAACTCACTCACTACCACGAGAACAGCATGGGGGAAACTGCCCCCATGATCCTGTCACCTCCCACCAGGTCCCTCCCTTGACAGGTGGGAATTATGGGGATTACAATTAGAGATAAAATTTGGGTGGGGACACAGAGCCAAACCATATCATATGCTAAACAACGGGTGGATTATTCATGAGTTTTCTGGGAAAGGGGTGGGGATTTCCCAGAACTGAGGGGTCCTCCTCTTTTTAGACCATATAGGGTAACTTCCAGACATTGCCATGGCATTTGTAAACTGTCAAGGCACCGGTGGAAGTGTTTTTTAGCATGCTAATGGATTATAATTAGCGTATAATGAGCACTGAGGATTACCAGAGGTCACTTTCGCTGCCATCTTGGTTTTGGTGGGTTTTGACTGGCTTCTTTACTGTATGCTGTTTTATCAGCAGGGTCTTTGTGATCTGAATCTTGTGTGGACATTTTATTTCATCCTGTGAGATAAGAATGCCTAACCTCCTGGGAATGCAGCCCAGTAGGTCTCAGCCTTATTTTACCCAGCCCCTATTCAAGATGGAGTTACTCTGGTTCGAACACCTCTGACATATTCCCCCCTCCCTTTTACAAGGGAACCCTTAATCCTAGCAATTGTAGAGGGACAAAGATCCATCTTCTGTAATTTTCAGGCCAAACAGGGCGATGACATTCCTGCCTAACTACTGGGGTGTCTTGTATCCAGGGTAGAGAGGAGCTCAGTGAGAAAACATCATTACACTGAGGGCCATTCATAACTCCGACTTCTGATCAAAGGTGATATCTGGAAGATTGGTATGTGTTCAATTTAAGAAAACATTGAGTAAGCTTACCTATCCAGCATTTCTACACAGAATACAGCAGGAATATATTCCACAACAGTAAAGTAAAATAAGCAAAATTATTCTAAGTAAATGAAAAAAATAAGGCATTCAATGAACTGGGCAGCTGTTGGGACCAAACTGATATGGGGTTGCTAGCCAATTCCAATATGTGCCCAGAATTAGAATATTGATCCAGATTTCTACAGTACCCATCCCTCTTGTTTCTTCTGAGCTCCAGTTAAAGATCACTGGTTGATTCACAGGAATAAGTAGGGTTAGTCTAAATTGCAGGAAAAAAAAAAACAAAAACAACTGATGAGACTAGAATCTAATAACAGGTGTGCCATAGTTCTTGAAACATAATTTTTCTCTTTCCAGTCTTCATTTTTATTAAAAACAAATCATAATAGGGCTAATTTGTTTATAAAATCAGCTTTAGTCTTATACTTGGCCTGTTTATTTGTATAAAGTGCAGCAAGAATAATTATTTTCACATAGGCTTTTTAAAAATTGGCTTTGATGAAACTTCGTTCCATAAAGAATCTCAGATAAGACCTTTTTTAAAGCTGAGCCCCAGCCATGGGTTTGTACTGTCAAATGCCTATACGAGTCAGGTAAATTCCTCTCCTCTTGAGGTTCCATAATTTTGGAACACATACCAATAACATATTTATTATAAATAAATAAATAAATAAATAAAACCTTTACTCATTAATACAGGGAAGACTTAGTTTTCCAAACAATCTGTTTCTTTCCTTTCCTCTCTTTTTACTATAATTTATTCAAAAGGCAAACAAGAATCTTTCAATATTTTTAATATAACATGAAAATCTTGTTCAAGAGAGAAAGACAATTTCACCCTTTGCATTGGTGTGCTATTAATGTCAACCCCAATTCTTAATAAAACCTTATAGACAAATCTATCCAATTTTCATGCCTGACCGTAAGGTAAGAGTCTCATAAACTTTTTATAACCCTTTACAGATTTTTGTTAAAGAACAGATCAGTGCTCTAAGAAAAACCTATTGTGCTTTTATTCCAATGTTCAACTTATGAAAAAACTGAATACCCCTTTAACTTTAGCCAGTGTTCACACATAGAATTTCTTTTACAAGATTAATCCTTCATAAACCTTCCATAAGTTGCTCAAAAGTTTAGCTTTTTCCTATCAAACTTAAAACAAGACTTTAACCCTTTAATCTAGGCAAAAAAAAAAAAAAATCCACATTCCCATGCCTTCTTATAATCTTTTACCAAAAACACATTTTACTTTCCTTACACACCTTGCATGTAAAACTGTTTCCTCAGTAGTTTCAATTACATGTTACAATATTAACTCTTAGTAACTTTTATTTTTGGTGAAAAACTTAGTAAGTAAGCAATTTTAATTATGTACTAGGTGTGGGGCTTAGGACACCAGACAGAAGTGCAGATAAAGTCTGACTCTTTTCAGCATTGCTAGGGGTTATGGCTAACTCCACATGTCCCCAGGCCTTATGTAGAAACTAATGGCTCTAAAGCAGGTAAGTTGAACAATTTTCAAAAGTCAAAGAAATAACTTATGACCTTAAAGCATTCATCAAACCTAATATCTGACCTGCCTAATTTAGACCAAATGTCTAAATTTTGAAGACATTTTTATTTTACCAATAATCTTTAAAACTATCTTTATTTCTCAAAGATTACTAAAGTTATGTGAACTAAAAGGCATTACAGTTTTTATTTTTCTAACAAAATATTTGATCACACATCACACACACACACAACACATATAAATACACAAACAGTCAGAAGATTCTGTAGTTGTAAGATTTTTCATTTGCCAGTTTTTGTTTCTCAATTGGATTACTGGCTTCAGGGTAGAGCCCTTTGAGGAACAGGGCCAGGAAACCATTCAGTTTCAAGGGCCTAGTAAGCAGGCACAGCTGGAAGGCAAAACAGATCCCCCAAAATTAAGGGTCCCATTTTTATACCAGATCTTAGATCCCAAAGAGGAGGGAATCAGTCCATCTCCCATAAAAGCCCATAACTGCCATTAGCCAGCCCTAAAAGTATATTTCCTACTTAGTAATTAGACACCAAAGTTCTCTCATAATGCGAAGTAATTTCTGATACCCCCAAATGTCAAAAACATCAGACAACACAATGTAAAACAGAACAGGGCCTTAGATTTTGGGAGAGATCTATCCACTTTCAATTCCTGGGGTTTCATGAGGAAAACAGAGGTTTTTCCCCAAACAGCGTGTGTGGCACCTCCTCTGTTTTCCCCAAAGAGTCCCAGCCTGTTAGAAATTTTCTTAGGTCCTCTCATGTATGCATCAAGAGTGGCAAGAAAACAAAATGGAGAAAAATGACTTTTCAGTTGACTGAAAAGAAAAACTTTTTCTCAAGAAAAACAAGATTTGAGAAAAAACCATAAAGGCCTTTTCAATATACCCATAGCTTGAATATCCACTTTTAATTAAGCTGACTTTTAACCATAGTGCTCTTTTTAAAAAAGTCTTTTAAAATTTCTTATTATCCAACTTTTAGCCAAGAAAAATGGTCAATATTTCTGGCTTTTGAACTTTACCAAAGATAACTTCCCAGGTGCTCAGAGAAAGGAAAATTCAAGAGGGAAGTCAGAAGTTGTTCATGGAGAGGAAGAGAATCAACAAGTGGCAAAGGTCACACAGATATCAACCAAAAAGTACTCATTCCCTAGACCGGGAATTGAGAGCCTGGGCTACCACTGTAAAATGGCAAAGCCTTAGCTACTGAGCTACAGCACTGAGCAGTTTTCATTGCTCTTCCTAGGAATCTAGAGTCAGCCAATTTTGAGCTTGCAAAGGTTTTTAACTGCTCTGGATAATTTTTAAGGCTAACTATAACATGAACTCCAAAATTCCTGTTCCCTTGATGGTGGAGACCAAGAGAAAGTACCACCCACCTGGTTACAAAGTCAAGCTCCCAAGGACATAAAACAAGATGAGAGGGAAACTTCATCCAGTTTTTTTTGTTTGTTTCACAGGTCTACAACCAGGAGTTTCAACATGTGGTCTTTGGGCAGGATGGTTGCTCTGAGTAACAGAAAATATAGGAAAGGGAAAGGAGAGAAAGAGAGAGAGGGCCAGGCACAGTGGCTCACACCTGTAATCCCAGCACGTTGGGAGGCCGAGGCTGGTGGGTCACGAGGAAGAGATTGAGACCATCCTGGCCAACATGATGAAACCCCGTCTCTACTAAAAATACAAAAAAACTAGCTGGGCATGATGCGCACACCTGTAGTCCCAGCTGCTTGGGAGACTGAGGCAGGAGAATCACTTGAACCCGGGAGGCAGAGGTTGCAGTGAGCCGAGATCGCGCCATTGCACTCCACCTGGCCACAGAGCAAGACTCCGTCTCAAAAAAAAAAAAAAAAAAGAGAGAGAGAGAGAGAAAGCATTCCCTGCGGTGGGGAAGGTGAAGAGCTCAGGGAGGCCAGAGAAAGACCTACTCATTGAAGCAACACTGAATCAAAAGTTCAAATGGCCACTTGTCAGTTGTGAAGGGATCTTTTCCAGCAGTCCCATCAGCTCTCAAGTTTCCCCTTTTGGGAAGGAAAAAGTTCCCCATGTTCCACGGTCTTGTATATGCCTAATCCTGTCACCCACAGTCGTCAGCAAAGAGTATAAGACAGATTAATCCGAAGAGAATAGCGGTGGCATTAATCCATAATGCCAAATTCATTTTTAACCAAGAGGGACTTTACTGAGAGGGGCCTTTAACCCTCTAAATCTTAGGAAGGACTCTAACCTTCCTAAATTGGGCCTGAGACCCAAGTTTGGTCAAGAAGCCTTGCCTTTTATTAAGATGGGCCTTTAACCCTCTCTATCTTAGGAGAGTCTATCCTAAGTTGGGCCTCTAACTCAATCCCACCCTTTACCCAGGTAAAATATACCCCACCACTTACCCAAAATCAGCCAGTTGGTGCTGCAGTCTATTTCCTCTGGATCAGGGGGTCTCCTCAGTAGAGTCCCTTTGTGGTTCACCAGGAAGATGTTAGTGGAAAGGGGTCCCAATCCAGACCCCAAAAGAGGGTTCTTGGATCTCACACAAGAAAGAATTCAGGGCGAGTCCACAGAGTAAAGTGAAAGTTTATTGAGAAAATAAAGGGATAAAGAATGGCTACTCCATTGGCACAGCAGCCAGAAGCAAGAAGTTCTGAACTGCCTATCAGATATTACCATTTTATAAATGAGAACCAGTCCATAATTTTGGAACATGTTTCCTATATAATAACCCTTTCTTAGTTGGAAATGACCCAGACATTCAACAAGCATCTACAATGATTTTAAGAACTTAAATCATACAAAAAAGTTTTACTTAGAAGCATTTATCTCATTTATATGCATATAATTCTCCCATTTTTAACCGTTTACTTAGATTACTTCTGAAAACTGAGATCTTACCACAGAGGTAGTCATTATTGAAAGTTAATTCCCTGTTAACCATTTTAAAGCTTGTGAACATCATGTGTTCATCTAAGTAAGAACCTTAAAGTTAAAACACATAGGCATTTTGTTGATAACTCAGAAGGTTTAGCTATTTTCCTCAAACAATATTAAATGTCTTATCAAAAATTACACAAAGATCATTCTGTCTTGGGCTGGGTTTATAGTTTTGTAACTCTTATGCCAAATTTTGGCACCTAATGATATCTGGCAGAGATAAATATGAAACCGCTTGATCAATAAACTCAAATGAAAATGTATGTTGACAATTCTTAAGATATTTATAATATTATTTTACCAATAATGTAAAGCCAGCTTATTTATTAAAGATTTTACTTAATTTATGAGTACGTCTTAACTCTAAGGAATTTGGTTCCTTGTGACCACAATACATAACAAAATACATGTACATATGCATAAACACACACATACACACTCATATTAAGCAGGCCGAAAATAAACAGAGGAAGATATCACCTGGCTGCCTTCTGCAAGGGTGGCATGAGGTAGGGGGAGAGAGGGGAAGAAAGAGATGAGAGAATAAAGCAATGGAAAGGGAGCTCAGGAGCCCTCCTGCAGACATTGAGTGGTGTGAGGTTGATACTTCCACCACCATCATTTATCTCCCATCAGGGAGAGCCTCAGCACCCTAAGTCTGCACAGTGTGGGATGGGTTCCTCCTACTTCTGCAAGTCACTGGTCAGGCAAACTGTTTCCAGCCAGAGGGAGCTAGAGCTGCCTGCAGCTGAGAAGAGTAAAGCTGTAAGCGGCTCTCCAAAGATAGAAGGGTGAAGTTGGAGGTAGAGAGGAAAGAAATCAGGGCCCATACACAAAGTCATATATTCATATATGCAAATAGACAGCATGCTTCCACATGAGTCCCCAACCAAGGGGGCTGGGTGAGGTCCTGAATCCCTCTCCCCAGTTCCAAATGGCTCCATGGGCTGTTAAGTCCAGTCCGAGCACAGGTCCCATGGTGCCGCACATACAAATAAATACAAATGCATTAAAATGCTCAAATGATGTCACTAACAGCCAGGTCTTAAGTAGAGCAGGGCTTCAGTGACACCCCAAAAGAGACAGAGGGTGGTCAGGTGCACTGCCAACCAAATTACCCAGTTCCAAAGTTTGTCAGCTCTTTCTCTTTTTCTCCCAGAATTCATTTCCCTTGCACAGGCAATGCATTGAAGGCAGCAAATGTTGTGCTGGGAGTGGGGAGCAAAAGGGAAATTTCCCCATAAGAAAGCATTTTTTGCAGCTGCTGGGAAGCTCCCTAATGCTTTCATCGTGGGACCTGATAGCCATGAGCAGCTGGCACTCACAGGTGACCCCATGTCTCATCTGATAGCGAAATTGGGTGATCAGGCAGAAGCCTACCTGGAGCACAGAGCATGTCCCTGTATGGGCCACCAAAAATTGCAACCAAAAAGTGGGTTAGTTGCTTGCTGAATGTAGAGTCCAATTAACAAGAGTGAGTCCTGGTACTTTCCAGAAAAGTGATTTTATTTCCAAAGCTAGTTTGGGGGAGTGCACAAAGTGTCCAGCTTTAAATGTACTGCTTCACCTTTGGAAGAAAAAGTGGGCATTTATATAATGTAGGGGAGGAAATGAGCAAGGGCAGGGCTCTTCTGCTAGCCTTATCTGTACCTTATCTACTGGGCCGTTGTGTTGCCACCTTCCTGGGCAGAAGTAAGTTGTAAAAGTGGCTAAGTGGGCATGCTCTGGGCATGTCCTCCTGAGGCAACACCCTGGAGGTGGGAGTTCCCTCTTGGAGCACACAGATGAACTTGCCCTGTAGGAAATGCCTGGAGAGGGGGAGGTGAGAAGTTATTTTGCACTTGAAAAAGGGCTAAATGGAAAGTAGGAGGAAAGGGGAAAGGCGAAAAGAGAAAAAAACTGTTGCTTAGGAAAACGGGAGTACTCAGTTACAGTTGTGAAACTGCCTTTGCAAAAATTATATCAGTGAGCAAATTATGACAGTGAAAGAGATCTGATCTAGCCCACCATCCCTCTTGCCTTTTCCTTAATTATTCCTGGGCTTTGGGGCTGAACTAACTTTGGAAGATATTTAGGTTATGGTTTAAATGATAATAGCTCTTTCCCAAAAATCATTGTAAAGCTAATGGAAGGCCATCAGGCTAGGGGTTGGAGAGGAACCTGATTCTGCTAAGTTTTAGACATAGATTGCCAGCCATTCCTGCAGATAACACCACTACTGTAGATTGGCCTTTTGAGATATCTTTTCAGGTTTTTTGCATGTCTGACACCCATGGCTCCACCTAGACTCACCAATCCCACTCATGTGGCCCCACCCTGAGGCAATTCAGCATGCAGGAGGACAGCTTTCACCTCCTATGATTTCATCTCTGCCCCAACCAATTAGCAGCAAGCCTAGCCACCCCCACTGCTTCCCCCAAACTGCCTTTGAAAAACCCCCAACCTACAAGCTTTGGAGGAGATTGATTTGAGTACTATAATAACTCTGTCTATTATATGCCGTGGCCCGCCTTGTGACTATTAAACTCTTTTTTTTTTTTAATAGACACTGAGTCTCGCTCTGTCGCCCAGGCTGGAGTGCAATGGCGTGATCTCAGCTCACTGCAACCTCCGCCTCCCAGGTTGAAGCGATTCCCCTGCCTCAGCCTCCTGAGTAGCTGGGACTACAGGTGTGCACCACCATGCCCAGCTAATTTTTGTATTTTTAGTAGAGACGGGGTTTCACCATGTTGGCCAGGATGGTCTCAATCTCCTGACCTCGTGATCTGCCCGCGTCGGCCCCCCAAAGTGCTGGGATTACAGGTGTGAGTCACCACACCTGGCCTAAACTCTTTCTTTACTGCAATACTGTGGTCTTTCTTTGTGCAGTGGGCAGGAAGAACCCCTCAGGTGGCTACAGTTGCACAACAATGTGAATATACTTAACGCTACTGAACTATAAACCTCGAAATGGTTAAGATGCTAAATTTTATGTTATGCATTTTTTACAATAAAAAATGGGATGTTACAATAAAAAATGGGATGCAACATATGCTCACCTTTGGGTGGTCCCCAGGTGTGCATACGTTGTGGCTGTACATGCTAGTATATATGTTACATGTCTTACATCTCCACCCAGGGGTGTGTGTGTATATATATGTATATATATTTACTATTAAAATGAGCAAAACGTTACCTTGAGGGCAAGCCAAGTTGAAGTGCACATGCTTACTGCTGGGGAAAGTCCCTACTGAAGTTATGTCCTGCCAGGGCCAGATAAGTCCCAGTTAGGGCCAGATAAGCCTAACTGCAAGTCCAGATATGGCCATTGTTTTTTCTGATTGCTAGTGGGGTAAGGTTTCCAGGGCTTCCTTACTTTGAGGCTGCCTTTCCTGCTCATGTCTGTCTGTCTGTCTGTCTGTCCTGCTGTCTATCTATCTATCTATCTATCTATCATCTATCTATCATCTATCTATCTATCTACTCTAACATCTGGAGGTTTTTTTTTTTTGTCTTGTGGATGGAAAGATCTTAAATAAAATTTTAGCAATTTGAATCCAGCAAGTATGGAAAGAAAAATTTACCCCATGACCAAATTGGATTTTCCAGTAAGGCTGTTGATGGTGATTGTGAGTCCTCAGTTCTTGTCTTCTTGGTTTAAAGAATTTAAGCAAGAGACACACAGCAAGGGAGATACAGCCATAAACCAGTTTATTACAAAATTGAAAGAGCACTCTGAGAGCTGAGTCAGAGTGGGCTGCTCAAGAGTGAGACACCCCTGGCTGACACTAGGGAAGCTCCCTTTAGGGGAGTTTTACATGATTATTCTTAAGAGGGTGGGAAAGGGCATTGCTAGTAAGTATGTTATGGGTGGTCCTCTAGGTGCACATGTTCGGTAACTGTACATGTTTGTTCATACATCACATCTCATTAGCATCTTAAATCTCCACCCAGCAGTGTGTTTTTCACTAGTATAATGAGCAAAAAGTCAGTCCAAGGACAAGTAAAATTAAAGTGCATGCTTTCTACTGGCTGAAGTCCCCACTGAAGTTAGGTCTTGCCTAAGCCAGAGGAGCATGACCACAAAGCAAGCATTGTGTTAACACATCCTGATAGACATGGCTACTTTCTTGACTACGTCTCCTACTTCAACTTCAAGGTAAAGATGGTTAATGTTAATACATCTATCTGTTTATTTCACTACATCAAGAAATAAAGGAGAAAACGACAAAATCACATCAATGGATACTAAAAAAGCATTTGACACAATTTGGCAGTATTCTCAAACTAAAACCAGACTAAAATGGGAATATGAAAATTCAGAAAAGATTACAGGCTCAAAATCACCAGGAAGCCTATTACTAAAAGGTAAAATGCTGAAGTTGCTACCAGTAAAACTAGTAATGACATACAGTTGTTCCTATCACAACGGTGTTTTGAAAAAGCTCTAGCTAATGCGATGAAATATGAAGATAAAATAAACTGATTATATATTAAGAAAGGAGAGGTAATCATTTTTATTTGCAGATGATATCATTGGAAGGGTGTTCATGCTATACAGTGAAAGAAGTTGTGGCTTCCCACCTCACAGAGCAGAACAGTGGTGCTTCCCTGGGAAGAAATGGCCTGCACTGCTGTTAGAGTAGGTAGATAGGCAGATATGAGCAGAAGAGGATAGGGCCCCAAAGAGTGTCAAGTGACTCTCAGTTGACTGTCAGGTGGTTGTCAGGTGGCTGGTAACAGGGAGGGGAAAATTTCCTAACAAACAAGAGACATCTTGAGCTTGTTGGCAACAATTTCCCAATAAGAACTTAAAATGGCAAAGTTTGATCTTCCTCTGGGAACATGTCCAGGCATGCACAGTAAGGGGCAAAATGGTGGAGTCTGACCTATATATGATCTTCCTCCAGGGGCACTAGACCAGTAAGTGAAAATTGCCCTAAGACAGCATGCACATAACTTCAATAATTAAATGGCTCATGCCGCCCCTCCCAGATACTGGCAAGTCACTGTGCCTGTGGTGATTAGCCAACAGCCTATCCAAGAGGAAGGATGAGACTGGGAAGAATCAGGAAATAGTAACTCTATATTATAATTATTATATAAGAGCCCTGAGCCAACAATCAGGTGGGGCGTTCCATCTTTTGAGTTGCTTGCTTGGTTCCTTTCAAGTGTACTTTGCTTCAATAAACTCTCATTTCTGCCTTAAATCTACTTCTGTTTCTCAGCTGAATTCTTTCTCTCAAGAAGACAAGAATTGAGGACTGTAGACCCTGCCCAGACTCACTGCCAGTAACACTTCTTTGGGTAGACTTCCTGGTGGACAGATTCATCCTCTCCTTGGTGATACTACTGGATGTGAAAGGATGCAGTGGGAGTGGTACAGTCCCCATCCAGGAGATACCATGAGGAGAGAGGGGAGATAAATCAGAGTGGTACTGTCCAGTCCCACTGTGTTGGTGATGGGAGGAGAGCGATGTGGTTGGAGTAAGAACCTAAACATCCTCATAATCTCCATCAGCTCCCCCACAAGCCATCTCAACTGAAATAATAATAGGTATCAATTAAATAAGTCTTAAGTTGATATGGCTACTAGTTGTTTTCTTTAATATGTGTCAACAAAAACATCTTTTAGAAAATTTTATTGTTCATAATTCCTATGGAAGCATAGCATTAAGACACATTTCTGACCCTGCCCCACAACCAGTTTGCTGCCTCTTAGCACCTCAAATAGAAAATTATGGAGATGCCAGTGCCCCTCTGGGAGATGTCAGAGGGGCAGAGGTAATAAGAATCCATATATCCCCTCAATGGATGAACTGCTACATATTCTGCAACACCCAGTTCAAGTACCTCCTATGAGAAGCCCTACCTGACTGTGGTAGGAGACTCTATGCTAGCTGAAGAACCTTTTGACCCAGCAAGTAGGGAAGACTTTTTTAAAGGGCTTGTTCCTAAGCTCTGGTGTCCTCTATCTTTGTGCCCTCAGATCAGTCACACCCTTTTTGGAGCCCAGTTCAACATTCTAGACATTAGAGGGTTAGAATCTAATTATCACATAGTTCCCTGTCTTTCCTACAGCCCTGGATTGGATAATTTTTTATTTGGTGAATGATATGGTTTGACTGTGTCCCCACCCAAATCTCATCTTGAATTATAGCTCCCATAATTCCCATGTGTTGTGGAAGGACCTGGTGGGAGATAATTGAATCACAGGGGCAGTTTCCCCCATATGGTTCTCATGGTAGTGAATAAGTCTCGCGAGAGCTGATGATTTTATAAGGGGTTTCCCCTTTCACTTGTCTCTCATTCTCTCTTGTCTGCCACCATGTAAGACGTGCCTTTTGCATTCCGCTTTCCACCATGATTGTAAAGCCTCCCCAGCCACATGGAACTGTGAGTTCATGAAACCTCTTTTTCTTTATAAATTACCCAGTCTCAGGTATGTCTTTATCAGCAGCATGAAAACAGACTAATATAGTGAACAAATAAAAGAAGAAATTGAATCAGTGGAAGCTTGCTAACACACGTATACATATCTAAAAATGTTTCAGGCACAGGAGAGGAAGAGGAGAAAAAGAAAAGGAAAGTATCCTAATGTTATGTTAGAGGTTTATACTGAAGTGTATGGATGAAATGATATGAAGTCTGGTATTGGCTTTAAAATACTCAACCAATGGGGCTGTTTAACTAGGGGTGGAGAAGTGAGGAAATAAAATAGAACGTTGATAACTGTTGCAGCTGAGTTTTGGGTACATAGGAAGTCACTATTCTATTTGATCTACTTTGGTGTATATATACAAAAAGTTTACAGTGAAAAGGTTTTAAATGAAGAAAAGAAATGGATGGAAATATTCACAAGTAACAATATTAACATTAGACAAAATATATTTTGAAGTATAGAATTTAAAAAGGGATAAACAGAGGAAGTTCTTAATTTAAAACCATGCAAGCCACCAAGAAGACGCACCAATCGTGAGCATTTATATGTGTGTGTATGTGTGTGTGTGTGTGTATGTACTTTTGAAATACATAAAACAAAAACTGACACAAATGGGGAAAATTTTGCGAGTATTCAGTTACAAAGGAAGAATAATATATCTCACAGAAACTGACAAGATCAAATAGATGAAATATGTAAGACACAAAGACTGGAATAATACAATCAATAAACTTGGTATTTGATATAGCTATATTCAATCTTTATTTTGTACTCAAGAGAATGCACATGTTTTAAACATGAACAAGACACCCTTAAAAATCCTTGCACTAGTGCAACAAAATAATAAATCTTTAAAATGATATCACAAGGCAATATTCATAACCCACAATGAAATAAAAATGGAGGTAAAAGCAAAGAGACAATAAATATTTCAAATACCTGGACATTAAAAGCACTCACATACAATTAATACTTGGGTTAAGGAGGAAATTAAAATGGATTACCAACTACCTAGTATTATGAGAGCGCTACATATAACATCTATGGGCTGGGAAAATTAATATACTTAAGATTATTTATATCATAAAATGCATTTATTAGTAAGCAAGAAATTCTGAAGATGAATTATCTAAACTTTTACTACACACTGTAGGAAAGGAAAATGAAATACCCACAAAGGAAGTAAGTAAATGTTAAAAACAGAAATTAATAAAATAATGAGCAAAACATTACTAATCAGGGAATTGCCTATTGAGAACATAATGAAATACTCTCTTATATCCATTCATTTGGTAAAAATAAAGCAGTTGGGCAAGATTAAATGTTGGTAAGGATCTCTTATACAGTTTTGGTGGGAATGTAAATTAGGGAAACCACTTTGGAAAGAAGTTTAGCATTTCCTTCTATAATTGGACATTCATACACCTCATCACACGGCAAGTCCACTCCCAGAAATAGCCCCAAGAGAAGCTCTTGCCCAGGTGCCCCACAAAATATGTAAAAGGACATTCATGAAAGCCTATTCATGTCATAAAAACCTGGACACAAACCAAATGCTCACCAAACGAGTAAAAATGAACAAACTACAGTAATATTTAACAACACAAAGGGATGCTAAGTGAAAAAGTGTAAATTGCCAAAGATTATATAAAGTATGATACATTCATTACAACATTTTATTATGAACATTTTGGGACATAAAGAAAAGCTAAAAGAATTTTAAAGTGAGTATGCACAAAACCACAACCTAAAAATCTATAACAAATATTTCAGTATATTTGCTTTATCTCATATCTATTCATACACATATCTTTCTTTTCATTCATCAACGCATCTTCTTTTTTTGATGCATTTCGAATTATGTTACAGTCATCAGCACACATCACCCCTAAAGTTTCAACATGCATATCATAAACTACAGTTTAGTATTTGTCTATATTCTAAGGCAAAATTTACACACAGTAAAACACACAAATCTTATGTGCACTATTTGATGAGATTTAACAAGTGAACACAGACTTCTAGTTTCAGCTCTGACATGTTAAGAGCTTGGAAGTAATCACTCCCATCCTTGCAAAAATAATAAAGGCTGAACAAACTGAAACTCAATGACTTTTCATAGGCCGTCAGAGAGTTTAGGTCACAAGGCAAACTGCCACCCCCAAATCTGGAGAGACAGACAAATACAGAGAATCACAGCTGAGATCAGCTTACTTTACCTGGAGCAGAAGCTGCTGGATCCCTAAGCAGATAGGAACACTTCACTGGTGATTTTGACAAATTGCTAGAGGCTGAATATGAATAGCTTGAGAATGAGAAACCTCTTATGGAGGTCTCACGCTTTCCTGGGTTTTACCTCCAGAAAGCCAAGAAGGTCCTCAGATGAAGATCTAAAGACAATCCCCTCACGTTTCTGGCAAGAGGAGGGCAGGAGGGTAAGAGGGTTCAAGTTGCCATTTTGAAACACACTCAGAGCTTTCTCTATAACGAAGGACTGCTCTCTAGGGGAAGAAATTTTTCCAGAGACTTGTCTACCTGGGTGAAGGGCACCCAGTCAAAAACATCCTGTATAATCTAAGGGGAGAAAAAAAGGCTAAGAAATACTTTTGAAGGTCACAGCCCAGAGACTAAGGCCCACAAAAAGAGTGAGATTTAATCATAAGATAATGGAACATTTCCTCTCTTTCACTCCTTACTACTGCAGTATAATAACAGTGAATTAAAACTGAAAGAGCTGCAAGACACAGACCCTATTTAATGAAGGCGTTCTTAGGGAAACTCAAAGACACCAGGGGAGGGAAAAAATAAGAACACTGGAGAAACCTGAAGCCTCTGGCATCTAGAACTACAGCAAACATTAAACACAGACCAGCTCCTAGATTAACATAAAACCTCATACTAAAGATCTGTATTTGTTAGATACCTGATACATCATGTCCAGCATTCAACAAAAAATTATAAAACCATGCTAAAAGACAAGAAAAAATATAGTCTGAAGAGGCAAAGCAAGCATCAGAACCAGACTCGGATATGACACAGATTTTGAAATTATCATGTAGGGCATTTAAGAGAACTATGATTAATATGTTAAAGGCTCTAATGTAAAATGTGGACAACATGTGAAAACAAATGGGTAATTTAAGAAGAGAGATAGGAACTCTAAGAAAATCAAGAGGAAATGCTAGAAATAAAAAAACACTATAACGGAAATGAAAGAATGGCTTTTGTGGGCTTGTAAGTAGCCTGGACATAGCAGAGGAAAGAATCAGTGAGCTTGAAGAAAGGTCAATAGAAACGTCTCAGATTGAAAAGCAAGGATAAGAAAAAATGAAAAAAAAGCACAACAGAATTTCCAAGAACTGTGGGATAATTACAAAGAGTGTAAAATATGCATAATTGGAAAGCAAAAAGAGAAGAGAGGAAGGAGCAGAAGAGAAATATTTGAAGAAATAATGGCAAGAATTCTACAAAATTAATGGCAAACACCAAACTGCAGATCCAGTAAGCAGGATGTCTTAGTCCACTTAGTGTTGTTATAAAGGAATACCTGAGGCCGGGTTATTTATAAAGAAAAAAAGATTTATTTGGCTCATGATTTGGATGATTGGAAAGTTCAAGATTGGGTATCTGCACCTGGTGAGGGTCTCAGGGTGCCTCTACTCATAGTGGAAAGCTGGCATGTGCAGAGATCACATGGTGAGAGAAGAAGGAAGGGAGAGTGGGTAGGTGCCAGACTCATTTTAACAACCAGCTCTCCTGGGAACTAATAGAGTATAAATTCACTCATCGATGAGAGAGAGCATTAATCTACTCATGAGGGATCCACCTCCATGACCCAAACACCTCCCATTAGGCCCCTCCCCCAACACTGGGGATCAAATTTCAACACGAGGTTTGGAGGGAACAAACATCCAAACCATAGCACAAGATAAATACCAAAACAATCTACACTAGTCGTATGATAGTCGCACTGAAGAAAACCAACAACAGAGAAAATATTGAAAGAATCCAGAGGAGAGGGAATCTTACCACTAGAAGAACAAGATTAAGAATTACATTGGACTACTTGTTGGAAACCATGAAAACAGTAAGAGAGTGGAGAGGCACACTTAAAGTGTCAAAAGGAAAAACCCAACAACCTAAATTCTAGATCCAGTGAAATTATCCTTCGAAAATGAAGGAGAAATAAAGACTTTCAGATAAACGAACACTGAAGAAATTCATTGCCAGTAGATCTGCCTTGCAAGAAATGTTGAAAGGGGTTCCTCAGGGAGAAGGAAAATAATCTAGGTCAGAAACTCAGATCTACTAGGAAGGAAGAGGAAGAATAATTAAAGTTAAAATATTTTATTTTTCTTATCTTATTCTTAATTGATCTAATAGACAACTGTTCAAAGTAATGTATTATATATACGATTATAGCATATTTATAAGTGAAATAAATGACAGCAACATTATAAAGGATGAGAGGAAGGAATTGGGAATGCTCAGCTATAAAGTACCTGTACAACCCATGAAGCAGTATAGTGTTAGTTGAAAGTGGACTTAGATTAGTTGTAAATGTATATTGAAAAGTCTACGGCAACTGCTAAAAAATATTTTTAAAAAGTGTAATTGATAGAGGAGAGAGGAGAGAAAATGGAATCATATAAAATGATTAATTAAAACCAAAGAAGGCAGAAAAAAGGGGAAGATAAAAAAGGAAAAAGTACAAGTACAATAAATAGAAAACAGTTTAAAAGATGGTAGATAATTAAACTACATCAATCATCGCCTTAAATGTATTAGTCTGTTTTCACACTGCTATAAAGAACTGCCCAACACTGGGTAATTTATAAAGGAAAGAGGTTTAATTGATTCACAGTTCAGCATGGTTGGGGAGGCCTCAGGAAACTTACAATCATGGCAGAAGGCAAAGGGGAAACAGGGAACCTTCTTCACAAGGCGGCAGGAAGGAGAATGAACACAGGAGGAACTACCACACACTTATAAAACCATCAGATCTTGTGAGAACTCACTCACTATCATGAGAACAGCAACCGGGGGAACCACCCCCATGATTCAATTGCCTCCACCTGGTCTCTCCCTTGACTGTGGGGATTATGAGGACTACAATTCAAGATGAGATTTTGGGTGGGGGACATAGCCAAACCATATCAAATGTGAATCTTATAAATACACCAATTAAAAAACAGGGAGTGTCAGAGTGCATAAAAAACCAAGACCCAACTATATGCCAATCTATAAGCAGCCCACTTTACATATAAATATACAGATAGTTTAAAAGCAAAGGGGATAAAGAAAGGTATATCCTGCTAACACTAAGTTTAGAGCATTCTAATTTAGGAACATTAAACAAAAACATTCCTAAATGAAATAATAGCAAATAGAATCCAATAGTACATTAAAATAATAATAATATATCTGTACATCTATTATATATCAATAATTTTTTTAAAGAATAATACATCATAACTAAGTAGGACTATATTAGGGTTAAAGGGAAGTTTTAAAATTTGGCAGTATATTAATGTCATGTTAACTGAATTAAACATAGGCAAAATTCATTGAGAGAAAAACCAATACACAGGATTTTAATAACATGAAAGCATGCTCAACCACCCTCATACTAAGACAAAAGTAAATTAAAACTACACTTGAGATATCATTTCCCACCTCCCAGATTGGCAAAATCTAAAAGCTTAACAACCCATACTTTTGGTGAAATTATGAGAAAACTAATACTCTCATCTATTGCTGGGGTGAGTCAAAACAATACAATCCTATGGAGATGAATATGGCAATATTCAATAGTTCAGTTGTTTCTCAGTAGAGCTCAAATAAATTAATGAAATCAAGTCATCAGCATGATTCCAGTCACTAGAATCAAGAAGCATGAAGATATTAGATTAGAAGTAAGAAAAAAATGTGGTTTCAGAGCCAAGACAAACATCTGAGGACCAGTATATCTGACATACTGCAATTGGGGAAGAAAACTGCAATTGATGAGTACAGATTATGTGTCCAGGAGTTCTAGTAGAATATTATAGCAGTACTTATCATTTATTCATTGCACTGATATTTCTTAAGCACTAATTGTGTGTTATACAATGTATCTGCAATCAGAAAAGCAGTAAATCTGATGCTGGGACATGACTATAATTATTCTAAAAAAAAACCCTACATGCACAGGGAAGGAAAATTCTTTAATAAAAAATGCCAGCTAATACAGAAAAATAATAGAATTAGAGAAGCACATTTTGCCACCCTAAAGTTAATGATTATTTTAGGCAAAGATCATCAATGGACCCAAATTAAGGTTGTCGAGGTACAAATAATTTGCAAAAGTTTTACTGGAAGCCAAATGTGAGGATCAACCCAGGAAGACACACCAACAAAGTTGATCATGTTCAAGTTTGCCACAGGCTGAAGGGCTTTTATGGGAAAATTTAGAAGAAGGGAGAAGGACTCTTCATGTCAGAGTTGTCCTTTTTATTGGAGGGTGTAATATAGAGGTTATAATCATTAACTATAGATTATAACACATATGCTAAAATGTTCTACACGTAAGACAATCAGTAAAACTTTATGACTTAGCAAAAAATTTGTAAAACATCATGATTTGGAAACAAATTAGTGTCCTTTTTAGTGTCAGTAGGTTATGTATTAATCAGTTTGTCAATAGTTTGAGGAACTTATAAGATTTTTTACTCCAGGGACAGGAAGTAAGCCATGAATTCTAAGACTTCCCTGGGTGGGTTAATTTGGAAGCCTGCTAAATGTGACCTGTCAGTTATAAGTGCTAAAACCATTTTTGTGAATGCTTCTTGGGGAACAGATTATTCACAGGGTTCCCAAAGAATGACCCCACAGCTAAATACAAAGGGCAGAGGTGGCTTTTTTTGCAATGGAGAGATTTGGTGGTCCATCCCTTAACCAAGAAGTCAAACTTAGTATAATATTACCAACAGAGTGAAGTGACACATGCCTCCAGATATGACTTACCGAGAGGGACACATCACCCATGTAGTTTTCTTTTCCAAGTCGTTTGGCCTGAATCCGTTTTTGAGAAAACAGAAATGCAGAACCATCTGTAACTGTAACCATCTGTAACAACTGACATAAGCCCTTCAAAAATATTAACATTGTGACAGACAAAAAAGGCTGGGAAACTATTATAGATTAAGACTAAAGAAGAGATTAGAGACTAAGGAGATACGACAACTAAATGCAATGCATGAACCCTGTTTGGATACAGGATTTTTTTTTTTAGTTGTAAAAAAAAAATTGGAGCTAACTAGAAACATATGGAATTTGGACTGCATAATATTTTTGTATCATTGTTAAATTTCTTAGGTGTGATGAGATTTTTTTTGGGGGGAGGTGTCATGGAACTGTTCTGTATGCTGATGGTGGCGGTGGTTACACAAATCTACACATGAATTAAAATTTATGAAACTGGTCTGGGTGTGGTGGCTTATGCCTGTAATCCCAGCACTTTGCAAGGCCAAGGCAGGAGGATTGCTTGAGGCCAGGAGTTTGAGGCTGCAGTGAGCCATGATCAGGCTACTGAACTCCAGCCTGGGCAACAGAGCAAGACCTCCACTTAAAAATAAATTAATTAGGCTGGGCATGGTGGTTTACGCCTGTAATCCCAGTACTTTGGGAGGCTGAGGCAGGAGGATCACTTGAGGTT
Source organism: Homo sapiens (assembly GCF_000001405.40). NCBI lineage: Eukaryota > Metazoa > Chordata > Mammalia > Primates > Hominidae > Homo > Homo sapiens. The sequence goes on from NC_000023.11 coordinate 47,828,456, forward strand.
AGGAGTTAATGACCAGCTTGGCCAACATGGTGAAACTCCATCTCTACTAAAAAAATACAAAAATTAGCTGGGCATGGTGGTGGGCACCTGTAATCCCAGCTACTCAGGTGGCTGAGGCAGGAGAATGGCTTGAACCCGGGAGGCAGAGGTTGCAGTGAGCTGAGATCAGGCCACTGCACTACAGCCTGGGTGACAGAGCGAGACTCCATCTCAAAAATAAATAAATAAGGAATTAATTAATTAAACTGTACACCAAAAAGTCAATGTTACTATATGATAATTTAAACATAAAATTTTAAATCGTTTAAAAAAACCTCTCAAATTTCTTAGGGGTGAGAATGGGTTTGTGGCTATGCAAGAAAATGTCCTTGTTCTTAGGAGAGTGGAAATCTACACAGATGATCCAATGAGAAAAAGCAGAGACTTTTCAGAGCTTACTACAGTAAGGTATTGGGCCATTATCACTTGGCGTTTGTCAAAGACTCAAAGGCAGGCAGAAGAATGGGAAAGCTTTATATGTAGTAGAAAAAGGGGAAGGCTTCAGGTGTGTCCTGATTGGAGGGTGTTGGAGTGCACAAGCTGGAGGTGGACTAACTGAAGTGGGGCATCCTATGCGATTGATTTGGGAAGTAGATTTGGCTTTTTCTGGTTGGCCCTGAGTTGGAAATTGGGTTAAAAAAATTGAGAAGCTAGATGTCATCAATCAAATCCTGACCATCTGGGCTGATTGCTACTGAGGTTGTGGTTTGGCTTCCCATGCTTATTGCTGTAGAGGTTGTAGGTCAGGATTCTATTGTTATATATGGTCTGGCCATTGCCTGTTTGTATATTCAGTCCCTCAGGAGATACATGCTGAGTATATATCCTGCTGAGTATAAGGAGCATGATGTCTGCAGCTTACTGTACAAAGGTATTGTAAAACAAACACGGTGGAGTCCTCAGTTTCTCTGTTGCCTTCTACCTTGCACCTTTCATCCTTTTTTGCTATCTCTCCCCTGCCCCCATGAGCTCTGACTAGCAGATAAGCCACAATGTTTGCAAAAGTAATCCTCTAAAAATACTGTCCTGAAGGGTTCTGATTGAGCAAGGGGCACAAAAACAGGAACGACCCTGCCACCAACTACGAGTTTCACTTAAAGTCAAAAACTGCTATCCAGGCCAGGCATGGTAGCTCACAACTATAATCCTAGCACTTTGGGAGGCTGAGGCAGGAGGATCGCTTGAGGACAGGAGTTTGGTATCAGCCTGGGCAACATAGCGAGACCCCGTCTCTCTCTAGTGTGTGTGTGTGTGTGTGTGTGTGTGTGTGTGTGTGTGTGTGTGTGTGTGTGTGTGTGTGTATACACACATACAGCTACCTAAGCCAAAAGCAAGAACACATATTCCACTTTCCCTCATAAAAACCCTGACCCTGCTTCAATCAGGACATCACCTGATGCACCTCAGCTGAATAAAGCCTTTAAGCTCTATAGCAGTCACTTCAATCATTTTCTTTTGACTCTGTTTTTAAATGATGGGGCCTGTATATATGCAAACAGAAATATAAGGCAAATGTGACATAGATGAACAATTGTTACTTCTAGGTGGAAGGTATTTGAATATTCATAGTGCAATTCTTTCAACTTTTGTGTAGGTGTGAAATTTTTCCATTAAAAAGCTGGGTGTAAAATAAATAAGGTATTATTGCTTGCTATCTACTGAAGTATGTAAATGGTTGTGGTTATTGGTCCTGAGGTCCCTGCTCAGCCATTGAACCTGATACTTTTCACAAAGGTTTCTTTGACTTCTGTCAGTGGAAGACTTTGTAAAATGTTTTCCCCTACTAAAGGGAGGCACACAAGACAAGAGTGACCAGGAGACCTTGGCTGTGGATTAATTTTTGCATCTGCTCTAGGACACAGGTGCTCATCATTATGTCCTTAGCTGCAGATATAAAAATACTCGAACTCTGCATTCTTCTTGGTTTTCAACTGGGTACCCACATAGATGTAAAGAATCCCGACTGACCTCTCTATTTAAAGTGGCAGTTCTGGAAATCAGTATATGGAAGAAATACCTGCACTCCTATGTTTGTTGCAGCACTGTTTACAATAGCTAAGATTTGGAACCCACCTAAAGGTCCATCAACAGATGAATGGATAAAGAAAACATTGTACTTATACATAATGGAATACAATTTAGCCATAAAAAGAATGAGACCAGTCATTTGCAACAACATGGATGGAACTGGAGATCATTGTTAAGTGAAATAAGCGAGGCACAGAAAGACAAACATCGCATGTTCTCACTTATTTGTGGGAGCTATAAATCAAAACAATTACGGAGATAGAGAGTAGAAGGATGGTTACCAGAGGCTGGGAAGGATAATGGGGGGCTGGTGGGGAGGTGGGGATGGTTAGCAGGTACAAGAAATATAGTTAGAAAAAATGAATAAGATCTACTATTTGATAGCACGATAGGGTGACTATAGTCAATAATAACTTAATTGTGCATTTTAAAACATAATTTAAAACATAATTTTTTTTGAGATGGAGTCTCACTCTGTCGCCCAGGCTGGAGTGCAGTGGCACGATCTTGGCTCACTACAACCTCCACTTCCCGGGTTCAAGCAATTCTCTGCCTTAGCTTCCCGAGTAGCTGGGATTACAGGAGTCCGCCACCACACCCGGCTAATTTTTGTATTTTTAGTAGAGACGGGGTTTCACCATCTTGGCCAGGCTGGTCTTGAACTCCTGACCTCGTGATCCACCCGCCTCAGCCTCCCAAAGTGCTGGGATTACAGGTGTGAGCCACTGTGCCCAGCCAAAAATTTTTTTTTAAAATAAAAACTAAAAACATGAAGTGGCAGTTCTCCCAGCATTTCCAACTCATACCACTCCCCTATAACATACCCTCTTTAGCGGTTGTCACCTTTGTAATTTGCTCTTTTAAAATGCTTATTGCCTCTATTCCCTGCTAGGATGTTAACTCCATGAAGTTAGGGATTTGGGGGCTGTTTTGTTGAACCAAACATCAAGTACCAAGAACAGTGCCGGATGGTCAATTCATCAAGTATTTATAAGTTCTCCATCTCTTTGGTATTTCATACATTACTTATACCAAATTAATTTTATTATAGCAGTCATGTCGTCCAGAGATGCCTGCAGAGTCTTTTGGGGAAATCATTAATATTTTAAGAAAATGACTCTGAAGTGCGTATTTTGCTGCCCTCTACATTGTATAATAAAGATACTAGAAATAAAGCAGTTGATTACTCCATATATGTAAGAAGCAGAAATCACTGCAGTATCAGCATGAACAAGTAAATGAGCAAACAGTAAACAAATACAATAATTTCTGATACAAAGGAAGGCTATGAAGAAAACTGAAGCCTGGCGAAGAGCTCAAGTGTTGGGATAGACCAGGGAAGAAAGACCTCTGAAGAAGAGACATTTGAGCAGGTAAGTGACTCGATAGAGTGACCCATGGAGCCAGGGGCAGCAGTAAATGTCAAGGCCATGGAGCACCTGCCTCCCTGTTCATCCCACCACTAGGTGGCATCTCTGGGCTGCAGCCAAATGTTTTCTTGCCCCATTAAAGGGAGAGATGCCACTTTTCTCCATACAGATTTTTTCTTTTTATCAGTTAGATATTTATCTGTATTAGTCAGGGTTCTCTAGAGGGACAGAACTAGTAGGTGATATATATATGAGTTTATTAAGCAGTATTAACTCACACAGTCACAAGGTCCCACAATAGGCCATCTGCAAGCTGAGGAGCAAGGAAGCCAGTCCGAGTCCCCAAAGCTGAAGAACTTGGAGTCCGATGTTTGAGGGCAGGAAGCATCCAGCAGGGGTGAAAGATGTAGGCTAGGAAGCTAAGCCAGTCTAGCCTCTTCACGTTTTTCTACCTGCTTTATATCCTGGCTGCGCTGGCAGCTGATTAGATGGTGCCCACCCAGATTAAGGGTGGGCCTGCCTTTCCCAGCCCACTGACTCAAATGTTAATCTCCTTTGGCAACACCCTCACACACACACACAGGATCAATACTTTGCATCCTTCAATCCAATCAAGTTGACACTCAGTATTAACTATCACATTATCTAACATCTTAATTTTCCCAATTAATTTAAATATGTAGTTACTTTTAATAATATAATTAGCTATGATCGTGCCACTGCACCCCAGCCTGGGTGCAGAGTGAGACTCAGTCTCTAAAATGAATGAATGAATGAATGAATATATGCACCTACCACCCAAAAGAAAAGGTACGGACTTGATGATAACCTCTATCTATCCATGGAGTCCCCCAATTTGTTGCCTTGCCCCCACCCTCAACTGAGGTAAATATCATCCTGAATCCCAAGTTCGTCGTTTTTAAATTTCTTTTTAATGTAATTTTATTGCAACTACACAAAATCCTAAATAGTTCATATCCTTTATATTAGTAGCTTTTTTTTTTTTTTTTTTAAAGAGACAGGGTCTTGCTCTGTCACCCAGGTTGGAGTGCAGTGGCACTATCATAGCTCACTGCAGTCTTGAACTCCTCAAGAGGCTCAAGGGATCCTCCCACCTCAGCCTCCCGAGTAGCTGGGATTACAGGCACAAACCACCACACCTGGCTAATTTTTAAAATTATTGTAGGGACGGGGATCTCACTTTGTTGCCCACACTGGTCTTGAATTCCTGGCTTCAAGAGATCATCCCACCTTGGCCTCCCAAAGTGCTGAGATTACAGGCATGAGCCACTGTGCCCAGCCTATATTAGTAGCTTTTAAGTTTATAAAAGTGTGTTATGCTTTATATAATCTTTTGGGATTACAGTTCCTCCCCCTTAATATTCATCCATATTGTTGGGTGTTGTTCTAGTTCATTCATTATGACTCCTGTTGATGAGCATCCATTTTTTTTTCCAGGTTTTGCTGTTGTGAACAGGATGCCATGCTGGTATGGCTTGAATATTTGTCCCCTCCAAAACTCATGTTGAAATTTATCCCCAATGTAGCAGTATTGAGAAGTAGGGCCTTCAAGAGGTGATTGAGTGTTGAGGTCTCTGCCCTGCCCTCATGAATGGATTACCCCATTAATGAGTTACCATGGGAGTGGAACTAGTGACTTTATAAGAAGAGGAAGAGAGGCCAGGTGCAATGGCTCATGCCTGTAATCCCAGCACAAGGTCAGGAGTTCGAGACCAGCCTGACCAACATGGTGAAACCCTGTCTCTACTAAAAATACAAAAATTAGCTGGGCGTGGTGGCGCGCGCCTATAATCAGGAGGCTGAGGCAGGAGAATCGCTTGAACCCGGGAGGCAGAGGTTGCAGGCAGCCGAGATCGCACCACTGGACTCTAGCCTGGGCGACAGAGAAAGAATCCGTCTCAAAAAAAAAAGGAGGAGCGACCTCAGCTAGCATGCTCAGCCCCTTCACTGTGTGATACCCTGTGCTACCTTGGGACTCTGCAGAAAGTCCCTACCAGAAAGAAGGCCCTCACCAGTTATTGCCCTTCAACCTTGGACTTCTCAGCCTCCGTAACTGTAAGAAATAAATTCCTTTTCTTTAGAAATTACCCAGTTTCAGGTATTCTGTTGTAAGCAACAGAAAACAGACTAAGAAACATGCATATCCTAGGTTTCTTGTGCAAGTGTTTCTCTTGGTTACATTCATGAGAGTGGACTCACTGGATTGTTAAGGTATGTATATATTCACTGTAGGAGAAAATGCAAAAATATTTTCTAAAGTGGTTGCACTGATTTACATTCCTTCAACAGGGCAAAAAGATCCTGTTGGCCCACATACTCTCCAACTCTTGGTATTGTCAGACTTTTATGTTTTTGCAATTTGAATGGGTATAAAATGTCATTTTTATCATGTCTTGATTTGTATTTCCCTTATCACAAATGACTTTGAACATCTCTTTATATGTTTGCTGGCTCTATATCTCCTTCTTCTCTGAAGTGGTCTAACAGAACTTTCTTTTTTTTTTTTTTTTGGTACTATTATGACATCCAAGAACACTAACAGTGATTCTTGGCACTCTATTAGAAGTGTATGCATGCCAAATATGCTTCCACTGATTCCATTCTTCTTTCATTTATTCATTCAACAAACATTTGCCCAGACCAGGGATGCAGGGGCAGAATGACAAGCTGGGATAATCAAAGTTCAACTGCTATGGTTCAAATGTTTGTCTCCTCTGAAACTCATATTGAAATTGCCATTGTAACAGTATTAGGAGGTGGGGCCTTTAAAAAGTGAATAGGTCATGGAGGCTCCATTCTCATAAACTGATTAATGCTGTCACTGAGGGAATGGGTTAGTCACCTCAAGAGTGGGTTGTTATAAAGTGAGCCCAGTCCCTTGTGCTTTCTCTTTGTTCATACACTTGCTTGCCCTCTTGTCCTCTGCCATGGAATAATGCAGCAATAAGGCCCTCACCAGATGCTGGCACCAAGTTGGACTTCCCAATCTCCAGAACTATGAGCCAAATAAGCTTATTTTCTTTATAAATTACCCAATCTGTGATATTCTGTTACAGTAGCAGAAAATGGACAAAGATACCAACTCTCTAAAAAAATTAAAATGAAAATCGGACTATAAAAATCTGCCTTGCTATTCATCAGGATGGAAGAACAGACACATATAAAGCCAAATGCAAAATTCACAGGAAACATTATTTCTTCTAAGGACAGGCTGCAGTTGTAATGCCATAAAGAACCCCTACTTTAAGTGCCTATTGCTTTCTTGGTCAATGAGAAACTTTGTTCTCTACAATCATAGACTATCAGAAACTTTGCTGTTTGAAATGATATCAGTAAGAGGGAAACATCTGATTCTCATGGGAGATTCTAAGTCACTTCCAGACAGAGAAGCAAGATTCAATTTTCAACCCAGGTGCAAAGCTTTAGGCAAGAGTTATCTGGGGACACAAAATTCTACATCTAAATTGTTTCCAAGGAAACAGCACTCTGGGTTCACTTCACAGTCCAGACCTGACAATTACCCTTTACATACAGCCCTGCTTTCCTTTGAGCCCACTAAAACACTGCTTCATTTAATTTCATCTGAACTCCACTATTCCTCAAAATCCTATAAGAACTCTATCTTTTCCTTTGCTTAGTGAGCTGCCCATGGTGCCCCTGGTGTGCAGTCTCCCTTATTGATTGCTGGATCTGTCAGACTAAAAATTAGTTTGAGGCTAATTGGACTAGGACACCTCTAACCTTCGAGATTGTTAAACCGAGGGCCAGAGGGGATAAGACTGGATTGAGAGCCCCCAGCAAGTCCACACTTCAGCCTACACCAGGTCCTCTCAAAATATTTTTTTCACCTGAGGATTCAGAAAGGCTTTCAGGAGGGCACACAGGCTTCTAGCTCTGTCAGGATTCTCTGGAGGAGGAGATATTTGAACTTGATTTTGAAGGATGAATAGGCATTCTTAGGTGAAGGACTGCACGACTTCTTCCCCTTCTGCTCCAGTGACATCTCCCAGAGGGCAGGGGCATCTCCAGAATTTACACATTGGAGGTGATATGGAGCAGCAAACTGGTTGAAGGGTAGAAGCAGAGCCTTGTATTAAAGCTACATTTCCAAAGTAAGGGCACCATGACCACATATATTTTACTTCATGAGGAAATAAAAATAATAAAGTTTCCTAAAGATTTTTATTGACATATTGCATTGGACTAAGGACACATTAAAAATTATTAGTATTGGTACTACGTAGTCCCTTTTTAGCTGGGGTAGATGGAGTGGGAGATAAGGTAAATTGCTGCAGCATTCAAACCTCGCATCCAAGCCCCACAGGCACAGCAGGAGGGGAACCCAGCACTCTGAGTTCTCCCTTTTTCCCACCTCATGGCATATCCTAGGAGGGCTTGCATAACCATGATTTCTCCTCCTCCTCCTCCCCTTGTGGTATGTCCTAGGAGAAGCCTGTAACCAGCCTGACATCTCCCCGCTTCTCATCCTGTGGTATCTGCCAGGAGATAGCCGCGGCCGCCCCTGATTCTTTCCAAGAGGCCCTTCAGTTTCTCGGAGCGGTATCACACAGATCCATAGACTACAGGTCCAAAGACCCCCTCCTCCAGTTAGCCCGCCCAGAGAAACGTCCCCACCCGTGCTCCCTGCCACCAGCGGGACAGCTCCACCTGAGTTTAGAGCAGACAGCTCTAAACTCACAGCCTGCTCTGTGAGTTCAGAGGTGTCCTCATCCTCAATACGGATGGACACTCCTCCAACATGGTGTATCCCATGGGGAAGCGCGACGTGGGCGCGGCCATGTTCCCCACCTGACCACGCCGCCGAGGGGTACCGAACGTCCCAAAGCACCCACTTCCGTAACTTCTCCATGTTGACTCCTGGCTAACAGCAGCTTCAAAGGTGGTTTTGCGCACGCGCGGAACCTCCGCTTCCCTCATTCATGTGAAGTCCCAAACCCCGAAAAAGGGCGGTGCTAGGGGTAGTGACCGGAAGCGGCTGCGGTTCTCGCCGGTTCTCAGCCGGGGTTTGATAGTTGTCAGGAGGATTCGACGTTCAGTGCCCAGGGATGTGGAGGTGATGGGGGGCCGGGGAGGGTGAGTGCTGGGCGATTCTGTGTGGCCAGTGATGGAATCGTTTATCTAACTTGAGTTGGATGATTCACTCATCATTTTGCAGGCTTTTCTCTTTTCTAACATCACCGTTAAGGTCTTAAAGTTCATTCTAAGCCCCATTGGGTTTGGAGCATTATGTTTTTTAAGAGTGTTAACTTGTATTCATTTGTCTTTTACCCGGGAGTTATTCAAAAGTGGGGTTTCAGTGTGCAAAAGTTTATCTCTGTAATGGATCTCTAACCTTAGTTTTCTGTGTTAGAAAAATATCTACGTGAAGCTCATTCCTTGAAATATAAGGAGACTTATGGCCTAGTCCGTGGTGAATTTTTAGAAACGTTCTATATATAACTTGAAAATAATATTTAATTATTTAGTCGTCAATTGTGTCATAGAAAATCTATCCTTTTTTGTCTGCTTCTTCTATTACTTCGAGGAGAGAGAAATTCTCCACTGTGATGGTGATTTGTCTGTGTCTCCTTACTGCTGTCTGTGATCCTCTGTGAGTTACTTTTTGTATAAAGTATGAGACTTAGGTCGAGGTGCATTAATTTGCTTATGGATGTCCAGACTGAAGCACCATTTGTTGAAAAGACTATCTTTCCTCCATTGACTTGTCTTTCACCATTGTCAAAAATAAGTTGGCCATACTTGTGTGTGGGCTCTTTCTGGGTTTGCTATTCAGTTCATTGTCTATGTGTCTATCCCTCTGCCAGTACTACCTTGCTGTCTTGAATTGGATAGAGTGATTCCTCTCACTTTATTCTTTTTCAAAATTGTTTTAATGCCTCTGGTTCCCTTGCCTTTCCTATATGCATTTTAGAAAATCTTGTCTCTATCTACAAAGCATCTTGCTTGGATTTTGATAGGAATTGCATTAAACCTGTATACCAACTCGGGAAGAAGTTAAGTCTTAACTGTGCCAAGTCTTCCAATCCATATACATAGTATGTCTCTCTATTTATTTAGATCTTTTAAAATTTCTATAAATGGTGTATTTTAATTTTCATCACCCAAGTTCTGTACATGTCTTATTCAATTTATACCTAAGTATTTAATTGTTTTGGAGTGGTCATAAATGGTGTTATCTTTTAAATTGTTGCTTATATATAGGAATACAATTGAGTTTTGTCTGTTGGTCTTGTATCCTGCAATCTTGCTGAGCTCAATTATTAGGTTTTACACCTTTTTTGGCAGATTCCTTGGATTTTCTGCATGAGCAATCATGTCATATACAAACAGGGATAGTTTTATTTCTTTCTTTCCAATCTTTATACCTCTGCTTTTCTTCCCTTATTACACTGGCAAGAAGTTCCAGTACTATGTTGAATAAGAGAGTGGACATCTTTGCATTGTTTTCAGTCTTAGGGGGAAAATATTCAACCTTTTACCATTAAGTATGATTTTAGCTGTAGGGCTTTCTTTTTTTGGACCCTCTTTTTTGGTTGAGGAAGTTCCCCTCTATTTTTAATTTCAAAAGTAGTTTTTATCGTGAATGGGTGTTGAATTTCATCAACACTCTGAATTTTGATGATCTTGTGATTTTTTTTCTTTTTTAGCTTGTCAGTATGGAGGGTTATGCTGATTGATTTTTGAATATTGAACTAGTCTTACATTCCTGGAATAAACCCTACTTGGTTGTGATGTATAATTCTTTGGATATATTGAAGGAATTGATTAGCTAATGCTTTTTTGAGGATTTTTGCATCTAAGTTCATGGGAAATATTTGTCTATAGTTTTCTTTTTTATACTATCTTTGTCTGGTTTTATTTTTTATTTTTGAGACAGGCTCTCACTCTGTTCCTCAGGCTGGAATGCAGTGGTGTGACCATGGCTTACTGCAGCCTTGACCTCCCAGCCTCAAGTGATTCTTCCACCTCAGCCTCCTGAGTAGCTGGGACTCCAGGCACACGCCACCACACCCAACTAATTTTATTATTTTTTGTAAACCGGGTCTCACTATGTTGCCCAGGCTGGTCTCAATCTCCTGGGCTCAAATAGTCCTCCTGCCTCAGCCTCTCAAAGTGCTGGGATTACAGGTGTTAGCCACTGCTCTTGGCTTTGTCTGGTTTTAGTATTAGGGTAATACTGGCCTCATTGAATGAGTTGGGGACTATTTCCTCCTCTTCTGTTTTCTGGAAGAGACTGTGTAGAATAAGTACTAATTTTTATTTAAATATTTAAATATTTGGTAGACTTCTCCAGTGAAGCCATCTGGGCCTGGAAACTTCCATTTGGAAGCTTTTTGATCATGGCTTCAATGTCTGTAATAGTTATGTAACTATTCAGATTATCTATTTAATATCATTTTAGACTACAGGTTAAGCATCCCTAATTCAAAAATCTGAAATCCAAAATGCTTCAAAATCCAAAACTTTCTGAGTGCCAACATAATGCCACAAGCAAAATTTCACACCTGATTTTGTGACAGGTCACAGTCAAAATGCAGTGAAAACTTTGTTTCATGCACAAAATTATTAAACATGTTATATAAAATTACCTTCAGGCTATGTTATAAGGTAACATAGTGTACATGAAACATAAATGAATTCTGTGTGTATACTTGGGTCTCATTCTGCAAGATACTTTATTATGTATATGCATATATTCCAAAATAAAAAAAAACTGAAATCTGAAACACTTCTGTTCCCAAGCATTTTGGATAAGAGACATTCAACCTGCATTTAATAGTGGGTGAATTGTGGTACTTTGCATTTTACAAGGAATTGGACTGTTTCATCCAAGTTGTTGAATTTATGTGCACAAAGTTGTTGTGGTATTCCCTTACTATCCTTTTAATGCAAGCTTGTCCAACCCGCTGTCCGTGGGCCACATGTGGCTCCGGACAGCTTGGAATGCAGCCCAACACAAATTCGTAAACTTTCTTAAAATATTGTGAGTTTTTTTTGCATTTTTTTTAAAGCTCATCAGCTATCGTTAGTGTTAGTGTATTTTATGTGTGGTGAAAGACAATTCTTCTTCCAGTGGGGCCCAGGGAAGCCAAAAGATTAGATACCCCTGTTTTAATGGCTGCAGGATCTGCAGTTACATCTCTGTGTTTCATTTCTAATATTGGTAATTTGTGTCTTCATGTCTTCTCTCTCTTTTTTTTTTTTTTTTTGCAGAGACAAGTGAACATTTATTTTTGTGCCTTTCTTCCTATGTGTATTTCGAGTCTTTTTCAAAACAAGTCCCCAGGAATCTCCAGATTCAATTATGTCCCTGGGCTTGGTCGACTGCTGCAGGATTCTTAGGAAGCATTATACAAATGCTAGAGTTACTCATTAACCAACATTAAACCCTAGGATAGAAGATGCAGCAAAGCAGGACTCCTTCCTCCGTGGAATGTGCTGATTTCAGATGAGGCCGCAGCCAATGTAGAAAATGCTGGAATTTTTCCTTGAAACTGGACTGTGATGAGAGGTGCTTGCCATGAACATAAGCTACTGTCTTTTCTTTTCTTTCTTTCTTTTCTTTTTCTTTTTTTTTTTTTTTTTGAGACGGAGTTTTGCTGTTGTTGTCCAGGCTGGAGTGCAATGGCGCAATCTCGGCTCACCCCAACCTCCGCCTCCCAGGCAGGTTCAAGCGATTCTCCTGCCTCAACCTCCTGAGTAGCTGGGATTACAGGCATGCGCCACCATGCCCGGCTAATTTTTGTATTTTTAGTAGAGACGGGGTTTCTCCATGTTGGTCAGGCTGGTCTTGAACTCCTGACCTCAGGTGATCCGCCCGCTTTGGCCTCCCAAAGTGCTGGGATTGCAGGCATGAGCCACCGCGCCCGGCGAGCTACTGTCTTTTCTTTGACCCTTCCTTTCCAGTTTTTGAAGATAAAGCAGGAGATAAACTTCTCTGAAGATACTTGATAAAAATTCCCCCCAAAAATAAAAACACATGCTTCCACTTCATTGATACAAATTTACTGCAGTTTGGCACCTGGGTCTAGTTCAGCTGGTGGATGAGCAGATTGATGTGTTCACCCCGATAGCCAGGTGTGCCCGTCTCCTTGAGGAAGCCTACTCTATTTTTGGTAGCATGACGGGCCACTGACAGGTGGAAAGGGCTCAAGAACCATGAGATCTCCTCGAAATGTTTCCCTGGGAAGGCAATTTCATGAATGAGGTCTTCCAAGCAAATGACACCAAACTTCCCCAGGTGCTCCTCAATCACTGTACTGTCTGTCAGAGGGATGGTCTTATTCTTGACCTTGGCTTGTCTATGTTTAAAAATGAGTTCCCGGACAGACTTCAGATTTGGAAATCCCCAGGTCACATAAGGTTCCACTATATGCAGCATTTTTAGGTTCTGGGAGGTAACTTTTACAAAGACACCACTAAAAATTTTCTTTAGGCGGTCTTGCAGTGGTTCTCTGCACCAGTAAACTCACGCCATCAATCCTTTCGATGTGTATGACAAAGGCCAAGGAATGTTTATCTGGCAATTCCAAGGCATGAGGTTTCACTTCTAGTCGTCTGAGACGCACCTTGTCACGTTTCTGCCGCCAGGAATCATGTAGGAATGATTCCAGTCACTTAAACCTAAGCCTTTTTCCTTTCCTCTGCTCCTTCTTTGCCAAAAGTGCCTGCTTTGCCTGGGTGGCTTTGAGGGCTTGATAAACCTTCCTCTTTTTTCAGGAGATTTTCTGGAACCAAAGGGATTTTTCTTTGCTCTTGCTCTGCCATCTTTCTAGTCGTGTCTTTTTTATCTTTGTCAATCTTGCTGGAGGATTACAAGTTTTATTGTTCTTTTCAAAAGACCAGCTATTGGATTTATTTATTTTTTCTATTGTTTTTCTGTTTTCAATTTCATTGATTTCTGCTCTTGTATTTATTACTTCCTTCCGCTTAGTTTGAGTTTTCTTTTTCTAGTTTCTTGAGGTGGGAGCTTAGATTATTGATTTAAGACCTTTCCTCTTTTCTCATATAAACATTTAGTGCTATAATGTTCCCTCTCAACAGTGCTTTATCTGTACCCCACAGATTTTGATATGTTACATTTTTCGTTTTCATTCATCACATTTTAATTTCCCTTGGGACTTCATCTTTGATCCATGGATCATATAGAAATATATTATTTAAAGTATCTGGAGATTCTCCTGTTATCTTTCTGTTGTTGATTGATAGTTCTATGCTATTATAATCAGAGAACATACTCTGTACGACTTCAATTTGTGGAGGTGTTTTATGACCCCCGGTGTGGTCTATTTGGAGAATGTTCAGCAGGTGCTTGAAAGGAAGGTGCATTCCATTAGTGTTTGGCTGGAGAAGGCTGTGTATCTTCAAAAAGGTTTTCTGTTCAGCGAAGTCACCTTTTTCCTGGTCCGTTAACAGGAATGGCTTTTCTTGGAGCCATATTGTTTTGGCGGGGGGAGTCTGTTCCTGTTGATGGTTCTGAGTTGTAAGTTTCTGCAGTACCTTTTGATGATATATGGGAGGATAAAGGAAAACCCAGGGAACTCAACCACTGTGCTGTTCAAGTCCTGAGGTCTGCAAGCTGTCCTCCTTACCTTTCTACCTTTCAGAGTCTTCTGATTTGTGTTTGTTGTTTTAATTTTTTTTCTGGTCTCTTCTACATGTACTAACCTCTTCTTTCTTTTCTGTGTTTTGGTTTTGTTTTGTTTTTTTGATAGAGTCTCACTCTGTCACCCAGGCTGGAGTGCAGTTTGTGTGATCTCAACTCACTGCAACCTCTGCCTCCTGGGTTCAAGCGATTCTCCTGCCTCAGCCTCCCGAGTAGCTGGAATTACAGGTGCGTGCCACCATGCCTAGCTAATTTTTGTACTTTTAGTAGAGACGGGGTTTCACCATGTTGGCCAAGCTGGTCTTGAACTCCTGGCCTCAACTGATCTGCCAGCCTTGGCTTCCCAAAGTTCTGGGATTACAGGTGTGAGCCACCACACTCGGTTTCTTTTCTTTTCTTATATTAACTTTGTTAATTTGCATTTTACTAGGGAAGCACTTGTTTTATGGCAGTATTAAAATGCATTGCTATACAGTTATGCATAATGTTCTGCAATAACTGCTTTAAACACCTTCCTATCTGGGAAAGATTTTCCTCTCATTTTGAATATATGTATATGTGTATGTGTGTGTATGGTTTCTATGGTTTTAAGGCTCTTCCATGATGTAATAGGTATCTGTACTTCTTTTTTATTACCAAATAATACTCTATTGTATATATATGGCAAATTTTGTTTATCCATTCATCACTTGATGGACATTTGGATTATTTCCACTTTTTGGCTATTATGGATAATGCTGCTGTGACTATTTGTGTATAAGTTTTGGAATGGACATATGTTTTAATTTCTCTTGCATAGACATGGTCTCCTAATCAAATGGAAGATTTGGGTTTTGATTTGTATTTTCCTAATGACTGATGATGATAATTATCTTATGTTATTCCTATATCTACACACACACACACACACACACACACACACACATTCTTGACTCCTTTATCTGATTTGCTAGAGAGTTTTTTTTATGACATTGGTCATTTCCATTTGTTTATTTTTTTTGAGACAGTTTCTCACTCTGTCATCCAGGCTGGACTGCAGTGATGCAACTGTGGCTCACTGCATCTTCGACTTCCCAGGCTCAAGCAATCCTTCCACCTCAGTCTTCCTGAATAGCTGGAACTACAGGTGCACACAACCATGCCTGGCTAATTTTTCTATTTTTTTGTAGAGATAAGGTTTCACCATGTTGCCCAGGTTGGGCTCAAACTCCTGGGCTCAAGCGATCCTCCCACCTTGGCCTCCCAAAGTGCTGAGATTATAGGCATGAGCCACTGCGCCTGGCTACATTGGTCATTTCATTTCTTTTTTTTCTTTAAACCTCCTATATTTATTTGATTTAGTTAAGGTTTTATTAATTACTTCCTGGTTTTGGTTTTTGTTTTGCTTAATTTTGTTTTTTCTAATTCTAATGTTTTAGGTTGAATATATAGCTCATTTTTGGGTTGTATTTATTTTTAATTAAAACCAAAGCTATTTAAAGCAGTAAATTTCACTCCAAATACAATGCTGTATTCCGTAACTTCTGGTAAAATTTGTATAGCTTCTGTATTGATTTCCCACTTTGATCCTGGGTTATTCAGGAAAAAGTTTTCTTCCCCTTTTAAAAAATAAGATTTATTTAGGTATATTCCAATACCATAAAATTCACCCACTTAAAGTATGTAGCTCAGTGGTTTTTAGTATATTAACAGAGTTGTGCAGCCATCACCACAATCTAATTTTAGAACCTTTTCAACACACCCAAAAGAAATCCTGTCCTCATTAGCAGACATTTACCATTCATGCCACCTCATACTCCCAGCCCTAGGCAACCACTCTTCTATTTCTGTCTCTGTGGATTTGCCTATTCTGGATATTTCACATGAGTGGAATCACAAAATATGTGGTCTTTTGTGACCGGCTTCTTTCACTTAGGGTAGAGTTTTCAGGGGTCATCCATGTTGTAGTAAGTATTAGTACTTCTTTTGTATTACCAAATGTTATAATATTCCATTGTGTATATATGCGAAATTTTGTTTATCCATTCATCAATTGACATCAAACATTTGGATTGTTTCTACTTTTTGGCTGCTATGAATAATGCTGCTGTAAATATTTGTATACAAGTTTTGGAATGGACATGGGTTTTTAAAAATTTCTCTTGCATAGATATCTATGAGTGGAATTTCTGGGTTATATGGTGACTTTATGGTTGATATTTTGAGAAACTGCCAAACTGTTTTTCAGAATGAGTGCACCATTTTACAATCCAACCAGCAATGTATGAGAGCCCCAATTTATTCACAGCTCACCAACACTTGTTACTGTCTTTTCTTCTTATGTTAGCCATTTTAGTGGATGTGACATGGTCTCCTAATACATGAAAGATTTTGGTTTTGATTTGCATTTTCCTAATGACTGATGTTGTTGAACATCTTATGTTACGATCAGAGAATGTAAACCTGTCAATTCCCAACATTAAAACATTTATCAGATTTTTTGGTGGCCAAGTTATTTGAAGGAATTTTGTAAAAGTTCCATTACTATAAGAGAATAAAGTATGTTTTCCCTCTTGTTTTGGTATAACATCCTTTTTATGTTTTTAAAATTTAACTTGTTCATGCCTTTTATTTTATTTTACTCTTTATTTATTTTACTTTCTCTTTTCCTCTTCATCCCATTCTTACTTCCATTGTCTTAAGTTCCTCTTTTTTAAGTAGATATTTTTCCTTTCTTAACAAGAATGACTAAATCTACAGTGCCTCTAATAATTGATCAGAATAAAATTGTACCTCAACTTGGACACAGAGACACCCTCTCCTCCCTAGTTCCCTCAACGAGGAAACAGTTTTACCTCTGGATATTTTTGAGTTAATTAAAAAACTTTAGTCCCAGGCTATTAATATTTTTCTTATAGCATGTCTCTTCTGTTTCAAGAAATTTTACTTAACTTTTTTATTCTGAATTCAGGGTCATATTTTCAACATCTGTTAAACAGAACCACATTTATTTTGAACCTACCATGGAAAAGGTATCATATGATATAACTTTGAGGGCGTGAACTTTGGAGCCTTGGTAGACTGGGTTTGACTTAACACCACTAAACCTCTAATTCTGTGTGCATAAAATGAAATAATAATGATTATAACAACACACAGATGAAAGGATTGTTGTGTAAATTACCTGCTATTACATGCTTCCTTATAACAATACTTGGTAACATGTATTAAGTGTTTACCTGGGGCCAGTTCAGCGCTAAGTACCATTGAAACATAATCTCATCTAATTTTCATAACCACTTGAGATAAATATTTCAAATTCATTTTGAAAAATAAACCTGAAGCAGCTTTTTCATGTTCTCATAGCTAAAAGTTGGCAGAGCTAGAATTTAAACCTTTATTAATTTTAGTCCAAATCTCATGCTCTTGCTCATATTCTATTTTAATTGATAAGCAGAATATGTGTTTCTTGGACTTTATCTACTTCACAGTATCCAGTGCAGTGAACTGTACTTTGGTTCCCCCAGGAGATGTCTGTGTAGTAAGTGCTATCTGCCTCTGATCATATGGACACTGTCTTTCCAGAGTTCTTGGAGTCTCTGCGGAGTCCCTGGGCCAGATCTCACAGTGAAAGCTGCAGGATCTTCCTTCTGACCCCAGCAGTCCCCGTTGAGTCCACCGATCCCACTGGAATTATAAAGTTGTCAGCAAGAAAGCCCCAGGGCTGAAGTCCAAGTCCGTCGGGAACATGCCAGCTAACGAGGACGCTCCCCAGCCAGGGGAACATGGCAGTGCCTGTGAGGTGAGGAGGAGGAAGAGGTGCCCAGGGATTGGAATTCATCCACAGCCCTGAAGGAAAGATACTACCTCATAGTTTTCATTTCTAGTACTTTTTTTAGCAGGCAGGAAAATTTCCCCCCACCCTCATTTTTATTGGTCATTTATTTCCCTTTTGTGAATTTCCTTCTCCTGTCCATTGCTGATTTATTTATCTTAGCTTATGGATTTTAAAAGAGGCTTTTGAAAATATTTAGGTTAATAGCCCTTTATCATTCTTGCATATTTTTATGAATATTTGTTGTCACTTCGTAATTTGCAATTAGCTCTTAGTTTCATTTACAAGTGGTAAAGGTATCAAATAGTTCTCTAAGTCTTGTTTAAAGAAAAAAAAAAGCTCTTCCATGCTTTGTTTTCCACCAGATTCCAGCTGCCCAGAAGCAAGCACCCTTACTCTTTTTAATAGTTTTAAAGAATGTTTTGGGTGTTATCTATTGGCTTTCCACTATGGAAGATAGAGATTGAGCTTTTCTTTACACCCCTACTCACATACACATTTCCTAACTCCACCTCCCTAAGACAGGTATATCATTGTTTTGGTGAGATTCATGGTCAGTGTTGATCATTGAATCCCATGGTATCTATGCTGTGATGACTATTTCGGCACAACTTTTTTCTTTTCCCTGGAATTAACAATTTTCTGTCTCAGTCATTTGTTTGTGTTACTATATACACATCAATCATTTAACTCCAAATTCTTCCCTGGTGTTAAATCTCCTTTCTATATATTCAAACATATTAGGTATTAATCACAGTGATAATAATTAAAAGCAGTCATACAACATTTACTGCATGCCAAGCACTGTTACACGTACTCTACGTGTGTTCACCCATCTTCACAACAACCTCATGAAGTAGGTGCCATTATTATCTTTAGAGACAGGGTCTCACTCTGTTGCCCAGGTTGAAGCGCAGTGGCACGATCATAGCTTACTGCAACCTCGAACTCCTGGGCTCAAGTGATCCTCCTACCTCAGCCTCCCAAGTAGCTGGGACTACAGGTCCAAGCCGCCATGCCCAGTAGGTGCCATTATTATCCCCATGTCATAGAGGAGAAAACTGGGGCATAGGGGAAAACCATTTGGCCCAGGTTTACACAGTAAATAGCCAGTAATAGGTGGGGCTGCTCTCACTTCTGGGCATCACTGTCTTCTCTTTGAAGAAATCTCTCCTGGAGCTTGACTTGCTAAAGTCTGGACTGGTGTCTTTCTCAGTTTGATACAGAGCTGTTACCTTGGTGTCTTCCCTTCACCATCTCCCAGGAAATCCCCTTGACTTCTCTCTTGGGTCAGATCTGTTTCCTGGAGCTTGTGTCTTCATCTTCCTTGGCTTACCCCTTCATTTTGTGGGGAGCACATCCTTGCAAATGGATGCATGACAGGTACATTTTATGAAACTTTGCATGTCTGAAAATGTCATGCAGAAATATATTTACTGAATACATATAACTGTATAAATTTATGTGTAGAAATATAAATATGAATGCCATGGAAATATACCTATTTGATCCTGACACTAAATTTGTCTTTTTGGCTGAGAATAGAATTCTAGATTAGAAATAATTTTTTTTTTTTTTTAGACGGAGTCTTGCTCTGTTGCCCAGGCTGGAGTGCAGTAGCACAATCTCGGCTCACTGCAAGCTCCACCTCCTGGGTTCACACCATTCTCCTGCCTCAGCCTCCCGACTAGCTGGGACTACAGGCACCCGCCACCACACCAGGCTAATTTTTTTGTATTTTTAGTAGAGACGGGGTTTCACCGTGTTAGCCAGGATGGTCTCGATCTCCTGACCTCGTGATCTGCCCGCCTCGGCCTCCCAAAGTGCTGGAATTACAGGCGTGAGCCACCATGCCCGGCCTAGAAATCATTTTTATGCCCAATTTGAAAGCCTGTTTCCAAAGTCTTCCTAGGCCTTTTCTACTCACATGTACATTTTCTCTGCTTTTCTAAAACTCTTTTTATTTGGTTGTCGATGCTCCTTTGTAAAAATTATTTGCTTTACTGATTTCCATTTCTATCTCTTTTGTTCCTCCTTCTAGTAGTACTTTTTAAAAACTTTATCTTCCAAATCTTCTTTTGTGTCTCTCATTAATGCTGTTATATTTTTTCTTTTAAGTAGCTCTTTTTGTCTTCAGAATATTCCCGTGCTATTTTTGTTTTATGGATGCAGCATCATATCATTCTAAAGACATTAGTAGTAGTTTTTTTGACAACTTAATTTTTTGAATAGTAATATAGAAAAAATGGCTCAAATAATTAAAGACATATAAAAAGCTATACAGGTTGAGTATCCCTAATCCAAAAATCCAAAATCCAAAATGCTTCAAAATCCAAAACTTTTTGAGCACTGACATGACATTCAAAGGAAATGCCCATTTGGATTTTGGATTTTCAGATTAGGGATGCCCAACCTAAGTATAATGCAGATATTCTAAAATCTGAAAAAAAAGTCCAAAATCCCAAATACTTCTAATCCCAAGCATTTCGGATAAGGGCTACTCAAGCTCCATGGTCTAAATTCTCTTACCCATCTTTCTCCTGTCTGCTCAGCTCTCTCTAATACATAAAACCAGGTTAGTTTTTCTCTGTATGATTAGGGTTTCTTTATGCAGATAACAGCAGCTGAGAACACATTCTTATTTTCTCCTTTTTATGTCACAGAAGGTAGCCAATTAAAGAAATTTTTATCAATTTTTGTTAATTTAAAATATTTCAGTGAAATATAATATGAATTATAAGCAATGCTGCTAGGAACATTCTTCATGTCTCCATGCACATGTGTATACCCTCTCTTAAATATATACAGGGGGGTGAAGTTAATGGGTCATAGTTATGTCTTAAAAACGTTTTTATTGTGAAATGTAACATACATACAGAAAAGCATACAGAACAGACATGTATGGCCGAATGAGTTATCCTTCCATAGGCCTAGAAAGAGTCCATAGTTAGCATTCCACAATCCCTCTACTCCCAGAGCTAACTACTACCCTGACTTTTATGATAATCACTTCCTTTAAGAAGAAAATCACAGCTGGGCGCGGTGGCTCACACCTGTAATCCCAGCACTTCAGGAGGCTGAGGCGGGTGGATCACCTGAGGTCAGTCAGGAGTTCGAGACTAGCCTGTCCAACATGGTGAAACCCTGTCTCTACTAAAAATACAAAAATTAGCCAGGCATGGTGGTAGGTGCCTGTAATCCCAGCTACTTGGAAGGCTGAGGCAGGAGAATCATTTGAACCCAGGAGGCGGAGGTTGCAGTGAGCTAAGATCGCGCCACTGCACTCCAGTCTGGGTGACAAGAGCGAGACTCCGTCTCAAAAAAAAAAAAAAGAAGAAGAAGAAGAAAATCGCAATCCATAGAGTGGGAGAAGATATAAACAACAGAGGACTTATACCCAGAATATATCAAGAACAACAAAACAACAAGAAAAAGCAGAATACCCACTAGTCAGAGGCCTTCTTGAACAGATATGTAACAGATGAAGATATTCAGATGGCTAATAGACACGTGAGACAGTGCTCAATCTCATTATTCATCAGGGAAATGCAAATTTAAACCACAATGTAATACAACTACCCCTTACCACCACCACTAGAATGGCTATAATTTAGAACACTGACAATGACAAGTACAATGACAAGTGTTAGGAGGAGGAGCACTGCTCATGAGAATGTAAATTGACACAATCTCTGGGGACCTTTTAGCCTTATTCATCCGTACATATGTAGACCATATGAGGAAACAGTTCTAGGAAAACACCCACCAGAAATCCTTGGCTGATGTACCAGGACACATGTATAAATGCTCACTGTAGCATTACTTGTAACAGCCAGAAACTGGAAATAATGCAAATGACCATCAATAATAGAGTGGGGCCAGGTGTGACAGCTCATACTTGTAATCCCAACACTTTGAGAAGCTGAGGCAGGAAGATCATTAGAGACCAGGAGTTCAAGACCAGCCTGGGCAACATAATGAGACCCATCTCTTAAAAAAAAAAAAAAAAAAGAAAGAAAAATTTTAAAAATAGAATGGATAAATACATTGAACATAATATTGAGTGAAAGAAGGTAGACACCAAAGAATTTGTTGTGTTTATTTCAATTTATATGAAGTTTTAAGACAGGAAAAGCAAAAGCATATAGTATAGAGGGGTACATTTGTAGGTGATAAAACTTGAAAGCAAAGTGAGGAAGTGCTCACCATCTGAGGCAGAATAGTGGCTTCCTTGACCAGGGGCGTTGCAGGGAGGGAGGGAAAGAGGCATGAGTAAGGCTTCCGGCCAGGGAGCTGGCCATGTTCTATTTCCAGATTGTGGTGGTAATTAGGTTGGTATTTGCTTCAAATGATTAGTTAAGGTGAATATTTGTTTCATATGTTTTTCTGCATGAATATTATATTTAATAATAATAATCTTTTGAAAAGAAAAAAAGTACCCTCCAATTTTGACCCCAGTGGCCTATATATTCTTTCCCAAGGCAGCTACAGATAGTCTGTCCATACAAACACGTGCACTCATTCACAGGCACGCGCGCACACACACACACACACACACACACACACACACACACACACACAACCCAACACCCCTATATCCATTTTTAAACTGAAATATTAGCATACAAAATTTCCAGCACTTGCTTTTCTCCCTTAACAATAAAGCTTGGTGATTATTCAGTGTCACTACATGTAATGAGTTACCTCATTCCTTTACAAGGCTACGTCTTATTCTATTATATGAATATATCAAAATATGCTAACCAGTTTTCTATTAATAGACATTTAAATGGTTTCTAATCTTTTGCAATTGTACACAACACTGCAATGAATATCCTTATACAAATCTTAGTTAACACAAGAGAGAGTATGTTTAGAGAGAAATTTCTCCAAGTAGAATTCCCAGGACAGATGATATATACATTTTTACTCTTTTTGTTTTGTTTTGTTTACACATTTTTATTCTTAATGGATATGGAAAAATTGCCTGCCTCGTGGGTTGTGTCAGTTGTATGAGTGTCTGTTTTCACCATACCCAAGCAACACAGTGTCTTGTCATATTCATTTTTTCTTTTTGGTCAGTCTGATAGGTTACAACACAGTATCTCAGTATAGATTTAATTTACATTTCTCTTATGGCTGAGGTTGAATATATGTGACTGTGTTTAAAGAGCCATTTATATGATTTTTTTCTGAGACATTTTAAAATTTCCTTTTCCCATTTTTCTATTAGGGTGTTGCTATTTATGGAAGGATGTTACATGTGTCCCAGTTATTTTCCCCAACTTCCCATTTGTCTTTTAAATGAAAATGTTAGTGTTTTCTCTGTGCATTGTTTATGAATCTTTTCTGTTCTCCAAGTTTTGTATCAACTAGAAAAGCCTTCCTCATTGTTCCTCATTGCTCAGCTGTATTTGGGAAAAAAACCCTTACATTTTCTGTTTAATACTTAATTGTTTTTATTTTTTACTTTTACTGCTGCAACTAGCTGGATTCTTTTTGCTATTGTTGTAAAGCCTTAGCCAGAGATCTGTCTTAATTTTTCTTCAAGATGCCTACACATTTGTCCCAATACCATTTATTGAATAATCTATATTTTCCCCACTAACATGCAATACTACATTAGCATATACAGGCATACCTTGGAGATATTGCGGGTTCGATTCCAGACCACTGCAATAAAGCGAGTATCTCAGTAAAGAGAGTCATACAAATTTTGTGGCTTCCCACATAAAAGTTATGTTTATAGTATGCTATAGTCTATTAAGTGTACAATAGCATTATGTCTAAAAACAGTGTATATACCTTAATTTAAAAATACTACTACAAAATGGTAACAATCACATGAGCCTTTGGTGGGTCATAATCTTTTTGCTGATGAAAGGTCTTGCCTTGATGCTGATGGCTGTTGACCGATCGGGGTGGTGGTTGCTGAACACTGGGGTGGCTATAGCAATTTTTAAAAATAAGACAACAATGAAGTTTGCCACATCAATGAACACTTTCCTTCCTGAAAGATTTCTCTGTAGTATACAACACTGTTTGATAGCATTTTACCCACAGTAGAAATCCTTTCAAAATTGGAGTCAATCGTCTCAAACCCTGCCCCTGCTTTCTTTCAGTTTATGTAATATTCTAAATCACTTGCTGTCATTTCCACACTGTCCACAGCATCTTCACTAGGAGTAGATTCTGTCTCAAGAAATCATGTTCTTGGCTTATCCATAAGAAAAAACTCCTCATCCGTTAAAGTTTTATCATGAGATGGCAGCAATTCAGTCACATCTTCAGGCTTCACTTCTAGTTCTCTCGCTATTTCCACCATCTCTGTAGCTATTTCCTCTAGTGGCGTCTTGAACCCCTGAAAGTCATCCATGAGGATTGGAATCCAGTCTTTCCAGACTTCTGTTATTGCTGATATTTTAACCTCCTCCCATGAATCATGAGTGTTCTTAATGGCTTCTAGAATGATGAACCGTTTACAGGAGGTTTTCAATTTACTTTGCCCAGATTCATCCAAGGAATCACCATCTGTGGCAGCTATAGTCTTACAAAACGTATTTCTTAAATAAGACTTGAAAGTTGAAATTACTCTTTGATCTATGGGCTCCAGAATCATGTTGTGTTAACAGGCATGAAAACAACATGAATCTCCTTG
Organism: Homo sapiens; assembly: GCF_000001405.40. Classification (NCBI taxonomy): domain Eukaryota; kingdom Metazoa; phylum Chordata; class Mammalia; order Primates; family Hominidae; genus Homo; species Homo sapiens. Next base: position 47,853,013 of record NC_000023.11, read on the forward strand.
TATATCTCCATCAGAGCTCTTTGGTGACCAGGTGCATTGTCAGTGAGCAGTGATATTTTGTAAAAAATCTTTTTTTCTAGCAATAGGTGTCAACAGTGGTCTTAAAATATTCAGTAAACTATGCTGTAAACAGATGTGCTGTCATCCAGGCTTTGTTGTTCCATAATTCTTTTTTTTTTTTTTGAGATGGAGTCTCGCTCTGTTACCAGGCTGGAGTGCAGTGGTGCGATCTCGGCTCACTGCAACCTCGCCTCTGCCTCCTGGGTTCAAGCGATTCTCCTGCCTCAGCCTCCCGAGTAGCTGGGACTACAGACACACGCCACCACGCCCAGCTAATTTTTGTATTTTTAGTAGAGACAGGGTTTCACCATGTTGGCCAGGATGGTCTCGATCTCTTAACCTCGTGATCTGCCTGCCTTGGCCCCCCAAAGTGCTGGGGTTACAGGCGTGAGCCACCGTGCCCGGCCGATTTGGCATAATTCTTAAGGATCTTAGGATTTACAGAATGGTAAATGAGCATTGGCTTCACCTTTTTTGTTGTTGTTTGTTTGTTTGAGACAGGGTCTCATTGTGTCAGTCAAGCTGGAGTGCAGTGACGTTATCATAGCTCACTGTAACCTTGAGGTCCTGGGCTCAAACAATCCTACCTCAGCCTCCTGAGTAGCTGGGACTACAGGCATGTGCCACCATGCCTGGCTAATTTTTAAATTTTTTTTTTTAAGAGATGGGGTCTTGCTCTGTTGCCAGGACTGATCTCAAACTCCTGGCCTCGAGCAGTCCTCCCACCTTAGCCTCCCAAAGTGCTGGGATTACTGGTGTGAGCCACCATGGCTGGCTGGCTTCAACTTAAAGTAACCAGCTGCATTAATCCCTAACAAGAGAGTCAGCCTGTCCTTTGAAGGTTTGAAGCCAGGCATTTACTTCAGGCATTTACTTCTCTTCTCTAGCTATGAAAGTCCTAGCTGGCATGTTCTTCCAATATAAGGCTGTTTAATCTGCATTGAAAATCTGTTGTTTAGTGTAGCCATCTTCATCAATGATTTTAGCTAGATCTTCTGGATAACTTGCTGCATACAGCTTCTATGTTAGCACTTGAGCACTTGCTACTTCACCTTGTACTTTTATGTTATGGAGATGGCTTCTTTCCTTAAGCCTCACGAACCAACCTCTGCTAGCTTCAAACTTTGCTTCAGCAGCTTCCTCACCTCTCTCAAGCTTCGCAGAATTGAAGAGAGTTCAGGTCTTGTGCTTTTGAGTAGGCTTTGGTTTAATTAAGGGAATGTTGTGGCTGGTTTGGTCTTCTTTCCAGACCACTCAAACTTTCTCCATATCAGCAATAAACCTGTTTCACTTTCTTATCTTTCATGTGTTCACTGGAGTAGGACTTTTAATTTCCTTTAAGAATTTTTCCTTTGCATTCACAACTTGTCTGACTGGTGCAAGAAGCCTAGCTTTTTAGCCTAGCTTGGCTTTCAACAGGCCTTCCTCAATAAGCTCAATCATGTCTAGCTTTTGATTTAAAGGGAGAGACATGTGACTCTTCCTTTCACTTGAACACTTAGAGACCACTGAGGGTTATTAATTGGCCTAATTTCAATATTGTTGTGTCTCAGGGAATAGGGAGGCCCGAGGAGAGGGAGAGACAGGGAACGGGCCAGTAGGTGGAGCAGTCAGATCACACACAGCATTTATCAATTCAGTTCACCATCTTCTATGCGCATGGTTCGTGGTGCCCTGAGACAACGACAATAGTAACATCAAAGATCACTGATCACAGAGTACCATAACAGATATAATAATAGGCCGGGCGCGGCGGCTCACGCCTGTAATCTCAGCACTTTGGGAGGCCAAGGTGGGCAGATCACGAGGTCAGGAGTTCGAGACCAGCCTGGCCAAGATGGTGAAACCCCGTCTCTACTAAAAATACAAAATATTAGCCGGGTGTGGTGGCAGGTGCCTATAATCCTAGCTACTCGGGAGGCTGAAGCAGAGAATTGCTTGAACCCGGGAGGCAGAGGTTGCAGTGAGCCGAGATCATGCCACTGCACTCCAGCATGGGCGACACAGTGAGACTCTGTCTCAAACTAAAAAAATATGTACCCTAAAACTTAAAGTATAATAAAAAAAATTCTAACAATCAAAAAAATAAATAAATTAATTAATTAATTAAATAAAAATAAAAAAACCCCCAAATCTTCCACCTTAAAAAAAAGAGAAGAAACAGATATAATAATAATGAAAATGTTTACAATATTGTGAGGATTACCAAAATCTGACACAGAGACATGAAGTAAGCACATGCTGTTGTACAGATGGTCCCAATAGACTTGCTCTATCAGGGTTGCCACAAACCTGCAGTTTACGAGAAACACAATATCTCTGAAGTGCAGTAAAGTGCAATGAAACCATGTATGCCTATACATACATTCCAAGATATAACTCTGAGTATATTGGGTATATTTCTGGACCTTATCCTGTTCCATTGAGCTAATAGTCATAATCTTTATTATTCTAATTCCTCTATATTTGTTATTTCTTCTAATAGATGGTAGGGCTGTCTCTGATTACCCTTTTTTTCAGGAATTTACTGTTTTCTTGATTGTTTTCTTTTTTGTACACAATTTATAATTTACTTACCAAATTTAAAAATAATTATATTGCCATTGTAAATAAACTTGCATTAAACTTATATCTAAGATAGGGCCATTTGCTTCTTTATGATAATTCAGATTTCCTACTAAAGAATTGAGTATGGGCTGGGTGTGGTGGCTTATGCCTGTAATACCAGCACTTAGAGAAGCCGAGGCAGGTGGATCACTTGAGGTCAGGAGTTTGAGACCAGCCTGGCCAACACAGTGAAACTCTGTGTCTACTAAAAATACAAAAATTAGCCAGGCGTGATGGTGCACGCCTGTAATCCCACCTACCCAGGAGGCTGAGGCACAAGAATCACTTGGATCCAGGAGGTGGAGGTTGCAGTGAGCCGAGATCACGCCACTGCACTCCAGCCTGGGTGACATAGTGAGACTCTGCCTCAAAAAAAAAAAAAAAAAAAAAAAAAAAGAATTGAGTATGTTTGCTTTTTTCAAGTAATCTTTGCATTTCCCGTTAATGTGTTAACATTTTCTTCAAAAATGTTTTGACATCAGTTTTTGTTTCTATTTTCTAAATGGAAAAAATGCAAATATATATGAATGTATATCATTATAAATTGAAACTAAAATTACAATTATTCCCACAGAAGAGATAGTTGAAAGAAAGTAAGTGAAAGGAAAAGCAAAGAATCCTATGATTCTCTTACTCTTTTTCAGAAGAATATAGATATTGATAGACTTTGGGAGAGAAACATGCATAGAATTCTGGTCTTATGTTGGGATGAGTGATAAGACTAAATGTAGAATGAATAGTAATTTTCAAATGAGCATTAAGGGGGAAAACACCAAAAATTTTATGTGCCAAGGAAATTAAAGGAAACCAAAAGAAATATTTAAATAGCAGAAATCCATCCTAGTGTTCCAATAATTACATATGGCTTAAAATCATTCATTAAAAGAAAAACATCGTCAGCAGATAGGAAAAAACAACTGAAAAATTCCCAAAGGTCCAGCATTATTTTATAAATGTGAGTTACATTTGAAATTAAAAGACCCAGCCGGGCGCGGTGGCTCATACCTGTAATCTCAGCACTTTGGGAGGCCGAGGCGGGTGGATCACCTGAGGTCAGGATTTCTAGACCAGCCTGGCCAACATGGCGAAACCCCATCTCTACTAAAAATAGAAAAATTAGATGGTGCTCACCTGTAATCCCAGCTACTCGGGAGGCTGAAGCAGGAGAATTGCTTGAACCTGGGAGACAGAGGTTGGCAGAGGTTGCAGTGAGCTGAAATCATGCCACTGCACTGCAGCCTGCGTGATACAGCGAGACTCCTTCTCGAAAAAAGAAAAAAATTAAAAGACCCAGAAAATATGAAAATGAAGGGACAGAAAATGATAGACTTGGCCAAAAAACACCAATAGAAGCCTGTGGCTGCAATTTTAAAACCTGAGCAGAGGGAATATAAGGTGAAAAACTTTGCAAGGTATGAAAGTAGATGGTTCTTCAAACTGTGAAATACCAAGAATTATAACATTTATCAACACATATATAGCTAATGATATATCCTTAAACTATGTAAAATTTAAACTAGGTGAAATAGTTAATTGTACCACTAGCCACTTTAACCCAGCCTTTTTCAGAAACTAGATGATGAAGCAAAGAAAAAAAAATTTTAAAACTTTGCTGTAATATGGATCATCACACAGAGCATGAAAGCATGAAATTAAAAATAAAAAGTAAGCAGCTAGTGAAAAATAAATATTCCCTATGCACATTAAAATATTTTACATAAATATGTTTAAAGAGAAAGCATAAATCACCTTACAAAATACATACAAGTAAACATCAAGAGGCACATTTCAAGGTTTATGCAGTAAAGCTAAACTTACAGGTGGACGGAAAATTATAGATTTGAATGTCCATTTATTCCTTTCCTATACCCATGAACTTTCCTTCCTGTTAGAAATGATCTTTCCACTGAACCCTTTCCCCTCCCTTCCAGTTATCTCCTCTCTTTCCTATCACATCACTTTTCCCCTTCTATGCTGGGCCATTCTCACAAGCATGCAACATGCAGAAATATTTTCCATCTGAAAAAATCTGCCCTTGACCCCTTATCCACTCCCAGCCAAGGCGTTTCACCAGAGGAATAAGTAATTCCTGCAAGCTCACTGACAAAACCTGTGACTTGCAAAACAGTTTAATGTCTTCTCCTGTTAGGTGGGTTTTGGGCCAGGGACACATTTCCTCAAACTGGGGCGAGGCTGGGGGTTACTCTCCTATAATCTCTGTGGTACACTTCTTTGCAGGTCTTGGGAATCTCAATTATGCCAACCCCTGACCCTCAATTATTCCCCTTTTATTCTGTAAGCTGCCATTCTTACTACCAAGGGTCTCATACTTTTTACCTAATGTTGTGGTATAACAGCCTGCCAAAGAGAACATCAGCACTTACAGATCAGCCTCACTCATGAATAGTGATGGAACTGTTATAAATGAAATATCATCAAGCAGAATCCATCAATTCCTTTAAAAGTCACTCATTCTGACCACGTGGTCCAATATTATAAAATCTATAATCCACCATATTAACATATCATCAGAGAAAAGCAATGTCACAAAATTTCAACATCCATTCTTGATTTTAAAAAGTATCAAAGTCAAGCATCCCACACTTCCAGTTCCTTCCCCAAACTCACCCTAGGGATTGTCACTGAAGTAGTGAAGGCTGATTAAGAACAGCCAGAACTCTTCATTTGGGAATGAGTCCCTTATAAGTCATCTTCCTTTGTCTTGTCTTATACTTTTCCAGAATTCGTCTCTGGCTGATTAAGATGGAGACCATGCCTCCTTTCTTTTGGGACTTCCTTATACACTGATGATGTTCAGAATCCTTTATTTTAGATTGAGTCTTTTATCTTTATAAAGTGTCTTCCTTTGTCTTGTTTCATTCTTTTGCCCTGGAATTCTACTCTGGTTGATATTAAGATGGAGGCCTTGCTTCCCTTCTTTTGGCTTTTTCTGATACACCTTTGCTTATCCTTTTACCATCATTCTGAATCTTTGTTCATTTTTCTATATAATATGTGAAAGATGTGTTTTATATTATACTTTCTAATTTTAATGTTTCTTTTTAATATGTTTCACTATATGCTCTATTTTGCTTTGTTTTTTGTTCTTTCTAATAATTTGAAAGGGTCGGCTGGGCGTGGTGGCTCACACCTGTAATCCCAGCACTTTGGGAGGCCGAGGCAGGCAGATCACCTGAGGTCGGGAGTTTGAGACCAGCCTGACCAACATGGTGAAACCCCGTCTCTACTAAAAATACAAAATTAGCCGGGCGTGGTGGCACATGCCTGTAATCCCAGCTACTTGGGAGGCTGAGGCAGGAGAGAATTGCTTGAACCCAGGAGGCAGAAGTTGCGGTGAGGCAAGATCGCACTATTGCACTCCAGCCTGGGCAACAAGAGCCAAACTCCGTCTCAAAAAAAAAAAAAGAAAGAAAAGAAAGGAAAAGAAAGGTTTAAATTCTTTTTTTGGTTCTTTAAGTGGTTACCTTTATAACATTAATTTTATAAATTATAATTAATATTCTAATTATTATAACACTATTAACTGTCCACCTTGAGTAGTGACAAGATTTGTATATGTTATTTCAATAATTCTTTTATTAGTTTTCCTTCAGCCTTGTATTTGAAGGCTTATCAGTTCAACTTGCCTGGGTCAATTTTTAAGAACAAATTATATACTGATTTTCCTCTCTTCCATATTTCTGTCATTTTTTCCCTATTATATTTTGAAGTATTTGTTGATTTCCACTTCATTTTGTTTACTGGCCATAATCCTTTCTTTGTTCCTACCTGTTTTGACAGGAACTGTTAAAGACATTCATATCTGTATTGATTTTTTGTTTTTTTAATCACTTCAAATGGTCATGTCAATGTCTTTTCAAAGTTGATGACTTCAAATCAGAATCCAAATAAGGTCCACACATTTGTTCCTATGACTCTGTCAAGAACTGTGAACAGTCTGAGATTTTTACCCTACTTGTGAGCTAATGTTAGCCTGCGACAGTGTCCTGGATGCTGGCAAAAGAGATATGAAACTCTGGGCTAGAGAAAAGGACTTTATTACTCATGGCAGTCGTGGTAGCTAGAGTCTTAACATTTGTGCCAGCTCCCCAAGTCCTGATTCCTACAGGGTGACGTGAAGAGAGCCAGGTGATGCACAGTGGGTCGCTTAGGTATCCTGAGTCTTTTATACTGAGTAGTAAGCAAACTTGTCCTTTGCTCTGGAGGGAGACACAATATATATTTCCAAGGCTGTTTGCTCTGCAAACATCCTCGAAAAGATGGCCTGGAACAAAAGGCAGTGTGGCATAATAAAAATATATATATTTGGTTCCTGGCACAGAGCTCTGAAAATTCTTGTAATTTCCTGAGTGGATAGGGGTGCCAGGAACATCTGTTGTTCTAATATTTGGTCTTTGACCCTAGTTCTTGACACAGAGCTCTTAATCCCATGCAATTTCCTGGGTGATAGGAGCATCTTTTGTTCTAATGAGATGACCTTTTTTTTTTTTTTTGAGATGGAATCTCGCTGTATTGCCCAGGCTGGATTGCAGTGGCGTGATCTCGGCTCACTGCAAGCTCCGCCTCCTGGGTTCATGCCATTCTCCTGCCTCAGCCTCCCAAGTAGCTGGGACTACAGGCGCCCACCACCATGCCCGGCTAATTTTTCATATTTTTTTTTTTAGTAGAGATGGGGTTTCACCGTGTTAGTCAGGATGGTCTCAATCTCCTGACCATGAGATGATTCTTGATGGGCTCCTGGATAGCTTCAGGAGTGGGGCTGATCACCAGAAAGACCAAGCTGTGATTAGAAGCTTGGAACTTTCAGCCTCACCCTCATCCTCTGGGGAGGGAAGAGGGGCTGCAGATTGAGATGATCATCATGCCTATGTGATGATGTATCCATAAAAATCCCTATAAACCAACCCCTGATTTATAGCCAATTGGCCAGAAGTACAGAGGCCTGGACTTGTGATTGGTGTCTGAAGTAGGACAGTCTTGTGGGACTGAACCTTAACTTGTGGGCGTATTAAATTGTAGAACACCTGTTGAAGTCTGCAAAAGATGTGGTTTGGAGAGCTTCAGGATTGGTGAACATGGAGGTGCTGGGTGGATGGCACGCCCGGAGAAGACGTAGAAGCTCTGCGCCCCTTCCCACATACCTTGCCCTATGTATGTGGATAGGGGTGCTAGGAACATCTGCTGTTCTAACATTTGGTCTTTGACCCTTGTTCTTGACACAGAGCTCCTAATCCCATGCAGTTTCCTGGGTGATAGGAGCATCTTTTGTTCTAATCAGGCTGTTTATCTGGCTGTTCATCTGTGTCTTTTGTAATATTCTTTATAATAAACCAGTAAATGTAAATAAGTGTTTTACTGAGTTCTATGAGCTATTCTAGCAATTATTGAACCCGAGGAGGAGTTTGTGGGAATCCCCAATTTATAGCCAATTAGTGGGAAGTACAGGAGACCTGGACTTCTGATTGGTGTCTGAAGTGGGGACAGTCTTGTGTGGCTGGGCCTTAACCTGTTAGTGTCTGTTCCAACACTGGGTAGTTAGTTCAGTATTAAAGTATGGAACACCTGTTAGAGTCTGCAAAGAATTGCTCGGTGTGGAAAACCCCACACATTTGGTGTCAGAAGTGTTCTGTGTGAGTGGAAGGAAAAACAGTTGTTTTTTTCCCTTTTTCAGGCAATCAGTACCTGTCCTCACAAGATCTGCAGAAATGTGAGAGCCCCGTAGAGAACTGTCTCACATCTCCACCTTGTTTCTACACTGTCTTTGATTCTGCACATGTTCCCATGAGTACACTACTCCACTGGTTACTTTAATTATTCTGTCAGAGGCTAGGGCCAAATCTGTGCAATTTGTCTCATGCAGCACTTAATTAAGGGTTGATCAGCAGTGCTCCAAGCAGCAGTCTGGCCAATACTGGGCCAATACCAGCAACACCGGGCCAATCCCCAGTATTTTCCTCAACCGTAACCCTTAGGGTTCCAGGCCCAACCAGCTGAACAAATCCCATAAACCATTAAGGTCTGTCTCCCTGATAAAACCAGGTGTTTTTCTCCTTAACTTTCTGGCTTGACCTTTCTACTTGGCTTCAGGCCTAATCCAGGTAACATGATGTATTAATATTAGCAATCGCATAAATTCTATCTTGACCCCAAAGGGCAATTTCATTATCCATAACGACCTTGGACAGCAAGTTGAGGCTGACCAGAATGTTTCCAGGGCCAAGGTAGCATTATTAATCACCTCGGCTAAAATCAGGGACAGATTTGCTACCACCTTTTCTAACTGGATGATTCCTATCATGGGAATAACTGCTTGCAGGGTACACATAAATAACAAGCCAGTTTATCCCTCTAGGAAGTTCCTCCTAGCAACAATGGGTAGCCTTGTTTTGGTGAGGTCTCAAGAGTCATTTGAGGGTTACGTGAACCGCTGGTAGTGATTCCTTACACACTTGCAGGTCTCTAATGAGCCCCACTCAAGATGCAAATCACCATATTTTGGGAGGGAACAAGTTAATGTCTGACTTACACACAAAGAGTACAATCTCGGCCGGGTGCGGTGGCTCATGCCTGTAATCCCAGCACTTTGGGAGGTCCGAGGCAGGCGGATCAGGAGTTCGAGACCAGCCTGGCCAACATAGTGAAACCCCGTCTCTACTAAAAATACAAAAAAAAATTAGCCGGGCGTGGTGGCAGGTGCCTGTAATCCCAGCTACCCGGAAGGCTGAGGCAAGAGAATCACATGAACCTGGGAGGCAGAGGTTGCAGTGAGCCGAGATCATGCCATTGCACTCCAGCCCAGGCGACAAGTGAGAGACTCCGTCTCAAAAAAAAAAAAAAAGAAAAAGAAAAAAGAAAACTACAATCTCAGGGTGACCCTGGGAAGAAAGTGTTGTTTAAAACTGAGGGGGCTCCCTAAGTAGGAACCACAGCAGTCCAGGGACACAGGGTGAGAGTACCTCCAATGTGATCTCACAGCCCACTGATAGTCTTTAATTAGTTAAGATAAAATCCAAGCAGTGTAAGAAATTGAATGTATTCAGGCTACTGCAAAAGGAGAGTGCCTCAGATCTGGAGATCAGAGTGTCTGGGAGGGGTGGTTTTGAATCTTACTTTTATAGGTTTGAGTGGGGAGAGTTCCAGTGTGGAGGTGGGTTGTTGTTTTTGCATTCAGGGGAAGTCCTAGTCAGCTGAACAGGGAAATGTTTATCTTTGTGGCTAGCTAGTTTCAGGAAAACAAGCTTCCAATCTCAGTTAATCATTCATGAGACACAGAACAGGACGTTAGAGGGTCTGTCTCAGGTGTTTTGGCAGGTTCAGGCAAAAGGAGAGTGGTCTGTGTTTGGCTTTTTCACAGGTAAACCCGGGAGTCATGAGAAAGAGTGGACAGCAAGCCTTATCTAAGCCACGTGGGGGAGAGGGGTCTTTTGCAGACAGTGTTTCCAAAACATGAAACGGGGAGGGTGGTTCTTAACTGTTGCTATTTTCAGAGTTCTGGTGGAATTCAACATTGTCAGACCCCTTCTTGTTCAAGGCAGCTATAAGGTTGTCCTTGAACAACTGTCTGGAAATGAGGCTACTGGGGATACCAGGTCTACACCATTGTCAGTCTAGATTTGATCTCCACATGTAACTTTGTTGGCTCAGATTTGGCCTCTGGGCACGAAGTCAGTTGGCAATGCATTTGTTGTCAGGTCTGCTGGATTGTGATATGTTGAATCATTTGTCGAGACTGGCTGCAGTGTGGCACTAAGACTCTGGGCAGGCTGTATCCCCAATTGCAAAGTGTAAGATTATACACAGGAGAAGGATTAGTAATCCCTGCCATCTACCTGAAAGCTAAGATCTTCTACTTCCAAATTCTGGCCAGGAGAACTTGCCCCATAGGCCGTTCATGTGAACCTTAGAGAGGCAAGTAGCCTTTCCCTGGAGTTTAGTGATTGACTATTCTACAAGGCCTGTGGTGTTCATCCAAGTAGAGCAAGAGGTGTTAGCTATGGTGCAGACACCTCCTTGACCAGCTGGGAGGAAGGCAAGAGCTACATGATTGTACTAATTTGAGCCAGTGAGTTTCAACTTATTTGCTATGTTGTAGGGCAGAGGTAGTATCATATCATTTATTACTTCTGCAAGGGTTTTGGAGAGATTTGGAGCTACTTTTTCTAATTGCGTAATTCCTTGAGTGGGTAAAATGATCCTTATAGTGTGCATAAAGAGAAAATCACTGCCACCCAGAGGGTTACCAAACACTCTAGTCAGGGATTGCTGTTAGGGGAAAGAAAGAAGATAATACCCAGAAATATTCAAGACAGAATTTCAGATTTTCAAAACATGTTCATATGACCCTCGACACTTTTTGTTCTGATCATTACCCAGGGAGAAGCTGAAAGAAAATGATCCCTTTCTGGGGTCAGGCATATTCATGACCAAACTGCCTTACTAAGGTTTGCGGACCAGGAGGAGGCAAGGGAGGTAGACTCTGAAGTCCTTTTGAGTCAGTTTTTGAGGAGGCTTTTCCAGTGCTTAATAATACCAGATGCCTGTGGACGGTAGAGAATATGGAAGTCTGTCGAATACCTTGACATCAGCCCATTGTCACATGGATTTTGCAATAAAAGGTACACCATTTTCAGGCTGCGAATAGTCCAGAAAACTGAAAATAGCCACAATTATGAGGCCAGAGCTGGCTGAGCAGATTGAAACAGCACCACTTTTACCTGAGGAGACGTCAACAGTGGTGCAACCTCAGTGAAAGCTCTTAGAATGGGCTTAAGGAATGATGCCATCAATTTGCCAGGAGTGAGTGGGGCCACACGTCATGTGATGTGACCTTTCTTATCACAATGGGTAATCTTTTAGAAGGAGTCAGAAGTTTGGCATGCAGTGGTAGCTTCTGCATCAGAAACTTAAGAATCTTGTAATTTGTGCCCAGTCTGTGACAATGGATGCATTGCCATCACCAATGGATGATGGATCCAGGCAGCAGTGACTTTAGTATGAATAGTATGGAATCAGCAGCTTGATTTCACTCAGTTTCATCAGAGAGCGGATCCTTACCATAGGCATCTATGGGGTGACCCAAACCACTCAGCTAGTAGCTACAATTTGTTTCTACAGTCCATGGTTCCAAAAAGAGCTGACTGATCTCAGTCTGTAGTCTTCCAAGTGGGAGACTGAAAAGCTATGCCATTGGCAATAGCTCAAGAGTTAAGAAATATAAAAGAGAATATTGAGCAGAGTTACGACAGTGGCCTTGCATTCTGCCTGCTGAGCAGAGCACCCACATCCATTCTCAGTTCTGCTGAGGTTGAACAGCCACATGGCCCAGTGGAAACCATCAGGTTTCAGCTTAGCCAGACCATTAGTGGATCAGGTCCAGGCTTTTAGGGGAACCTTTGTGAATTGAGGGCCCCATTAAGCCCAGCAGCCTTGCTCTAGTTGGCAGAGTGAGAAATAAATTTACCCCCAAAGGGGTAGTTGTCCCATTTTCATGTAAAACCGAGATGCCACTGGGGACAGGCCAGTTATACTCTTGAATATACTATTGGGCCCTTCCTACCTTGTTAGTCATCAAGTCTGAATCAGCCGACCCCAAAGTGGGAATGTCAGTCAAGCTGGAGAGTCACAAGGCCTCCACTGGTCAGGTGTTCAGTTTCGACAAGGGCCCAGTAGCAAGCTAATAGCTATCTTTCGTAAGGGGTGTTGCTGGTGACTCTGTAAGGACAATGAAAAATCCAAAACCCAAAGGGCTCTTCTGGGTGGAGGTTGCCTCCCTTTGTTAGAGATCCCATTAGGCAAAATCACCAGTTACAAACACTAGTAGCTCAACAGGGTCATTTAGGCTTTGGGGACCCTGAAGGTAAGGAGCAGAGAATGTGCCACAGCTTGCTGGACAGCATCCTCCACTGCCTGTTGGGTTGGGCCCCACTCAAAGGACATTGGTTTGCAGTTTATCCAATATAAAGGATCTAGTAGAATGTCCAAGTGAGGCACATAATGTCTCCCATACCTAAAGCATCCAGAATGGTCTCTTTTGGGGCTTTCTTTTAGGTGTGATGTTCAAAGAGATGGAGATTTTTCCTTGACTGAAAGAGGGACAGAACATTGTGAATCCACCCAGAGGTCCCAGATGCTTTACTTGATGAGCAGGCCCCTGAACTTCGTCAGAATTTACCAGCCACCTCTGATGGCAAAGGTGTGCTAATACCACCGTCAGAGCCATTGAGATGGAAGCTTCTGACTTGGCAACCAAGAAGACTGATCTCTATAGTGAAAATTTTGTACATCAGAGGGTAGAGGTGGTCACACTAAAGCCTAACCTACTCACTGGTGTTAAATGACAGGGTACTCATTGCCCCTGGGAGAGTACTGCAAACCTGTGTTGAAGGCCTTTGCCACATGAATGAAAATTGATCTTGGCCCTTGGTGTCAAGACCTGAGATTTTACCCTACTTATAAGCTAATAATTGGGCTTGCCACAGTTGCAAGTGTGCTGGCGGAAGTCACCAGATTCCTGAGTCAGTGATAAAAGACCATTACTCAGAGAAAAAGACGTAGCCAGCATCAGCTTGGCTGCATGTTGGAGAAAAGATTAAAAATAAAATTCCTGGCAACCCAGGAAATCCTCTCCACAAATATAGAATAGAAAGAAAAGAGTTTTATTATTGAATATGCACTAAACCACACTGCAGTGTGCATCACAAGAAATCTGCTAATGAAATTGCAAAGACAGAAGGAAATCTCACCCTTGTATGTAGCCGGGCGGATTCATGTTCTCAAGATAAATAACTTGTCTCATGTAAGAAGAACTGATAGCACCATTTGCTGTATATTCTTTCATAATTCATCCTAAGTTTACCTGGTAATTGGAGTGGCCATCTGTGCTAGTTAATTGCCCTTATCCAAAGGCAAAAATCAAACTTCTATATATGACATGCAGGTAGTTACAGACTAGAGCCAGGCACCTAGGCTAGACTCCCAGGGTGACAGGGAGATAGCACCTAGGCTAAACTCCCAGGGTGACAGGGAGATAGGATCCTTGATGTTTATATATCAAAGAGATGGCTCCTGAGCTCTTAAGAAAAACATTCTTGGTACATGCATGCGTGTGTTCATGGCAGCACTATTCACAACAGCAAAAACAAGGAATAAACCCAAATGCCCATCAATGATAGACTAGATAAAGAAAATGTGGTACATATACACCATGGAATACTATGCAGCCATAAAAAGGGACAAGATCATGTCCTTTGCAGGGACATGGATGGAACTGGAAGCCATTATCCTCAGCAAACTAACACAGGAACAGAAAATGAAACACCACATGTTTTCATTTATAAGTGGGAGCTGAACAGTGAGAACACATGGACACAGGGAGGGGAACAACACATACTGGAGCCTGTGGGGGGTTAGGGGGAGGCTAAGAGAATCAGAATAAATAGCTAATGCATGCTGGGCTTAATACCTAGGTGATGGGTTGATAGGTGCAGCAAACCATCATGGCACACATTTCCCTATGTAACAAACCTGCACATCCTGCACAGGTATGCTGGAACTTAAAATAAAAACATTCTTGGATTGTAATACAGGCAGAAGACTTGTTTAGCTTTTAAAAATTCATACACATATCAAAAGAGCAGAGGAAAGATTTACAAATACAAGTTTTTTCAGGAAATGCTCTAAGAAAAGGGAAGAGGGAGGAAGGTCTCTTTTCCTTTTGGTAATAAGGAAAATTTAAATGTTTTTTCTCCTTATGATTTCCCCTTCTTTTATAATAACACTACGGTTTTCTAATTTTCTCTGTCACTCACCATTTCTACCTTTCTTTGGGCAGTTAGACATCTAAAGATCCAGCAAATCCATAGTAAAATGCAGAGCAAGCAATTATGAAAATTACCATAGGATGAATTTAAAATGTCAGTGCAACATTTGCATTGTGGGAAAATCCTTTAAGTATGTCTTACCAGTGGTGAATGGTTAAAGCACATTCTTGATTAGCAACGTGCAGAAATTCTCATTTCCTGATATATTACTTTTACAGATTGCTGGTGTTGTCCGTATTGCTTGTTAAGATGATTGTTTAAGTATTATTTTGTAGTTCTTTAGGAAGTCTTACCCAATCCAAGTCTAAGGAGTAGCTTTCCAGGGACCTGATATTCTAATTTTTAATTTAGAGTTTTATAACACCCAATAAATTTCTCCTGAGTTCCTGTCAATCAATAAGTAACACCACATTTATAAAACGTAGCCCTGTAGTACTTGTTCCATCTTCTCAAATAATATGTCCAAGATGCAGAACACAAAGATACCCCTGGCTATTATCGAGTTTATTATTATGAGGCATTCTTTGAAGGGTACAGATTGAACTTCCAGTGCTTAATGTGCTTGGCTCTAATTGTTTTAAGTCTTGAGGAAAACCCCAATCTGTGGGTCATTGCTTGCATTAGTCTAAATCAATAGTAACACCAGGCATGTCAGTCCCCATGAGTAACAGGCATCCACCTGTGTTTATCTGTCCCAGTTTATCTCTGGGACTGGAGAGAATCTGCATCCTAAATTAATCCAATGACATTAAACCTGTTTTCTTCAGTCTCTATCTGTGACTGCCAGATTTGTTTGTCTATTAAGTAGATGCTTTTTTTTATACTATTCTTCTGTCTCTTCTGGTATAGTCATAGTCTAATGCCTATCTATTTCCTTAAAGATGAACAGCCCTGTGATTCTGAACTAGTGATGGTATCTGGGACTATTTTATAACCAATTGCCTTGGACTGTGCAAATGAACCTCTGAGACCTTCGTGGTGATTTTTGGTTCCGTCATTAAATTACTCCAAATAGTTCAATTCTATACTGTTTTCCATTTCCACTCCTATTGAGCTCCCCTTGCTTTAAAATATCTTACATGATGTGATTCATCCAGTTTGTGATTGTATTATGTGCTTTTGTAGTTGTCCCAAAGCACTATGTTTATTATTCAAAGTCTCAATCTCAAAAGAGTTAGGTATATCTGTACCTGTCCCTATTCCTCCCAGGACTGTATTCTAATAAGTCTCCTTTTGCCCTTGGCTGTCCCCGAACAGGCCTGTTAATAAATTTTATATTGGGAAGGCTCAAGGGATACATGTCTAGCTGTGAAGACTGACAGCAGCCTCAGACAGTTCAAGAAAAACCATCTACCTATAATCCTGGGGGCTATTAAAATAGGCTCAGGGCATTGCCATGTTCCAAACATAGTGGCGGGGGGGTGGGGGGGATCTCTCTTATATACATCTTGAGGAGTCTGTTGAAAGGATTCCCACCAGTATGGATGTAATTTACCATCGATGTCTTTACAACTATCAGTAGTTTTATTGAACCAAACCTCTACCATAGTAAAGGTGAGAGAATAAATCACAAGGCTTACTCCTATAGGTATTTTGATTGTCATATAGTTAACAGATTCCTTTTTTCCCTCTAAGGATCCTTCCAGTCAAACCAGTTAACAAAACATTTTTGTATCAAATTTAGGGCTTGAGTATCTGGATGCATATAAGTTACTTTAGTATTATCAAACATTACTAGTGAAGATGGCTCTGCCTTTACTCTGCCAATAATTTGACTGTTGGACTTAAAAGTCCAGATCATGTGTATTCTGAGGATATAATACGGAGTTCATCAGGAAAAACAGGACATGGCGTGGGCACAGGACATGGTCTGTGTAATTGTGGAGACCATTACTGGGAGTACAAAAAAAAGCAGCATAACAAATAACAGATTTGTTTTCTAGTAAAATGAGATTCCTAAGTAATCAAAATAAGCCTATTAAGAACAGGAGAGCAAGGCAGTCTCTGAGGATAGTAGTAATACATTTTCCAGAATACCTCTTTTCAGTCGAATCTCAATACCAGTGTAAGTTACTTTGGAAAACTTAAGTTTCAAGTCTTTTGTCAGTGCTGGCTTCACAAGGAAAGCATGGATCCAACTGTATTTTTTGTTTTTTTTTATTTTGTTTTGTTTTGTTTTGTTTTCCCTTTTTTTGAGATGGAGTCTTGCTCTGTTGCCCAGGCTGAAATGCAGTGGTGCGATCTCAGCTCACTGCAACCTCCGCCTCCTGGGTTCAAGTGATTCTTGTGCCTCAGCCTCCTGAGTAGCTGGAATTATGGATGTGCACCACTGCACCCGGCTAATTTTTGTATTTTTAGTAGAGACAGGGTTTTGTCATGTTGTCCAGGCTGGTCTGAAACTCCTGGACTCAAGTGATTGCCTGCCTCGGCCTCCCAAAGTGCTGGGATTACAAGACTGAGCCACCACACCTGGCCCAACTGCATTTTTCTTTTACTTTGATAGCAGAGTGGGTGATCACAGCACTTGAAAAGGTGAGCGACGGCCTGTCTTTTCCCAGGAACACTTTCATGTAGATGAAATCTCCTGGTTGAAAAAGGTGGCAGACTTCTTCCAGCAGGTCCATCCAGATCTTTATGACTTTATATCTTAGGGTTCCTAAGGAAGAGAGGAACTCTTCTAAATATTGAATATGATTATAAGAAGATTCAATTAAGTTAGGCACAGGACATGGTCTCAGACCCACATCATAGGTCTGCCAAACATAAGTTCAAAGGGAGTGATACCATGCTTGCTAGCAGGGGTTGCTCTAATTTTTAACAAGGCTAGTGGTAAAGCCATTGGCCATTTTAATTCAGAAAGTCAGTGAATCTTGGCCAATGAGTTTTTTTAGACTTTGATTCATTTGCTCCACTTGTCCAGAGGACTGAAAATGATTGATAGAGCATATAATAGTTTATAGGATTCTGCAAACATTTGCATAATTCCTGAACAACAGAAAATAAAAGGTCTTACTCTGATTCAATCTGCTTTTGTATCCCCAAAGTGAGAATTATGTTTATTAAGGAAAACTTTACCACTGCCTGAGCAATGACTTTTGAAGAGGGCAAAACTTCAGGGCATTGATACACACCATAACTAGACAAACATCTCTTACCTTCTGCGGGCATTGATTCTATGAAATCCAGCTGCCACCAGGTTCCTGGTATGTTGATTGGGGAAAACTTCCTGTGCTTACCTTGGGAGTGGTCTGTGAAGACTTTTGCTGACAAATAGCACATCTCTTTACTATGTTTTGAATAAATTCATCTTTTTGGTAGGCATAGTGAGAGTCTGAAACCTTTAAAATCCATCTTTTATGTAGCTGATTTTGTTGCTGACACAATACTAACCAAGTAAATAAAGACCAAGGAGTAGGAATTGTATTGTTAGCTAATTCCCATAGTACAGCCCCCCTTCCTTAATCCATTTGCCCATTTTCTTTTGGAATGCATATTTTTGAAAATAAATGAAAGTTTCTTGTATTAGAATTGGGGCTTCTGAGCTGGGTGTCAGCCGTGTGTTAACCGTAGTTTTTACAGCCCTATCAGCAGAATCATTGCCTTTAGAAATTTTGTTTTTCTGCACTATGTGGTCTCTACAGTGGATTATTTTATCTTACTCAGCAGTTGTGAAGCCTCTCATAACTCGGATATTAATTTTCCATGAGATATTTTAGTTCCCATGAAGTCAAGAATCCATTTTTTCAAATTTCCCCTATTATATGACAGACACCAAACACATGTTTATTGTCAGTATATAGATTCACTTTAAGTCCTGAACCAAGAGTTGTAGATCCCTAGTAGCTGCTATTAGCTTGTCTGCTTGTGCTGATTTAATTCCAGGCAAAACATAAGCGTTCAAGATTTCCTGAGCAGTCACCACAGCATAAGAACCCTGAAGGTGGCCCTTCTCATCCCAGGTATATGCCCCTCAGTAAACCTTATCAAATATGCATTTTGAACGGGAATATCAGAAAAATCAGGTTGCTGCCTAGTATCTTCTATTACTGTTGTACACTCATGATCATCTATTTGACCAGGATCTGGTAAAAGAGTAGCTGGTTTTTGAAGATTGCATCTTCCAAGCACAAGATTAGGATTGGGTAATAATGCTGATTCATAATTAATAAGATAGTGCACCGATAAATGCTGGGTCTTATGCACTTGTAAGATAGTTGTCATAGCATGAAGGGTATGCAGAAGAGTCAGGTGACCCAAGGTAAGGGTTTGAGCCTTTTCACTAAGTGTGGCAGCTATTGCTGCTGCTCGGGGGCATCCAGACATTCCCAACAGCATCCAGAAGAACTGGGAAATGAGCTGTCGGTCTATAGCCTAACCCCGCCTTGTGAGTTAAAATTCTACTAGCAGCACTTTTATTTTCATGATAAAACAAGTGGAAAGGTTTTAAAAATTTTGGAATCTCCAAAGCTAGGGGAGAGACCATAGCGAATCTTAGTTATTCAAAAGCCTCTTCGGATTCTAGGGACCAAATCAGAACATTTGGAGAATTACCATGCAGTTGCTCCATCCGAGGTTTTCTGCTCTTTGCAGAAGCTGGAATCCCCTGCTCTATAGTCCCCTAGCAGTTCCCAAAATGGTCTCAGTTGTTTTATTGTAGTAGGCCCTTTCATCTGCAAAATTGCAGCCTTTACCTGACAATAGATTCCCTAAATATTTCACTTCAGTTTGGCAGTATTAGAGTTTGTTTAGTGAGGCCATATGTCCCAGCCAAGCAAGGAATTGTAACAAAGCCAAAGTATCAGTTTTGCATTGTTCTTCAGTTTTAGAGGCTACCAGCAAATAATCTACATATTGAATAATTACAGATCCCTCCAGTGAGACAGATTTCCCTAAGTTTTCCTGTGAGTGGCTCGAGAAAAAGAGTAGGAGAGTCCGGAAACCCTTGAGAGACCATTTGCCATAAATATTGAACTTCATCATAAGTAAAACCAAACTAGAATTTAGACTCATTAGCTAGAGGAACAGAAAAAAAATGCAGAACACAGATAAACTACACAGGAAAAATTTTCAGACAATGGCACTGAAGTCAGAGTAGTTGCAGGCTTAGGAACTAATGGGGTTAATGGAGCAACAAATGTATTTACTTCCCTAAGGTCTTGTATAAATCTATATAGTGGTTGTCCGTCTTCATCAAATGTACCTTTCTTGACTAGAAGTATGGGACTATTACAGGGTGAGTGCCCTTTTAAAATTATTCCTGGTTTTTCTAATTATTTTATACATGGTTTTATTCCTTCTGATTGAGCTCTCAACAAAGGTTATTGTGTTATACATGGCCATAGCTTATCTTTTTGGTAAGCTATTTTTATTGATTCGATATCTTGAATTAAACCAGTATCATTATTCTGTGGGGCCCATTGATTTGTTTCAGTTTGGGGTACTTTTCCAGCACGGTGTGAGATTGCTACCCTCTGCCATCCCCTTTTCTTTCTAAAGGCACCTAGTAACCAGATCAGGTGCCTTTTCCTCTAGGCATCTCCACAAGCACTCCATCTGGAGTAGAGAATATGGTAGCCTTTATTTTGCACAGCAAATCTGCAAGGAAGTCTCTCTTCAATAGCTTTACAGGAGGATCAGGAGAAAGTAAGAAAGCATGTTCGTTATCAGAGGACCTATCTTTATGGGAACTGTGGAGGGAAAGAAACAAGTAGAAGGCTGACCTGAAATGTCAGCAGCCTGTATTAACCTGTCACCAGACGGCAAGTGAGAAATTTGAGGCAGTTGTAGAATAAGTAGCACCAGTATCTACCAGAAAAGGCAAACATAGGTTAGCCTGAGGGAAAGTTATTGACACTTGCTGTTCACTAGTTTCCACCCCTGAAACTCCCTCAATCTGCCAGTTTTGAGCCAATTGCCAGTTGTTCCTTAGTGGAGGGTTTTCTCCGGGGCTTTTCTGATGTCTCTCTGTTCCTGCAATTTCTGCATCCTCTGGGGTCTCTATAATCCCTCTTCCAATGTCCTGGCTTCTTACTCTAATGACAGTTTTCTCTTTGTCCTTGGCTCCCTTTGTATATTGTCCAGGGTAGCGTGATTCCTTTGGAAAATAGTTGTAACTGAACAGTTAACGCAGTGGAGTTTGTTTGTTTGTTTGTTTTGTTTTGTTTTGACACAGAGTCTTGCTGTGTCACCCAGGCTGGAGTGCAGCGGCACAATCTCGGCTCACTGCAACCTCCGCCTCCTGGGTATAAGTGATTCTCCTGCCTCAGCCTCCCGAGTAGCTGGGACTACAGGCATGTGCCACCATGCCTGGCTAATTTTTGTATTTTTAGTATAGACAGGGTTTCACCATGTTGCTCAGGCTCATCTCGAACTCCTTGGCCTCAAGCAATCTGCCCATCTCAGCCTCCCAAAGTGCTGGGATTACAGGTGTGAGCCACCATGCCTGGCCTTACAGTGGGTTTTAATTGCTTCTCTTCTTCATCTTTCTCTAACTTGTCCCAAAACTAAGTAGCTGCTGCTAAGATTTGAGTAATAATCCGTCCTTGGCTGAGACAAAGGCAGACAGGACCAGAGAGTGGTTTTGATCTGTCCCTGGATTTGCACTGGTAAATTTTGAGAAAGCCTCAACAAACTGCTGAGAGGAGTCAACAAGGAACACACTCATCTTCTAGGTTCACTGCTGTAATTTCTGCCAGCTCACTTTTAGCAGAAAGGGGTTCAAGTATGGGCATTAGCAACCCTTTTTAATGGGTCCCTAAAGTCCTTGTTCTTCCATGGCCATGGGGGATGGCAGATAGTAGCAGTCTTTTGGCCACTATTCCTCCTATTGTGACAGGTCATCTTCCAATCCCTAACATGCCTGTTCCATCAAATAAGCACAGCCTGCTGGTTGCAGAATTCCATGCAGGAGCCAGGGTACATCCCCATATTCAGGGTTGTAAACTGGAAACACACAGCCAAGTTCTTGTGCAAACTTCTGTGGCTCTTGCCTGGGCACAGGAAAGGAAGTCCTTGTGTGAGTAATACTGGCTGAGTTGAAGGCATATAGATTCTTACCATTTCAGGTTCCCCTTGTGTAGGTCTGGGGTAGCTTTGTGATGGCATCAGCCTTATTGGTGATGCAGATAGGAAGGGCTGCTGTCCTCTCATTGAGTCAAGAAAGATGTAGAATTAGATAGCACTTGGGATTCCTTTTCCATATTGGTATATATCAGCCTAACACACCTTTTTTGTTTGTCTTTTCCAAGTAGCTACTGCAACTGCTGTCCATCTTGTCACCTGCATATGGGGACACAGTCTTGTATCTCAGTTATTCCCTGATGATGTTGCTTTATTACCTGTGCTTCCCTAGCTATATGGTATGTGGATAATAAAGGACTGTTGGAGGTGCAATCTAGGCTAAGCATGAAATGGAATCAGGGCACACAAACCTCACACAGGGCAGATAATTCATTGCTGGTGAAAACAGTTGGGCTTTTGTCCCTCTTTGCAGGGAAACCCCCTAAGGGAACCACCCATCTCAAAGATTATGGCTTTCTTCTTACCAGGAATCAATTTGAGGCCACGGGGGTGGGGGTGGGTAGAGATAAAGAGGTCGATGCAAGGGGAACAGAGTGAATGGGGACAGCAGAGCAAGGAGGAGCAGGAGGGTTTGGTGAAAGAGAAAGTACCTTTCATTCTCCCATTTGCTCTTCTGTTTTCCTCAATCCTTCCAAATAATTTTTAGCTTTCTTCTTAGAATGACATTCATCCCATAAACATGAGTAATGCATTTGCTTGCAATGAGGTCCTTCTAAGAATCACCACAAATAAGTTAATTCACCCAAATAAAAGGAATCATCCTCAGGTCACACTATAAGACTGGATTCTCATTACAGATGGATTTCATTCCAAATGTTATGTACAGATATGTTAGCCCTTTAAGAGAAAGCCCTGCAGGCTTTCCCATATTTTTCTACCATCAAAGCTAGTGGTGATCCTGATGGAGTTATAGGTTCTGCATTACACATGCTTCTCAATCATAAAATCTGGAATTTGGAAAAGATGATTTGTCTGGCTAGTATTTGAAAATAGCACAGAGCTAGAAGGGAGACATTTTATAATTCACCTTCAGCTGGTCTGCTCGATTCAGGAACTTCCAGGCCATCCCATCCTCATCAGCAGATTGCTAGGGGAAAATTAAAAGTAAAATCTGGCAACACAGGAAATCCTGACTACAAATGTAGGGAAGAAAGAAAACAGTTTTATTATTGAATAAGCATTAAGCCCACTGATTTGCATCACAGGCAATCTGCTAATGAGATTGCAAAGGTAGCAGGAAATCTCACCCTTTTATATAGCCAAGCAGATACAATCCATTACATACGTGTTCTCATGATAAATGATAACTCATCCTCATGTGAGATGACTTGACAGCACCATTTGTTATACATTCTTTTATAGTTCATCCTGTTTACTTGGTAATTGGAGTGGCCACATATGCTAGTTAATTGCCTTTATACAAAGGCAAAAGTCAAACTTCTGTCTCTGTGATAAGCAGGTAGTTACAACTTAGAGCCTGGTGCCTAGGCTAAACTCCAGGGTTACAGGGAGCTAGGAGATAGGATTCTTGATATCTGTATTCAAAGAGATGGCTCATAAGCTCTTAAGAAAAACATTCCTGCATTGTAATGCTGACAAAAAACTTATTTAGCTTTTAAAAAGATTTATGTACATATTGAAGAGAATATAAATCTTCTCAAGGAAATGCTCTAGAAAAGGGAAGAAGAGAAAAGGCATCTTTCCCCCTTGGCAACAGTGAAAATTCAACTCTTTTTTAACCTTATAGGCTAGGGGTTCTCCAAATCCCAATTCCCACAGGGGTGGCTCAGATTGTCCTTGATGAGTGCCTGCACATGCAGTGAGTGAGGTGCACTACAGGAAATGAACAAGCCCAGGGAACCTGCTACTGAACAGCCGCCTGTAAGCAAGGCTCAAACTTGCTTGATGCAGATATAAGCCTGAGACGTGTCCAGGTCAAGAGCAGTCCGGGCCTTGCTGTGTAGTCATACCCAGCAAGATGTGTAGGAGCACAAGAGACCCATGGAAGTGTCTTCTACCTCCAGTGGGGTAGAAAAGAAAGCATAGGCAATGTCCAACACAGTGTCCTAAGTGTCATTCGCTTGTGCAGTGTATTGTTATAGTCACTATGTTTGAAACAGCCAGGACAATGGGAGAAACAACTGAATTCAGTTGGTGGGAATCCCCTGTCAGCCTCCAGCTCCTGCTACTCTTTTTCACTGGCCATATAGGGCTGTTGTATTGACATCTTACATATCTCATGATACCTGCTGCCTTTCTGTCCTTAATTGAAGCTGTGATTGCTCTTTGTCCTCCAGGGATTCTCTCTCTCCTTTTTGTTGGACCACCTGGGAGAGGAAGGGAGATGGATTGGGGAGTGGCTTGCATGTCTCACTACCATGTGTCTACATATGGGAGTCCCTGAACAGGAGAATCCCTTTTGGACTGGATGAGCATTCACAGCACAAGCATGTAAAACATCATGCCAGTGATACACTCAGCCATGGAAGCCCCAATAACCATACACTGAATTGGCCCAAAGGGCCCTATCCACAAGGTCACTTTAGTTTACCTTCCTCACTAATCCCTGCCTAAACCCCATCAGTTGAATTTGGGTGCACCCCCCCGCACCTTGAGATCAGATAGGATGGTCCCTTGGGCGACTGTATCCAACCAAGCCTTAGAAGTCTGAGTCCCTCCCTTCCCTGAAGTTCTCCAGCACACTCAGAGGGGCGTGTATGGTGGCCTTTGGTCCCTCTTGGAAACAGGGAGGCCTCTGTCCCCTCTCTAATAATTTATTAAAAACAGCTGATTTCAGGGTAGAAGGGGACAGAGGGACCAAGCATGTAGTGAGAGAACGCGGTGCCATGCCAGTAAGCAAGTCTTCCCATTTACTTTCAGTTTCAAGCAATGCAGCAGCTGCTCAGGACTCGACCTAGTGAAACTCTCATGTTTTTAGTATGCCCAGAACTCTGTATCGGGCGGCAAGATCAGCCTTACTGACACCATCTGTTTCGACTTTGGGGATGCCTCAGTTCTACAGCCATGGCCACATTGGTTTCTGGTCATGCCCACTGGTGAACTCAGGCTTTACTAGCACAGTAGCAACTTCTTATTTTTAAGATGTCCATTTTAAGCTGGCACATTTGCTGCTCATTTTCCTGATAGCATACCTTAAGTTGTTGCTTAGTTTTAAACATAAAAACGAGGGGAGTTTTCCAGGACAGTGTGAGCTGACCTAAAAAAATCTTGAATTCTTTGGGTCAGTTTCTCATTTCCTAGCATTATAGATCCAATACGGGGCAGTAAGAGCCCAATGCTAGTCAATGCCTCATCTGTGATTTCCCACAAGAGTTCGTCTCAGGCAGCTTACCAAGAGGGCTAACTATAGGCCTAATAACAGCAGCCAGGATCTACTGCAAAAAACCTCTGAGACCTTTTCCTGTTGCTTCTGAAGGGCTCTAAGGTTGGCATGATCGACTGTAGGAGGGGCCGAGCCGTGAACATCCCAGCTGTTGCCATTCTTCCTTAACAAACTTTACATCCCCTCCTGCCTGTCGTGCAACCAGACCAGCCAAAGTTCTGACCATTTTCCTGGTTTCTGTGCCTACCAGTCATGAATTTTCCTCTTTTTGTCTTGAGTGTAGATGCTCTTTTCTGTAACTATTGTCTGCAAAAGGGTTGGGAACTGCACCTCCACCCCTCCCACCAATGATTCTCAATACTGGTTGTTACTAAGGGTAGAAGGGGACAGAGGGACCAGGCATGGAGTGAGATGGTGCGGCGCCATGCCAGTAAGCAAGTCTTCCCATTTACTTTCAGTTTCAAGCAATGCAGCAGCTGCTCAGGACTCAACCTAGTGAACCTCTCATGTTTTCAGTATGCCCAGACCTCTGTATCAGGCATTCCCCTCAATGACATCCCCCGATTGGGGGGAACCTGAGACTGACCATCACATTGGTGAGGAAGTCCTCCACCTGGATGAGAGTTTGGAATAACTAGGAGACTCTTTAAACCTACTTCCTGGCACTTAGTGTGTAAGAATTTCCCCAGTTCCTCCTCAATGACAAGCAATAAAGTGGAGGACCATTTATTGCACAGTTGACCATACAATTTAGTCAACATATTCACTGCTGATTCACCTTAAATCCTCTTAATTGCCCCATATATTAGTTTTCTATCACTGCTGTAACAAATTGCCACGAACTTGGTGGCTTAAAATAACAGAAGTTTGTTATCCTATAGTTCTGTAGTTCAGAAGTCCAAAATGGTTCTCACTGGTCTAAATTAATCAAGATGGCAAGGCTGATTCCTTCCTCAAGGCTCTAAGGAAAATTCCATTTCTTTGCCCTTTCCAGCCTCTAGAGGCCACCCATATTCCTTGGCTTGTGGCTGCTTCCTCCATCTTCAAAGCCAGCAACAGTGAGTCCAGTTCTTCTCACATTGGGTCACTCTAACCTTCTCTTCTTCCTCACTCTTCTTCTTTTAAGGATCCTTGTGGCTACATTGGCCCCACCTAGATGATACATGATAATTTCAGTATTTTAGGTCTGCTGATTTAAAACCTTAATACCGTATGCAACCTTAATTTCCTTTTGCTATGTAGTATAATATATTCACAGGTTCCAGGGATTAGACGATGGACATCCATGGCAGGGAGTTTGGGGGATTATTTTTTCCTTCCAGGGGTCGACAAGGCCCTCATCTTTCCTTTTCCAGAAAGCTACATCTCTGTGAGTGGCCAATCCTAATCACCAGAACTTCAAGAACTGTGAAGAGTCTGAGATATTACCCTACTTGCAAGATAAAAACCCAGCACAGTATCATGGATGCTGGCAAAAAATACAAGACTCCTCAGTAAGAGATAAAGGACTTTATAATACTTGTGGTAGCCGGAGTGTTAGCAGTTGTGCTGCTTCTCTAAGCCTCAGTTTCCACAAGGCAATGCAGAGGGCTAGATGATACCTGCACATACAGTGGGTTCCATTATATGAGAGAAAGCCTAAGTTTATGGACTCCAGATCTTTTATAATGGGCAATAAATCTGCCTCTCCTTTGTCCTGAAGGGAGAAATTACGTTTAGTATAATTTCTAGTATAACCTGCCCTTTGTTCTGGAGGGAGACTCTGTCTTCCAGGGCTGCTTGCTGTATTAACAGGCTTGAAAAGATAAGTTGGAAAAAAGGCAGTCAGTGAGTCTGCTTTCAAGATGTGCAGAGACCTGTGGAGAGCCATCTCCCAACAGCCTCTCAAGTCCCTTTTAATCTATGGCAAATCTCCCAGATTCTCCTCTCTCTTGTTTTTCTCCTTGCTATTTATTTGTTGAAGAAACTGGGCCATTTGCCCTGTGCTATGTCCCACATTTTGGAATTTGCTAATTGTATTCTTGTGGTGTTATTTAACGTGTTCCTGTATCT
This sequence comes from Homo sapiens, assembly GCF_000001405.40. Lineage (NCBI taxonomy): Eukaryota > Metazoa > Chordata > Mammalia > Primates > Hominidae > Homo > Homo sapiens. Next base: position 47,879,995 of record NC_000023.11, read on the forward strand.
TTATATTAATATGAACTGATGAATCTAGAGGCTTGATCAATTCAGATTTAATTTTTTTGGGCAAGAATACTTCATAGGTGGTGTTGAACACACTTGCTAATTCATCCCTCCAGGAGGCACATAATACCAAATATGTCTGTGTGTTCAGGGGTTCTCAGCCTGGTCCATACATTATAAAATTTCTGCAGTCTTTCACTCAGTAGTTTCAGCAGCCATTGATGATCAGTGCTTTCTTTTGAGACAGGGTCTTACTCTGTCATCCAGGCTGGAGTGCAGTGATGCATCACAGCTCATTGCAGCCTCGACCTCCCAAGCTCAGGTTATTCTCCCACCTCAGCCTCCCAAGTAGCTGGGACTACAGGTGTGCACTACCATGCCTGGTTAATTTTTTGTATTTTTTGTACAGATGGGTTTTTGCCATGTTGCCCAGGCTGGTCTCAAATGCCTGGGCTGAAGCGATCTACCCACCTTGGCCTCCCAAAGTGCTGGAATTACAGGCATGAGTCACTGCACCTGGCCTCGTGATCATTGCTTTTATTAGCATTTCTCAGCTGGAATTCTTCTGTAAAGAATAAATTTCCAAAATCAATTATTTGTGTACCCTGAAATGAAGTACTTGTGGGTGGGATAATAATTTTAATATAAAACTCAGTAATACCTCTTTCTTGATATATAAAACACTTCATTGGCAAACTGTTACTTAAAAGAATTCATGCTATTTCCATGATCAGACTCCAGCATACTTACCTGAATGTTTTTCTCATAATCACCTCCCTAATTGTCTTACTTCCATTTTCTGTTGCTTATAACAGAATACCTGAAACTGGGTAATTTATAAAGAAAAGGAATTTATTTCTTACAGTTATGGAGGCTGAGAAGTCCTAGGTCAAGGGACCACATCTGGTGAGGGCCTTCTCATTGGTGGGGACTCTGCAGGGTCCTGAGGTGGTGCAGGGTATCACATGGCTAGGGGATTGAGTGTGCTAGCTCAGTCTCTCTTCCTCTTCTTAGAAAGCCACAAGTTCCATTCCTGTGATAACCCCTTAATCTATGAATGGACTAATCCATTTTGGAGGGTGTGGAGTCCTAATTAGGGAAAAGGAGTTGGGCTAGTGGGACTGAAGGAAACAAAAAGATAAAGCAGATAAGCTACAAGTCTGCCTTTCTTCATGGTCCAGGACACATAGCCCTCCTGCACAAATAACTCGCAATCTTCCTGCTCCCAACTATTACCAGGCCTTCAGCTGATGTTATCAGTACTGCACAAAGCCCTCTTCAGCATACATCATAAACACCATTCTATAAAATCCCCAGCAAGCCTTTCTTTCCTTGCAGTTAGCTCCTCTCTTGCTGGTCTGCCCATTGCACCCTTGCAACATATTTTCCTACTTTCTCTAACAAATCTGCCTTTCTTCACCTACAACTGTCTTGGTAAATTCTTCTTACCCCTGTGCCACCGGCCCCAGATAGTCGCTGCCTACCTATGACAGAGGGGACAGATATTCAAACCATAGGACTGACATATAAATAGTATTCTCTCTTTTTTACAGAGCTGTTTGCTCTTTACTTAATTCACCATGTATTTTCCTGTTTCCACACTATTTTCCTTGTCTCTTCTGGAAAGTATTTCCCCCACTTATCTTTTCAATTAATTTTTTTCCCCAAGAGCCAATTTAAACTGCACCAACTTTATGGAACCTAAACTTACATCCCCAGTAGAATTGACTGTTTTCTATTTGGGGCCCACGGTGTACCCTGAATATATTTCAATATATTTATTTTATTTTATTTTATTTTTAGAGTCAGGGTCTCACTCTGTCACTCAGGCTTGGAATGCAGTGGTGCATCCATAGATCACTGTAACCTCAAACTCCTGGGCTCAAACGATCCTCCCTCCTCAGCCTTCCAGGCAACTGGGACTACAGGCTTATATCACCATGCCTGGCTAATTTTTAATTTTTTTTTAGAGGTGGGGTCTCACTGTGTTGCCCAGCCTAGTCTCAAGCTTCTGGCCTCAAGCGATCCTCCCAAAGTGCTGGGATTATAGGCATGAATATGTTTCTAACATGCCCTTTTGTTTTTTGTGGTTTTTGAAATTGAGTCATATTTGAAATATACTGAATTGCCCAGATCTTAAATGTATAGTTTGATGAGTTTTGACAAGTATATGTGTGTGTATATATATATGTACATATATATACACACCCATATACACACATATATGTACATATATATACACATCCATGCAAATTAAAATATAGAAAGTTCCCTCTTGACCAGTCAGTATTCTCCCCTTGAGGCAACAACCATTGTTAAGGTTTTAAATCCCTGTAGATTAAAATTCTTGATTGTCCTGTCTTTGTAATGGAATCAAACCATCTGTGTCTGACTTCAGTGTTTGGCTTCTGTTTGTAAAATAGCATAATGCTTCTGAGATTCTTCCAGGTTGTTGTGTCTATCCGTGGATTTTTCCTTTTTTGTTGCTGAGTATTCCATTGTATGAAGACACCACAATTTGTGTAGACATTCATGTGTTGATGAACATTTAGAATGTGTCTAGTTTCTGATTATCATGAATCAAGCCTGCTATGGGCATTCTTATATAAGTTTTCTGAGGATGTATGTTTTAATTTCTTTTTAGTAACTACTAAGAAATGGAATTGCTAAATTATATGGTAGGTATATGTTTAACTTTATTAGAAATTGTCAAACAAGGTCTGGCACAGTGGCTCAGGCCTGTAATCCCAATACTTTGGGAGGCTGAGGTGGGCGGATCACTTGAGGCCAGGTGTTCAAAACCAGCCTCGCCAACATGGCAAAACTCTGTCTCTACTAAAAATACAAAAATTAGCCGGGTGTGGTGGCACACGCCTGTAATCCCAGCTACTAGGGAGGCTGAGGCATGAGAATCCCTTGAATCCAGGAGGCAGAGGTTGCAGTGAGCCAAGATCACACCACTGCCTCCAGCCAGGGTGACAGAGCAAGACTCTGTCTCAAAAACAAAAACAAAAACAAAAAAAGAAATTGTCAAACAAGTTTCCAAAGTGATGGCTTGGTTTTACATTCCTACCAGCAATTTTTGAGTTTCTTTTTAATTTTAGCTTTTCTAGTGAGTGTCTATGCTTTCTCAATATAGCTTAAATTGCACTTCCCTTACAACTAATGATGGTGAACATCTTTTCATGTGCTTTATTGGCCATTTGTATATCTTTTTTGTGTCTGCTCAAGTATTTTGCTCATTAAAAAAAATTGGGCTGTGTGTCTTTTTCTTACTACTTTCTAGGAGTTCTTTCTACATTCTTAATATGGGTGTTTTGTATATGTATTGTAAATATTTTCTCCCAGTCTGTGGCTTCACTTTTCATTTTCTCAATAGCGTCTTTTGATGAGCAGAAGTTTTAATTTTGATAAGGTCCAGTTTTTGAAGATTTTCTTTTATGGCTGGGGCTTTTTCTACTATGTCAAGAAATCCATGCTTACGTCAAGGTTGCAAAGATAACCTCTTACATTTCCTTCTAGGGCATTTTTAGTTTCAGCTTTTATGTTTAGGTCTATAATCTAGCTCAAGTTAATTTTTTGTTAACTTTTTCTATGATTTGTTTTCTATTTCTGTTCTTTAGTAATTCCTTTCTTTTACTTCTGTTAGGTTTATTTGGTCCTTCATTTTCTATTAGCTAATGGCTCCTTGAGGGTAAATTTGAGGACACTGATTTAGACTTTTGTAATATAAGTGTTTAAAGCTATAAATTTCCTTGTAAATTTGTCTTTTATCTGCTTTTCACAAATTTTGATACACTGTAGTAAGCAGCCTTCTAAAATGGCTCTCAGTGATCCCCACTACTCAGTATTCACACCCTTGTGTAATCCACTTCCCTTTATGTGTGGGCTGGACCTAGTGACTTGCTTCTAATAAATAGAATATGGCAAAAGTGATGGGATGGCCCTTCTGAGGTTAGGTTATAAGAGATTGTGGCTGGGCGTGGTGGCTCATGCCTGTAATCCCAGCACTTTGGGAGGCCGAGGCAGGTGGATCATGAGGTCAGGAGTTCAACATCAGCCTGGCCAAGATGGTGAAACCCTGTCTCTACTAAAAATACAAAAATTAGCCAGGCGTGGTGGTGGGCACCTGTAATCCCAGCTGCTCGGGAGGCTGAGGCAGAGAATTGCCTGAACCAGGGAGGCGGAGGTTGCAGTGAGCTGAGATCGCGCCACTGCACTCCAGCCTGGGCGACAGAGCGAGACGTCATCTAAAAAAAAAAAAAAAAAAAAAAAAAAGGAGATTGTAAGATAGCTTGCTGGCATACTCTCTCTGGCTCTTCTCGCTTGCTCTGATGAAGGAAGGTGCCATGTTGTGAGCTGCCCTCATCTATTACCTCACAGTTTCTGTAGGTCAGGAATCCAGGTGTGGCTTACATGGGTCCTCTCACTCAGGGTCTCTCACAAGGCTGCAGTCCATGTTGGCTGGGGCTGCATTCATCTTGAAGGGAAGGATCCACTTCCAAGCTTACTCAAGTGATTGTTGGTAAGATTCAGTTTCTTGCAGGCTGTTGTGCTGAGTGATTCAGTTGTTTTAACTTACTAAGTTTTAGAGTGATTTGCTATGCATCAAATAGATAAGTAACACAGATTTTGGTACTGGGAATGGGGCAGCCTGAAAATGTGGGAGTGTCCTTCAAACTGAGAAGTTGGTGGAGGCTGGAAAAGATTTTAAGGAGAATGTTAGAGAAATCCTAAATTTCAGAGAGATCTATGGGTGTACAGCTTTTGTCTAATGGTGTGAACCCAGTGAGATTCACAGAAAATAAAATTTTAGAGCAAACTATATTAGCAGAAATACTACCACTTTGGACTGAAAGGGATATAAACAATAAAAAATGGAAAAACATGTTGGCCCCCCAAAATTCTTTGGCAGGAAGCAGGTTGAGCAAACTCTTTTGTTGCCTTTCATGAAAAAGGAAGGATACCTCAGATGGTGGTGCCAAGGACCCAGAGTGTGGAACCAAAAGCCATGAAGAATTATTCCTAGGCCTCGAGACCTAATCAAAGAACTCCTAACATTTAACCAGTCAGATAATACTTTACTTTCTTCAGCATTTTAAAAGTACCATCCAACTGTGTTTTAGCCTCCACTTCTTCTGTTGAGCAGTAAGTGGTCACTTGAATCACCATTTCTCTGTATGTAATATTTGGGGGGATTTTTTGTTTGTTTTTGGCTTTTCTGGCTGCTTTTAAAATCTTGTCTTCTTTGGTTCTCAATAGTTTGACTATGATGCTCCTAGGAATGGTTTTATGTGGGTTATTCTGTTTGGAATTTGCAAAACTTATTGAATCTATAAGTGTATGTCTTTCACCAAATTTGAGGAGTTTCTGCACATTATTTTTAAAAATACCTTTTCTGCCCTTCTCTCCTTCTGGGTCTTAAATTGCATGTATGTTAGATCTTTTGATTTTTGTCTTACTCATCTGTTTTAGTTTGTTTGTCCTACTGTAACAACATTCCTGAGATTTGGTATCTTATAAACAATAGAAATTTATTTCTCACAATTCTGGAGGCTGAGAAGTCCAAGATAAAGGCACCAGCAGCTTAGGTGTCCAGTGAGGGCTGCTCTCTGCTTCCAAGATGGCGCCTTGTTGCTGTGTCCTCCAGAGGGGGTGAATTCTGTGTCCTCACGTGGTGGAAAGTGTGGAAGGTCAAAAAGGAAGGATGTAGCTAGTTCCCTCCAGCCCTTTTAAAAGAACACTAACCCATTCATGAGCCCTCATGACCTAAATAACTTCCAAAGGTCATACCTCTTAATACTGTTACATTGGGATTAAATTTCAACATGAATTTTGGAGGGACAACAAACATTGAAACCATAGCATCATCCCTGAGACTCCGTTTGTTTTTATTTTCAATTTTGTTCTCTCTGCTTTTCAGATTGGATAATTTCTGTTGGTCTATGTTTAAGTTAATTACCTCTTTCTTCAGTTACCTCTATTCTTCTGTCAAGCCCATCCAGTGAACTTTTTAGTTTCAGATTGTATTTTTCAGTTTTTTAAAATAGTTTATATTTCTTAGTTGGCCTATCCTATTTAATCATTCATTATGAACATATTTGTATGTTTTTGAGCATAATTATAACTAACTGATTTAAAGTGCTTTTCTGCTAATTCTAGCATCTGGATCACCTCAGGTCAGTCTCTGAGTGCATTTTCTCTTGAGCCTCTTCCCTTTCTCTCCACACCTTTCTGTCTCTTTCTCTGTTGAGTTGTTTTGGATTGTATCTTTGTTGTGAAACATACATTAGAGATGCTTGATTCTGTTTAATTCCTCTGACTATTGTTGATTTTTTTGTTTTGCTTTGTGTAGGGAGCACTTAACTTGGCTAGACTCAAACTAGGAAATGTTTTCTCTGTGGTATGTGGTAGCTCAAATTCCAGTTCATTCAGCTGGTCAATCAGAGATCTGGGCAGAGTTCATTCACAGAATTTAGGCACCCTTCTCTCTTTCAATGCCTTTCTGGATTCCCCCTTGATTTTCCAATGGTAGTGATGACTGCAGAACTCCCCTTCAATTCTTCAAGTCAATAACACTGGTGGTTTTCTTTTCTTTTCTCTCTCTCTCTTTTTTTTTTTTTTTTGAGACAGGGTCTCACTCTGTCACCCAGGCTGGAGTGCAGTGGCACAATCATAGCTCACTGAGCCTTGACCTCTCAGGTTTAATCAGTCTTCCCGCCTCAGCCTCCCAAGTAGCCGGGACCACAGGCATGTACCACTTCTCTTGGAATTTTAGTTACCCCACGTGGCACTGACTGGGCCTATTCACAAGCTAAAGTGCCAGCCTCTCTTCTAAGTGTCAGCTCTCCTCCCATAGATGCCTGACTTGGGTTGCTCCTTAGTATCTTTAGATAGTTTTTAAAATATTTTTTGTTCAGAGTTTATAGTTGTTATGTGTATGAAGGTTGGTCTGATAAAAGCAATGCAGTCATACTGAAACTTAATTTTTGTTAATTTTTGTATATGGTGTGAGGCGTGGGTCAAGGTTTATGCTTTTTTCCTAATACTGATATCTATCTCTTCCAACACAATTTGTTGAAAAGACTTCACTTTCGCCCATTGAATCACATTGGCACTTTTGTCAAAAAACAATTGTCCGTACATGTGTGGGTCTGTTTCTGGACTTTATTCTGTTCTAATGATATATCTGTCTGTGCATACATCATCCCATACTGCCTGTATTACTGTAGCTTTACAGTAAATCTTAACATTAGGGGGTATAAATCCTTCATACTTTTTCTTGCTTTTGGCTATTCTGGGTCCTTCGCATAGCCATATAAACTTTAACATTTGTCAGTTTTTACCAAAATCTTGACAAATAAGTGATTAAACAAGTAGAAAACAAATCAGTGATGCAACAGGAAATTTCAACAACACTCAACCAACTTGATTTATACATTACAGAACAATACAGCCATCAATAGCCAAATATATATTCTTTTCAGGGAGACATGGACCATTATCCTAGATAGACCATATGTTGAAATCATACAGAGTATACTTTCTGACCATGACGGAATTAAATTAGAAATGAGCAATAACAGGGCATCAAGAGAAAGAGGCCATATTTTTGAAGAGTAAATGAAAGCAACAGGAGAGGGAGCTATGTGAAATTTTTAAAAATTGGGATGGAAGGGATATATGTGCTTCCTTCTACAAGTTATAGGGCACAAATTTCTCATAAAAATGAGCAACAAAATAGGATCAAGGTCAAATCCTTACTAAAAATTATAATTTTTAATAAATGGAAGAGTAAATGTCATACATAATAAATAGCAGAAATTTATGATTAGATTTTTATATTCTACACAATATTACATATGTGTATATATATAAACTAAGTATTTAATGGGCATACCATATCGTATATTATGATGAAAAAGTATCAAAAAGAGCTTCCTATCTGTTTTCTCTCCATCCTCCAGTGCTGATCATGTTGCCTTGAACAAGATTGTGTTGTTACAGGTATCAGTGTCATTTGAGGATGTGACTGTGGACTTCAGTAGAGAGGAGTGGCAGCAACTGGACTCTACTCAAAGACGCCTGTACCAGGATGTAATGTTGGAGAACTACAGCCACCTGCTCTCAGTGGGTAAGGACAACCATCCTGTGAAGTTGTGAGGAGCCTGTTATGGGTTAAATTGTGCCCCCAAATAAAATATGTTGAAGTCCTAATACCCCAGCCCCCCAGAATGTGACCTTATTTGGAAATAGAGTCTTTACAGAAGTAATCAAGCTAAAATGAGATCATTAGGGTGGGCTTTAATCTAATATAATTGGTGTCCTTATAAAAAGGAGAAAACTGGACACAGACACATATACACATACGCACGCACACACACACACAAACACACACACAGAGGGAAGACAATATGAAGATACACAGGGAGAAGATGGAATGTGACTAGAATGATACATCTGTAAGCCAAGAAACACTTGAGGCCACCAGAAGCTAAGAGAGGCCTGGAACAGTTCCTTCCCTAGCACCTTCAAAGAGAGTATGGCCCTGCTAACACCTTGGTTTTGGAGTTCTGGCCTCCAGAACTGTGAGACAATAAATTTCTCTTGTTTTGAGCCCCCTAGTTTGTGGTACTTTGTTATAACAGCCCTAGGAAACTAATACAGAGTTTTACACTTGGAAATGGGGTGTGGCTGTGATAAATACCTTAAAAATGTGAAGTGGCTTTGGAATTGGGTAACGGGTAGAGGCTGGAGCTAGGGGCTAGGTTTTGATATGCTTGACAGAAAAAGCCTAGATTGCGTTAACGAGACTATTGGTAGAAACATGAATGTTAAAGGTACTTTTAGTGAGATCTCAGATAGAAATAAGGAACATATTATTGCAAACTGGAAGAAAAGCGATCCTTGTTATAAAGTACCGGAGAACATGGCTGAATTGCGTTCTGTTGGGTGAAAAGTAGAACTTGTATGTGATGAACCTGAATATTTAGCTGAGGAGATTTCCAAGCAGTGTTGAAAGCACAGCCTGGTTTCTCTGTGCTGCTTATGTAAAATGTGAGAAGAAAGAGATAAATTGAAGAAAGAATTGTTAGGAAAAAGGTACCAGAACTTGAAGATGTGGAAAATTTTCAGCCTATCCATATGGCAAAAATTCAGAAAGTGTACTCTGGAAAGAACACCAAGGGTGTGTCTGGACAACCGATTACTAAAGAGATTAGGTGTGTGACTTGTGGATCCAATCAACTGTCTCACTAGAAATGCTTCCAGGTTGGACTGAAGGGGACAGAGACAGGAGAAAATGAAGGAAGGCTGTTGGACTTCTGGGATTCTATAAGCAGGAAATGTGATGATAAAGCTATTTCGACTGTGAACATGTGTCATCCTTCAAGAAAAGGGAAGAATGACTTTGAGGATAGTTCAGAAGCTAGTAGGGCTGCAGCTGCCACCACAGGCCCTGAAGGCACAGGCTGGGGAGATGGGGGGACCCATTGCCTCCTTAGTTTCAGAGAACAGGGCCATCTGTTTTCAGGGCTGAGGGGGCAGGGCCAAGGTTGCAGGGTTATCATGTCTGATCTGAGGTTACACCATGTATTAGTTACACCATGTATTAGTCCGTTTGTTCTCACATTGCTATAAAGAAATGCCTGAGACTGGGTAATTTATAAAGAAAAGAGGTTTAATTCGCTCACGGTTCTGCAGGCTGTAAAGGAAGCATAGTGGCTCCTGCTTCTGAGGAAGCCTCAGGAAGCTTCCAATCATGGCGGAAGGCAAAGGGGAAGCAAGCATATTACATGGTGGGAGCAAGAGCAAGAGTGAGGGGGAGATGCTGCATACCTTTAAACAACCAGATCTCACGAGAACTCACTCACTTTCATGAGAACAGCACCAAGGGGATGGTGCTAAACCATTCCTGAGAAATCCGCCACCATGATCCAGTCACCTCCCACCAGGCCCCATCTCCAACACTGGGGATTACAATTTGACATGAGATTTATAGGGGACAAAGATCCAAACCATATCAGGTGATGAAGACCAAATATATATATCTTTTTAACTTTCCCTTATGGTTCTTGTTGACTATCAATTTTGTGCACGTATTTAGCCTTAGTAGATGGAGTTTACTACCCACTTTGGGGTACATTCTCAAGCAACATGGCCCCAATAATGCCCAGGCCCAGTGCACCAGAGCCTGCTGCTGGCCTTATACCATCATCAGGCTGGGCCTCAATCAGAAGGACTTGGGTGCTATAAGCAGCAGTGGGGAGTGGGTCTTCTCTATGCCACATTTCCAACACCCCCACTGTGGGGCAGAGGTTTAGCACTGGGCTCTTCCATGTTCACTTGCTGTTACTGAGGGAATCCTTGTTAAGTTTCTTCTCCACTAACTAGTGTGCTTAAATTCAGTGGGTGAGTAAATTCTGGCCCAATAGCAAGCCAAAAATTATTTCTCAAAAAGAGAGTAGTTATCCACTACTACAGGATGGCAGGACTTTGCTCCCAAATCCTAAAGATCTGCACTGTGATTCACCTATAGGGGATTGCCAAAGGCTCCAAACAGCATCCCTGTCTGCCATTGTCACTTCAAGCACCATTGGATCTGCTGGATCATATGGTCCAAGCAGCAGAGCAGCTTGCACAGCAGCCTGGATCTGTTGTAGAGTCTTCTCTTGTTCTGGTCCCCACTGAAAACTAGCTACTTTTTGGATAACTTGATAAATGGGCCAGAGTAGCTTTACCCAAATCAGGAATGTGTTACCTCCAAAATCCAAAGAGGCCCAGTAAGCATTGTGCCTTTTCTCTTTTTCTTATAGGAGGGGCCAGATACAACAATTTTTGCTTCACCTTAGAAGGGATATCTCGACATGCTCTATACCACTGGACCCCTAGAAATTTCCCTGAGGTGTAAGGCCCTTAAATTTTTTTTCAGATTTATTTCCCACTCTCTGATATGTAAATATCTTACCCATAAGTCTAGCGTAGTTGCTGCTTCTTGCTCACTAGGTCCAATCAGCATTATCTCATTAGTGTCATGGACCAGTGTGATATCTTGTGGAAGGGAAAGGTGATCAAGATGCCTGCAGACTAAATAATGACATAGGTCTGGAGAGTTGATATACCTCTGAGGTAGGACAGTACAGGTGTATAGCTGGCCTTCCCAGCCAAAAACAAACTGCTTCTAGTGGTCTTTACTAACAAGTATCACAAAAAAACATTTGCCAGATCAATAGCTGCATAGGGTACCAGGGAATGTGTTAATTTGCTCAAGCAATGAAACCACATCTTGAAGAGCAAGTGTAATTAGAGTCACCACTTGGTGACGTTTACAGTAATCTGTCACTCTTCAAAATCCATCTATTTTCTGCACAGGCCAAATAGGCAAGGTGAATGGGGATGTGGTGGGAATCACCATCCCTGCATCCCTCATATCCCTGATGGTAGCACTGATTTCCGCAATCCCTCCAGGAATGTGGTATTGCTTTTGGTTTACTATTTTCCTAGGCAGAGGCAGCTCTAGTGGCTTCACTTGGCCTTTCCCACCATAAGAGCCCTCATTCCACAGGTCAGGGAACTAATATGGGGATTCTGCCAGTTGCTGAATATGTCCTTCCAATTATGTATTCAGGAACTGGGGAAATAACCACAGGACAGGTTCAGGGACCCACTGGATGCACTGTGAGATGGACCTCAACTAAAACTCCATTAACCACTACACTTTGTAAGCTCCTACGCTGACTGGTGGACCATAGTGGTGTTTGGGTCTCCTGGAATTAGTGGCAGTTCAGAGCCAGTGTCCAGTAATTCCCAAAATGTCTGATTATTCTTTTTTCCCAATACATAGTTATCTTGATAAAAGGCCATAGGTCCCTTTGGGGAACACTGGGAGAAAGATTTCATAGTATAAGTTTTTGACAGTGTACCAGGGTCCTTCCCTAAGGGAACCTGGCTTCCCCTTCATTCAAGGGGTTCTGGGTCTGAGTCTGTAAATAGGCTCAAGTCTGGGAATTGATTGAAGGGCTGTGACTTTGTGCTTTTATGATTCGAGTTAGAGTTTTGTTCACTTGACCTAGAATTCCTCTACTTATACAGATCAACTTATTATTGTGTAGACTGCCTATCTGTTTCTTTTCTCAGGACACCATGATCAACTAGCCAGTGCCATAGGTCTCTGTGAATCAGACTATTCTGATTGTTGCTTTGACTCTGCTGTCCATTGTGGTAGCCATGTTCACCTTGCATTTGGCGATTAAGTACCTCCCTTTAACCCCTGCCACCCCAGGATCCAACTACCCCCATTGCACTTAGGTTTCCCTACTCAGTGGCTGCAGTTCCCACTGTAAGTTCCAGCCTACAGACAAGAGCACTTGGACATCTTCAAGGATGCTCGGGCTCCCCTTAAAAATTTGTTTCTCACATTGGTGACAGGTGTGTCCTCTGGACCCTCCCAGAGTAGATGAACAGGTATCACAAGATAAATCCCCTCCAACAGTACAATTCTTTGGATACCTTCCTCTGCAGAGTACCCAGGCAGTTCTGGCATTTCAACTTCATTTAGTGTAGGCCACCTTTTGGTCCATGTTTAGCCAACCAGCCAACCAAACTGTTAGAGCCCTTTCTAACCCCTCCAGCAGCAATATCAAATTCAGAATCTCTGCTTAGTGGGCCCATACCAATCAATTCAGCCTGATCCAACTTTTTGTTTCTTCCACCTTTATCATACACCCTTGATATCCATATCAATGTATAGTCTTTAGATTTGTCTGCATAAATTAAATGAATCGTGCCGTTCTTTTGGTGTACACACATCCTCATGGGTCATTCTTTGTACTTCACCTTTTGGGACCTGCTTTGACTTAAGTCCAGTTATATGTCTAAAAGCAAAGAAGGGTGGTGAGCATAGGCTCTTAAGGGAATTGGCAGTGCCTGTCAAGGCAAGTACCTCAGGGGAAGCCACTGAAAGTGCTTCAGGCAAAGTAGGGTTAACCTTCTCAGATAGGGTAGAAGGGCTGCCTCTACTGGCAAAGGAGACTCAAGAATTTAAAGGTTCAATGTCTAGTCTATTTCCAATTAGTTTTTTTTTCTTTTTTAGTCTCAGATGGTTGCTTTTAGGGTTCCCTCAGTCTCTTGAGAGCCCCTGATGGGAGGAGGGGTCCCAAAGTTCAAGTGACTGTAGGGAGTTAAGAGACTGAAGTAGGAAGGGAAAGGTCTGGCAGGAATGGATAGAGGGGTGGAAGAGGTAGGAGTTTGAAGAGTGACCTATGCGAGGATTCAAGAGAGCTTAAAGGGAAGATCAAAGGTGGTAAAAGGAAGAAGGAGGAGCAGAAGCAATGGGAAGGGAGAGGTTTTGGAGGAGACAGTTGGGGGAGATGTAAAGTTTCCCAAGGAAACCCCTGAAGTTCCAAATTATCCTTAGTAAAATCATGCCAACAAGACAGGAAACAGGTAGAGTTGGTGGAGCATATAGCCAGCAGGGGTTCAAAAATGGATATTTTGGTAGACTGAGAAGTTCCCATGTTTTTTAACTAATAGTACTTTTATGGTTATAAATAGAGAAACTTGGGACTCTGACCCAGCTTCTGTTCCTTACAGAACCCAGCCTCTTACAAAAAGAGAAACCTAGGAGACTAACCCAGCCTTTCCTTGCATGAGACTCTAACTTACTTTCTTATAAACAGCTGCTTACCTGGAACTTTAACCTACCTTCTAGCATGAGAATCACTTGAACCCAGGAGGCAGAAGTTGCAGTGAGCTGAGATGGTACCACTGCACTCCAGCCTGGGTGACAGAGTGAGACTCTGTCTCAAAAAAAAAAAAGAAAAAATCAAAATCTGTCCTTACTGTGCTTCAGTGGACTGTCATCCAGAGGCTCAGGAGTTGGACTCATCAATGGGTCCCCAATCAGTCAGGAGTGAAGACAAAGGCTTCGAAGGTGCATACTTCAGATTCTGAGTGAGAAGTCTGGGGTCCAGTGATCAGTCTGATCTTATCCGAGTTGTAGCACCAAAACTGTCAAAGAAAACCAGAGCTGGACAATAGTTAAAGCAGTGAAAATAGATTTTATTCAGAACTATTACAATAGGGGAAAAGATACTTCGGTATAGAACTGGGCTCAATTCCAAATACAACGTGGACAAGTGGGGATTTATAAATATAGCCCAGGAGCAGAGTGGGGCCAGTCGATGGAAAATGACTAATGCGAGGAAACATCAGGGGTAAAGGGGGATTGTTACTAAACTGACCTGACAAGATTCTTGCTGAAGGCAGGTGAGGGTGATCAAATATTACGTGGGGGATAGTACAAGATGAGGAATTTGATCAGATATCAAGGGTGATCAGATATTGAGGCTGGGAGATTCTAGCTAAACTGACTTAACAGGAATCTTGCTAAAATTAGGCAATGCCAGGATTCCCCTTGGTAATCATGATCAGTTACCCCAGCCAAAACCATAGCTCCCTTGTTTGCCAGTTGATTCAGGAGCATGAGGGACCCGAAGTGGTCGGGTGGGAGTTTTCACTTTTAGTTTAGTGGAATCATTGTGTGTCTCCTGGTGGAAGTATTTCTCCCTTTGGAATTAAGACCTCTAGAACAGCAGAGCATAAGGTCACAGAGACAGGTAGCAAAAATTTTGCTAGTGGACCATTAGGGGTAATAGGGGTGTCATTCCTGGCCCAGGGCTACCTGCCACCCAGTGGGCTCAGAGGACAGATCATGGAGACAATGAGATTATTCACAAGCCTTAAAATCTAATTGAATTTTCCCTGCTAGGTTTCAGACTTGGGTCCCATTATCTCTTTTTTCATTCCAGTTTCTCCCTTTTGGAATGGGAATATCTATCCTATACCTGTCCCACCATTGTATTTTGGAAGCAGATAACTTGTGGTCTGGTTTCATAGGTTCACAGATAGAGAGGAATTTTTCCCCAGGATGAATTATATCCTCTCTCATCCATAACTTATTTGGATGAATTAGATGATGAGATTTGAGACTTTTAGTTGACGATGTCGAGATGTGATTTTTGACTTACAAGTTGATGTTAGAATGACTAAGGCTTTGGAGGATGTTGGGATGGGGTGAATGTATTGTGCATGTGAGAAGGAAATGAATTTTGGGGGACTAGAGGGCAGACTCTTGTGGGTAGAATTTTGTCTTCCCCCAAAACTATGTGGAAATCCTACCCCTCGATACTTCAGAATGTGACCATATTTGGAAATAGAGTCTTTGCAGAGGTAATCAAGTTAAAGTGAGGTCATTAGGGTGGGCCCTACTCTAATCTGACTGATGTCCTTATAAAAAGGGGAAATTTGGACACGGGGGAATGCCATATGAAGATGAAGGCAGAAATTGGGGTATTGCTGCTACAAGCATGCGTAGAGGGAAGACAATAAGAAGATACGCAGGTAGAAGACAGACATGTCACTGGGGTGATGTATTCACAAGCCAAGGAATGCCAAAGAGTGCCAACAAACACTAGAAACTAGAAGATGCTGAAAGGTTCTCTCCTAGATCCATCAGAGAGAGCATGACCCTGCTGACACCTTGATTTTGGATTTCCAGCCTTTAGACATAAGAGACAATAAATTTCTGTTGTTGTAAGCCACCAGGTTTTGGTACTGTGTTATAGCAGCCTTAGGACACCAATACAGAGCCTCGTTGTGTTTCCCTTCACCACCACTGAGCTATCTGGGACATTAGAACCCTATGATGATGTCCTCCTTGACTTGTCTGAGATTCTTCAGTCCCTTTTCACCTCTGTGATTATTACTCAGTTCCCCATGAAATGTGGTTACTTCTCCAAAGAACAAATGGAAAGCAATTTGCTGGACCCAATTCTCTATCGTGTCCTGTTAACAGGGTTCGAAGTTCCTAAACCAGAGGTCATCTTCAAGTTGGAGCAAGGAGAGGGGCCATGGACATTGGAAGGGGAAGCCCCACATCAGAGCTGTTCAGGTGAGTGGGTGTGACCCAGGCAGATGGGGACACGAAGTAATTTTTTTTTTCCCTAAGGAAGACCGATGCCTTTAAAATGCTGTTATTGCTTAAAGGTTGGAAACTTTATAAATTGCTTGAGGATAGGTAGCATTGGCCTCTCGGGTGCCAAATTGTTCTCTCCTTTTATTTCTCTTACTGTTATCACCTGTCTTCTTTGCTTGGCTTTCTTCCAGGAGAATTGCCCCAATTCCTATACTCTGGATTACATGCCAGTCTTCCTCACTAGCGGTCTTGCTTTCTTGGATATTCTTTCCTTCCTTCAGTCCCATTTTTATGTGTAATTCCTTAAACCACACCCCAGAGTCTTAGATTCTTATCACATACATTTCAGTTTTACTGGATTTGACTTTTTGAAAATCCGTTGGTTGCCTCACTTCTGTTCTTCCTAGCACTCTTGCACTTTATTCTTTCTTTTGTTCTCACCTTCTCACTCTAAGGTACCAACAAACTCTCATCTACAACCAGCCTCACCTCCTGTTGCCTTTGTAAGTATCACCTTCAGATTCCTCACTCCTCTCCACCTTCCCATGGCCTAGTACCTCTCTCCCATCTTCTGACTTTATGGTCACTATCACTTAGCATTTCTTCTTTTAAAATCCATTTTATTAAGGTAGAATTTACACAAAATGAAATGTATTTATTTTAAGTGGACAGTTTGATGAGTTTTGATAAAGATATACACCAGTGTAACCACCACCCCTATTGTGATATATACCATTCCTTCACACAGAATGCTCCCTCATGCCCCTTGCAGTCAGTACACACAGCCCCAGGCAACCACTGACATGCTTTTTGTCACTCTAGATTAGATCTATCTTTATTAGGGTTTTATATAAATGGAATAATACCTTACATACTCTTTTGGGTCTGGCTTCATTTGTTCAGCATAATCATTTTGCAATTCATCCATGTTATTAAGTATATCTCTGGTTTATTCCTTTTGAATGACAAATAGTATTTCATGGAATGAATATATTACTATTCATTAATCTCTACACCTATTGATGGATAGGTGGTTAATATTTGGTTATTATGAATGAAGCTGCAGTGAACATTCTCGTATGTCTTTGTGTGAACATACGTTTACATTTTTCTTGGGTAAATACCTAAGATTGGAACTGCTAGGTCATGTAATAAGTGTATACTTACCTTTGTAAGAAATTGCCAAACTGTATTCCAAATTGGCTGTACCACTTTACATTCCCAGCAGCAATACATAAGGATTCCTCTTGCTCTACATCCTCGTCAACACTTGTTATCATCAAACTCTTTTATTTTTGCTATTGTAGCGGATATTATAATTTAAAGTTGCATTTCTCTTATGAGAATAATGATGTTAAGCATCTTTTTATGTGCTTATTGACCATTTGTACATTTTTTGGTGTGAAATATCTACTCAGATATCTTTCTCATTTTTTAATCAGGTTGTTTGTCTTCTTATTAGTGAGTTTTAATATATTTACTGGATACAACTCCTTTGCCAGATATATGTATTGCTAATATTTTGTTCCAATCTGTGGCTTGAAATTTCATTTTCTTTTTGGTGCCCATCAAAGAGCAAACATTTTAATTTGATGAAGTCCAATTTATCATCTGTTTTATTGTTAGTACCTTTTGCGATCTGTTTAAGAAATCTTTGCCTACCACAAGGCACAAAGATTTTCTCATACTTTCTTCTATAAGTTTTATCATTTTAACTTTTTCAGTTAGGTCTGTGATTCATTTTTCAATACTGATATCTAATTGTTCCAGAAACATTTGTTGAAGGGGCTTTCTTTTTCCTATTGAATTTCCTTGGTATGTTTATCAAAATCAATTGACTTTATGTGTATGAGCCTGTATCTGGTCTCTCATTTCTGTTCAATTAATCTATTTGTCTGTCTGCTTTAAAAGATAGGTTTTATTATTATTTAGGTTCGATGAAGCCAACAGATCAGGAGACAACTGCCATTGGAAAGACAGTTTGTTATAATTCCCAAGAGGCGGGGGTATACCACACCATACAGGGCCATGCATACCACACATGTGGAAGCACCAAGGTCAGTTGGGATCTAGAAGGAGTGAGGGGAAAGCATAGGCCAGAGCCTTTATTTAGGTTTTGTGGGAAGGAATGGACTAGGCAAGGTCAGAAGGCTAGGCAGATTTAAGATTGGCTAGTTTGGATAATTCCACTGGGCTCTAGGGTATAGGGACTCTCCCCAGTTGCTTGGTACCTGGCCCTGGGGTGATTAGAGCAGGGGGATAGTGGCTCAACCTGTGAGAGCTCAATAAAAGAGGCAGTTGTGGGTATGGGCTGTGTATTGGCTGCTTTGCATATGAAAGGCATCCTCAAGGTCAAGTTATTTCCTAATCTCTAGAATTAGCTATCACTGGGAGTGGGCAGTCTCTCCAGGATCAGTTAAGCCCCAGATGCCAGAACATCAAGGGTACAGAAAATAAGAAAATATAGTTAATACGTTATCCTTTTAGCAAACCCATACTATCTTTATTACTGTAGTTTTTACAGTAAATCTTCAATCAGGGAGTATAAGTCCTTCAACTTTGCTTTTTAAAAATTACTTTGCTCTTCTAGGTCATTTGCATTTTCATATACATTTTATAATCAGTTTGTACTTTTTACAAAAAAGCCTACTGGGATTTTGTTTGGAGTTCAGTTAACTCTGTAGATCAATTTTAGGAGAATTGACATCTTAACAATATTGAGCCTTCTAACCCATGAAAATGGCATATTTCTGCAATTATTTAGTTCTTTAATTTCATTTAGCAGAATTGTATAGTTTTCAGCATAGAGGTCATAGGAAACCTTCATTAAGTTTATCCCTAAGTACTTGATGCTTTTGATTCTGTTTTACATGGCATTGTTTTAGTTTTATTTTTTGATTTTCATTGCTAATATAAAGTTTTTTAAATTTTATTTTTAGATTGTTTATTGCTAGTATAAGTTGCTAGTGATTGATTTTTGTGCATTAACTTTGTATCCTGAGGCACTGCTAAATCTACCTATTAGTTTTCTTGTAAGTTCCTCAGGATTTTTCATATAAGTAATCATTATCACCTAAAAATAGGGACACTTTTACATCTTCCTTTCCAAACTCATGTTTTAATTTCTTTTCATTATTTTACTGTCTAAGACTTTCAGTTCAGTGTTGAATGGAAGGGGTGAGTGTGGGCATGTTTGTCTTGGTTCTGATATTGTGGGCAAAAACTTCAGTCTTTCACCATTAAGTTATGATATTAGCTGTAGGTTTTCTGTACCTGCCCTTTAACAGGCTGTGTAAGTTCCTTTCTAATCCTAGCTTGTTTCATAGTTTTTTTTTTTAAATCATGATTGAGTGTTGAATTTTGTCAAATGCTTTTTCTGCATCTATTGGAGAGATATTATATATATCAGCATTTTTTGTTCTGTTATTATGGTGAATTCATTGATTTTTAAATGTTGAATTAACCTTGTATTTCTGAGATAAATACTAGTTGATTATGACGTATTAGCTTTATTATATATTGTTGGACTCTACTTACTGATATTTGACTTAAAAGTTTGCGTTTTTCATGAGTGATTTGGTTCATGGTTTTCTTTTTTTTCAATGTCTTTGTCATGTTTTGATATTATGGTTATACTGGCTACTAAAATGAGTTATGAAGTGTTCCCTTCTCTATTTTCTGAAATACTTTGTGTGAGATTATTATTTCTTTTAATGTTTCATGGAATTAACCAAGAAAGCCATTTGGACCTAGAATTTTCTTGACAGGAAGGATTTAATGACAAACTTAATATTTTAAATAGATGTAGAGCTATTCAGATTTTTTGTTTCATCTTTTGCCAGACATAGTAAGTTGTACTTTTCAAGGAATTTTGTCTATTTCCTCTATGTTGTCCAATTTAATCCTGTTGTGGTCTGAGAGCATACTCTTTATGATTTCAGCATATGGTCTACCTAGGGGAATGTTTTGTGTGTCCCTGCAAAGAATGTATGTTCAGTTGTTGATGGGTACAGTGTTCTATAATCTATAACTCAGGTTGGTTCCATGTTGTTGAAATCTTCTAATGCCTTACTAATTTGTCTTCTACTTGTTCATTCAATTATTTGTAATTTGGGGGGGTTAAAACTGTCAAAGAGATTTAAAAATTTATATGGATATGCAAAAGACCTAGAATGACCAACACAGTCTTGAGGAAGAAGAAAAAGTACGGAGGATTGACACTACCAAATGTTAAGATTTACTTTAAAGCTATAGCAATCTGGACAGTATGTTATTGGTGTAAAGACACACTAATATATAAATGGAACAGAAGGGAAAGACTAAAAATAGACCCATTAATATATAGACAACTGATTTTTGACAAAGGTGCCAATGTAATTTGAAGGGAGAAATGAAAGTCTTTTCAAATTGTGCTGGAACAAATGGATGTCAGTATTGGGGGAAAAATTCATACTTTGACCCATACTTCACATCCTATACAAAAATTAACTCAAGTTCTAGTATTATAGAATTGTTTATATTGAAATAACCTGCCAGACAGATAAAAAATTGTTAACCCTGGAAAGCATATTTTTAAAACTAGCTACTGAAGATGCTGGAAAGTGATCAAAAGAACATTTTTCTGCTCCATCATATTTTGAGTAATTTGGATTGCGTCCTGAACATTATCAATGTTTATGGTAACATGGTATTCTGTTATATTGTTCTGAAGAATGTCAGTGTTCTTATCACAGCAGGCAATTAACTAGGTTAGATTGACACTGGAAATGCTGTCTCACCTAAGGCGAGTGGCAACTCAGGTGCACTTCAGCCCTGCTTTAATTTTGCTCTACCCATGCAAAGTTGAGGGGTCAGCCAGAGACTTAGGCAGATTTTATACACAGAATTAGGAATTTGCTTTTTTTGATTCTTTCTTTTTGAGTTGCCCCCTTAATCTCTAGTGGCCCCGGGTACCCAGGCCTTCTTCCCCTGATTCCTCTCGCAAAAGGATTACAAGCTTTTATGAGAATTTTAGCTGCTCCACATTGCTGCTAGGAGTGCAGCTACTCTCAACAGAAACCCGAGAAAAGGGGAACTCACTACGTGCTAGTCACTTCCTCTAACTTTTGACCCCCCTACAAAATCTGCCTGCTTTTGTTTTTTTATTTTTGTTTGTTTTTTTATTTTTGTTTGTTTTTCTAGAGATTACATTTACTATCTGTAGAAGGGTCTTTTTCAGAAGCTTACTTCTCCATACTGGAAGTAGAACTCTTACCATTGATTCTTGTACATTGACCTTGTATTCCGAGACTTTGCTACATTTTGCTTATTAATTCTAGTGGGTCTTTTTGTGAATAAATACCATAAAACTTTCTGCAAACATTATCATGCCTTTCTGTCATTTCCTTTTTGGTCTATATGCTGTTTATTTTTATTTTATCTTGTTCCCAATCTGAAGGCAAAAACTTTCAGTCTTTCACCATTAGGTGTATTAGCTGTGATTTTTCTTAGATGCTCTTTATTAATTTGTGGCAATTTCTTTCTATTCCTAGTTTGATGAGAGTCTTAAACATGAATTGATGTTGAATTTTCTAAATGCCAAATGCTTTTTATGTATTTATTGAAAAGTGCATTTTATCCTACTAATATGGTGAATTTTTACTGATTTTTAGATGTCAAACTAAACTTACATTCCTGAGATAAACCTTACTTCATCATGGTGTATTATCTTTTTATGTATTTCTTGATTTGATTCGCTAATATTTGGTAAGGATCTTAATCTCCATGTCTTTGAGAGAGATTGGTCTTTAGTTTTGTGGGCGGGGGGGGGTTCCCTTATAATATCTTTGATTTTGGTATCATGTTAATTCTAGCTTCATAAAATTAGTTTGGAAATTTCATGCCTGCTCTGTTTTCTGAAAGAGTTTGTGTAAACTTGCTATATTTGCTAGAATTTTTCAGTGTTCACGTCTCTTGTGATTTTGTATAAGATTACTTTAAATTTCTTTTTCTTAAATATGTGATAAAATTCACCAGTGAACTCATCTGGGTCATCTGAAGTTTTCTTTGTGGGACTGTCTTTAATTTCAAATTCAGTTTCTTTAATATAGGAATATTCAGATTTTTTATTTCTTCTTGTTTTAATAATTTGTTCCTTCAAGGAGTTCGTGTATTCCATCTAAGATGTCAATATTTCGACATAAGTTTTTTTCATTAATACTTCTGTATTGTCACTTTAATGTCTTGTATCTTCGCCAATGTACTCTCTTTCTCTGAAGTTGATAAAATTTCAATTCAACAGGAATATATATATATAAACCTAATTTTCTATGTACTTAATAACATAGCCTCAAAATATATAGTAAACACTGGCAGTATTAAAAGGAGAAGTAGACAAAATGCACAATCATAGTTGGAGATTTTAACACACCTATTTCTCTAACTGTTGTAACAAGCACACAAAAGAATCCCTAAAGAGGTAGAAGACTAGAACATGATAAACCAATATGATGTAATCGACATACATAGGTTACTACATCCAACAACTACAGAATACACATTCTTTTCAAGTATACATGGCACATTCACCAGAATAGACTATTTTGGGATATAAAGCTGTTTGCATCAAATTTCAAAGGATTGAAGTCATAGACTGTATGTTCTCTAACCACTGTTAAATTAAAACTCTGAATAGAAAAACAATTAAAAAATATCTAAATGTTTGAAAAGTAAGCAACACACATCCAAATATCCCATAAGTCAAAAAAGATATCACAATGAAAATGTATTGAGTGAAGTGATAGTGAAAATCGACACATCAGAACTTGTGGGGCCGGGCGCAGTGGCTCACACCTGTAATCAGCACTTTGGGAGGCCGAGGCGGGTGGATCACCTAAGGCCAGGAGTTTGAGACCAGCCTGGCCAACGTGGTGAACCCCATCTCTACTAAAAATATAAAAATTAACGCAAATCAATAAATTTAATCCAGCATATAAACAGAACCAAAGACAAAAACCACATGATTATCTCAATAGATGCAGAAAAGTCCTTTGACAAAATTCAACAACCCTTAAGGCTAAGAACTCTCAATAAATTACGTATTGATGGGACGTATCTCAAAATAATAAGAGCTATCTATGACAAACCCACAGCCAATATCATACTGAATGGGCAAAAACTGGAAGCATTCCCTTTGAAAACTGGCACAAGACAGGGATGCCCTCTCTCACCACTCCTATCCAACATAGTGTTGGAAGTTCTGGCCAGGGCAATTAGGCAGGAGAAGGAAATAAAGGGTATTCAATTAGGAAAAGAGGAAGTCAAATTGTCCCTGTTTGCAGATGACATGATTGTATATCTAGAAAACCCCATTGTCTCAGCCCAAAATCTCCTTAAGCTGATAAGCAACTTCAGCAAAGTCTCAAGATACAAAATCAATGTACAAAAATCACAAGCATTCTTATACACCAATAACAGACAAACAGAGAGCCAAATCATGAGTGAACTCCCATTCACAATTGCTTCAAAGAGAATAAAATACCTAGGAATCCAACTTACAAGGGATGTGAAGGACCTCTTCAAGGAGAACTACAAACCACTGCTCAATGAAATAAAAGAGGATACAAACAAATGGAAGAAGATTCCATGCTCATGGGTGGGAAGAATCAATATCGTGAAAATGGCCATACTGCCCAAGGTAATTTATAGATTCAATGCCATCCCCATCAAGCTACCAATGACTTTCTTCACAGAATTGGAAAAAACTACTTTAAAGTTCATATGGAACCAAAAAAGAGCCCGCATCGCCAAGTCAATCCTAAGCCAAAAGAACAAAGCTGGAGGCATCATGCTACCTGACTTCAAACTATACTACAAGGCTACAGTAACCAAAACAGCATGGTACTGGTACCAAAACAGAGATATAGACCAATGGAACAGAACAGAGCCCTCAGAAATAATGCCGCATATCTACAACTATCTGATCTTTGACAAACCTGAGAAAAACAAGCAATGGGGAAAGGATTCCCTATTTAATAAATGGTGCTGGGAAAACTGGCTAGCCATATGTTGAAAGCTGAAACTGGATCCCTTCCTTACACCTTATACAAAAATTAATTCAAGATGGATTAAAGACTTAAATGTTAGACCTAAAACCATAAAATCCCTAGAAGAAAACTTAGGCAATACCATTCAGGACATAGGCACGGGCAAGGACTTCATGTCTAAAACACCAAAAGCAATGGCAACAACAAAAGCCAAAATTGACAAATGGGATCTAATTAAACTAAAGAGCTTCTGCACAGCAAAAGAAACTACCATGAGTGAACAGGCAACCTACAAAATGGGAGAAAATTTTTGCAACCTACTCATCTGACAAAGGGCTAATATCCAGAATCTACAATGAACTCAAACAAATTTACAGGAAAAAAACAAACAACCCCATCAAAAAGTGGGCAAAGGATATGAACAGACACTTCTCAAAAGAAGACATTTATGCAGCCAAAAAACACATGAAAAAATGCTCATCATCACTGGCCATCAGAGAAATGCAAATCAAAACCACAATGAGATACCATCTCACACCAGTTAGAATGGCAATCATTAAAAAGTCAGGAAACAACAGGTGCTGGAGAGGATATGGAGAAATAGGAACATTTTTACACTGTTGGTGGGACTGTAAACTAGTTCAACCATTGTGGAAGTCAGTGCGGTGATTCCTCAGGGATCTAGAACTAGAAATACCATTTGACCCAGCCATCCCATTACTGGGTATATACCCAAAGGATTATAAATCATGCTGCTATGAAGACACATGCACACATATGTTTATTGCAGCACTATTCACAATAGCAAAGACTTGGAACCAACCCAAATGTCCAACAACGATAGACTGGATTAAGAAAATGTGGCACATATACACCATGGAATACTATGCAGCCATAAAAAATGATGAGTTCATGTCCTTTGTAGGAACATGGATGAAGCTGGAAACCATCATTCTCAGTAAACTATCGCAAGGACAAAAAACCAAACACCACATGTTCTCACTCATAGGTGGGAGTTGAACAATGAGAACACATGGACACAGGAAGGGGAACATCACACACCAGGGACTGTTGTGGGGTGGGGGGAGGAGGGAGGGATAGCATTAGCCGATATACCTAATGCTAAATGACGAGTTAATGGGTGTAGCACACCAACATGGCACATGTATACCTATGTAACAAACCTGCATGTTGTGCACATGTACCCTAAAACTTAAAGTATAATAATAATAAAATTTTAAAAAAATCAACTCCAAAAAAAAAAATACAAAAATTAGCTGGATGTGGTGGCGGGTGCCTGTAATCCCAGCTGCTCGAGAGGCTGAGACAGGAGAATCACTTGAACCCAGGAGGCAGAGGTTGCAGTGAGCCAAGATGGCACCACTGCACTCCAGGCTGGGCAATGGAGTGAGACTCCATCTAAAAAAAAAAAAAAAAAAAAAAAAGAACTTGTGAGATGAAACTGAAGCACTATGATGAAAGTTTCTTATTTTATATATATCTACCAGAAAATTAAAAAGATTAAAAATTGGCCTATCTTGATTTTATAATCTGATGTTTTCAAAAACTATTTTTCACCATGGCCACTGCTTCTCAAACTGGGGAACCCTAGCCATCTTCCAGGAGTGTCATTTTTTTTTTTCAGACATAGAAGTTTAAAAATTTTTTAATCTTAAAAAGTCCTGTTGTATATATTCACAGGTAAAATAAGAATAATTTTAAAGATAAAACATATGACTTCAAAGAAATTACAAGTTGACATCTTGGACTCTACCCCTCGTACTTTATCTCCTATGAGGAGAATTTCAGTAATTACAGCTGCGAAGCAATGACCTAGGAGATCCTGATTTCTCAAAGCGTAGCCAGATCTTTACTGACAGTGAATGTAAATACAATTCAAAGTCTTGGTGCATTCTCCTGAGTTCCATCTTCAGATATAATGTAATTCTCTGATTAAATATATATAGTCCTGTCTATACTGATCAGGAATTAAGTCAACAAAAGAACTCTGGACTGATTTTGATTTTTCACTGTTTATAATTAGAGGAATGCTACAGTTAAAGATTACTGCTTTACAACTAAAAATATACAACATATATCATCAAAGGGAGTGGAACTCATGAAGCCAAAAGATTAAAACTTGACCCAGTGAAAATAATAGGGAGAGTAACTGTGGGTGATTTTATCCTTCTTCCAAATTTACATTAAAATATATTATCCCTATTCTTTACTGCCCTTTTGGTTGAAGAGGTAAATACATGCATTTTTCTGAATAATTAATTATAACACCTCCTCTAGAATCCCAAATCCACTAGGGATTCTTTCTTGACCCCAAAGAGATGCTTTCAGTATGTCATGAGTATAAACTCAAGCTGCTTGCCAATTATAACTACTTGTCAAATAGAAAGTCAGTAGCCACTTTCTGTATAAATAACATTTATAAAAAACAAAATGAAGTTGCAAATGAAATTATGTCAAATTTACAGTTTCTTTTTTTAAACAAAGGGTCAATGTCATCAACATTATCTGTAAATCAAGTTATCATCAGATACATTTAATAATTAATGCCTGTAATCCCAGCACTTTGGGAGGCTGAG
Source organism: Homo sapiens (assembly GCF_000001405.40). NCBI lineage: Eukaryota > Metazoa > Chordata > Mammalia > Primates > Hominidae > Homo > Homo sapiens. The sequence goes on from NC_000023.11 coordinate 47,906,586, forward strand.
GCAGGTGAATCACCTGAGGTCAGGAGTTCAAGACCAGCCTGGCCAACATAGTGAAACCCCGTCTCTACTAAAAACACAAAAATTAGCCAGGCATGGTGGCTGGCGCCTGTAATTCCAGCTACTCAGAAGGCTGAGGCAGGGAGAATTGCTTGAACCCAGGAGTGGAGGTTGCAGTGAGCTGAGATCATGCCACTGCACTCCAGCCTAGGCGACAGAGCGAGACTCCACCTCAAAAAATAAAATAAAATCAAGATAACCTCTTGAATGCAATAGCTCATAGCACTTTAATTTGGCAAGCCATTTTTCCTGTTTTATTATAAATCTATATTAGATGTTTGAATATGGTTTGAAATATTTCACTACTGTGCTGAAAAAGATTGGTTGATAGCAGCTTGGAGTGCTAACTGGAAGATCAAAATCATGTCTCTTGCTGATAACCTAAGAGCATTAAGCTCTGAGTCCAGTGAGGTCATAGCAGTGTATGCTCCTTGCCCTTACGGAGTGTCTGTTTTTAGAAATTTAGATTTTAAAAGGCGTGGGACATACGACCAGGCCCTATAGCCACATAAATATAAATTTCATAGAAAAAGAATAAAAGCGGAGATATATTTTTTGACACAGAGGCACCCAAAGAAATACAAACATTGCCTAGCTGCTGCCATTTCTGTAACTGCCCAGAAGGGTGACAGATTTCTGAAGGGGAAAGGATTCAGATATGACCTTTTCTTTAGTCCCAACCACTAGTTTTAACAAATGTGAATTATTGAAATGTGAAGGGACAAAAAGAATCATACATTTAAACTGTCTTGTTCAGCATACCAATATTGTATGTTACAAATCATCATTTCTAAATCTGGATTGATTCTGTTGTGTTTTTGACTGTTTCTAAAGTAAGTGTGTATAAAAGTTGTCTCCTTTTTAAAAAGATCATATTTTTAAATAAAGCATTTTTTGTAGAAAAAAAAAATTGGCCATATAAGTTTGCACCTCAGGACATACAAAAGTGAAAACTACCAAAGCCAAAATTTGCTTCTTTGAAAGATTAACACAATTGATAAATTTAGCAAGCTCAATCAAGGAGGAGAAAGAAAACACAGATTATCAATGCCATAAATGAGAAAAGAAACATCATTACAAATCTTACAGGCCTTAAAAGGATACTAAGAAAATATTATGACCAACTTTATCCCCCAACATTTGATAACCAAAATGAAATGAACAGTCTTAGAAAAACAGAAATTACCAGAAATGTCACAAGAAAAAAAGGTCAAAATCTTAGTAGTATTTCTATCTATTAAAGAAATTGAACTTATAATTTAAAACCTATCCACAAACAAAGCTCTCAACCCACATGGCTTCATTGGTGAACTCTGGTCTTTTAGAGAAGAAATAATACCAATATTATTCATGTTCTTTTGAAGGAAATAAAGAGAGAATACTTCATATCTCATATGATAGTAAATTGAACTATATTAGAATAAAGAATTACTCTTCTTTGAAAGACATCATTAAGAAAGTTAATAGGGAAGCCACAAGCTGGGAGAAGATATTTGCAATACATATATTTGACAAATGACTTTATATTCAGAATATATAAAGAACTCTCACAAATCAATAGAGAAAAAAATAGATAAAAGACACAGGCACTTGAAAAAAGAGGTATTCAAATGGGCATTATATATATGAGAAGGTGCTAAAGATCATTACTCATCAGAGAAATGTAAATTAAAACCACAATGTGGCAGCCCTACACACATACATACATACAAAAAAAAGGGCTAAAATTTAAGACTGACAATTATCAAATGTTGATGAGTATTTAGAGCAACTGGAATTCACATTCATTGATGGTAGGAGTGTAAATTCTTTCAACCACTTTGGAAGATAGGCATTACCTACTAACACTAAATGTACACCAATTCTGTGGCCCAGTAGTGCCACTCCTAGGCATATATTTAAGAGAAACAAGCAAATATATTCACTAAAAGAAATGTACAAGAATGCTCATACCAGCTTTAGCGTAATTGCTCAAAATTTGAAACCACTCAAATGTCCATCAGTGGGAGAATAGATGAGCATTATGCTATATTCTTGCAATGTGATACTACACAACAATGAAAAGAATGAACTGCTGTTACAAGAACTTGGGCGAACCTCAAAAAATTTGTTGAACAAAAGAAGCCAGACATGCAAATGGGTATATGCTATATGATTCAATTTACATAAAGTTCAAGCAAGGACAAGCAAAACTAATCTATGATTGTGATAATATTGATAAGTGATTGGCAATCTATGGTCAGAATGGTGGTTACCGCTGAGAGTCAATTATTGACAGGAAAGGGCCACCAGAGAACTTTCTGGGATAATTAAAATGTTTTCTACTTTCATCTGAGTTGTGGTTACATGGGTGTATACATATGAGTATTGGAGTTCAGCTTTATAGCTAAGATCTATACTATATAGCTTTGCATACATTCATTGAGCTTTACAGTTAATATCTACACTTTACTATATATAAATTATACCTCAATAAAAAATAATTAGCCTGTGAGATTATTCCTCAGGTATGTTTATATAGAATTGGTATTGGTTGATCACTGGATCATATGTGCAATCCACAAGTGTGCCTATTTTACCACATTTATGCCAACACTCAGCATCGTTCAGATTTCTTATCTTGTGGCCAATATAATGGATGTAAAGTGGTATTGTGTTATCTTCCCCCCTTTCTAGTATCTGCTGTCCATTTAGGTTTCCCCTTTGTTAATTGCTTGTTCCTATTTTGTCTCATGTACTTTTCATAGAGGCTTTTTTCCCACTAAGATGCACTAGCTAGGGGTACCATTTCTGTCTTCAGGATATCTGTTCTAATAGTAATTAACTTAAAGGGGTCTTCCATTTGGAACACTTAAGGTTTTTTGTTTGTTTGTTTGTTTGTTTTTTAGGTTGTCATACATGGCTTTTATTGTTTTGACGTATGTTCCTTCTATACCTAGTTTATTGAGGCTTTTTTTTCTTTTTCTTTTTTTTTAATTATTATACTTTAAGTTTTAGGGTACATGTGCACAATATGCAGGTTAGTTACATATGTATACATGTGCCATGCTGGTGTGCTGCACCCATTAACTTGTCATTTAGCATTAGGTATATCTCCTAATGCCATCCCTCCCCCCTCCCCCAACCCCACAACAGTCCCCAGAGTGTGATGTTCCCCTTCCTGTGTCCATGTGTTCTCATTGTTCAATTCCCATCTATGAGTGAGAACATGCGGTGTTTGGTTTTTTGTCCTTGCGATAGTTTACTGAGAATGATGATTTCCAATTTCATCCATGTCCCTACAAAGGACATGAACTCATCCTTTCTTATGGCTGCATAGTATTCCATGGTGTATATGTGCCACATTTTCTTAATCCAGTCTATCGTTGTTGGACATTTGGGTTGGTTCCAAGTCTTTGCTATTGTGAATAGTGCCGCAATGAACATACATGTGCATGTGTCTTTATAGCAGCATGATTTATAGTCCTTTGGGTATACACCCAGTAATGGGATGGCTGGGTCAAATGGTATTTCTAGTTCTAGATCCCTGAGGAATCGCCACACTGACTTCCACAATGGTTGAACTAGTTTCAACAAAAGCCAAAATTGACAAATGGGATCTAATTAAACTAAAGAGCTTCTGCACAGCAAAAGAAACTACCATGAGTGAACAGGCAACCTACAAAATGGGAGAAAATTTTCGCAACCTGCTCATCTGACAAAGGGCTAATATCAAGAATCTACAATGAACTCAAACAAATTTACAAGAAAAAAACAAACAACCCCATCAAAAAGTGGGCAAAGGATATGAACAGACACTTCTCAAAAGAAGACATTTATGCAGCCAAAAGACACATGAAAAAATGCTCATCATCACTGGCCATCAGAGAAATGCAAATCAAAACCACAATGAGATAACATCTCACACCAGTTAGAATGGCAATCATTGAAAAGTCAGGAAACAACAGGTGCTGGAGAAGATGTGGAGAAATAGGAACACTTTTACACTGTTGGTGGAACACTTAAGGTTTTTATTTGTATTCTGATGACTTCCATGTTGACACCACTAGGTGCTGTATTATAATAGTGCTCTAGTACTTACTTACCTGCATACCACACAATTCCCATTGAATATTCTACTTTATTCATCCTCAATATGGGAGGAATTGGGATCATCATTACCCAAATCAGGAATCCTCACATTCCAAATTTTGTCAGATTCTGCTGTTTCTTGTTTCTTCCCTCTTAGCTGTCTTTTCTTACTACTGCAATTCCTATTTTTTCTTTTTTAAAGAATGCTACTTAGTCTCTCATCTAGTTCCAGTAACATCACTCCAAAACAGGTCTGTATTTTCTTATGCTTGGATTATTCTGTTCCTAATGGAAGCTGCAGATTCCATTCTTGTTTCTAGTTAATCTTTGAAATGCTACTGATAGATTTCATTACCTAAGACATTGCATTTATCTTTGCCATTAGCTTCATGAAGTAGTCTTACAGTTACTCCATATTATATAACACATGACCAATAACTTTTCTCTCAGTGCCATCTATAAGATTACCATTATTCCCAGTTTAAAATTTTATCTGTACGGTTTCCTTAATTTATGCTTACTTCAAATTGTTTGCCTGGTCTTTAATGCCTGTCATATATGAAGTGTGTCTGTGTATCTGGGCTTTTTATTATTTTGTGCTCTGCCGTCCAGGTAATAGACATTTTCCTTTTGTGTTCAGGCTTTCATCTATTCCATGAAATGGCCCTTACCTACTCCAGATTTATTACTCCATTATTTATTATTCTTCCCTATTTCTGTTTCCCCATGTCCCAGATGCTTTTGCCCCCAGTAATTTTTGAAAGTCTCTGAAAGTAAGAGCTCGTATCTTATTTTCATCATTCAAATGTTGAGCATGAAGAAAATACTTACCAATATTAACTAATTGAATTTGTGGGGGATAAGAATAGAATTTTGCTGTGTTTTAGAGGGATTTTAAAAAATTATACTGAGAGGAATTCAACGAAGATTGTTATTGGAAAGTAAACACAATGGCACCAAATATTTAAAAGTTTACCCTCTTACACATTGTGTTTCTGTTATAATTAGGAGTCTATTACAGGGATTAGCAAAATGAATAGCATAGAGAGTGCCTGCTTTTGACATTCAGAAGAAAAAAACTTACTAGCAATATAATTAGATTAGTTTTCTAAGTAAAAATTCTTAATCTGCTTGATGAAGCACACATACCTTTTTTAATGGCATAAAAGAAAATGCTAAGCAGGCTTAATGGGGAAAGAGGACATGAATATGTCCTTTGATTTGAAAATAAACTGGACTCTTTTGAGGCATCTTTGTGTGTGACAAGTAGAATGTAAGCTCACGTGAGCAGCTCTTTTTTCTAGAGTGATGACTCTTCATTTACGTACTCTTCATAGAATCGGGGGCTCAGGAGAGGTATAAAGAAGCTTTTTATTGCAGGAGCAAATTTTTTATGATGAACATTGGTACTAGTGACATAAAAAATAATTGTCTGGTACAGCAAGGGATTTATAATTTAAATAAAGTAAAAAGTAGAACTGCTTCTGAAGCCATGCCTAGGAATCCAGTGCTTAGTATCTCCAGAATAAATTAAAGCCAGATGTGTGAGAATACAAATGCAACCTAAGAATAGGAGGATGAGATTTTGGATGGGACATGTGTCTGAAGTACAGTATCAAACCGACTAAAAGGGGATAAGTGGATTTGATGACTCAGAGCATTCTCAGTATCTAAAAATCTCTTATTGAAAAAGTCAGTGGTATAATTTATTCATGTTAAAATTATTTATCAGTAATCTAGTATGTCTCATGCACTGTACTAGGAATGGAAACATCTGTAATTCTCACTCTGGGCAAGAATAATGTATGAATTATACTAATGCTAATTTGTAGCAATAGATTGTCAAATATAGTGACTAAAATAGTAAGGAATTGTATTTCCCTCTTATAGGAAACCTCATTGCTCATGATTGTTCAGGAATCCAAGCTCCTTCCAACACACATTACTCCACCATCTCTTAGGATTTTTGTGGGATCTGCGTGCTTGACTCTGTGTTTCTGCCAAGTTCAGGTTTTAGTAAGCAAGAAGGTAGAAGCGGGTGTGGAGAAAACATGCCTGTGGTCTCAGTGCTCCCATCTGAAAGTGGCACCATCATTTTCTCTCAAATTCTCTTGATGAGAACATTGTCACATGGCCACACTAATTTCAAAGGAGGCTAAGAAATGCTCTATGACTGGGCATCCATATGCCTGGATGCTACTCTGTTAAATGCAAAAGAATGGGGAAACAGATTCTAGTGGGTAGCTTTCAGTCTCTACCAGAGATGACTTGTCTTTTCTGCTATTTTTTTGTTAGATATATATATATATAATGTAGGTCCAAGAAAACAATTACATCTGGATGTAGAGTTGGAGTATAGACATCTATTTATTGTTTGTATAGGTTAGGATGGCTATGACTACAATATTTTTATAGACATGAATAAATTATTTTTATCACATAAATTTTGGATGTTTGCTGATAAGCAAGATTAGTGAGGATTTAGAATTGAAAATGAGTATAAATAGCAGAGCATTTGTTATAACAGAAAAAAAAAGTTCTGCAATCCCAGCTACTCAGGAAGCTGAGGCAGGAGGATGGCTTGAGGCTAGGGGTTTGAGACCAGCCTGGGCAACATAGTGAGACCCCTTGTCTAAAAACAAATTATGTAAAAATTAGCTGGCTTGGTGGGGTATGGTCCCCAACACTTGGGAGGCTGAGGCAGGAGGATCATTTGAGCCCAAGAGTACAAGGCTGCCATGAGCTATGATTGTACCACTGCACTCCAGCAGCCTGGGTAACAGAGTGAGACTCTATTTCAAAAAGAATAAAGAAAAGAAAAATATGGAGAATTTTGTCATCAAGGTGAAGTAAAATTCATTCATTTATTGTATTTTGATCATATTCATTCTTCACTATGTATTGAGCCAGCTCCATGAAAGACAGTAATAGGACCACTTAAATTTGTAGTTATCACCCCCTCTATTAAATTCAATAAACATTTTTTGTTATCTTTTACAAGCAGTGCTTGTTAGGAGAACAGTGTGGTGTCAACAAAGTAAGACATGCACCTTTAGTCCCTATGAAGAAAACCTTTAAGCACATAGCAAAGGACCTACCTATATTAGAAGCCCCACAGAATTAAAGAATTGAAACCCATCGAGAAGAGTTGTTGCAGAGAGCAAGATTCAAAGTGTGAACACTCATCCTTGTCAATCAGGGTTCTCACTCTTAAACACAATGTCAGAAGTAAGCTGATGGTTATATTTAATATTTAGGCAAGAAGATACATGTGTATGCATTTTTGGACTTGTACACATACCAGGATTCAATATAAGTATCATCTATTAGTGGAAAAAAAAAGAATTGAAAGCTAATGAGGACTTAAACTCCAAGCCTAGGCCCTCCTAGATCTTTCCCCTGAAAACTCTTTTATTATCAATCTTCTGTCCACCCTACCTAATAGCCAAGCTTCCTACCAAAATAGGACTAGACTGCTTATGTTGAATGCCAGCCTCCAACACTTAATAACCATGTTTTATGGCAAATTATGTAACTGTCATGAGCTTCACTTTTCTTATCTACAAAAGGTGGATAGTAATAATAGATACCTCATAGGACCTCTGAAAGGATTAAATGAATTCATATGTACAGTCATGTACCACATAATGATATTGAGTGACTTCAGATTGTAATGAAATTGAAAAATGGCTATCACCTACATACATCATGGCTATTGCTGCGTTGTAGTGCAATGCATTACCTTTTCTATGTTTAGATATGTTTAAATACACAAATAGTTACTACTGTATTATAGTTGCCTACCGTATTCAGTACAGTCACATGCTATATGGGTTTGTAGCATAGGTGCAATATTCTATACCATATAGCCTAGATGTGTAGTAGGTTATACCATCTGGGTTTTTATAAGTACTGTATACTCTATGATGTTTGCACAACAACGAAATTGCCTAATGACAGCTTTCTCAGACTGTACCCCTGTTGTCAAGCAATGTTTGACTGCATATATTTCTTAGAATGGTGCCTGGAATATTGTAAGTGTCGTGTAAGAGTTTGGCACATAAAAGTGCTATATATGTATTTCCTGTCATCATTGTCATCATGAGATTTACTGATTTCCATGTGTTCAATTTGTATTAGCTTATGTGTACCTTTTAATCTCTTGCGGTCTATTGTTTGTGTCAATTTTACTTTTTCTTTCTCTTTTTAGATGGGAAATTTGGAATTAAGCCTTCCCAGAGGAGAATTTCTGGGAAATCTACATTTCATAGTGAAATGGAGGGTGAAGACACAAGAGATGATTCATTATACTCTATTTTAGAAGAATTGTGGCAAGATGCTGAACAGATAAAGAGATGTCAGGAAAAACACAACAAACTTCTGAGTCGCACTACTTTCCTCAATAAGAAAATATTGAATACAGAGTGGGATTATGAATATAAAGACTTTGGAAAATTTGTTCATCCAAGCCCAAATCTCATTCTTTCACAGAAAAGACCCCATAAACGTGATTCATTTGGGAAGAGTTTTAAGCATAATTTAGACTTACATATTCATAATAAAAGCAATGCAGCAAAGAACCTGGATAAAACTATTGGGCATGGTCAAGTTTTTACCCAGAACTCTTCTTATAGTCACCACGAAAATACACATACAGGAGTGAAGTTCTGTGAACGTAATCAATGTGGAAAAGTCCTCAGCCTCAAACACTCACTCAGTCAAAATGTGAAATTTCCCATTGGAGAGAAAGCAAACACATGTACTGAATTTGGGAAGATCTTCACCCAGAGGTCACATTTCTTTGCTCCTCAAAAAATTCATACTGTGGAAAAACCTCATGAGCTTAGCAAATGTGTAAATGTTTTTACACAGAAGCCACTACTCAGTATATATCTGAGAGTTCATAGAGATGAAAAACTCTACATATGTACTAAATGTGGGAAGGCCTTCATCCAGAATTCAGAATTAATTATGCATGAGAAAACTCATACTAGAGAGAAACCCTATAAATGCAATGAATGTGGGAAATCATTTTTCCAGGTGTCATCTCTACTCAGGCATCAGACAACTCATACTGGAGAAAAACTCTTTGAATGCAGTGAATGTGGTAAAGGCTTCTCCCTGAACTCAGCCCTCAATATACATCAGAAAATTCACACTGGAGAGAGACATCACAAATGCAGTGAGTGTGGGAAAGCCTTTACCCAAAAATCAACACTCAGGATGCATCAGAGAATTCATACAGGAGAGAGGTCCTATATCTGTACTCAATGTGGGCAGGCCTTCATCCAGAAGGCACACTTGATTGCACATCAAAGAATTCATACTGGAGAGAAGCCTTATGAATGCAGTGACTGTGGGAAATCTTTCCCTTCTAAGTCACAACTCCAGATGCATAAGAGAATTCATACAGGAGAGAAACCCTATATATGCACTGAATGTGGGAAGGCTTTCACCAACAGGTCAAATCTCAATACTCACCAGAAGTCTCATACTGGAGAAAAGTCTTATATATGTGCTGAATGTGGGAAGGCCTTCACCGACAGGTCAAATTTCAATAAACACCAGACCATTCACACTGGAGAGAAACCCTATGTTTGTGCTGATTGTGGGAGGGCCTTCATCCAGAAGTCAGAGTTGATTACACATCAGAGAATTCATACTACAGAGAAGCCTTATAAATGTCCTGACTGTGAGAAATCCTTCTCCAAGAAACCACATCTCAAAGTACATCAACGAATTCACACAGGGGAGAAACCATATATATGTGCAGAATGTGGGAAAGCCTTCACTGATAGGTCAAATTTCAATAAACATCAGACAATTCATACTGGAGATAAACCGTATAAATGCAGCGACTGTGGAAAGGGGTTCACCCAGAAATCAGTTCTCAGTATGCATCGCAATATTCATACATGAAAGTAATCCTGTTTCTTGAAAATGAGAGCCTTATAAGGCTGACAAAAGTCAGGTCTAACTATATATTATAAAATTCATCCAAGACAGATCCTATATGAATACATTGTATAAGGAAAAGCATCAGGCTATCTCACTTGAGATGGAAAAAAATTATTCAGAAGAAACTCTCTTAAAAATGCATTGAAGGAGAGAGAATTTGCACAGCCTCATGAAATATAGTAAAAGTCATACTGGGAAAAATGTTGTCAGTTTGGTGTGTTAGGAAAAGCCTTCCTATAGAAAGTATTATAAGTTAAATTGTTACCAAATTCTTTATAGGAAGGAGAGTGCAAAATTATGTAAATGATGGTCAGGTTTACTGTGTTATATTAAGCAATTTAAAGTGATAACAAAATGAAAGGTAGTGCAGCAAAATAATATAACTGGTGAGTAGACCTACTTTCAGTTCCATAGGGTGTTTGTGGCAGAACACAGTGCAGAACAGGAGGAATATTACATTTTTTTTCAAATTTAGAATAATTATGTCCATCAAATGTTTCTTACTGAATATGTCTATCAAATATGTTTCTTATTGAATATTTCTATCAAGTGAATCCACAATTTAAAAGTCACTTTGGTTTTATATATACACACATCTGCAGATATAATTTTATAAGAACACACAAATATAATCCTGTCATTCGTACTGGTTTCCATGACATAGTATCTTGTTTTCTTTCATTGTGGTACAATGCAAAGTAGCCACAGATTCCTCCCATCCCAAGTAGCGTCTCTTTGTCTACTACTTGACTTTGAACTTGGCCACGTGACTTTCTTTGGCCAATGGAAATTAGCAAAGAGAATCAATAAGAAGCTTGAGAAGTGTGCAAAGCCTGCCTTGAAGCTTACCCTCTCTTGCTGCTCTTTGCAAACCTGAAGAATCTCAAATTGCCCTACTCGGGGGTGAGGAGCCACCACATGGAGCAGTGGTGAGCCAGCCTTGCTGAGGCCCCTTAGACCAAGTAGCCTGCCAATTGTCAGAATTGGGAGTGAGGTTTTCCAAGACCTCTAGCCCCAGCTGAGCCAGCCTAGCCCAGAAGAGCCATACCAGTTATTCCAGCTGATTTACAGAATTGTGAGATAAATAAAATGATGATAGTTTTAAGCAACATGAGTTTTGGGGTTAGTTTGTTGTACAGAAAATGCTAAGTAATATTTGAAAGTATATGTTTGGGGGAGGGGGCATAGTGGACCAAAACGTGACAAGTGGCATTGGCTTTGGGTCTGAGTGGCACGTAGAAACTGGAAAAACAGTGAGGAAAACTGTTTTTCCTCAAATAACAAAGGTTGGATAGTTGGCAACCCATGTTATTTAGTAGGGAAAGATACAGAAAAACAGTCATCACCATACTCTGTGGGAAGATAGAGAATGGACCAAACGAACTGGTGGATCTGGCTAAGGAGATTTGCAGCAGAATATGGGAAGTATCAGTTTGCTTCTTTTAGCTGCATATGATACGATACAGAAAGAGAGAAATGAACTAAAGAAATAACTGTTTCTTTGGCAAGCAGAATTCAGAAGAAATATGGAAAAGCCAAGGATTGCTGGGTTGAAAAATAATGCTTTCACATCACTAGTCTCTCCAGCTATCTAACTATTCGCAAGGTAAAAAATGGCCTCAGGGTAAAGATCAAATCATGGTTGTGTCTGTAAGACTCTTTATTACAGTGTGTGAAATAGTTCAGTTGGTGCTTAGGAGACCATCTCAGCTAAACTTAAGGGCTTCTAAAAATCTTCATGACGTTGTCCCATAGAAGCCTGACATACTACTCAAAGTGGAGAGAGACCTATCTTAAAAAGAATTGCTGATGTGGCATTTGGGGAAAGGAGTAGATCCAAACCAGATTCATAGGAAACTCACAAAGTTTTTAATAGAGTTTTACTAGTAAAACTACCTCCAGGTTGGACTTCCAGGGACTGAAACAGTTCAAAATGAAAAGTGGCCTCTGGATTCCCCTCCCTAACTTCTATGAATAGGATACAAGCTGAGAAAGTTACTCAGATGCAAACACGGTCCATTTCTTATGGAAAATGAAGGGCATCTCAGAGGGAAGACCCAAGAACAATATATTAAAATGAGCTGGGGAGCCGTTCCCAGGGAGAACTGTGCCCTAATCAAGAAACGTATCTGCCCCTGGAGCCAAGGGAACCGACAACATTTGCTCTGTGGGATTTCAGAATCGTTATGGAACAGTGACTGATATGTGCCTCATGGTCCTCCTCTTTTTGAATGGGAGTGTCTATTACAGTTATCCTGTACCTATCCCACCATTGTATATATTGGGTGTATGTTGGGGGGCATGTAACTTGTCATTTAGCTCACAGGTATCTGGATCAAGAAACTGAAAAACTGTACCCAAGGAACCTCAGCCACACCTGAACCTGATACAGAAGACTTGAGATTCTGGATTGGAGCTTGATGCCACAATTTTGGATGAGAAATTTGGAGGTCCTGGAATAGGGGTGAACACATTTTGCATGGGGTGGTAATGTGAATACTTTGTGACCAGAAGACACACTGTGTTAGGTAGAAAAATGCTACAGATGTCTTCATCCCTGTATATGTGTCCTTCTTCAGTCTTTATTTCTCTTTGTGTTTCAGTTAGGATAATTTCTATTGATCTGTCTTCAAATTCACTGATGTTTTTTCTCTCACCCTGGCTTTGTCAAGTCTACTGCTGAACCCATTGAAGGCATTCTTCAACTCAGTTATGTTTTATTTTTATTTGTAATATTTCCATTTGATTCTTACAATTTTCATATATCTGCTGAAATTCCCCATCTTTTCATGCATGTTCATGTTTTCCCCTTTACCCTTTGTCTTAGTCAGTTTGAGCTGCTATAATAAAGCACCATAGACTTGGTGGCTTATAAACAACAGAAATTTATTCCTCACAGTTCTGGAGCCTGGAAGTCTGAGATCAGAATCTAGCAAGGTTAGGTCTTGGTGACGGCCCTCTTCAAGGTTGCAAACTGCTCACTTCTTGCATTTTCCCATGTCTACAGCTAGAGAACTCTTTGGGATCCCTTTTATAAGGGCACCAATCCCATTCATGAGTTCTCCACCCACATTACCTAACTACCACCCAAAGGCTCCACCTCCTAATACCATCACATTGAGGATTAGGATTTTAACATATGAATTTTGGGGGGGATGCAATCATTCAGCCCATAATACCCTCTAACATATTAATCATAGTTATTTTTAACTCCCTGTCTGATAGTTCCAACTACTAGGTCAACTGAGTCTAGGTCTGTTGTTGTCTTCTCTTGCTCTTTTGCATCTAATAATTTTTGGCTGAATGTCACAGATGTTGTATGTAGGACAGTAGAAACTGAGGTAAATAGTAATTATTCCTGGAAACAGCCATGGTTGCCCTTTTGATAGGCCATTAGCATGGGGAGATTGAATCCATCTAATCAGGAGTTGGGCTGAGTTTGTGTTTCTTTGTTGCCAGTGTTACCTTTGCTGTACCATAGACTTAAAATTCCTCTATTGTTATCTTATGCTTGAGGTAGGCACTGGTTTGCCCAGAGAATTTTTATTTTTCCCAGACCACACTTGCCTTTAGGCCTGTAGGCCTTTCCTGTGTGCCTGCATCTCAGGGAGGGTCTCTCTCCATGTTGTTGCCTCTATGTTAGTAGTAGACAACTGTTATTACTTGGTTCTTGCTGACCTGGTGAGTTGGGGGGCAGGGGTTGTCTTGGGCCAGCCTCAGTTTTTGTCAGGCCATGAATCCCTGGGTCTTGAGGGTGGGATTTTTTAGTGATCCTGCCCTCTTCCACTGGTAGAAGGCCTTTAATGATCTGGGCCCAGGATGATTTCCTGCCCTTTTATCATGGGTGGAATTTTTTTTTCCATTTCCCTCACTCTAGTCACAGTGAATCTTTAACTGTGTCCTGAGGGCAACAGGGTTTGCTGCACTTCTTTTAGTGGCTTAAGGATTTTGTTCTGTAGGGGAGTAGGGTTTCATTGGAGCTTTGTGCCATTTCTATGTTAACAGCAGCCCCCTTGCAGGCCTACCCCATGGAGGTAGGCTTTCTCCAGTCTTCTTCCTTGTCCCCGTGTTTCTTGAGAGCACTCAGTGGATGACTATGGAGAAGAGCCTGCAAGCAGAGACCAACTACCCTTAGGTCTACAGCTCTCATGAGTCTCCCGCACTCAGCCTTTAGCAATTCATTAAAAATTCTTGTTGAATTCTTACTGCTTGTATAGTGGCCTCATCTTCCTTCCTGCTGTACCACAGATGGCCCAGGAGAGGCACTTGTCTTTTATTATATTTCAAGCTAGTTGGTTGCTCTGTAATCTTAGCTCTCTGATGGGTTCGAGAAAACTTATGTTTTTGCAGATTACCCAGCTTTGTTCTTGTTATAAAGATGGGAGCAGTGTTCTTTCCAGATGTCTACATGCTAGGCAGAAACTAGAAGTCTGGACAGTCTCCATGGTCTCCTACTATCAGAATATGTGCCCTTTTCAGTGTGACTTTGCCACTTCACCCATCAAGAGGTAGAATCTATTTCTTCAACCCCTGCAACTGAGCTTGGCTATTTTGTTGGCCAATGGGACATTAACAAGTATGATACAAGCAGAGGCTTGAGAAGTGCCTGCACAATGAGGCTTGCCCACTTTTGCAGCTCTTTGGAATCCTGAACCCATGTGTGGAAAAGCCTGAACTGTGCTGTTGGAAAATGAGAGCGATCACATGGAGCAGTAATGGAGCAAAGACCAGCCATCCCAGTTGAGATACCCTACACCAACCAGATTTTCAACTGCTGGACATATGAATGAAGCTATCCTAGGCATGCAGTCTTGGTCAAGGCAACTTTGGCTGGCAGTCTCTGAGATGACCCTGAATGATCCCCACCTCCTGGTATTCTCACTCTTATATAATCCCCTCCTCTTGAGTTTGGACTGGAATTAGTGACTTGGTTCTAGTGAATAGAATGAGGCAGAGGTAATGGGATGTCATGTTCAAGATTGGTTACAAAAAGACTGTGGCTTCCATTTTGGGTGCTTGCTTACTCTCTCAGATGGCTCATCATAGGGGAAACCTGCTGCTACATCATGAGATAGCCCTGTGGAAAGGTCCACATGAGTGAACTTTGAAGCATATCCTCCCCCAGTTTAGCCTTTAGATGAGGACCACAGCCAAATAGCTTGACTGTAAGCCAGATAGCTTGACTCATGAGGGACCTTCAGCCAGAGGCATCTTTTGAGCCATACGAATTCCTGACCCATAGAAACTGCAAGACAATAAATGTTGTTTTAAGTTGCTAAATTTTAGGGTAATTTGTTACACAGTAATAGGTTAATAATACACTGGCCCAGATTAGGAAGGTTCTGCCATCCATCCCAGCCATCCCAAACAACTACCAGAATAATGGATTAAAACGTTAACTGTTTTAAGTCACTAAGTTTTGGGCAGCATGATAACAACCCAGCAAAAAGCTAACTGATACATTGATTATTTATTGCATTTCTTCCTCCACTATTCTTCTCTAACAGATGACCAATACTAATAAACTACTGTGAACACTTTCATGTTTTAATCTCTGCTCTGTGCTCATAATCATATATAGACATACATACGTTCCCATGCTTGTAATCAGAAGTTATATAAGATTGTTTCCTCCTTTGATTTTCAAAAATGGGATCATAACATACAACCATCTCTGCAGCTTGCTTTATTATTATTCAACAATATTTGTTTTGAATGGTTGCATGATAGTTTATGGGGTGGATGTACAATAATGTATTAAACTATTTGCATTGTTAAAATTTATTCACTCCCATTTTCAACCCTTTTTTGTCACTGGGAACAATGCTGCTAAAAATATTAAAAGATAGTTTGCATAGTGGTTAGGTAGATAGGCTCAGGAACCCATCTGCCAGGGTTTCAATCCTGGCTCTACCAATTTACTAGTTTATGTGACCTTGGGAAAGTTAGTTAACCTCTGTCCTGATGGTTTTCATCTATAAAAGATGTACACACTACCACCTATCATAGATTTGACTAAGAAGCATATTTCTTTCCTCGGGCTGCTATAACAAAGTACCACAAATTGGGCAGCCTAAAACAGCAGAAATTGTCTCATTGTTCTTGAGGCTGGAGATCCGAATCACGGTGTCAGCAGGGTCATGCTCCCTCTGAAGGTGCTAGGGAAGGAACGGTTCCATGCCTCTCTCCTAGCTTTTGAGAGCTTCAGGTGTTATTTGGCTTATAGATGCATTATTCCTGTCAGATGGCTGTTTTCTCCCTGTGTTTCTTCACATCATGTTCCCTCTGTGTGTCTGGCTCTCTTTCCAAATTTCCCCTTTTATAAGGACACTAGTTATATTGGAGTGGGGTTCACTTTAATGGCCCCATTTTAACTTAATTACCTCTGTACTCTATTTCCAAATAAAATTGTATTCTGAGGTTCTGGGGATTAGGATTTCCACGTATCTTTTTTGCAGGTACACAGTTCATTAACAAGAAGTTAATGCATATTGTGTAGAGCTCTTAGAACTATGCATGGAGAGAATTTCTTAATGGGTATTAGATACACCTCACTTCCTGAGCCCGCACAGGTCCCCCTACAACTCTCTGTGCTTGGGACACTGAGGTGGGATTTGAGAGCTTGTTTCCGGCATCTTAGTGTCATCCAGCTATCTAAAGAAAATGTAGGGAGTAACAGGAAAAGCAGGCCTAAGACCAAAGCTTGTGCTTTGGGTCGAGAAGGATATGCCTATAGAAGATAATGAGAAGGAGCAGCCAGAGAGGTAAAAACATACCAGGTGAGCAAGGGGCTCATAGAGAACAGTGTTTCCAACAAGTGTTTTAATGGAGGACTTGTCCAAATTAGACATCAATTCATATGAGGATGGAAAATTGGTTCTTGATTTTATGACACAGAGGTTGTTGTTGGCTTTGATGAATGCTATTTTGGAAGTAAATTTAAACAAAGCAATTGAGCAAACTCAGAGGAATTTCTGAATTCAGGTGGTGTTACTTCACCATGAAGCAATTTTTCTCATAGAAAAATATCAAGCCATTGGACTAGATTATTCTGTCGTTTGGGTTATACTGAGAAATAAGAGTTGGCTAAAGTAGAAATTACATGAGATTTGGAAGGTCAAAGGGAAGGAGCAACTATTGCTGTGAAAGTCTTTGAAATTAGAGACAGTGAAGGACAGATGCAGAGGTACCCAGCAGGTTCCAGTTTTTCCTATCTTCCACTCTATATCCAGCCCTTCTTTCCATCTTCCAGCCCTGCTGACCAACAGTAGCCCCAGGTCTACCACCAGATGCTTGGCTGCAGGCTCACAAAAGCTTCTCATGGACTTCTCCACCAGCTTCTCATGGCAGTCCCACATCAGCAGCTAGATGTGCCTGGCTTCTCAGATTTTCCTGAAAGCTCTGATTTATCCACCCATGCTAATGTCTCAAAAGGGCTGGTTTAGTGATTTCTTTAGTCTTCTAACTCCCCCTTCTAAACCTTCCCCAGCTACCTCTATAAATTGTGCATGCATCCCTTATTCCATAATGCTCATAGTTATTATGCTTCCCTGATTGACATATTTATACTTTCTTTTCCTGAGAATTTGGTAGATGCTGCTCTTCTAAAATTGAGTGATGTTATTAAGAAGTCTTAGACAAACTTGCTCTCTTTTTTCTTGTATATAATGTGCCTTTCTGCCATATGATTCTTTTTTTATTCTTGAAGTTAAGGATCTATGGAAGCATATGCTTTGGTCCTGATCTTTGTGTATTAATTTTACCTGAGTTATAGTGAGCCATTCCAATCATTCATTTCAAGGAAGTTTTATTTTGCTTAACATTTTTTCTGATCCATTTCTTCTCTTCTTCAGGGACATCAATTATGCATATGTAAGATGTCTTTGTCACCTTCTACATTCATCTTCTACCAATCAACATCCATTTCACATCATTATTCTTTTCAGTTTTGTGTGATTGACTCTAGCCTTGTCTTCAGAGACAATTCTCCTTGAATCTCATGTTCTTCATGTTTAGACATTAACAAGCAATTTGCTCAGATTTATTTACATTCCAGGATAGTAAAGATAGAGAATGTCTCCCTCCCTGGAGACTTTCCCAGAGAAGATTTGGTTGCATTCCAGGTTAATAAAGATTATATATATATATACCCAAAGAAGAGGATGGACAATAAAACAATATAACATTATTTCCCTCACATCTTAATTATGTGTATTTTCAATCATGTAGAAATATTGAAAACACAGTACAACCTATATAACATCCATCTAGATTTAACAATTTATATGTAATTTTTCCTGAAATACCAGTGGTAAGTTATAGATATAACATTATAACCATAAATAATTGAGCATTCATCTCCTAAAAATAAGGACATTCTCCCACATACCTGGAATATCATTATCAATCTAATTCTATGATATATCCAGTCCATTTCCAAATTTCTCCCATTGTCCCCAAAACATATTTTACAGTTTTAATGAGGTAGAATTAGCATACAGAAAGTGGAACTTGTTTAAAGTGTACAATTTGATGAGTTTTGACGTGTGCACCTTTCCAACCATCATGACAATACAAATAATGAACATATCAATCACCCCAAAAAAGTTTCCTTATGCCTCTTTGTCATTCAGCCCCCTTTCCCCACATTCTTCCCACATCCACAGGCAATCATGGATCTGTTTTCTATTGTTATAGATTAGTTTGCGTTTCCTACAATTTTATACACATGGAATAATACTATAGGTACTCTTGTTTGGCTCCTTCCATCCAGCATAATAAGTTTGAGATTCATTCATGTTGTTATA
Source organism: Homo sapiens (assembly GCF_000001405.40). Classification (NCBI taxonomy): domain Eukaryota; kingdom Metazoa; phylum Chordata; class Mammalia; order Primates; family Hominidae; genus Homo; species Homo sapiens. The sequence goes on from NC_000023.11 coordinate 47,925,479, forward strand.
TGCGTCTATGTTCATTCCTTTTTATTGCTAAGTGTTATTTCATTATATGGACATACCAGAATTTGTTTATCCATTCATGTTTTGATGGAAATTTGTATTTCCAGCTTTTGGCTATTACAAATAAAACTGATGTGAACATTTGTTTACAAGTCTGTGTGGACATAGTTTTCATTTCTCTTGAGTAAATGCATAGGAGTGAATGGCTTAGTCATATGGTAGGTATATACTTAATTATTTAAGAAATTGTCAAACTGCTTTCCAAAGTGGTTGTACTATGTTACATTTTAACCAGCAGTATATAAGTGCTGCAGTTGCTTCATTGGGTATGATTATTATTTTTAATTTTAGTCATTTAATGGGAGTGTAGTGGTATTTCACTGTGGTTTTAGGTTACACTTCCCTAATAAGTAATGCTGTTGAGCATCTTTTCTTGTGTTTATGTACCATCTGTATACCATCTTGGTTGATGTGTCTTCTTAAATATTTTGCCAATTTGTAAACTCAGTTGTTCGTCTTATTATTGAGTTGTAAGTGTTCTTTATATATCCTAGATATATGTCCTTTGTTGGATGTACATTCTGTAAACAGTTTCTTCTAGGTTTGCCTTTTCATTTAAATAACAGAAGACCAAAAGTTTTTAATGTTAACAAGCTCAATTCATTTTTGTTTTCTTTTATACTTCATGCTTTTTTGGTCATGGTTAATAAATTTTTGCAAAGCTCAAGGTCATTAAGATAAAAGTTTTTAAAAAGATTTATGCTTTCTTCTAGAAGTTTTATAATATTGGCTCTTATATTTGGTTACCTAATCCATTTTTATTAATTTTGCATATGATGTAAATCCTTTCCAAAGATAAGGATTTAGGTTGATTTTGTTTTGCATATGGCTGTCCAGTTGTTCCAGAACCATTTGTTGAAAATGATAATGCATTGGATTGCCTTGATATATTTATCAAAAAATTAATTGATTGGTTCTATTTCTGCTCTAGTTTTCTATTATGCCAGTACCACTACTGCCAGTACTACACCATTACTGTAGCTTCTGTACTACTGTAGCTTCTGTACTACTGTAGCATTACTCTTTGCTGTAGCTTCATAAGTCTTGAAGTCAGATCATGCAAATCCTCTAACTTTATTCCTCTTTTTCACACGTTTTGGCTATTCTGGTTTTTCTTTGAATTTCTATATAAATTTTAGAATCACCTTGTCAGTTACTATTAAAAAAAAGCCTGCTGGGATTTTGAGATTGAACTGAATTCATAGATCTATATGGAGAGAATTGACATCTTAATTACATTGTTTTCATATCCATAAACAGGACATATCATTCCATTTATTTAGGTCTTTAATTTTTCTTAGAAGTGCTTTGTAGTGCTGGGCGCGGTGGCTCACGCCTGTAATCCCAGCACTTTGGGAGGCGAGGCGAGCTGATCACGAGGTCGGGAGACCGACACCATCCTGGCTAGCACGGTGAAACCCCATCTCTACTAAAAATACAAAAAATTAGCTGGGCATTGTGGTGGGCGCCTGTAGTCCCAGCTACTCGGGAGGCTGAGGCAGGAGAATGGCGTGAACCCGGGAGGCGGGGCTTGCAGTGAGCAGAGATGGTGCCACTGCACTCCAGCCTGGCCGACAGAGCGAGACTCCGTCTCAAAAAATAGTGCTTTGTAGTTTTCAAGTGTACAAGCCTTAGACATATCTTGTCAAATTCATCTCTAAATAATTCATATCTATGCTTTTGAATGGTACCAGTTATTTTTAAATTTCAATTTCCAATATTTCTTTGCTAGTACATAGAAATATAATTCACTTTTATGTGTTGATCTTGTATACGATAACCTTGCTAAACTCACTTATTATTTCTAGTAATTTTGTAAATCCTGTAAGCTTTTCTACACAGACAATCATGTCATCTGTGAAGTGTGATAGTTTCACTTCTTCCTTTCCACTATAGGCGCTCTTTCTTTTTTTGTCTTATTGCATTGACTAAAACCTACAATATAATGTTGAATAGAAGTGGTCAGAGTGTATATCTTTGCCCTTTTCTTGATCTTCAGAAGAAAACATTTAGTCTTTCACTATTGAGTATGATATTAGCTATATGTTTTTCATACATGATCTTTATCAGGTTGATGAAGTTGCCTCTACTCCTGGTTTGTTGATAGTTTATCAGGAATAGGTGTTAGATTTTGTCAAATGTTTTTTCTCCATCGAGATTATCATATAGTTTTTCTTTTTTAGTTTGTTAATTTTTTGAATTACATTGACTATTGATAGATTTAGTATTCCTGGAATTAAACTCTTCTTGGTCGTGACGTACTACCATTTTTATATTTCACTAGATTCACTTTGCTAAAAATTTTGTTAAGAATTTTTGCATATATGTTTATGTGGGATACTAGTCTATAGTTTTCTTTTCTTGTATTTTCTTTGTCCGCTTTTGGTATCAGGGTAATGCTGGGCTCACAGAATGAATTGGGAAGTGGTACCTCCCCTGAAAGAGTTAGTGTGGAAATGGTATTATGCCTCCTTTTAATGTTTGATACAACTTTCCAGTGAAGTCATTTGGTCCTAGAATTCTTTTGTGAAAAGGCTTTTAACTACAACTTCAATTCCTTAATAGTTAGGAAACTATTCAGGTTGTCATATTCTTCTTCATTAAGCTTTGTTTGTATATTTCAAAGAACTTGTCTATTTTACATAAGTTGTCTAATTTAGGAACGTGAAGTTGTTTGTCACATCCCCTTTTTATCTGTAGCATTGGAAATGATGTTTCTTCTCTCATTCTTGATATCAGTAATTTGTGTCTTCACTTTTTTTCTCCTGATCAGTCTGGCTACAGTTTCTCAATTTTATTGATTTTCTCAAGAAGCTTTTAGTGTCCTTGATTTTCTCTATTGTTTTTCTATTTTGGATTTTATTGATTTATGCTCTTTTCTTTATTATTTCCTTTTTCTGCTTATTTGACTTAAATGTGCTCATTTTCGGCCAGGCATGGTGGCTCACACCTGTAATCCCAACATTTTGGGAGGCCGAGGTGGGTGGATCATTTGAGGTCAGGAGTTCACGACCAGCTGTGCCAACATGGTGAGATCCTGTCTCTACTAAAAATACAAAAATTAGCCGGGTGTGGTGGCGCATGCCTGTAATCCCAGCTACTCAGGAGGCTGAGGCAAGAGAATTGCTTGAACCCGGGAGGCGGAGGTTGCACTGAGCCGAGATCACGCCACTGCACTCCAGCCTGGGCGACAGAGTGAGACTCTGTCTCAAAAAAAAAAAAACAAAAAAACAAAAAGAAGTGCTCATTTTCTAGTTTCTATGGTTGAAGCTGCAGTCACTGCTTTAAGATTTTCCTTCTTTTGTAGTATAAATTTTTAGTGATATAAATTATCCTCTAAGCACTCATTTAGTAGCAACTCATATATTTTGATGTTTTTACATTTTTACATTGATACTGTATTGTAACGATATTTTTACATTGTTTTTACATTTTCATTCATTCAAAATACTTCCTAACTTACTTTAGGATTTCTTGTTTGTCCCATAGGTTATTTAGAAGTGTATTATTCAGTATGCAAATATTTGAGTATTTTTTACTTATTTTTCCCTATGATTTATAATTTGATTCCATTGTGGTCAGAGAACATACTTTATAGGACTTGGATACTTACAAATTAACTGAGATTTCCTCTATGGCCCTGAATATGGTCTGTATTGTTAAAAAGTTCCATGCATACTTATAAAGAATATGTATTCTACTATCATTGTATGGCATGATCGATGTTAATTAAGTCAAGATTTTTGATAGTGTGGTTCAAGCCTTCTATAGACTTACAGATTTTCCTATACAGTAGTCCCCCTCTTATCCACGGGGGATATGTTTCAAGACTCTGAGTGGATGCCTGAAACCATGGATAGTACTGAACCCTATATACTGTTTTTCTGATCAGATAACCAATATGGCTACTAAGTGACTAACAAGTGGATAGCATATACAGCATGAAGATGCTGAAAAAATGGAGGATTCACTCCCAGGCAGGACAGAGTGGGATGGTGTAAGATTTTATCATGCTACTGAGAACTGTGCACAACTTAAAACTTACGAATTTTTAATTTCTGGAAATTTCCCTTTGATATTTTTGGACTGCAATTGACTGTGGGTAACTGAAACTATGGAAAGCAAAATCACAGATAAGGGGGGACTACTGTATTTATTCTATCGATTATTGAGGGAGAGGTATTGAAATCTCTAACTAAAATTATATTTTTTCTATTTCTCCCTTTAGTTATACCGGTTTATACTTTGTCTATTTTGAAGCTCTGTTATTGAGTACACAAGCATTTAGGATTGTTAAGTCCTCTTGTTAAGTAGACACTTTTATCACTATGGAATGACACTATTCTGGTAAAATTCTTGTATTACAATAGCCACTCCATTTTTCTTTTTCTCAGTTTTAGCAAGTATGTATTTTTCCACTACTATCTACATATCTTCTTATTTTAAAATGATTTTATACTTACAGGAGAGTTATAAAGATAACAGAGTGTTCCCATATACCCATCAGTCATATTCCCCTAATGTTAACATTATACATAATCCTGATAGATTTTCTCAAAATTAATAATAGTATTAATTAAACTACATACTTCATTGAGATTTCCCTTGTTATTTTATTACTGACTGTGAGTTTGGAGGTCCCAAAGACCACCTTCAGATTCAATAATCCACTAGAAAGACTCACAGAACTCTGAAAAGCCACTGTACTGACAGTTACAGTTCATTACAGTGAAAGGATACACACTGAAATCAACAAGGGGAAGAGGCACATCAGGCAGAGTCCAAGAGACACCAGGCATAGAGTTTCTAGTTGTACTCTCCCAGTAGAGTAATGCAGATAGCACTTATTTCTATGAGCAATGATGTATGACAATACACATGGAATATTGCCAACCAGGCAGATTACCTGAGCCATGTCTAGAGTTTTTATTGGGAGTTGGTTACATAGACATGACTGAGTGCCTGCATTGCTGACCTTAATTCTCCAGATCCTCCAGAGGTTAAGCGATACTGCATGGCTGAAGACCCCCAGGTAACCAAGGACATTCTTATCAAGCAGGACATTCCAAGGGCTTAGAGGTTACCTCCTAGGAGCCAGGAACAGAAAACCAAAACTTCTTTGAGCAAGATTAATCCTTTACTGCATACTGACCTTTTCTGTTCCAGGATCCAATCCAGGATATCACATTGCACTTAGTTGTCATGTTTCCCTAGTCTCTTCCAATCTGTGACAGCTCTTGGTCTTTCTCTTTCATGACCTTGATGCTTTTGAGGAATAGTCATGAATATTGTAGAATGTTCCTCAATTTGGTTTCATCTGATTTTTTTTTATCATGAGCAGATTGAGGTTATGAATTTGAGGGATGGATATCACCAAATCTTAGTCCCTTCTTATTGAATTATTTCAGGAAACAAGATTATGTCAACATGATTTATTACTAGTAATGTTAATCTTTATCACTTTGTTATGATGTTGTCTCCTGAGTTTTTCTGTTGCAAAGTTATTACTTTTTCTCTTTCCATACTTTTCATCAGAAGTGAGCCAAAGTCCCACTCATACTAAAGGGGAGTGGCATTAAGCTCCACCTTCTGGACAGAGGGGTATCAAAGACTTTGTGGTCATATCTTAAAATTACCACAGGGGAATTGCTTTGATGTTACACAGATAATCTGTTTCTCCTTAAAAGTTTTGCCCAGTAATTTCAGCATTCATCAGTGAATCGTGCCTTCAGCAACTACTGTGTTTTTCTAATAGTGATTTTCTGTTTCCTTCATTGCTTTCACAATTGTTAATTGGGATTCTTCTGTAAGGAAGATATGTCCTGTCTCCCCTGCTTATTTGTTTATTCAGTCATTTACTTATGTCAGTATGGATGAAGGGACATTTATTTTATTCTTTGTATTATAATCGAATAGTACATTATTAATTATGTGGCACAAATTGTTACAGGTTTGGCTATTGTTAGATCTTTCAGGTTGGTTCTTGTGTTCCCTTTACATGACCCCATCCTTTTATTGGTAGTTGCGGGGGGCATTTTCTTACTTCCTGGAACTATAAGGTGGTCCAGGCTCATCTTGTATTTTCCTTGTCCCAGACAAAGAATTCGCTATTTATTTCTCCAAGGAGATCTGGTTCCTTTTGCTGGAAAATGGCATTTGGAAATCAAGCTCTTAAGATTAGGTGTGTTCATTGTTACTGGTGTGTCGCTGCTAGGAATGTCACAGAGCTAGGAAATTCATGTATGTATTCTAATCCATGTGTGCACACATACCTATTTTTATTTCTTTAGCTATTTATCTGTACACATTTAAATATAAACATAGCCAGGCGCGGTGGCTCACGCCTGTAATCCCAGCACTTTGGGAGGCCAAGGCAGGCGAATCACCTGAGGTCAGTTGTTAGAGACCAGCCTGGCCAACATGGTGAAACCCCATCTCTACTAAAAACACAAAAATTAGCCGGGTGTGGTGGCAGTCGCCTGTAATCCCAGCTACTTGGGAGGTTGAGGCAGGAGAATTGCCTGAACCCAGGAGGCAGAGGTTGCAGTAAGCCAAAATCATGCCACTGCACTCTAGCCTGGGTGACAGAGCAAGACTCCGTCTCAAAAAAACAAAATAAATAAATAAATAAATTAATTAATTAATTAATTAAAAAAACATAAGTTCATACTGACATCTCCAGCTCAAACCCAGCACTACAGGGTTCCTTCTAGCCTTCTCCCTGCCCTTGCTTATTTTTACTTCTTTCTCCATAAGTCAGGAAAGAAAAACAGTTGACTACATTTGTGTTGGCCTATTTGGGGGTTCTCTATTCTGTTCTTTTGATCTTTATTTCTGGCTTTTTGTCAATACCACACTTTCCTCATTACTGTAGCTCTACAGTGAGTCTTGAAATTGGGTAGTTCAAGTTCTCCAACTTTGTTTTCTCTTTTCAGAATTGTTTTGGCTATTTTTGCTCCTTTATTTTATCATGTTAATTTTAAAATCAGCTTGTTGGTACCTCAAAAGGGCTTTCTGGGAATGTGATTGAGATTATGTTGCATCTATAGATAAAATTAGGGAGAATTGCTATCTCAACTATATATATATATATATATTTATTATACTTTAAGTTTTAGGGTACATGTGCACAACATGCAGGTTAGTTACATATGTATACATGTGCCATGTTGGTGTGCTGCACCCATTAACTCGTCATTTAACATTAGGTATATCTCCTAATGCTATCCCTCCCCCCTCCCCCCACCCCACAACAGGCCCCGGTGTGTGATGTTCCCCTTCCTGTGTCCATGTGTTCTCATTGTTCAATTCCCACCTATGAGTAAGAACATGCAGTGTTTGGTTTTTTGTCCTTGCGATAGTTTGCTGAGAATGATGGTTTCCAGCTTCATCCATGTCCCTACAAAGGACATGAACTCATCATTTTTTACTCCATGAGCATGGTCTGTCTTTCCATTTATTTAGATCAGGGGTGTCCGTCCAATCTTTTGGCTTCCCTGGGCCACATTGGAAGAAGAATTGTACTGGGCCACACATAAAATACGCTAACAATAATGATAGCCGATGAGCCAAAAAAAATAAATCACAAAAACATCTCACAATGTTTTAAGAAAGTTTACGAATTTGTGTTGGGCCACACTGAAAGCCATCCTGGGCTGCATGTGGCCCGCAGGCTGTGGGTTGGACAAGCTTAATTTAGATGATCTTTTATTTTTCTTTTTTAAATTTTTCAGCATATAGATCTCACACATATTTATGTATACACACACACACACCCCTAAGTACTTCATTTTTGGCAATATTGTAGATGTTATATTTTAAAATTTCAAATTCTGATTGTTCATAGATAGTACATAGGATACAACTGACTTTTGTATATGACAACGTATCCTGTAACTTTGCTAGCTCACTTACTAGTTCTGGGTAATTTTTTTTGTAGATTTGTACTATTTTCTACATAGACAATAACGTCTGGAAATAGAGTTGTATTTCTTCTTTTCCAATCTGAATGCTTTTTATTTCTTTTCCTTATCTTATTGCGCTGTCTAGAACTTGTAGCATAATGTTGAATAAGAATGATCAAAGAGGACACCTTTGCCTTGCTTCTGATCTTAGGGAGAATGCATGCAATTTCTCTTCATTCAGTATGATATAACTTGTAGGTTTTTGTAGATGCCACTTATTGGGTTAAATAATTTTCATTCTATTCCTAGTTTGCTATGAGTTTTTAAAAATCACAAATGGATATTCAGTTTTGTCAAATCCTTTCTCTGCATCTACTGAGATAATTATACGATGTGTTGTATTTAGCCTGTTAATATGGTGAATTACAATGATTGATTTTCAAATGTTGAAACAGCCTTGCATTCCTGGCATGAACCCCTTTGTTGTGATATGTTTTTATATCTATATATAAAATCATATTTACATATATCTATATATAAAACGAATATTTTGGGGAAGATTTTTATGTCATGCTCGTGAGGGATATTGGTCTACAGTTTTTTTTCCTGTCGTATCTTTTTCTGGTTGTGGTATTTGGGCAATGCTGGCCTAATAAAATGAATTGGGAAGTGTTCCCTCCTCTTTTTTCTGGAAGAGTTTATGTGTTGTGAAATTTTGGCAAGGATATGGAGCAATTGGAACTCTCATGCGTTGTTTGTGGGAACGTAAAATGGTACAGCCTCTGAGGAAACAGTTTGGTGGTTCCTCAATCAATCAAATGTGTAGAATTATCATATGACCCATTAATTCTACTCCTAGGTATATACCCAAAATACAGATTCTCCTTGACTTATGATGGGGTTATGTCCTGATAAACCCACTATAAGTTGAACTATCACAAGTAAAAAATGCACTTAAACATTCCTAACCTACTGAACATCACAGCTTAGCCCAGCCTACCTTAAATACACTCAGAACACTTACATTAGCCTACAGTTAGGCAAAATTATCTGGCAACATAGAACACAATAGAGTATTGGTTGTATATGTTGGGTTATTGTAAACCACAAAAATAACCAAGTTTCTTTGTCAATTGTGTTTCTAACTGTATCCAAACTGGACATTTTGTTATTTACAGACAATTGTTATTTTGTTTTAATTCTCTTCAAAACATGGTTTATATTCAAGCTGTGGGACTTTAACAGGTGCTCTCAAATGCAGGTTTCCAACAACAACACACACACACAAAAGAAGTACAGAACTCATAAAAAGCGAAAATGTTTATAAATATCAAGATATCAAGCAAAACAAAAGTTAATAAAATTGATTAAACCAATAAAAAGCAAAAACAAGTTTTTACCTTTTGCTTAGAACACTGCTAATCCTTATCTTACTTTTCGAAGTCAAGAAAACTTGTCTTAAGCTAGCTACAGCCTTTAACAACTAAGTAAATTATACTCTTGTAAATAGGATTTAAAGTGTGTTTGTTTCTCTCTACCTAGTTCCTCTACAATTTGAAAACTAGTTATAAGTTTTCTTAAATTACAACAATATCGTTGTTTGCATCAGTGCAATAAGACTCTGTTTTCTTTTGTAACAGAACGCAATGGGAAAAACTGGTTGTTTTACCAAGGCTTTGACTGGAATGGTGTGCTCTCCTTTAAGGAATCAAACTTAACTTATGGAACCAATAAAGCCCTTGGAAAACTGGCCTTATATTTTGTGTACACAGTCCCTGTACAGGGTTTGTGATCTGTAGTAAGTAAAGAATGTCACTTTCTAACAGGCCAGGAACCCCAAGTTATCTTAAAACCTCAAGAGAAAAGGAATTTGCCCAACTCATAGGTATTTGATAGTACAAATCCATGGCTGGGCTCGGCTTTAAAAAGTCTTATCCCAAATTCCTTCTATGAAACAAAGTTCCATCAAAGCCAATTTAAAAGGCCTATATAGCAAATAATTATTCTTGCTGCACTGTATACAAATAATTAAGCCAAGTATAATAAAGCAAACCAGTCCTACCATAATTTGTCTTTTAATAAAATGGGAAACTGGAGAATGAAAATTATGTTTCAAAAACTGTAGCACACCTGTTGTTAAATTCTAGCCTTGCGTAATGTTTTTCAATTTTTATCATTTGCTACAGTTTAAATTATATCCTTTAGAAAAACCAACTCCTGGTTACATCACACTCAAGTCAAAGCCTGAAAAGCTAAGGAAGCAACCCCTAACAGCCCAGAGAAACATCCTAAATATCAATGTAAAGAAATAAGAAATCTTAAGCTGAAAATCCCAAAAATAAGTAACTGAGTGAGAATTACTCATCTTACTCAGTCTCACCCCTACAAATACTTTTTGTCGTTTCTCTCCTTTTAAGCCAAATATTAAAACCTTTTTAATGGAAATTATTTACTATGCCACCCTTGTGGGAATTGCTTTACTCACTCTACTATTTGCAGTAGGACTATATGCTGTAGCACCCTCAGGGTGGAATATCAGAAAATCTCAATTACTGTAGCATTTTGCTTAATTATTAGCCTCATAGCAGGAATAACAGTTACTAACAAAAAAATAACACACGGGCCTTTCCAAACATGCGGCTCTGCCTCTCATTGGGTGAGGAATGTTTCTATCTCAACCAGTTGGGCCCAGTAAAACGTGCTGCTGAAAAACTAAAAATAATAATAATAAAAGGGGGGCTAAAGAGCTAAGGAAATACCAAAACAACCAAATAAATTATTGGTTTAAAAACAAAATCACAGCATGGGTCAACCCATTCCTGGGCCCTCTCCTAATAATATGCCTAGGACTAATGTTCTTGCCCTGCCTAATTAACATTTTTCAAAGATTTTTAACTGACAGGATCACGGCCACCTCACAGGCAAGTACCCAAAAACATCTACAGATGGTGTTGCTCCAGCAGTCAATCCGAGACCAAGAAACTCTCCGCCCCACCCCTCAGCAGGAAGTAGCCAGAAAGAACACATCGCCCCTTGTCCTTTTATAACTATAGGGTCTGCAATGACAGAGCAGGAGTACTGTCATCTCAGACAAACACCGCCACTTTCAGTTCCAGCTCCCTTTCTATCCTCATGCATTTCAAGGAAATCACTTCTCTCCTAACTGCAAGCAACCAGAAAAGAGCAGACAGTAAAATACAGATAAGACAGCTCAGGCACTGAGCTGGGGCGGGCAGCGGCAGGGGCGGGCGGCGGGGGATGTCTCTTGGGTAACTGCCAAACTTCACCGTCATACAATGGGCCCCATGAAACAGTGGGTCTTAATAAGCACATTCCTTCCCCTTCAGGTGCAGTAAGATAGGGAAGCTAAAAGCAGACTCTCCGGGGGGCGGGGGGAGGGGTGCGGCGGTATGCCTGCAGCTGCAGGAAGATGTATGGGGACAGACACATAAGTCTCCCTCCCAGATAAGCACAACTAAGAGACACAAAAGCAGTCAAAGTCTCTGATAAACTCTCCTGCCCTAAATCCTTAAAAACTCTTACCCCTCTCAGGTGTATTTCTCTAAAATGAACCTGTCTTTGACTGTTGAGCCACCTTTCATGTTTCTTTCCTCTTTCTTTAATTCTTACAGTATACCCTTGTGAACACATGAATGACTGGGAGCTGTGGCTCGCTACCACTGCCCAGCATTGTGAGAGACTGTCATACCACTTTCTACTCAATGTGTCATGTTTACACCATTGTAAAATTGAAACGTTGTAAGTTGGGGGACCATCTGTAATTGAAAACAGGTGTTCAAAGAAAAACTTGTACACTTACATTCGTAGAAGCACTAGTCACAAAAACCAAAAGATAGAAACTACCCAGTGTCCATCAACCAATGAATGGATAAACAAAATGTGGTATATCTATACAATGGAATATTATTCAGTTATAAAAAGGATTGTGTCATGGATATGTGCCACGATATGGATAAACTTTAAAACTATGCTAAGTGAAAGAACCCAAACACAGAAGGCCACAGTATTTTATGATTTAATCTATATGGAATATCCAGAATAGGCAAATCTGTAGAGACAGAAAGCAGTAGTGGTTGCCAAGGGCTGAGGTGAGAGAGTGGGAAGTGATTGCTTAGTGGGTATAGAGTTTCCTTTTTGTAGTGATGAAAATATTCTGGAATTAGATAGTGATGATAGTTGCTCAAATTTGTGAATATACCAAATGAATAACCATTAAAATGGTTAGAATGGTGAATTTTATATGTATATTTGACCACAATAAAAAATGGATCATAGATCTAAATGTAAAACATAAAAGTGTAAAACTTCTAGAAGAAAACAAGGAAGAAAACCTCATGATCTTGGGTTTGCAAAGATTTCTTAGATATGACATGGAAAAGCACAATCCATTAAAATGTATTGATAAATTGGATTTTTAAATAAAAACCCTGTGCTGTATTAAAAGAAAACAAGCCAAAGACTAGGGTAAAATAATTGCAAAACATATACCTGACTCATATTAAGAATATGTAGATCAGGCATGGTGGCTCATGCCTTTAATCCCAGCGCTTTGGGAGGCCAAGGCAGGAGGATTGCTTGAGCCAGGAGTTTGAGACCAGCCTGGGCAACATAGTGAGACCTCATCTCTACAAGAATAAAAAACTAGCCAGGCATTGTGGTGCATTTCTGTAGTCGTACCTACTGGAGAGGCTGAGGCAAGCGGATCTTGAGCCCAGGAGATCAAGGATACAGTGAACTATGATTGTACCACTGCGTTCCAGCATAGGCAACACAGCAAGACCCTGTCTGAAAAAAATATGTAAAACAACTCTCAAAATGCTATAAGTAAACAACCCATAAAAATGGGCAAAAATCTTGAGCAGATGCTTTACCAAAAAATGACAAATAAGCACATGAAAATATGTTCAACATTATCTGTCATTAGGGAAATGCAAACTACAACCACAACTAAATACCCCTACACACCTCTTAGAATGGCTAAAATAAAAAAGTCTGACCATACCAAGTACTTTAAAGGATGTGGGCCAACTGGAGCTCTTATACATTACACAGTTTCATATAAAATTAATCATACCACTCAGCAATCCCATTTTTAGGTATTCCACCCAAGATAAATAAAAACTTATATACACACTAAAACCTGTGCATGAATGTTTTAAGCAGTCTTACTCACAATTGTCAACCTGGAAAGAACTCAAACGCCCTTCAACTGGTGTATCATGACTGTGGTGATGGCTCCACACATTTATCAAAACCCATAGAAATGTATACCAAAAGAAGCAGATTTGACTATATGGAAAATTTTTAGAAAGGATTTGGGGGGGAACCCAAAGTGGAACACAAACTTTAAAAAATGAACGCAACTATCTTTGGCCAGGCACAGTGGCTCGCACCTGTAATCCCAGCACTTTGGGAGGCCGAGGCAAGCGAATCACTTGAGGTCAGGGGTTCAAGACCAGGCTGGCCAACATGGTGAAACCCCATCTCTAAATACAAAAATTAGCCGGGCGTGGTGGCGCGTGCCTGTAGTCCCAGCTACTCGAGAGGCTGAGACATGAGAATTGCTAGAACCTGGGAGGCAGAAATTGGAGTGAGCCAAGATCGTGCCACTGCACTCCAGCCTGGGTGACAGAGCGAGACTCCATCTCAAAAAAAAAAAGAAAAAAGAACCCAACTATCTTATAAATTAATAACACTACACTGAAGGGGGTGGGCAGAAAAGACAGAAATACATAACTTAGGACATAGTACTTTTATTGGATACTGTAAGGGTATAGACAAAAAACATTATTCTCTAGTTAGTAAATTTGTTGTTCTCAGGGGTATGAGTTAGCAATTCTGAAAGTTCTTTATGTTAATACTAGAGTTGAACAAGTAAGTAAATATATCATAGTTAGTGAGAGCTAGATTTCTCACTGTTATAATTAAGGAAATGGGAAAGGCTGGAATGAATCCTGTGGTGTTGGATTGGAATCAGAGGTGGAGAGAGAGAGAGAGACAGAGAGAGAATGAGAATGAATATATGTGCATGCATGGGTTAATATATATACATATATTTCCAAGCTTTCAAGTTAGCTGAGAGGGTCTAGAAGCAATAATAACTCAGTACCAGTGAGCACATATAGCAGTCAGATCTTGGTTTTTAAATACCATTCTCTAATAAAAGGAACCAGGGTTCCATGAAAAAGTAGTTGAATTGGAGCACCTTCTAGTCTGAAAAGGTAATGAAGTGCTTTTTTAAAAAGATGGAGGCATATCAAAAGAGCACCATAAACTAAACTGAAAGAGCTTGCAGTGGCCAAAGCTGGAATAATTTGAGACAGAAAATAAATAATGATAGATTATAACCCATAGATTAAAATAAATATGTGTGAGTCTAAATTGTTGTAAATAAATAATTGAATAAATAAATAAATGGGGGTAAAAGGGACAACTCTTCCTTACTGAATAATTCTAATTAACAAATGTAGAAAGAGTGAGGGAAGTAGAAAATTGTTATTAGAATACTACAGTAATAATTGTTGCAGGGAAGATTGACCCATGGGTGCTAAAATTAGTGGGTAAAACCTTGATGAGAAAGTGTATTCACATAGTTTCAAAGTACCTTCCCAAGATATTTATTAATTACAAAGGAAAAAATAGTAACTTTATGGTGAAGGAACCTAGTAGATACCACTGGGTTAATCAAGTGATCTAAGTTAATATCACCAGTAAGATGATGTAGCCATTATGTGACCACTGATATAATGCACTGAGAAGGACACATTGCTTCTGTAGTATTCTTGCCAAAAATGTGTAACCTCAATCTAATAAGAAGACAGGCTGGGTGCGGTGGCTCACACCTGTAATCCCAGCACTTTGGGAGGCCGAGATGGGTGGATCATCTGAGGTCAGGAGTTCAAGACCAGCATGGCCAACATGGTGAAAACCCGTCTCTACTAAAAATACAATAATTAGCTGGGCATGGTGGTGTGCACCTGTAATCCCAGCTACTCTGGAGGCTGAGGCAGGAGAATCGCTTGAACCCAGGAGGCAGAGGTTGCAGTGAGCTGAGATCGCACCATTGCACTCCAGCCTGGGCGACAAGAGCAAAACTCAGTCTCAAAAGAAAAAAAAAAAAAAAGACATAAGATAAACTCAACTTACAGGACATTCTGCAAAATAGCTGACCAGTACTCTTCAAAAGTGTCAAGGTCATGAAAGATAAAGAAAGAGGAAGGGCCTCCCACAGATTAGTGGAGACTAAAGTGACATGAAAACTAAATTCCATGTGGTATCTTGAATTGGATCCTGGATCTGAATAAGGGACATTAGTGGAAGAACTGGCGAAGTAGGAATAAAGTGTGTAAGTCAGTTAATAATATTGTTCTAATGTCAATTTCTACTTTTTATCATTATATCATAGTTATAAAACATGTTAACATGAAGGGAAACTTGGTGAAGGGAATATAAGAACTCTGTACTATTTTCTCAACTTTTTTATAAGTCTAAAAGTATTTCAAAATAAACAGTTAAATAAAAGTTCATGAATGATCATGATTTAAGAAATCTAGGTGTGGAATTGTTGGTCACATGGTAAGTATATGCTTAACTTTACAAGAAACTGTTTAACTATTGAACTGTTGACCTTTACAAGAAACTGCTCAACCGAGGTGGTTATACCATTTCACACTCCCACCAGGAATTTATGGGAGCTTCAGTTGCTGTACATCTTCACCAACATGTGGTAGATCAATGTGTATTATGGTAGTCAGCTTCTAAGATGGCCACAATGATACCCACCTCCTCATATTCACTCTCTTGTGTAATCCCTTTCCTGAGTGTAGACTGGACTTACTGATTAACTTTCAATGAAGAGAATATAGCAAAAGTGATGTGAAGACACATCCAAGATTAAGTTATGAAAAGATTGTGGCTTCTGTCTTGGGTACTCTAGCTTGGATGACTTGCACTGGCAAAAGAAAGATCCCATGTTTTGAATAGCCCTATTAAGAGGTCCATATGGTGTAGCAAGGACCAAGATCCTTAGTTCATCAGCCCACAAAGAATTGAGGCCCTCCATTCAGGACCCATGTGAATGAGCTTAAAAGTGTGTCCTCCAGGTCCAGTCAATCGTTCTGATGACTGTATCCCCACGTGACATCTTGACTGCAGCCTCGTGAGAGACCTTGAGTCAGAGGCACCCAGCTATACCACTCACAGATTCTTAACCCACAGAAACTGTGACATAATTACTATTTGTTATTTTAAACTGCTAAGTTTTGGGGTAATTTGTTACTCAGTTAAACCACACTGAGATATTATCCTTTACCTATAACGTTGGCAAAAACAAAAACAAACACAAAAACACCCAGTTGATGAGAGAGGGGGCACATGCAGTCTCATACAGTGATGTTGGAAGTGCAAAATAAAAATATTACAGCTCTTTTGGGGCTAATTTAGTGCTTCTAACAAAATCAGAAAATTATTTACCTTTGACTAAGCACTCTCACTTCCGGAAATTCATCCTACAGGTGTACAATGTAAAAAAAAAAAAAAAAAGTTGTCAAGAGAATAAAAAGACAAGTCACAGATTCTGAGAAAACATTTGCAAAAGATATATTATTCAAAAGATACAAAGAACTCTTAAAACTCAACAGTAAGAAAACAAACAACCCAATTTAAAAATAGGCAAAAGACCTCAACAGATACCTCACCAAAAAAGATATACAGATGGCAAACCAATAAGCATATGAAAAGATATTCTACATCATATGTCACTAGGGAATTGCAAATTAAAACAATGAGATGCCACCACACCTGTTAGAATGGCCAAAACCAGAACACTGATAAAACCAAATGCTGACAAGGATGTGGAGCAACTCTCATTCATTGCTTGTGAGATGGCAAAATGGTACAGCAACTTTGGAAGACAGTTTGGCAGTGTCTTACAACACTAAACACACTCTCATCATATGATTCAGCAATTGTACTCCTTAGTATTTACCCAAAAGATTTGAAAATTTGTGTCCATACAAAAACCTGCACATGGATGTTTGTAGCAGTTTTATTCGTAATTCCCCAACTTGGAAGCAACTAAAATGTCCTTTAGTAGGTGAATGAATGAATTGGGGTATATCCAGACAATGGAATATTATTCAGCACTAAAAAGAAAGATGCTATTAAAGCCATGAAAATGCAAGGCTGAGACTTAAGTGCATATTACTAAGTCAAAAAAGCCAGTCTACAAGGCTATGTACTGTATGATTCCAACTATATGACATTTTGGAAATGCACAACTATGGAGACAGTAAAAAGATCAGATTGTCAGAAGCTGGGGAGAAAGAGGGATGAATAGGCAGAACACAGAGGATTTTTAGGTCAGTGAAACTACTCTGGATGATAGTATAATGGTGCCTACATGTCATTTTACATTTGTTCAAACCCATAGAATGCACAACATAAAGTGTGAATCCTAATGTAGATGAGGCACTTTGAGTGATAATAATGTGTCAATGTAGGTTCGTCAGTTCTCACAGATGTATCTCTCTGGTGAGAGATATTGATAGAAGGGGAAGCTGTGGGGGAGGACAGGAGGAGTATGGGAACTCTCTGTACTTGCTGCTCAATTTTGCTATAAACCTAAAACTTCTCTAAAAATAAAGTCTATGAAAAAATAAAATATAGACATAGTTATATTGCAGCATTGTCTGTTTATACTATTAAAAGACTGGTAACTTAATTGCCCATCAATAGAAACAAAATATGGCAATATACACATTGGAATACACTGAAACCATGTAGAGACAGATCTCTAGAATATATTGAGAAGAGAAAACCAAACTAGGTATAGAACAGTGTAGTAAGCTCAATTTTGTGTGAGAAAGGGGGTTATATATCTATATATATGGGTTAAATATATATGCAATATACATTTATAAATATATATTTTTATCTATTTGCAAATTATACATATTTGCAAAAAGAAATTCAAGTAAACCCATGAGCTAATGAAGTAAAATTTTACCAGGATCTACGCATGTCTGTATGTGTTAGACTTAACTTATGTATTTTTATATCACATTGCTTTTTGAACCACATAAATGTATTACCAATGTATTACCTATTCAAGAAAAATAAAATAGTATAACCCTAGTGCGGGGGGAGTGGGAGAAGCTATTAGAGTTCCAAAAACACTCCCCCACCATCAGTTTCCCACTTAGTTAGGAAGTTATAGGTGTGAGTTGTAGGGAGGATTAAACAGCAAGAATATGGTTCACATGGACAGCCCCCACCCAGGCTACAATCCACTGTTGTTGGGCTTCCTGATGAATGTTTATGGAGAGAAAACACTAACAGAGATGGGGCCATTGTGTTCAGGGAACTAGATCAGTGTCCCTTCCTCCACTGGAACACAGGGTCCAGATCCCCTCCCCATCCTCACAGGCCTCTGAGAATCAAGAGACGTAGATGCTCTCTGAGATAATCCTTGTCTTCTGCTAGAGGCAGATGGCAAGCCGGGCTGGGAGAAGTCATGCCTCAACTTCCCATCTTTGTTCCTGAAAGCTCCTAAGGTGGACTCCACCCAACTTTCTTGCTGACCGCTGCTTTTTTCCTCCCTCTGTCCATGATCACTCATAGGCACGTCTGCAAATGTTACCTACTGCACCTCAAGTCTGTTTAATGCGACTTGGACTTGAGTAAGTCTGGACAGACTCCTGAAAATATCCTGCGATGGATGTCACAACAGGAGGCTCTAGAAGGGCTGGGAATGCCACCTCTTGATATGGCTGTTTGGGAGTAGCCTGGGAGATAGGTCTGCACATTGTCTTCTAGAGACCTTGAATCTGTGAATCCCTGACCCATTTCTGCCTCCCTGCAGTTATTTTGACTCAATTCCTAACCAAACCCTCCATCACCTAGGCCATATACTATTACCTGACAAACTTCAGCAGGACCACCTGCCTACCTTTTTTCCACATCTGTCTCCCCACCAGAACACAAGCACCTCAACTCCGCTCTGGTAGTGGGAGTGGGGTGGATTCCTGGAGCCCAGTAGCTCCTGTTGAACTGCTGAGAACTCAGCCCCTGACACCATAAACATCCCTCAGTCCCAGTGTTCCTTTTCCTCTTGCCCCTCAAAAACAATTAAGGCTCTTGAAAGGGCCAGAACTTCTGGTTCATGGAAAAATCCCAAAATAAAGATCAATGTGGTTATATCTATCAGAGGACATACCCCAGCATGATATTTCTCATTGCAGGCACAAGTCTCATTCCCTTCCTGATATGGTTTAGCTGTGTCCCCACCCAAATCTCATCTTGAATTGTAGCTCCCATAATCCCCACAGGTCATGGAAGGGACCCAGTAGGAGGTAACTGAATCATGGGGGTGGGTTTTTCCCATGCTGTTCTCGTTATAGTGAATAAGTCTCACAAGATCTGATGGTTTTATAAAGAGCAGTTCCCCTGCACATGCTCTCTTGCCTGCTGCCATGTAAGACATGCCTTTGCTCTTCCTTTGCCTTCTGCTGTGATTGTGAGGCCTCCCCAGCCATGTGGAATGTGAGTCCATTAAACCTCTTTTTCTTTATGAATTACCCAGTCTCAGGTATGTCTTTATTAGAAGTGTGAGAACAGACTAATACACTTGCCCTCTGTCTTTCCCTCTGTAGAGAACTCTCCCTCTGGCCCAACTCCACCAGTGCAGGTATCCAGGGCTGCCCTCCTAGGAACTCCCCCAGCTCCCAAGACACTGCCCCAAGGACCAGCCAACCACAGCTAAATCTATGCCCATCCCAGTATGTCCTGGCCCTCTGGAGCTAAACACTCAGAGACAGATACTTTGTGCTGACCATTGGGACATGGCCTCTGTCCCCTGAAGGATCTTTAGGAATGGGTCCCACAATCCTTTCTATTATCATTTTTGCTGTCCCAAATTTGATTTAGAAATATTAATATGAATTCATGATATATCTTCTCTTAAAATGTATATTTTCTCACTCTGTTTCATTAAAAAGAACTGGAAATCCAGAGCCATGAGCATGCGTAGCACCCAGACTGTGATCTCACATATCATTTCTCGCTAAGGCTCCTTGGAGAAATGTTGGATTCCAGGTCTGGACACCAAAGATACATGATAAACCTGGAAAATAGAACATCGGAAAGCAAAGACACTCTCAAAAAGTACTAAATTCATGTCAGACTCAGAAGCCAACCCAAATATGTTCCCATCAGCCAAAGATGGAACAACTATGCATCAATAGGAATAATAACTGTAATGGATTAAAATACACCAAATGTGTTTAAATTCATGAATTCACAATGATACTTTTAAAATATTGTTGGTCATCTTTGGAGGATGCTAGAGAATCATCTCATTATTTGATAATTGGTTTGAAAAGGAAATAATTAAGCATTTATCCTGACTTTCTTAAGTGAACTATACTTCAATGAAATGAGACAGTTATAGAAAGAATGAGAGAATTAGAGTTCACCATGGTGAATTAATGGATATAGAAAGTGATCATCAACAGGTGATACCATTATAACAAGAGAGATGACCAGCCGGCTGTGGTGGCTCATGCCTGTAATCCAAGCACTTTGGGAGGCTGAGGCAGGTGGATCGCTTAAGCCCGGGAGCTCAAGACCAGCCTGGGCAACATGGCAAGACACTGTCTCTACAAAAAATACAAAATTAACCAAGCTGGTGGCGCATGCCTGTGGTCCCAGCTACTTAAAAGGTTGAGGTGGGGCTGGGCACGGTGGCTCATGCTTGTAATCCCAGCACTTTGGGAGGCCGAGGTGGGTGGATCACGAGGTCAGGAGATCGAAACCATCCTGGCTAACATGGTGAAACTCCTTCTCTACTAAAAATGCAAAAATTAGCTGGGTGTGGTGGCGGGCGCCTGTAGTCCCAGCTACTCAGGAGGCTGAGGCAGGAGAATGGCGTGAGCCTGGGGAGGCGGAGCTTGCAGTGAGCCAAGATCGCGCCACTGCACTCCAGCCTGGGCGACAGAGTGAGACTCCGTCTCAAAAAAAAAAAAAAAAAAAGGTTGAGGTGGGAGGATCCCTTGAGCCTGGGAGGCAGAGGTTTCAGTTTGCTATGATAGCACCACTGCACTCCAACTTGGGCAACAGAGTGAGACCCTGTTTCAAAAAAAGAGAGAGAGAGAGATCACCAGTCAATATGTGTCTCTTGTAATGGTCTTCTATGCGATGGTCTTAAAAAAAAAAAAGAATAAAATTTGAATGTGATCAACCTCTAGATAAGACTGTCTATTTGTAGGAAATGCAAAGGATAGAAAAACATGTTTGACAACATCATAGGAATGTAACCAGCAATATGCATACTGTGGGAAACTGTACAGGACAAATGGCCTGGGTTTTGCAACAATAAATAAAATGTAAGAAAAACCATTATAGAAGAGAATCTATAGATTAAATACATGTAAAGAAATATCAACCATTTACAATGTGGTGCACCTTGTGGTGTATAGACCCTATGGTTACCTCATGATTCCTGTCACTTGGTATTCATGCCTTTCATAATTCCCTCTCCTTGAGAATAGACAGGACCCATGACTTGCTTCTAGCCAAAGAATATAGCAAAGGTGAAGGAATTTTGTATATATAGTCAAAATCACAGATCAGTTGATTTTGAGTTAATCAAAAGGAATACTGTAGTCAACTGTAACACAGTGGTAAGTATTTGTGTATCTAAACATAGAAAAAGTATAGCATAAAAGTTAAAACTGGTATACCTGTACAGGGCACTTACCATGAATGGAGCTTGCAGAACTGAAAGGTGCACTGATTGGGTCAGTGAGTGAGTGGTAAGTGAACATGAAGGCCTAGAACATTAGTATATACTACTATAGACTTTATAAACACTGTACATTTAGGCCACAGTAATTTTTTTCAAAGAGTTTTTCTTCCCCCAATAATAAATTAACCTTAGCTTACTGTAATTTTTACCTTATAAACTTTTTGTGTTTTAAATTTTTTAGAACTGTTTTACTCTTTTAAAATAACACTTAGCTTAAAATACAGTCACATTGTACAGCTATACAAAATATTTTTTCTTTATATCCTTACTCTATAAGCTTTTTTCTATTATATTTAAACATTTTATTTTACTTTTTTTCAACTTTTTGTTAAAAACTAAGACACAAACACACATTAGCCTGGGTCTACACAGGGTCAGGATCATCAAGATGTCACTAGGCAATAGGAATTGCAGCTCCATTATAATCCTATGGGACCATAGTCATATATGCAGTCTGTCATTGACTAAAACATTATTATGTGGCACATGATTGTAATAATGGAAAACATCCCACAGAGGAGTGAAATAAATATGTAGGTCTATGATGCCCAAAGAACCCCAAATAGGCTGAACATTAAAAGATCTTCACTGACATATATTATAATCAAATTATCTAAAGTTAAGGACAAGGAGAATTCTGAATGCAACAAGAGAAAAGAGAGTATGTGTAAACTATCATATATCAGAGAATTCCCGTAAGACTATCAGTAGCTTTCTCACCAGAAACCTTTCAAGCTAGGAAAGAGTGGGATGACATATTCAAAGTACTGAAAGAAAAAAATTGCTGTCCAAGAATACTAAACCTGGAAAAATATTCTTTAAAAAGGAAGGAGAGATAAAATCTTTCCCAGACAAATAAAAACTGAGGGAGTTCATCACTAGACCTGCCTTATAAGAAATGTTCAAGGGAGTTCTTCAAATTGAAATGAAAACATGCTAAACAACATCACACATATCAAAGTATAAATCTCACTAGTGAAGGCAAATACATAGACATATACAGATTAATATAACACTTTAGGGATGATGCATCATTTGCTTTTAACCCTGATATAAAAGTTAAAAGATAAGAATACGTTAATGGATACACAATATAAAAAGAAGCTAACTCTGACTACAAGAATACAAAGTGTTGGGACAGGGTGAGTAAAGGTACAGTGTTTTGGGGTGGGATTGTACTTAAGCTGCTATCAACCTAAAATAGAAGGGTGTAACTACAAGATATGTATGCAAGCCTCAAGGTAACCACAAAGAAAAAGCCTATAATAGATTCAGAAAAGATAAAGGGAAAAGACAATACAAGAAAGTCACTATAAAAAAAATCACCAAATAACAAAGGAAGACAGCAAGAGAGGAAAAGGGGGCAAAACAACTACAAAATAGACAGAAAACAATTAACAAAATGGCAATAGTAAGTTCTCACTTATCAATAAGTACCTTAAATGTAAAAGAATTAAAATAACTAATCAAAAAGCACAGAGTGGCTGAATGGATAAAAATACAAAACAGGATCCAGCAATATGCTCTCTACAATAGACTGCGTTTAGATTTAAAGAGACACATAGGCTGAAGTGAAGGGATGGAAAAAGATATTTCATGCAAATGGTAACCAAATGAAAGCAGGAATGGTGATACTTATATCAGAAAAAGTAGATTTTATGTCTAAAACTGTCTCTAATACATAAAATGTCATGAAATAATGACAAAGGGGTGAGTTCAACAGGAAGATTTAGCAATTATAAATATATACACACCCAACATCAGAGTACCTAAATATAATGCTATGGTTTGAATGCTTTTGTCCCCTCAAAAACCCATGTTGGGCAGGACACGGTGGCTCATGCCTGTAATTCCAGCACTTTGGGAGGCCAAGGCAGGTGGATCACTTGAAGTCAGGAGTTCAAGACCAGCTTGGGCAACATAGTGAAATCCTGTCTCTACAAAAATTACAAAAATTAGCTGGGCATAGTGGCATGCACCCATAGTCCCAGCTACTATGGAAGCTGAGATGGGAGGCTCGCTTGAGCCTGGGAGGTTGAGCCATGATCATGCCACTGCACTCCAGTCTGGGTGACAGAGTGAGACCCAGTCTCAAAAAAAAAAAGAAAAAAAGAAAGAAAGAAAGAAAGAAAGAAAGAAAGAAAGAAAGAAAGAAAGAAAGAAAGAAAGAAAAAGAAAAATGTTGAAACTTAATCCCCAATGCAATAGCATTGGGAGGTGGGGCCTAATGGGAGGTGTTTAGGTCATGAGGGCTCCACCCTGATGAGCAAATTAATTCTGCTATAAAAAGGGCTTTTAGGAGTGAGTTCACTCTCTCTTCTGCTAGTCTGCCATTTCTGCAATGTGAGGATGCAGCAAGAAGGCCCTCACCAGACACTAAATGCCAGTGCCTTGATCTTGGAATTCCCAGCCTTTAGAGCTGTGAGAAATAAATTTCTGCTATTTATAAATTTCCCAGTCTCAGGTATTCTGTTACAGCAGCACAAAATGGACTAAGACATATGTAAAGCAAATATTGACCAATCTGAAGACAGGTATTGGCAGCAATACAATAAGAATAGAGGGCTACAATACCCCACCTACAGTAATAGATAAAACATTCAGACAGAATATCAATAAAAAACAACTGACTTGAATGACACTACAGACCAGATGTACCTAAGTGACATATATAAAACTTTCTGCCCAACAGCAGAAGAATACACATTCTTCTCAAATGCACACAGAACATTCTCAAGGATAGATCACATGTTAGGTCACAAAACAAGTCTTAACAAATTTAAGATCAAAATAATTTCAAGTATCTTTTCTGACCACAATGGAATGAGACTAGAAATCAATAATAGCAAGAAAACCAGAAAATTAATTTTAAAAAAACAGAAAATTCACAAATATATAGAAACTAAACTACACACTTTTGAACAACCATTTGGTCAAATAGAAAATCAAAAGAAATTTTTAAACTATCTCAAGACAAACAAAAATGAAAACAAACATACCAAAACATATGGGATACAGCAAAAGCAGTACTAGCAGGGATAAATGTCTACATTAAAAAAGAATAAAGATCTCAAATAAACAAACTAATTTTACATCTCAAAAAACTGGAAAAAGAACAACAAACTAGGCCCAAAGTTAGCAGAAGGAAGGAAATTATAAAGATTAGAGCAGAAATAGAGAATTAGAAAACAGAAAAAATTAACAAAACTAAGAGTTGATTTCTTGAAAAGATAAAATAAACCAACCTTTAGCTAGAATAACTAAGAAAAAAGAGAGAAGGTACAAATGAATGAATCAGAAATGAAAAAGGAGATATTACAGCAGAAATGTGAGACATTGCCTGAGAAATAAAAAGGATCACAAAGGACTGTTATGAATAATTGTATGGCAACAAAGTGGGTAGCTTAGAAGAAATGGATAACTTCCTAGAAACATACAGCCTAGCAAAACTGAATCAAAAAGAAATAGGAAGCCTGAACAGACCAATTACAAATAAGGACTTTGAACCAGTAATCAAAAACCTCCCAACAAAGAAAAGCCCAGGACTAGGTGCCTTCATGGGTAAATTCTACCAAACATTCAAAGAAGAATTAATACTAATCCTTCTTAAACAAAGAAGAAGAAGGAGAAGGAGAATGAGAAGGAGAAAGAGGAGAAGGAGAAAAGGAGGAGAAGGAGAAGGAGAAGGCACACCTCCAAACTCATTCTATGAGGTCAGCATCACCCTGATACCAAAACCAGACAAAAACACTACAAGAAAATAAAACTATAAGCCAATATCCCTGATGAACACAGATGCAAAAAATCATTAATAGAATACTAAAAAACTGAATTCAAATGATCATATACGATGACCAAGTGGGATTTATCCTGGGATGGAAGGGTGGTTCAACAACCTTCCAAATTAAATCAATGTGACACAATACATTAACAACATGAAAGAAAAAATAATCATCTCAATAGACACAGAAAAAGCATTTGACAAAGTTCAACATCTATTCATAATTAATAGAACAAAATTCTCAACAAGATGGGTATAGAGGGAACTTACCTCAAACAATAAAGACCATGTATGAAAACTACACAGCTAATGCCATAATCAATGGCGAAAACTGAACACTTTCCCTCTAAGATCAGGTAGAAGTCAAAGATGCCAAAGCCACTTCTTTTCCACATTGTATTGGAAGTCCTAGCCAAAGCAATTAGACAAGAAAAAGAAGTAAAAGACATCCAAATTGGAAAAGAAGTTAAATCATCTCTGTTTTTGGATACCATTTTCTTATGAATAGGAAAAACCCTTAAAAAGCCACCCAAAATTGTTAGAACAAATACACAAATTCAGTACAGTTGCAAGATACAAAACCAACCCACACAAATCAGCTGTGTTTCTATCCACTAACAACAAATTAGCAGGAAAATAAATTAAGAAATAAACTCATTTACAATAGTGTCAAAAAGAATAAAATCTTAGCAATAAGTTTAACCAAGGAGGGAAAGGTCTGTGTGCTGAAAACTATAAAATGCTGATGAAAAAAAAATGAAGAAGACACAAATAAATGGGAAGATATCCTGTCCTTATGGATTGGAAGAATTAATATTGTTAAAATGTCCATACTACCCCCAAGTGATCTACAGATTCACTGCAATCTCTATCAAAACTATAATATTTTCCACAGAGATTGAAAAAACAATCCTAAACTTTGTATGGAACCACAAAGGATGCTGAATAGCCAAAGTAATCTTGAGAAAGAAAGACAAAGCTGGAGCATCACACATCTTTTTCTTTCTTTCTTTCTTTTTTGGAGATGGGGATCTTGCCATGTTGCCCAGGCTGGTCTCAAACTCCTGGGCTCTAGCAATTCTCCCACCTTAGCCTCTGGAGTAGCTGGGATTACATGCAGAAGAATGAAATTAGGCCCATATCCTACACCATACACAAAAATTAACTCGAAGTGAATTAAAGACTTAATGTAATGCCTGAAACCATAAAACTCCTGGAAGAAAACATAAGGGTTTGCTCCTTGACATGGTTTTGGCAATGATTTTTTTTTGATATGACACCAAAAGTACATATAACAAAAGCAAAAATAAACAAGTGGTACTACATCAAACTGAAACCTTTCTGCATAAAATATATACAAACTATATATCTAATATATTTAAGGAACTCATACAACTCAATAGCAAAAATCAACCTGATTTTAAAATGGGCAAAAGACCCAAATAGACATTTTTTTCCAAAGAAGACATACAAATAGCCAACAGGTATATGAAAAGGTGTTCAACATCACTAATCATTAGGAAAGTGCAAATCAAAACCACAATAAGGTGTTACTCACACCTGTTAGAATAGCTATTATCAAGAAGACAAGAGACAGCAAGTGTTGGTGAGGATGTGGAGAAAAGGGAACCCTTGTATACTATTGGTGGGAATGTAAATTGGTATGGCCATCATAAAAAACAGTACGGGTGTTTGTGAAAAATTAAAAATAGAACTGTCTTGTGATCCAGCAATCCCACTTCTGGGTTTATATTCCAAAGGAAATGAAATCAGTACCTAGAAGAAATATCTGCACCCCCATGTTTATTGCAGCATTATTCACAATAGGATAGCCAATATATGGAAACCCCTGTTGGGTTTTTCTTAACCTTCTTTCAGTGACATCTTACTTCCATTTAAACCAATTCCTTGTAACAGATCAAACACTCCTTGTAATAAATCAACCAACTTGTAAGGTAACTGGACTCAATCTCTGAGAGACTTTTTTGATTTCAAACACAATAGGCCAGAAGAACAAAAAGCTAAACTCCTTATCGTATCATCCCTAAAGATGGAGATTGCTCTCTCCACTGAAACAATACTTGGAAATATTTTGTGAATTTTGAGTTTTAGAACTGAACTTTCACCAAAATGGAATTGAGAAAGCTTTGAGGAAGAGACGGTGTATATTCAGAGGCTACCTCACTTTTGTACAACTTGTCAAAAAGGCATATTACATAGACTCAACCCAAAGTTCTTTAGGTTTAGATCTACCTGAGGGTCTCTGTTACTAAAAATGGCAATGCTTGGCACCAGACCACTCTTGCTATTCAACATAATATTCAACATATTATGATACTATTTGACACCCTATAGGGGTTATTTTATTTTGGCCAAAGATTGATCACTGGATAGCCCCTGATGACCAGTATTCAGGCTGGGTGCAGTGGCTCACACCTGTAATCCCAGCACTTTGGGAGGCCGAGGCGGGTGGATCACCTGAGGTCAGGAGTTCGAGACCAGCCTGGCCAACATGGTGAAACCCCATCTCTACTAAAAATACAAAAATTAGCCGGGCGTGCTGCAGGCGCCTGTAATCCCAGCTACTTGGGAGGCTGAGGCAGGAGAATCGCTTGAACCCAGGAGGCAGAGGTTGCAGTGAGCCAAGATTGCGCCATTGCACTCCAGCCTTGGTGACAAGAGCAAAACTCGGTCTCAAAAAAAAAAAAAATACCTTGGTCAGCAGTAGGGTGTAGATGATCAGGGTAGGGTGTTCCATCAGTGGATGTGTACTTGACACTAGCGAGGGTACGAGCTTCTCAGGTAAGAAAAGGGCACAGCAACAGAGTAGGGGTTAAAGTCAGAGGTCACCTGTGGCCAGAAGTAGGGATCAGTTTGTCCTTTGGGTATCGCTCAAGTGGTATTAGTGGTTCAGAGGTGATGAGTGCATGTCCTGGGTGTGGGGAACAGGTCCAGGTGTGTCCCACGGTATCTTCAGTGGAGGACGTGGGCGGCAGATGAGGGCGCCTCTCTCTGCAGATGGTGGCAGGTGGTTTGCTGCTCCATGGGGTGAGGAGACACAGGCTGAGGATGGTCCTAGTGGGTGGTCCTCGCATATCCTCATCAGGATTGAAGGGAAGTGGCTCGGCCCTGCACTCTCCAGGAGGCAGAAAGTAAAGATGAAAGTACCAGCTGAAAGTTCCTTTGCTGTGGGAACTACGTCAAGGTTCCTGAGTCTTGTGAAAGCTGGTAACTATCTCTGGTGTGGGCATGTACACCAGCAGGGGTGGCAGTGTCCTGTTGGCAGTCTCCTCATTTATCGTGAATTTCAATATGCTGTAGTTATGGCATAGGCATGTGAAATAATGATCAAGCCTATGGGCAGTAATTTTTTTTACCATTTGGGGGGCTATTTTCCTACAGGTTCTCTTAATAGTCCTTGTTTTAAAAGCCCACTGTGGGCAGGGCATGGTGCCTCATGCCTATAATCCCAGAACTTTGGGAGGCTGAAGTGGGAGGATCACTTGAGCCCAGGAGGTCAAAACCAGCCTGGGCAACATAGCAAGACCTCATCTCCAATTCTTTAAAAAATTAATTAATTAATTAATAAAATCCCATCATGTCTCTCTTTGATACCTGCCTCTTTAGGGTGATGGGGTAGGTGGAAAACCCAAGTAATGTGATTTTGTAACATCCACTGCTGCATTTGTTTGCGGTGAAGTAGGAGCCTTGATCTGATCATACACCTTGTGGCAAATCCAAATGCTGTAAAAGCTGATGTGCTAACCCTGCAATAACGTAAATAGAGGCTGCTACCTTGCATGGGTAAGCCAATAGATGCCTGTGTAGGCATCCACCACTGTTCAGG
Source organism: Homo sapiens (assembly GCF_000001405.40). NCBI lineage: Eukaryota > Metazoa > Chordata > Mammalia > Primates > Hominidae > Homo > Homo sapiens. Next base: position 47,954,893 of record NC_000023.11, read on the forward strand.
CATATTTCACGGTTCCAGCCGCTGCAGGGAGATGCCCAATGGAGTTGAATTGCCAGTTTTGATGTAGCCCTTCTCCTCTCCAAATGTTTCCTCCCACGAGGTGGTCCCAATGTCTGGATTGCTGACACCTGGTACGGTCCCTATGACTTTGTTTAAATGTCCCTCCACTGGATCAACTCCTCTCTTAACAACATATTTTCACAACCTCATGGTGCCCAAGTGCCTTGACCTCATGTGTCCATTTGTAGAAGGGGTCAGGTGGCTTGTCTCCAGGGTCTGAGGACTCGCCCTCCTTCGCAGCCCTGCCTGCTTGGCTGGTTGGGTTAGCTCATCTTCAGCATGGTATCGCACCTCCTACACATCTTGTTTAATGTGAGCGGAGGTATGGTACACAACCATGGGCAGAGCAGGGTGAATCTGGCAATTTCCACCCCTGCCCCCGACCCCATCTCTTTATCCCAAATGTCTGGGCCTTGTATTTTCAGCCTTGATTCTGTTAATGCCCCAACTATGTAGTCAGCCCATTAGCCTCTGACCTGGAGTCAGTGAAACACCTTGGGAAAATATTTGCCAAGAGCATGGTCTGTTGCTAGGAGTATTGCACGCAGCTCAGCCTGCCCGCACTGGGGCCCCTCCCCGACAAGGAAAGTGGACTGGTGGACTGGGGTGCAGATGTCATTGCCTGACTCTCATATTCCCCGTGTTCGCTCCATCTATAAAGAAAGAGCGTTGTTTTTCTTGTTTTGAGAGTGCTGGCTTTCCTCCCTCTGGTCCCCCTTGAGTAAGGGGTGGAATTATTTCTAAGGTTTGGCAAGTTTGCCTCACCAGCAGGGCATGTGGCAATTTGCCCAAGGGCTTGTGGCACTCCAGGAGGGCCGAGTTTAGCCAGAGCCTGTGGAGCCCGTGGAGCCCATTTCTATTTTGACCTGGGGTCCTCTGCTGCAGATTCGGTTTTAGGGGGAGCTTCTCCCACTGTGCAGGGCATACTAGGAATCTCGGCGTGTAGGGTAATGGGCTGTGTCCCAGGAAGGGCTTCCGTTTCCAGAAGTACCCAGGGTGCTGCCAGGTGATGCCTATCTTGTGACGGATACCTTTGGGCTGAGACTGGGAGCCGCCTACGGCAGAAGCCCATGGATAGGTGCTCGCCTGTGCATTTGGGGCAGACACTCTGGGAAGCAAATTTGGAGGCGGCTGGACCTTCTCACTTCGTGAGTCCTGCCCTCAGGACAGGTCGGGGAGCTGACATAACAGCCTCCATGCGTTTATGTGGTGTCTGTTGCTCAGGTCCCCGCTAGAGAGTGGAAGAGGTAAGGGAGACTCCACAGATAGCATCCAGCAAATATTGGAAGTGGGGGATGTGGTGGCGCCAGAATCCAAACATGCCAGCCACAGTTGGGCGTCCTTGCCAGTGTGGGAGGCTGCAGCTCTGGGAACTTGTCTTTTACAGGATCGGGGACAGTTTGCCCTTCTGAGTTCTACACGTAGCCGCCGAATTCAACAGACCGGTAGGGGCCATGGACCTTTTGGAGGGGCAGTTGCCCATCCCCTCACAGTGAGGTACACACTCAGGGCTGTGACCACCTGTGGGACAGCGCCTTAGTCCCTTTCAGTGAGGAGGATGTTGCCAATGTGATGGCAAAGCCGAGTTCTGCTGGGAGTGCAGGCAGCACTCAGGTCCTGTGTGCAAAGCCTGTGTGCAGTCGGGGGCCAGGGAGCGGGTACTGAACAACCCCAGAGGCGACCAGTATAAGGTGTCCTGTTGGCCCCAAAAGGGGAAGGCGATTGTGGTGAGTCTCCTGGGACATTTTCATGGAACAGAACATGTCAGCAGACTCTTCAACTCCAAACTATTTAGCCAGGTTGTTTTGAATGTCGTCTTAAGGCAAAGATGTCTGGTAGAAGTGCTCTAAGCCAGGGGACAGCCTTGTTTAAGGCTCCGTAGTCTGGAGTTAGCCTCATACGTTAGTAGTGGCTTTCAGCACAGCTCGTACTGGGGAGCTGGAAGGTGAGATGGTAGGAGTTCCTTCCCTTTCCCTAACCAAGTGAGCGCAGCAGGACTTGCCTCCGCTGCTATGGGGTGTGTGGAACCCCACACTGGCAGGGGAAGGGGCTTGGTTAACCGGCTCCCACCTGTCAGTGGCAGCAATAGCACAGGACCCTTAGGCCATTCTCTGAGGTCACCCGCTGACTGAGAGGGCCCGTTCCAGCGATGGGAAAAGGGGCAGATTGGGGACAACCACCAAGACAGAAACGTCTTTTAGCAACCCTGGGCCAACCTGAATAGGGAAGAGGGTGATGATGCTTTCCTGGTTCCTCCTCCCAAGCGGGCCACCTCCTGGGGAGGGCCCTTTAAAGCTTGAATGTTGCCTGGGATGAGGGAGATTCCAGCACCTGTGTTGGCCTGTGGTGTTGATTTGCTGGAGGGCAAACCACAGTTAATGTGGAAAAGGCTGATTGTCTGCCAGAGGGACCTGCTTCCATGACCACGGGATCTGTGTGGGGCGGGTCCCTGTCACTGGCAGAGATCAAGGCAGGTGTTGAAGGTGTGGCTGCCTTGGAAGCAGAGGCCTGCCATGGCTGTCCCCTCACCCTGGCTTGTATTGTGTTGTTGCACTGATTTATCAGAGCACATCCAATTTGGATCCTCTTGTCCCTTAGGGCTCCATACAACCCGGGATGGTGAATTTTACGTGTCAACTTGCCTGAGCCACAGGGTGCCCAGACATTGGATCAAACTGTTCTGGGTGTGACTGTGAGTGTGTTTCTGGGTGAGATTAACCTTTCCCTGGAAGACTGAGTGAAGCTGAATTCCCTCCCGGATGTGGGGGGGGCCCACCCAGCCAGTTGAAGGCCTGAGGAGAGCATGAGTCAGAGGGGACTCCTTCTGCCTGAGTGCTGGGGCTGGGACATCAGTTTATTCCCGCCTTGGAGCATGAACTAAAACGTCAGCTCTTCCTTGGCCTCAAGTCTGCTGGCCATCACACTGGACCTGCACCACCCGCTCTGCTGGGTTCCCAGCTTGCCAACTACAGGTCTTGGGACTTGTGGGCCTCTGGGCCCATGTGGGCCAATTCCTTATAATAAATCCCGCATATCTCCACATAGACGTAGACATATCGCCTCCTATTGGTTCTGTTGCTCTGCAGAACCCTAATAGATGACCTCTTCCGTGCATCTCAGGGTTCCCGCTCAACTGGGGGCCTGGCTGGTGGTGGTTTATTTGCACTACGAGGGGGCGGCCTTGCCGGTGATGTTCCTTGTGATTTAGGCCAGGTGGGGCATTGTTTTCATAACTGCAGGCAACACTGGGCTGTGAGTTTGTCCTCCATGAGATTCTATTCCATCCAGGGCAGCCATGGCCTGGTGGATTGTTTAGCCTTAGCCATCGCTGACAGAAATCAGGACTTGTACTTGTCAGGTGCTCCCTGAGAAACTACTGTGTGGGCTCAGCACTCCACTCAGCCTCCTCAGACTACAGAGTCCTCATGCCGCGCCATCTGTCACCAGATAATCCCACTGGAATGTACAGAGCTGATGGAGGACATCTTTGGCCTCAGCTAATGTTTTCCACCGCCAGTCTGCCCAGGGGGTTGTGAGGCCTCATGTAGGGTGGGCAGCTATCCAAGCCACCAAAACTCACAAAAATGCAAAATTCATACTGACCAGGTGTATATGGACTGCAGTGCAAAGCCTCCTGGGGGTCACTCCCAGCTTCTGCACTAACTGTGCAGAATTCTTTAGTAGGGAAGCCACTTTTCTATACCGTCCTGGGGCAGCCAAGTGCTTCACTTCAGCCCCTGTCAGGTGGAGCTTGCTTTCCTGGTTCTTCCTCCCAAGTGGGCCACCTCCTGGGGACGGCCCTTTAAAGCTTGAATGTTGCCTGGGGGAGGGAGATTCCAGCACCCATGTTGGCCCGTGGTGTTGATTTGCTGGAGGGCAAACCACAGTTAATGTGGTAAAGGCTGATTGTCTGCCAGAGGGGCCTGTTGCCTCTTTCGAATACATTCTCTGTAGCCAGGCAGCCACTTTTTCATTTGGTTCCTGGGCTAGGTTCTTAAGGACAGGCAGGGCCTCCGTGTGAGACAGAGGGTGTGTCCTCCTCCAGATAAGAGATGGCCTCTCCTTCTTGACCCTCCCCTGTTGTCTCTTCTGTCCTTTTGACTTTGCAGGTGATCACTGGCAAAGGAGAGGGTCAAGTTCCTCACTCTCCCATGGTAGTATTGTGCTGCCTTATCCTCTAGAGGGTGCAAATCCTCTTCTCCAGGGTCCTCTCCTCCTTCTGGTTGTCCGTGGAGGTTGGGCTCCCACCTCCTCTCTGTGAGGCATCCTGGTGAGAAGCAGCTGTGAGCAAGCTCAACAGGGGTCCCCTGGTTTGGATTCAATAGGACAGCCACCTCTTTTGGAGGGCCTGGAGGCTCTGGGACTTAAACTTCCTGCCTTTGGTCACTTTAAGCAATGCTTTATCTGGCTTAGCCCAAGGGTTGGGGTATCGATATTCCTCTGCAAAGGGGCTACGAAGATGACATTCACAAAAGAATAACTGAATGTCACAACAGCTGTGGCATGCTAACTGCTTGTAAAGGCATCTCCCCCAGCTGTGCATATGGGAATGGCCTCAGCCTGGCATCTCTGCCTGATCAGCTCATGTACCTGGCATAGTGGTCCCCAACAGTAAGGATGTCCTCTTGTCTCAGAGTACCCCAAATCACTGGCCTGGCCACAGGGAACTCCTCCCACTCTAGCCCGTCATGGGGTGAGGTTAGGCCACCTTCAGTCCAGAGATGTGTACTCCTCCCCTTTATGTGTGCGGGTCTATAGGCCTTATAGTGTTCAGCACCTGCCTAGTGGGGCTTCAGGCGGGCAAGCTGACCTCCTTCCCCAGGCAGTATCACACCTCTGACCTCAAAAGTCAGTTCTAATGAGATGAATTCACTCAAATACTGGCATGACCAGGTTAATGAAGCACAGGAAGAGACCACAAAAAAATAGTGTAACACAGGCCAGGTGCAGTGGCTCATGCCTGTAATCCCAACATTTTGGGAAGCCAAGGCAGGAGGACTGCTTGAGCCCAGGACTTTGAGACCAGCCAAGGCAACATAGTGAGACCCTGTCTCTACTAAAAATAAAAATAAATAGCCAGGCGTAATGGCACACGCCTGTAGTCCCAGCTACTCAGCACGCTGAGGTGGGAGGATTGCATGAGGCTAGGATTTTGAGGCTGCAGTGAGCTTTGAGTGCACTGCACTTTGAGTGCAGTGATCATGTTACTGCACTCCAGCCCGGGCAACAAAGCTAGACTCTGTCTCATAAATATAAAACTAAATAAATAAATAAATAAATAGAGGCAGGAGAATAGACACAGTCAGTCCAAGACCAGCCTAGAGAGACTTAGAGATTATCTCTAAAATTATCACAACATTCTTAGAGAATATAACACAGCACAGAGCAATGTCATGCCAAACTGATATGGAGGCATTCCAGATTTGAGCCCCAACTACTTGAAGCCATCCAGTATCGATTTGCCAAGTGATGATCCTACTGACCAATTCCCTGATCACTGCCAAAAACCCATCCTTATCACCCCATGTAGCAAGTTTGAAGATTTCAGGGCTGATCCAAGAAAAGACATGATCATGACATGTCAGTATTACAAAACAAGCTGTCATTTGGGTGGCACCAGGACACATTGCACAAGAGGGGAAGTTCCCTACAGCAGGAGACCTCCTGAGACAGTGGCATGGGGCCACTGCCCAAAAAGGGAAGAGGGCAATGGAACTCCTGGTGGAGAAGGGAATTGGAGAAGGCGTTATGTGTCAAGGTGATGTGGCTCAGCAGCAAGATGGGGAGTCTGTGTCAGAGAGCTCTGAGGGGCAGCAGCAGCTTGGTGTCTTTTATAGCCCCAGAATTTGTTTTATCTATGGCAGGCAGAGGCTAGGTGCAGTTTTGCAGGGTATGCAAAGCAGGGAAGTTCTGAATGGCTAAAAATATTACTTGGGCTATATTTAAAGCAATTGATGTGTAAGAATTTGAATTTGGCACCAGCCTGCTGTGAAGAAGTGAACAACAGAGTCAATATACAGGGACCATCTTTGGTTCATTTATGTAACAACCTTTAATTCTTGCAATATGAGGCAGAGGTCAAGATTATTTTTTCCAAGGCTATTCAGTTGCTCCAGCACCAAAAGAGTATCTGTTCCCCGTTGAATTTTACTGTGGCCTTTGTTGTAGTTCAGCCAATAATCTATGTGAAGTTCTATTTCTAGATTGTTTATTCTGATCCATTTATCTATTTGTCTATCCTTGTCCCAGTACTTGACTGTCTTATTTAGGCCTTTACATTCTTTCAATAATATTTTGTAATTTTCTCTACCGTGGGTTTTGTACATATTTTGTTAAATTTTTTCCTAGTTTTTTTTTGGTACATTTCTTGATGTTCTAGTAAGTAGCCTTAAAGTTTCATTTTCTTATTGTTGTTCCTGATATGTAGAAATATAGTTGTATGTATACAGTTTTATGTGTTGACATTTTATCCAATGATCCTGATAAGTTCACTTATAAATTGTACTAGATCATCTGAAGATACTTTTAGGCTTTTTTACATTCACAAAAATGTCATCTGCATATTATGGCAGTTTTATTTCCTCCTTCCTATCCTTTACATTTTTAATTTCTTTTTCTTGATGATTGCATTGGCTAGGACCTTTAATACAATGCTGAGCAGAAATGGTAATAGTAATAACAGATATTCTTTCCTTGCTCTTAATCTATGGAGAAACTTTCACTCATTCACCATTAACTATGATGTTTGCTGTAGGTTTTATGTAGATACTCTTTGTCAGATTAGGGGAGTTTATTGGGGGAACCAACCCCCAATATTTCAACGTAGGTTCTTTTCTATTTTCCCTAAGTGTCGGCCGCTCTGAAAAATAAAGGGAAACAGTACAAAAGAGAGAAATTTTAAAGCTGGGTGTCCGGGGGAGCTATCACATGTCGGCAGATTCCGTGATGTCCCCTGAGCTGTAAAACCAGCAAGTTTTTTAGCAATTTTCAAAGGGGAGGGAGTGTATGAGTAGGGTGAGTCACAGAGATCACATGCTTCAAGGGCAACAAAAGATCACAGGGCAGAAGGTCAGGGCGAGATCACAAGGTCAGGGTGGAACTAGAATTACTAATGAACTTCCATGTCCCACTGTGCACGCATTGTCATTGATAAACATCTTAACAGGGTTCAAGAGCAGAGAACCGGTCTGACTAGAATTTGCCAGGCTGGAATTTCCTAATCCTAGCAAGCCTAGGGGCACTGCAGGAGGCCAGGGCATGTTTCATCCCTTATCTTCAACTGCATAAGGCAGACACCCACCCCCCCCAGAGCGGCCATTTTAGAGGCCCCCCCCGGGAATGTATTATTTTCCCAGGGCTGTTAATTATTAATATTCCTTACTGGGGAAAGAATTCAGCAATATTTCTCTTACCCGTTTTTGGCAATAAGAGAAATAATGGCTCTGTCCTGCCTGGCTCCCAGGCAGTCAGACCTAATGATTATCTCCCTTGTTCCCTGAACATCGCTGTTACCCTGTTCTTTTTTCAAGGTGCCCAGATTTCATATTGTTCAAACACACATGCTTTATGAACAATTTGTGCAGTTAACGCAATCATCACAGGTCCTGAGGTGACATACATCCTCAGTTTAGGAAGATGACGGGATTAAGAGATTAAAGTAAAGACAGGCATAGGAAATTATAAGATTATTGATTGGGGAAGTGATAAATGTCCATGAAATCTTCACAATTTATGTTCTTCTGTCACGACTTCAGCAGGTCCCTCCATTCGGGGTCCCTGACTTCCCGCAACACGAGTTCTTATCGATTTCTAGTTTGTGCACATGTACCCTAAAACTTAAAGTATAATAATAATAAAAAAACCATGAATGGAAATGCCTCTCCCAATCCCTTCATTCTGGTGGGTTTATAAATTTTTAAAAATACATATTATTTTAAGGGCAGTATATTTGTGTCTAGGGAGAGAGAAGACTAAATGTTTGTGACCAATTCCCCCTTTTAATTGGAAGACTTAGATTGTTTCTTTTTTATTTTTAATCTCCTTGTATGTGTAATAATGTTCCCTTTCTCATTCCTAATGTTTCTTTTATCATTTTTCTTAATCAGATGTCTTTGACCTATTACTTTTAAAATCTACCCTAGTGATTTTGTTAATGAAACCTAATATTTTGTTCTACGTGTTAATGTCTCATTTTATCCTTAATTCCTACTTTTTCCATTATTTGGACTAATTTTGCTGTTTTTATATTAAATGTTTGGTTCATTTCTTTCTAGATTCCACTTATAATGTATGCAATGGGTGCATTTTTCAATTCAGTTTTTGCCACATTCTGCATATTTTTATATTTAATGTGTACTCATTGTTGTTCATTTCTAATATGTTCATACTTTTATTTTTGATTTTTTTCTTTAATAAAATAATAATTTGGGGGGAGACTTTTTCCATTTCTAATTTTATCACATTGTGCCTAAACAAAGTGTCTCTATGATTTGTTGGGATTCTCTGAGTCATCTATGTTTGTAAATGTTTCCTGTGTATTCCTCATTGGATTTAAATATGTGTATGTATACCCATATCCATGTATCAGACATAGATCAAGCTTAATAATTGTGCTATTCAAATGAGTCATTATTTTTTGTCTGTTTAAGAGATGTGTGATAATTTCTGTCTCTGTAATTGAGGGTTCATCACTGACTTTAAATCTATGTCGTTAGGTACATAAACATGCCTTACCACCATGTCTTCTGATGAATGTTACCTTTTATTATTATTAAAATATCCTTCTTTGTCCCACTTAATGTTTTTGTTTTCAAATTTTATGTCCATTTTTCATTTTGTTAGCATTTTCCTAATTTTTTTTGAGACGGGGTCTTGCCCTGTCACCCAGGCTGGAGTGCAGTGACACAATATCAGCTCATTGCAGCCTCAACTTCCTGGGCTCAAGCAATTCTCCCACCTCAGCCTTCCGAGTAGCTGGGACTACAGGCATGCAACATCATGCCTGGCTGACTTTTATATTTTTTTGTAGAGATGGGGTTTCGCCATGTTGCCCAGGCTGGTCTCGAACATCTGAGCTCAAGCAATCTACCTGCCTCAGCCTCCTAAAGTGCTGAGATTATAGGTGTGGCCACCATGCCTGGCCTAACTTTTTATTTTTAAAGTTATTTTTCAAAATTATGAAATATTTCAAACAAACCAAAAGGTATAGAGAAAAGTACTTGGGTAGTGTGCAGATCACATGTTTGTGTCCCCTTTCCCTGCCCAATTCATATGTCAAAACCCTTAATGTTAACCTTAATGGGATGGTATTAGGAAGAGGGGCCTTTGGGAAGTAGTTAGGATTAGATGAGGTCACAAGAGTGGAATCCCCATGATGAGGTTAGTGTCTGATATGATTTAGATGTCTATCCCCTTCAAATCTCATGTTGAAATGTGATCCTTGATGTTGGAGGTAGGGCCTAGTGGGAGGTGTTTGCATCATGGGGGCACATCCCTCATGAGTGGCTTGGTACCATGCTTGTGGTAATGATTGAGTTCTCACTCTATGAGTTCATGTGAGATCTGGCTGTTTAAAAGAGGCTGGCATACAGAGTGATATAATAGACTTTAGAGACTCAGAAGGGGGAGAGGGAAGAGGGGCCAAGGATAAAAAGAAACTACACAGTAGGTACAATATTTGCTACTTGGGTGATGGGTGCACTAAAATCTCAGAATTCACCACTATAAAATTCATTCATGTAACAAAAAAACACTTGTACCCCAAAAGCTATTGAAATAAAAAAATAAAAGAGTCTGGCACCTCTCCCCTCCCTCTCTCTTGCTCCCTCTCTCACCATGTGACATGCTGGCTCCCCTTTACCTTCCATTATGATTGTAAGCTTCCCCAGGACCTCACCAGAAGCAGATGCTGGCACTATTCTTCATGTACAGCCTGCAGAACCACAAACCAAATAAACCTCTTTTCTTCATAAATTACTTGAGTCTCAGGTATTCCTTTACAGCAATGCAAAAATGGACTAACAGAAAATTGGTATTGAGAAGTGGGGCATTGCTATAAAGATACTTGAAAATGTGGAAGCAGCTTTGGAACCGGGTAACGGGCAGAGGTTGGAAGAGTTTGGAGGGCTCAGAAGAAGACAGGAAGATGAGGGAAAACTTGGAACTTTAACGTTAGAGACTGGTTAAATGAATGTGACCAAAATGCTGATAGATTGTGTTGAGTCTTGACAACGAAAAAAAATGCTGATAGAAATGGACAGTGAAGGCCAGGCTGACGAAGTCTCAGATGGAAATTAGGAATTTATTGGGAGCTGGAGCAAAGGTCACCCTTGTTATGCTGTAGCAAAGAATTTGGCTGCATTGTGTCCATGCCCTAGGGATTTATGGAAGGTTGAACTTAAGACTGATGACCTAGAGTATCCAGCAGAAGAAATTTTTTTTTTGAATGTGATTCTTTTATTGTCAAGAGAGTAAAGAAGACATATTACTGGTTTGTGGATAAGAACAAATAATATGCTGCCTAGCCGCCCAACTGTCTGGGAAGTGAGGGGCGCCTCTGCCCAGCTGCCTACCGTCTGGCAAATGAGGAGCGCCTCTGTCCAGCCGCCCAACTCTCTGGGAAGTGAGGAGTGCCTCTGCCCAGCCACCCAACTGGGAAGTGAGGAGCGCCTCTGCCTGGCCACCCCGTCTGGGAAGTGAGGTGCCCCTCTGGCTGGCTGCCCACCATCTGGCAAGTGAGGAGCGCCTCTGCCCGGCTGCCGCCCTGTCTGGGAAGTGAGGAGCGCCTCTGCCCAGCCTGCCGCCCCGTCTGGGAAGTGTGGAGCGCCTCTGCCCAGCTGCCCACTGTCTGGGAAGTGAGGCGCGCCTCTGCCCGGCTGCTGTGCAACCTTCCAAGTGTGAAGTGACAGCCTTGTGTGTGATCTTTTCTGTCTTCCCCAAGTTTGCATTTTCAACATTAAAGTTTACTTTTCAGTTAAAAGTAAAAAAAAAAAAAAAAAAAAAGAGCAAATAATATGATAATATGATCGAAGGAGATGACAAATATTTTCTCAGTCATATGTGATCTTTAGTTAGTTTTTTTTTTTTTTTTGAGACAGAGTCTCACTCTGTTGCCCAGGCTGGAGTGCAGTGACATGATCTTGGCTCACTGCAACCTCCACCTCCTCCAGAAGAAATTTCTAAGCAGCAAAGCATTCAAAAAGAGGCATATGGATAGATATGGGAGCAAAGAAATGACTTAAAAGTTGGAACTCATATCTAAAAAGGAAGCAGAGCATAAAAACTTGGAAAATTTGGCTGGGCGTGGTGGCTCATGCCTGTAATCCCAGCACTTTGGGAGGCCGAGATGGGCAGATCACCTGAGGTCAGGAGTTCGAGACCAGCCTGGCTAACATGGCAAAACCCCGTCTCTACTAAAAATACCAAAATTAGCCGGGTGTGGTGGTGGGTGCCTGTAATCCCAGCTATTTGGGAGGCTGAGGCAGGAGAATCACTTGAACCTGGGAGGCAGAGGTTGCAGTGAGCCAAGATCGCACCATTGCACTCCAGCCTGGGTGACAGAGCAAGACTCCATCTCAAAAACAAACAAACAGACAACAACAAAAATAAACTTGGAAAATTTGCAGCCTGGCCATGTGGTAGAGAAGGAAAGAGCATTTTCAAGAGAGGAATACAAGTGGGCTTTGGAGCACCCGCTTGCTAGAGAGATTAGCATGACTGAAAAGGAGCCAAGTGCCAATAGCCAAGACAATGGGGGAAAGGCCTCAAAAGCATTTCAGAAACCTTCGGGACAGTCCCTCTCATCACAAGCCCAGAGGGCTAGGAGGAAAGAATTGTTTCATGGGCCAGGGCCGGGGCACCAATGTCCTGCACCACCTCAGGAGGCTGTTCCTCACATCCCCGCTGCTCCAGCTCTAGCCTTGGCTCAAAGGGCCCCAGACACTGCTCTTGCCACCATTCTAGAAGGCACAAGCCATAGCCTTGGTGGCTTCTCCATAGTGTTAAGCCTGTAGGTGCACAAAATCCAAGAATGGAGGAGGCTTGGCAGCTTCCAGCCAGATCTCAGAGGATGTATTGGAAAGCCTGTATGGCCAGGCAGAAGCCTTCCACAAAGGTAGAACTCCCACAGAGAGACTCTACTAGCGCAGTGCCAAGGGGAAATATGGGGCTGTAGCCCCCATGCAGAGTCCCCACTGGGACACTGCCTAGTGGAGCTGTAGGAATGGGGCCACTGCCCCCCAGACCCAAGAGTGGTAGAACTACCAGTGGCTTGCACCCTGAGCCTGAAGGCACTTAACTCCAACCTGTGAGCGCAGCCAAGCCACAGATGCAGAGTTGCCCAAGGCCTTGGGAGCCCACCTGTTGTACAAATGTGCCCTGGATGCAGGACATGAAGTCAAAGAAGGTTATTTTGGAGCTTTAAGGTTTAATGTCTGTCTTGCTGGGTTTCGGACTTGTGTGGAGCCTGTTGCCCCCTTTTTTTGGCTGCTTTCTCTCTTTTGAAATGGAAATGTTTACCCAATGCCTGTACCACCATTGTATCTTGGAAGTAAATAACTTGTTTTTGATTTTTATAGGCTAATAGGTGGAAGGACTTACCTCGTGTCTCAAATGAAACTTTGGACTTCTGAGTTAATGCTGGAATGAGTTAAGACTTTGGGGGACTATTGGGAAGAACAGTTGTATTTTGCAATGTGAGAAAGACATGAGATTTGGGGGGCCAGGGGCAGAATGATATGGTTAGGATGTTTGTCCCCTCCAAATCTCATATTTAAGTGTAATCCCATTGTTGGAAATGAGGTCTGGTGGGAGGTGTTTGGATCATGGAAGTGGATCCCTCATGGATGGCTTGGTGCCATTCTTGCAATAATGAGTGAGTTCTTGCTCTATGAGTTCATGCAAGATCTGATTGTTGAAAAGGGCCTGATACCTCCTCCTCTCTCCCTGTGGCACACTGGCTTCCCTTTACCTTCCATCATGAGGTCCTCACCAGAAACAGGTGTGAGCACCATGCTTCATGTACAGACTACAGAACCATGAGCCAAACCTCTTTTCTTTATAAACTACCCGAGTTGCAGGTATTCCTTTACAACAATGCAAAAACAGACTAATACAGTGGGCTTATAAGAGAAAGAGACTAGAGCTGTTTCTCTTAGCCATGTGAGGACACACGAGATGATGCCATCTGCAAACCAGGAAGGTGGCCCTCAACAGACTTCAGATCAGCTGGTGCCTTGATCTTGGAATTCCCAGTCCCCAGAACTATGAGCAATACATGTTTGTTGTTTAAGCCACCCAATCTATAGTATTCTGTTACGGCAGCATAAGCTGACTAAGACAGGTTCTCTCTGCCCAGTGTTGATAGATCTTTATATATTTTTTGCCATATTTGCTTCAGATATATACACACACACACATATATATATGCACATACATACATATATAGATATACACACACCATTATAGATAAATGCAGTTGAAGCTCCCTGTATACAACTTCCTTCTTTCGCCTCATTCTCTCCATAGAGTTCATGGCTATCCTGAATTTGGAGGTTCACTTCTCCGTGTCTGATATTGGTATAAACATACCTACTTTCTTAGGTTAGTCTTTGCGTAACATATCTTTTGCCATCTTTGCTCTCTACTTTTTTGTGTACTCATAATAAAGGCATCCTGCTGTCCTCAGATGCTGGAGATCAAGGCAGCACTACAGTTATAATGTTAACAGATGAGCCAATACCTGAGCCCACACATGTATCTCAAGCCCAAGGATTGGTGGCAGACCCTTTATAATAAGCCCAAAACATATCCTGTTGAGTGCAGCATCCTTTGTGTGAACAGAGAAGAAAAAGAAGTTCCCATATATCTTTTACTTATCACCCAGGGATGGAGCCATCATGTGTTGTTGCAGGATTAGTGGCATTGGAGGATGAGGAATGAAGGTAGCTTTCAAAGCCTCAGTCTGCAGTGGGCCATCATGTGTTGATGCAGGGACCAGTGACATTGGAGGATGAGACTGAGGACTTCACCTGGCAGCAGTGGCACTTGGACACTGCTCAGAGGACTGTGTGTGCAGACGTGATACTGGAGAATTACAGTCAGCTGGTGTCTGGGGAGGGAAGGTAATTTGGTATTTACGATTATTGTGTCTAGGTTGACCCCTTTGGCATGCCATTGACATACCATGTCTTTCTTAAAGGAAGTGGGTCTCTGGTGGTTACAGGACATGGATATGAGCTCCTCAGATGAAAGGACATCTCCACGTCTCCCCCCATTCTTTGCTTAGCTTTGAGAAAGAACCCTGCTTCTCTTCCTTGTCCTCAGGATCTGATCCCTGCCTCCTTCAGCTGGAGCAAGCCTTTCTAGGTCATCCTCCCTTTCTCTAACCCTTTTCACTTTCCCTCCAGCCACTTGTCATCAACTCCACTCCTTATGCACTCAGACATTTATAGATCTGTCCTTTTTCAAATTTGCGACTTGTACTTCTACTTCCGTTTCTCATTCTTGTGAAAGGCTCAGGTGTTTTCTACTTGTGTTATACAACCAGATTCCACCCCACCCCAAACTCCTCCTTTCAAGGATCTCCATTAGGTGGCCCTATCAGTTGTTTCTCTCTGTTCCCCCAAACTGAAGTTATGGTGTTGTATTAGTCTACTCTCGCACTGCTACAAAGAACTGACTGGGTAATTTATAAAGAAAAGAGGTTTAATTGACTCACAGTTCCACAGGCTGTACAAGAAGCATGTCTGGGAAAGCCTCAGGAAACTTACAATCATGGCAGAGGGCGAAGAGGAAAGAGGCACATCTTATATGGCTGGAGCAGGAGGAATAGAGAACAGGGGGAGGTGCTACACACTTTTAAACAACCAGATCTCATGAGAATTCACTCACTATCACAAGAACAGCAAGGGGGAAATCCACTCCCATGATCCAATCACCTCCCACCAGGTCCCTCCTCCAACACTGGGGATCACAATTCGACATGAGATTTGGGTGGGGACATAAATTCAAACCATATCAGCTGTTTTTGTTTTCTAGTTGTTTGTTGCTGATGCAAAGAAAAACAATTTCTATAGTTTGAACTTATATTTAGCAATTTTGCTAAATTCACTTATTAATTCTAACAATTTATCTATAGATGCTTTGGATTTTTCTATGTACACATCATCTGCAGAAATTGAAAGCCTTATTTATTCACTTCCAGTCATTACTCATTTTCTTTTTCTTGTGTTAATGCACTGCCTCAGACCTCCAGTACGATGTTGATTAGAAGTGAGCATACCAGGTGTCCTTGTCTCATTTCCAATCTCAGGAGGAAATTTTTTCCATGTTACCATTAAGTTTTGCCATGCGTCTTTTAAACACACCCTTCATCAGGCTAAGGAAGTTCTCTTCTACTTCTAGTTTGCTAAGAATTTATATTGTGTTGATTTTTCTCAAATCCCTTTCTCTTTAGAGAAATTAAGATTATATAATTTATTATTATGAATATATGAATTCATATATTCATATACATCCAACACAATATCATTAAATTGTATTATTAATTACATTGACATTTTTAAATTTATTGGCATATTTTTCATAATTCCCTGTCCTTTTAATGTTTATAGAATCTGTAGTGATGGACATTTATTATGGACATTTGAAAATTTGTATTTTATTTGTTGATCAGTCTAGAGTTTCTTGCATATATTAATCTTTTTAGAGAACTAGCTTTGATTTTTGCTATTGTTTGTCCTCTAGAGGTCATGAAAACAAATGTGAAGGAGGAAACTCACAAGAAGTGCTAAGCATAGATAGTAAGTAAGCTAGACACTTATGAAACATGAAGAAAATGCACAGGATGTGTGAAGTATAGATAAGTAAACAAGTAGCTTTTGAGACAGGCAAAATTCATAAGATGTGTTATAGTTAGCAAGCAAGTAACTTGTAAGATGCACTAAAGATAAATAGAATACATAGAATATGATAGAACAAACAAGGATATTACTTATAGATAGAAAGGGACAGGAACACCAACTCATAAGGTATCCTACCACCTTGGTTATATTATACTTAAATTAACCACCAACTGGTGACACTTAGTATTGTTCCACTGAACACAGATAAAACCCATCACTGTTCAGGCTAATTGGTAAGCTATAAGCTGAGGTAAGCAAGGTATGTCATTGACCTTGAGCACCTTCAGTCTGAATGGGGCCCTTTTTCAAACCTCAACTCTGGCCCTCATAACCAATAAGGCTGATGGAACAGAGACAGACAGAGACAGAGGCAGGGTCTATGAATATTGCATAACACAGGACTCAGGAAATGTAGTCCTTCATCCTGTTTGTACCCTCTCCTAAGTCTGTCAACTTACTCCATCTCTTTGCTTCTTCGTGTATATATATACACATATATATACATATATGTATGTATACGTATACATATCTGTCCTATATGTATATATGTATACATATGTATATACACGTGTATACGTATACATATGTATATACACGTGTATACGTATACATATGTATATACACGTGTGTATACGTATACATATGTATATACACGTGTGTATATGTATACATATGTATATACACGTGTATATGTATACATATGTATATGTATATATATGCATATACGTGTGTATATGTATACATATGCATATACATGTGTGTATATGTATACATATGCATATACATGTGTGTATATGTATACATATGCATATACATGTGTGTATATGTATACATATGCATATACATGTGTGTATATGTATACATATGCATATACGTGTGTATATGTATACATATGCATATACGTGTGTATATGTATACATATGCATATACGTGTGTGTATATGTATATACATGTGTGTATATGTATACATATGTATATACATGTGTGTATATATGGATATGTATATATATTTGCATTTTTCAAAAAAATTGATTTAATAAGCCATGTGACTCAACCATTTTATTTCATTTTATTTTTTTTGAGGCAGAGGCTCACTGTGTCACCCAGGCTGGGGGCAATCTCGGCTCACTACAACCTCCACCTCCTGGGTTCAAGCAATTCTCCTGCCTCAGCCTCCTGAGTAGCTGGGACTACAGGCATGTGCCACCACACCTAGCTAACTTTTGTATTTTTAGTAGAGACGGGGTTTTACCATGTTGGCCAGGCTGGTCTTGAGCTCCTGACCTCAAGCAATCCACCTGCCTTGGCCTCCCAAAGTGCCAGGATTACAGGCGTGAGCCACTACATCCGGCCTGACTAAAGCATTTTAATTTGGTCTGTGAGCCTTTCTATTCTGAGACTTCTAGGGTAGCTTGCCTGGTCGCATATTGAAGACTATCATTGTATCAAGGGAACTTCTCACATTAACAGACCCCAAAGGATAAAGTGAGAAGGGATCATAATTCAAAGTTTGGAGTTTACCTAAAGAAATAGGACAATAATATGAAATAATTGGCTAAAATATTGGGGGCCCAGTATTGATCTGGGTGGTTATAGGGTCAATCAAGGGACACAGGGCTGATCTTAGGAATCCAGGATAGTTTCGGGAGCCCTAAGAACAAGGTGAAGAAGGACCATAATTAATTTTATTTTAGACATTTTAGCTAAAGCAGT
Source organism: Homo sapiens (assembly GCF_000001405.40). Classification (NCBI taxonomy): domain Eukaryota; kingdom Metazoa; phylum Chordata; class Mammalia; order Primates; family Hominidae; genus Homo; species Homo sapiens. The sequence goes on from NC_000023.11 coordinate 47,972,568, forward strand.
AAGACAAATTAAGTAACTGGCATAAATAGATGTGGGGGTGGGAGTTAGGGCTGGCCAAGGGGGCACAACAGAGCTGATTTGGGGGCGGTGTCAGGGACACCTCTTGCAGTGGGCCCTCTCCCCCTCTGAGTATATATAAGTAACAATGGCAAGGAGATTGTATTAGTCTGTTCTCATACTGCTAAAATACCTGAGACTGGGTAATTTATAAAGAAAAAAGGTTAAGTTGGCTTACTGTTCTGCAGGCTGTACAGGAAGCATGGAAGCATCTGCTTCCAGGGAGGCCTGAGGGAGCTTTTACTCATGGCAGAAGGCAAAGAGGGAACAGGCATCTTACATGGCAGGAGCAGGAGGAAGAAAGGAAGAAGGTGCTACACACGTTTACACGACCAGATCTCACCAGAAGTCACTAACTATATGGTACCAAGGCGGGATGGTGCTAAACCATACATGAGAACTCCACCCCCAAGATCCAATCACCTCCCATCAGACCCCTCCTCCAACACGGGATTACAATTCAACATGAGATTTGGATGGGGACACAGATCCAAACCACATCAGGAATGGAACACAGAAGTGACATTCATTGAGCACTGTCTAGAACACAGGCTGATCCCATCCCATACACCTGTGGTCACTACAGGGTCTTCAGCGCAGCTCCTCTTTGTGCAGAAACCCCAGGGATCACCTCCCACCTCCACCCAACTCCCCATCACCACCAACGCAAGGTCATGCATCACTGAGACCCCAAGAACCTATAACCTCTGACACCACAGATCCCCATCACTCACCTCACAGAGTGCCTCCCATTCCAGCACAGTCTTCCCACCTTGACTGCCCGGCATTCTTCCCCTCTTCATTCATTAGCGTCATGCCATGCTTTGCCACTTTCCTGCACTGCTCTTCACCCAACCCCATTAACCACTGTCATTCACACTGTGCCTCATATCACTCCCAATTTCCTCCACTCTGCACCCACTCACTGCCAGTCTACTCCCTCCTTCTCTCCCCAACACTACTCATGTTTACTTACACTCAACTGTTTCTTCTCCAGTAACTCACAACACTGGATATTTCCCCCATTTCGCCCTACTCTTCCCTGTTCACCACCCTTCTGCCCCTCTTTACTCCATTCACTCCCCACTTAGCCCTTCATTGCCCTCCTCTCTCTTCCTCCAATCCCAATCCTTTTATTCACATGCTGATGTTCATCTCCATCCATTCCCCTGTCTGTGCTTCACTCACCTCCATTCACCCACATGTGGGCCATCAGCTTGCCATTTGTGTCCCAGGAAGCAGGAGTCCAAGATCTACCTGAAATGGTGAGATCTGACCCTCACCCCCACCCCACTATAGGATGGCCTTCAATGGACCTGAAACCCTAGCAAGATTCTCTATAAGTAGAAAGGAAAAATAGCTTTATTTCCAGTGCCCTTGGGCATCTTTCAAGGAGACTGCACCAGGAGCAAGCCAGTCTGCCCCACGTTTCCTCTCCCTGGAAAGGCACTGAATGTGATAGGTTTACCTTAAATAGTTCATAAAGTGAGCCCACGGCTTGTTTCCTTGCAGGATTACTCAGGGTAAAAAGAAGGCCCGAAAGGGCACAGGCAGGGTCTCAGGTCTAACTCACCCACCCATTTTGATAAATCCAAACATTGCCCATCCCTAGTTTTTCACAGCTTAAGTTGTCCAGTTCCAGCAAAGAGATGGCCCCAGTGAAAAGCCACAGAAGCATGAGGGCCACAAATACAGTAATTCACAAGCAGGACCTCTCGTTCTGAAGCAAATGTCCTGTTATGTGGGCTTTGACTATGTCCATTCAGACCATCACTCTCAATCTGTCTATCACCTTGGAAAATATGTATCGCCAGCACTAGAGCAACCTTAGAGAAGCAAGTTATTCAACCTCTCTATGGATTCGTGTTTTGCAGCACTTGTAAAAAGCGTTTGTATGAATGATGTAATAAAAATAATTTCGTTAAGATATGGAAAGTCCTCGGTGGGCTTTAGTACAGGATCTTTTCACAGATGTCACTATGCATGTTCCAGTCTCAATTATTTTAGTTACCTAATGTGGTCCCAGCTGACCGGAGAATCACTTCATTTGGCAACCTCAGGAAAATAATGCCTATGTGCCTCTGGAATTGATTGAATAACTGTTGTTCTATCTGCTTGGTTCTTCAATTTATTCACCAAAAATAAACTCTACATTGAGCATATCTATATTAAATGTTATAAAATCCTGTACCTAGACTGTGACTTTACTATAACAGTAAAACAAAATAGCTTTTTAAATGTTTTATTTTTGAAAAGGTAGTACATCCACATAGTACATAGTACACCCACATTTTCAAAAGCTATGAAAGGATACAGTTGTCTCCCTCTCAATTCCATCCCCCCAGCCACCACTGCCCCTTCCCCTCCCAAGGTAATCAGGGTTACCAGGTTCTCATGTCTCTTTCCAGAGATAACTTATGAATTCACAATTATGTACTTACCATTTTTCTCCTTTTTATATACAAATGGCAGTCACTGTCCTCAACCTTATTTTTCCTACCTAATAACATAAACTGAAGGTTATCCCACATCACTACATAAATGGTTTCCAAGTTCTCCTTATTTATTCATTGTTGTCTACCCAGGAGTAGGCTGTATGAATATACCACAATTTAGGGAACCAGAACCCTGATATGGTGTCATTTAAACAGCTTCCAATCTTTTGTTTTCACAAACGCTGCATTAATGAATACTGTATGTTCATCATTTTGTACATGTGTGAGTATGTACATTCCTAGAAGTGGAATTGCTGGCCCAAAAACCAAATGCATTTGTGGTTTTGATTACTTTTGAATAATTCCTCTTTGAATGAGAAGAGTTTTTCCTGGACTTGCTATTTGCTGGAGGTTCATGTGGGAAAAGAAACCAGGGCCACATTCTAAGCAGATCAGTTTTTTTTTTTTTTGACAACTGAGAATTTTTTCCCCCCACAGCTGTTCGTTCTTTCTGACTTTACTTCTCCCAAGTCAGTAAATAGGGGCAGCTGTAGGGCTCTTCACAAGGAAAAGTCCCTTCTCTTCCCCCAGCATGCCATAACTGTTGCTCCCATCAGTAGACTACTTTCTAAAAATATGGCTTGTCTGAGTGACTCCTTCTCGAGGCCCCAGCCTGTTTCTCCTCAGACCCCAAATGGTCTAGGAAACATCCTACCTCCTACCTGCCCACGCACTGTTACCACTGTTATATCTATGGTTCCGCGCCTCGGGGTATATCCCGAACCTCAGCTAAGAGTCCTTACCAGTGCTGTCTTGCACCTGCAGCCTTGAGCACTCTCACTCTGAAATCTCCTGCACCAGTGCTTCATTTCCTCTGCCTGTGGCAGCCCTCTCATTAGGGTTGCAGCTGTCTCCTAATTTTGTCAGATACAGAGATTACACTTCTGCTTTTTCTCCCGTAGCTTTTGGGTTATGACTGAGATGAAAAGAAGAAAGGCTGAATTTACTCCCATATTTAAACCACAAGTCAAAATATACTTTTAAAATGTGAGTAAAATTGACACAACTTTCTTTCAGTGTCCATAATAGATACTGCTGATTAGCTCTCTAATGTGCCATGAACTTTGACTTCCGAGTGTGGCCTCTTCCATGGGCTTTCTTTCCTGCATGGGTTCGCTGATGTACAATAAGGTTTGATTTTTGGGTAAAGGCTTTCCCACATTCTGTACATTTATAGGGTTTCTCTCCAGTATGAGTTCTTTGATGTACAGTGAATGTTGACTTTTCTCGGAAGGCTTTGCCACACTCAGTGCATGCATAGGGTTTCTCTCCCGTGTGCGTTCTCTGATGTATTATGAGCTGTGACTTCTGGCTAAAAGCTTTCCAACACACAGGACATTCATAAGGTTTCTCTCCTGTATGAATTCTCTGATGTATAATGAGCTTTGACTTTTCTCTGAAGGCTTTGCCACATTCATTACATTTATAGGGTTTTTCTTCTGTATGAGTTCTTTGATGTATAATGAGATATGATTTCTGTGAAAATGCTTTTTCACATTCATTGCACTCGTAAGGTTTCTCTCCTGTATGACCTCTCTGATGCAGCATGAGGTAGGACTTCTGAGAGAAGGCTTTCTCACATTCATTACATTCAAAGGGTTTCTCTCCTGAATGAGTTCTCTGATGTACACCAAGGTTTGACTTTTGCGTGAAGGTTTTTCCACACACATCACATTCATAGGGTTTCTCTCCTGTATGAGTTCTTTGATGCACAATGAGGGTTGACTTCTCATTGAAAGACTTCCCACATTCAGTACATTTATGAGGTTTCTCTCCCGTATGAGTTCTCTGGTGTATAATGAGAGTTGACTTATCACTGAAAGTTTTCTTACACTCATTACATTCATGGGGTTTCTTTCCTGTATGGGTACTATGATGTATAATTAGATCAAGCTTCTGTATGAAAGATTCTCCACATTTAGTGCATTCATAGGTTTTCTCTCCAGTGTGGGTTTTCTGATGGACAATGAGGTTGGACTTCTGAGTGAAGGCTTTTCCACATTCATTACATTCATAAGGTTTTTCTCCTGTGTGAGTCCTGTAATGTATGATGACAGTTGACTTTTCTCTGAAGGCTTTTCCACATTCAGGACACTCAAAGGGTCTCTCTCCTGTATGAGTTCGCAAGTGTATAATGAGCTGAGATTTTTGGCTAAAAGCTTTTCCACATTCGGTACATCCAAAAGGTTTCTCTCCCGTATGAGTTCTCCAATGTACAATGAGGTGTGACTTCTTGCTGAAGGTTTTCCTACATGCAGTACATTCAAAGGGTTTCTCTCCATTTTTAATTCTCTGATGTAGACTAAGGCCTTTCTTTCGCCTAAGACCTTTCCCACACTCTTTATAGCCATAGGGCTTCATTCCAGGATTTGTTTTCTCATACTCAGTATGGAAGAACAATTTTGCACATCCATTATCATATTTATTTTCTGCAGAACTTCTACTAAATAAGTCTAAATTATCTACCATATTATTTCCAAATGATTCGTGTTTATCGGGTCTTTGTATTGAAGCAACAAGGTTTGTACTCAGATGAAGTATGTTTCCAAACTCATGACAGTCACGAGCACTCTTGGTGATAATTGTTTTCTTGTCAGAAAATCCAACTTGCATCAGCAGACATTTATCTTGGTCATCCTGATGTTGCCTCTCAATCTGTTCATCAACTTGACAGACTTCTAGAAAGAAGTACAATAAACCACCTTTATGCTTTGACATTATGGAGCGGACCTTCTTTAGAATTATTCTGCCATATGAAAGCTGATACTATAATCTCATTTTATCAGAGTTCCTGGAGAGAGAGTTTTTTACTAAACTCTCACCTGCTGGTCTTTTTGTTACCAAGAACAATCTTACCCTGACACCTCAGTCTTTCTTACGTCTATTTATACATCATACCTGACTTCTATCAACTCTGCGAAACTTATACCCTTGATCTTCAGTTATCATATAAACTTTTTTTTTAAGAGACAGGATCTCAGCTCTGTTGCCAGGCTGGAGTTTAGGGGCAAAATCACAGCTTACTGCAGCCTTGACCTCCTGAGCTCAAGCGATCCTCCCACCTCAGCCTCCTGAGTAGCTGGGACTGCAAGCGCGAGCCACCACATCTGGCTAATTTTTGTATTTTTTTGTAGAGACAAGGTCTCACTATGTTGCCCAGGCTGGTCTCAAACTCCTGGTCTCAAGCAATCCTCCCGCCTCAGCCTCCCAAAGTGCTGGGATTACAAGTGTGAGCCATCACACCTGGCCAGTATCATATGAAGTCTTAACTGTACCTGACTTACAGAATTTCTGTCTAGGTGGAAATGCAACAGCATGATTCCCAGACTCATGTGTTACAATAGTTAACACTGAATCCACATTCTCAATGAATGAAAGAAAAATACAGAATGGTTAGCTTGACAAAAACAAAAAGCTAAAAATATTTGCCCAGTCTGGGTTCACCCGTGTATCCATCAAAGCTTGCATTCACAGTTCTTCAACACTACCTTCTCTGCTCCTGCCTATACGATTTCCACTAAAACCTCTGCCTATTCTGTACTCCAAACCCTTCTTCATGTTCCATCACCCACATAGCCCTGTGTTCCATATTTTGCTATATTCAGAATCTAGATAACTTTCAAGAGGCAGGTCAGTCTTTTCTAAAAAGCTTACTCTGATCTTCCTATATAACTTAAATTTTTATTAACTTCTAAAGTAGTCAGTCATCTGTATCACTCATTTAAACAGTTAAAATTGCAAAGCTTTGCCTTTAATTTCATCAATTGCAAGCAGCACATTATTTCACATTTTAACATCTCTGAATCCAGATGCATCTTACAATCAATGTCATAGGTTAACTGGTGGCAATTTTTCTTTCTTAGTGGTATGTCTTTAAATCTATGGCATCTTGAAGTTAATAAGATATGGCAAGTACTTTTTGTACATATGGTGAATTTTAAATCTTTTTTTATAGTTTACTTTTCTTCTTACTTTTCCCCAAATTTTTACATGAAAATTTTCAAGCATAGAAAAAGTTGAAAGAAGAGTACAGTAACTACTCATATTACCACTTAGATTCAATAGTGTTAACATTTTGCTATAGTGATACTGAATTTTAACATGGATTGTGCAGCTGTGGTTTTTCTTCCTGTGACTTCCTTTCTTTGGCTAGCTAAGCATTAGTTCTTAACCAGAGATGAACACAAAATCACATGAGGAACTTTTTACAAAATGCTCTCCATGGGACCCAAGCTCCACCAAAGATCTGCTGAATCTGAACCTTCTTAGGTGGTAAGAAGCAGTTTGGCCCATGTGGTTAGGGTCCTGGGCTCTCTAGCCCAGGAGAAAATCCTGGCTCAACCTTTCACTTGGTCTATGACCTCAGGCAAGTGATCTAAACTATTTGTATCTTACTTCTCCACCCATAAAGGAATTATAACAGTGCCCACCCAAATGGATGTTGAGAGAATTAAATTACTTACAACAGGGCTTGCAGGGTACACAGGAAGTACTTTAAATCATTTACCACCACTACTACTATTACAACTACTACTATTATGACTTTTAAGAATCACCACATTACTGTAAAAAGAAAGAGTATATTTATATATTTAACATGTTCTAGAATATTAAGTGAAAAATGGTGAATAAAACTGTGCATACACTGTTACCTGAGGCAGGAAACAAAGGGAAAAACTGGGTGATGCTGGAGGTTATTTTGAGCCATAGGAGAGGGAAGCTGAAGGGTTTTTAAAGTGTGTGTGGGGTGTGTGTGTGTGTGTGTGTGTGTGTGTGTGTGTGTGTGTTATGGTATAAGTTTCATCACTTTGCTTCTTTTATAGCAAGGAATGAGATGAGATCATTTGCTAAAAGAGAGGGAAAAACAACTTGGAGTGGAGGTTTGAAGGAAGCAAGAAAGGTGTTATAAGACATGGAATCAAACCTAAGTGTCCATCAAGGAATATCAACGGATAAAGAAAATGTCATCTATTTACACAATGGAATACTGTTCAGCCATAAAAAGGAATTAAATACTGTCATTTGCAGCTACATGGATAAGCCTGGAGGACATTATGTTAAGTGAAATAAGCCAGGCACAGAAAGACAAATACTGCATGATCTCACTCATATATGGGAGCTAAAGGAGTTACTCTCATAGAAGTAGAGAGTAGAATAGTGACCAGACACTGGGAGGTGAAGAGGGGAGGAGAGGATAGGGAAAGGTTGGTAAATGGGTGCAAAGATATAGTTAGATAGGAGGAATAAGTTTCCGTGTTACATTGCACAGCAGGGTGTCTATAGTTAACAATATAGTGTATCTTTCAAAATAGCTAAAAGAAAAGATTTTGAATGTTCTCCCCACAAAGAAACAAATATTTGATGTGATGAATATACTAATTACCCTAATTTGATCATGACACACTGTATATATGTATCAAAACATCACACCATACTCCATAAATATGTACAATTATGTGTCAACTAAAAGTAAAACTTTTTAAAATGTTTAAAAAACTGTGCATAGTAGGAAATGAATAAATATATATTCTTATAGGCTCATGTTGTAAAAAGTGATGGAAGAATAAACCTTTAAATTTTAATAAAGGTTACCTATGAGGAAGGAAGGAACGAAGGGAATGGAATGGAAAGGGAAAGAAGCTGGACTTTTCTGAATATACCTTGTTTTCTGTGTTGGACTTTGGAACCAATAAATCTTTTGTAACTATTTTATATAATCATAAAGCAAAACTGAACATAAAAGGATTCCTTAAAAATAGTAAATATTCTTTCTGCTGCGTTTCCTAATGACCATGCTGGAAAGTCTTGATTCTCAATGGCACCAAAATGATTACCTCAATTCATTCAACTCGCTATACACAAGCAACAGCCTCAAGAAGAATACTAACAATACTACTGTCAGATGTAAGATTCATAAATTAAAAACCTTTAAGCGCAAAATTTGATTTGGAAATATTAATTTGAACATGAGATATTTTTTCTGTAAAAAATGTATACATAATAGTTCCTAGCTTTGTCAATGAAAAGGCCTCAAAACAATTCTCTAACCTCTAAATCGTGGGCTTAAAACATTATTTTCCACTAAAAAGAACCAGAGCCCCTTGAAGAAATCACCAATTCTAGGTCAGAGGCAGGAAATATACAAAAGGAGCCTGGGACATGTTGTAACACCAGAAAGCAAGGAAGCTACCAAAGACTCAGGAGCCAACTTGAAGGAGATTCCACTGGCCAAAGATGGGACAGTGTCATGTGTAACATGGAAAATAAGACAATGGATTAAAACATAGAAATGTATACAGCCATAAGTCCATAAATGAGTCACAAAAAGATATAACTTAGTGGTCACCTTTGGATGATGCTACAAAATCAATTATTTTGAAAACTAGTAAATAAATGGAAAAGCTCAATCACTGAGCCTGTCTTTTCTGTACAATATGTAACTCATGGTAGCCAAATAATAGATAAGAAGCAATTTCTCTTTATAGAATTATTCCAGTGGGGCCGGGCACGGTGGCTCACGCCTGTAATCCCAGCACTTTGGGAGGCCAAGGCAGGTGGATCACAAGGTCAGGAGATCGAGATCATCCTGGCTAACACGGTGAAACCCCATCTCTACTAAAAATACAAAAATGTAGCTGGGTGTGGTGACATGCACCTGTAGTCCCAGCTACTCGGGAGGCTGAGGCAGGAAAATTGCTTGAACCCAGGAGGCAGAAGTTGCAGTGAGCCAAGATCACACCACTGCACTCCAGCCTGGGCAACAGAGCAAGACTCTGTCTCAAAAAAAAAAAAAAAGTTAAACATACAGTTCCTTTTATACCACCACATGGTATAATTCCAATCCTATGTATCTACCCAAAAGAAACAAAACATATATCACCACAAAAAATGTGTACATCAATGTTCACAGCACCATTATCCATAATAACCAAAAGGTTGAAACAAGCAAAATTTCCATCAATTGATGAATGGACAAACAAAATGTGTTCTATCCTAACAATGGAATTTTATTCCTCCATAAAAAGGAATGAAGTACTGATACATGGTACGATGCGGATGAACCTTGAAAACATGCCAAGTGAAAGAAACCAGACATAAAAGGCCACATTTTGTCTGACTCTATTTAAATAAAATGTCCAGAACAGGCAAAACCATAGAGACAAAATAGATCAGTGGTTGCCAGGGAGTGAGGGGAAGAGGGATGAGAATGACTGCTAGGGAGTAGGGGCTTCTTTTCAGTGTGATGAACACGTTCTAGAATTAGGTAGTGGTGATGGTTGTACAACTCTGTGAATATACTAAAAACTACTGAATTCTGTACTTCAAAAGGGTGAATTTTATGATATGTGAATTATATCTCAATAAAGCTACTTTTAAAAAATAGATAAGATGTTTTAGGAGAGCAAATCTGACAAATATCTAAACTGAATGAGAAGACTGGACTCAGGTTGTTCAATCTGAAATTAGAGCATTAGAGTCCAGGCCTGTGACTAACGTGGGCCTGGCTTTATATAAGTCGGTGACAGGTGAGAGTCGTGAAAGTGGCAAGGCCAGGGGGTTGTGGCATTTAAAAGACTCTTTCATACGGGACAAAAGGAACTGTGCAGAAACTTGCAGGTAAGCACCAACTTAAGGAGAGTGGCCTGGTGTATGGGGGACAGCGGGAGTGTCAGTTTTGTGTCTGAGGTGTTCATGTCCCTGTCCTCCAACAGTGCCAAGGGCCAGAACCTTTTCCTAAGATATTCCTGAAAGCCCTGTCAGAGGGCCTCACCTCTGACTAATAGGGTGGAACTTCATGTCCCCAGAGCCTGGGTCAAAATTCCACTTACCTGGAAAGTTCCAAAATGGGATTTTTCCTTCTGCCGGGCATTCTTCTACCTCCAACTTGAGGATGAGGTTTGGTTTGGTAACCTGCTGCCCTGTTGATGAGAAATGACAGTGATACCTCCTTGGCTTTCAGAGCCTCTGAGACAGAAGAAGTTACATATTGGGGGCAGCACAAGGAATCTATTGCTTGACATAATGGTAAAGTCAAACCATTTAACCTGCATTTTGAGCTCACAAACACTTTTTCAGGAGAGAAAAGAGGGAACTGAGAAAGGAAATGCCTTCCATTGGATGCAATAATCATAAACTGCAAAATTACCTAAGGAAGCTATTCTTACCCACAAAGACCAAGTTGCTGTAGGTCTCCAGCATCACGTCTCTGTACAGGGTCCTCTGTGGTGGGTTCAGGTACTGCCACTCCTCCTGGGTGAAATCCACAGCTACATCTTCAAATGTCACTAGCCCCTGTAATGGTACATTCCTTTTATTTTAAAATGCTGACCACTAGATGATGAGGATAAAATGCACGGGAACTTCTGATTGGGTTCCTGGTTCATCATGATGACTCAATATTGGATGCCTATTTCATATCAAGTTAGTGATCTACTTTGTGGGAGAATCACAAATCATGGTTAAAAAAAAACTAAGTAAGAGAATACTTGAGACAATGTCATTATCAGCACAAGGACAGACAAACAGTCCAGTGGAACTAAAAAGAGAATCCAAACATGTATGGACACCTGATTTATGACAAAGTTGGCACAGTAAAGCAGTAGGGAGAAGATGACCTTTTCAATAGATGTGGATGGGTTATTAGATATCTATATGGAGAAAATGAAATTTAACCCCTCTAGCCACACATAAAAATCAGCTACAGGTAAATCGTAAATCTAATGTGAGAGGTAACCAATTAAGTGTCTATAAAATAATACAGGAAAATGTTTTCATAAGCTTTGGAGTAGGGAAACAATTCTATAACAAAACATGAAAAGCACTCCTCATAAAGGAAAAGACAAGTGTTATAAGATCAAAAGTACTACAATGAAAAGGCAAGCCACAGATGGGGAAATTGCTGGCAATATTCATGAGGGATAAGGTATCGTATGTAGAATATATAAAATAATCCCCTCAAATCAATAAGAAACACACACAAAAGAATGGATAAGAGAAGTGAATAGGTACTTCACTGAAAAGCAAAACCAAATGATCTATGAACACAAGATAATGTACTCAACCCCATTAGCAATCAGGTAAGTGAAAAATTAAGCCACATTGAGACACCACTATACACCCACAAGAAAGGTTATAATTAAACAGACTAAAATAACATAATATTGTGTTGAAATGAGAACTCTTACACACTATTAGCAGGAATATAAACTGGTATAATCGCTTTGGTAACAGTTTGGCATTATTTACAAAGGTTAATGGTTTGCATATACCATGACCCAGCAATTCTACTCCTAGGTACACATCTTAGAGAAAATCAGGCATATGTGCTCTAGAAAACAAATATAAGGATGTTCATAGCAGCACTATTTCTAATACTAGATCACAGATAAAATCCAAATGTCCATCAACAGTAGAATGGGTAAATTGTGGCACAATCATTCAATGGAATGCTGTATAGTAATGAAAATGAATGAACTGCATGTTGTGAAGCAGGTTCACCTGCTTCGAAACTCGAAGATTGAAGAAACTCTTTTTAACCTTGGGTTAGACAAATATTTCTTAGATGTGACACCAAAATTCAAAAATCACTTGTTAAGAGATTAAAAAGACACAGAATGGAAGAAAATATCTGCAAATCAAATATCTGGCAAATAACTTTTATTGAGAATATATAAAAAAAACTTTCAAAATTAAAACAAAGTGGGCAAAAGAGATACTTCACCATGGGAGATAAACAGATGGCAAATAAGCACATAAAAAGATGCTCAACATCATTAGGCATGAGGGAACTGTAAATTAAAACCACAATGAGATACTACTACACACCTATTAGAATGGGGAAAAAACTGACAATACTAAGTGTTGGTGAGGATGTAGAGCAACTGCACCTCTCCTGTCATAAGCAGGAATGAATATGTATGTATATCTACCTTACAACCCTGCAATCCCACTCCCACGTTTATTTACCTCAGTGAAATGCAAACTTAGGTAAACCTAAAAGCCTGTACATGAACATTTATATAGCAACTACATTTTTAATGATCAAAACCTAGAAACATATCAAAGGTTTTCCAACCAGTGAATGGATAACAACCTGGAATCCTCCATACAATGTAATACCACTTGGCAATAAAAATGAGAGAACTAATGATTTATGCAACGACATGGATGAACTTCAAATGTATTATGCTAAGTGAAAGAAGCCAGACTCAAAAGGCTGCATACTGCATGATTACATTTATATATTACATTTATGGTAAATAAAAACTACAAAGACTGAAAATATATCTATATTTTCCTTGTCAACAATACTACTTCCCTGGTCAGCAATACTGTGCATATTGTCACATCTCAATGTGCTGGGAGGGTGACATGAAAGTGAACAACAGAAGCTTCATGGCTGGGACCCTCTGAGACCTTACCCTATGCATCACTCCCTTTGGTTGGTTCTACTTGTATCTTTTTGCTATAACAAAACTGTAATCATAAGCATGTACTTTTCTGAGTTATATGAGTCATTCTACCAAATTATTAAACCTGAGTGTATACCGAGAACCCTTAAGTTGAATCAAGGTGTGGAAGTGGAAGTGGCACCATTCACCATCACCCCTAGTGACCCACTAGCAAAATTTTTGCTTCCTGTTCCTGCAACATTATGTTCTGCCAGCCTAGAGATCTTAGTTCCAGAGGGAGGAATGCTGCCACCAGGAGACACAACAATGATTCCATTAAACTGGAAGTTAAGACTGCCACCTGGCTACTTTGGGCTCCTCCTACCTGTAGGTCAACAGGCTACAAAGAGAGTTATAGTGTTGGCTGGGGTGACTGACCCACACTATCAAGATGAAATCAGTCTAATACTCCACAACGGAGGTAAAGAAGAGTATGTGTGGAATACAGGAGATCCCTTAGGGCATCTCTTAGTATTACCATGCCCTGTGATTAAAGTCAATGGGAAACTACACCAACCCAATCCAGGCAGGATTACAAATGGCCCAGACTCTTCAGGAATGAAGGTTTGGGTCACTCTACTGGGTAAAACACCACAATCCATTGAGGTATTTGCTGAAGGCAAGGGGAATACAGAATGGATAGTAGAAGAAGGAAGTTATCAATATCAGCTATGACCACATGAGCAGTTGCAGAAACGAGGACTGTAATTGTCATGAGGATTTCCTCCTTATTTTGTTAAAAATATGTCTGTGCATGTTTACACCTGTATTAAGAAAATATCTTCATGTTATTTCCTTTTTCCTTTATCATGTGACATAAGATTTATTGACTTCATATCAGCACTTAAGTGTTGTTAACTTTATGTAACAGCAATTAGGCTAAGAATTAGTGTGCTTCCAGTTGTACGAGGGATAGCTGTATTATGTTAGGCATAATTACGACCTTATTATTGTCTTTACTTGAAGATTTATGTGTGATTTCAGGAGATGTGTACAGTTTTAAGTTGATAAGGGGTAGACTTATAATGGTTAATATTGAGTGTCAACTTGATTGGATTGAAGGATGCAAAGTATTGTTCCTGGGTGTGTCTGTGAGGGTGTTGCCAGAGGAAATTAACATTTGAGTCAATGGAATGGGAAAGGCAGACCCACCCTCAGTCTGGGTGGGTACCATCTAATCAGCTGCCAGGGCAGCTAGAATAAAGCGGGCAGAAGAAGGTAGGAGGAGCTGGCTTTCTGAGCTTCCGGCCTTCATCTTTCTCCCATACTGGATGCTTCCTGTCCTCAAACATTAGACTCCAAGTTCTTCAGCTTTTGGACTTTTAGACGTATACCAGTGGTTTGCCAGGGCCTTTGGCCACAGAATGAAAACTGCACTGTTGGCTTCCTTATTTTTGAGGTTTTGGGACTCAGACTGGCTTCCTTGCTCCTCAGCTTGCAGAAAACCTACTGTGGGACTTCACCTTGTGATCGTGTGAGTCAATACTCCTTAATAAAATCCCCCTCATATATTCATCTATCCTATCAGTTCTGTCCCTCTAGAGAACCTTGACTAATACAGAAGTCATTGCAACTTAATATACATAATGATTATAAAATAAAACAACATGTCAGAGTTTAGACCAAACATACCAGCCAAATCAATTAATGTTATTAGGCCTTAAGAAGGCTTATTAAAAGAAGATCTCCAGATTGACTCACAAGCAAGATCCAGCTGTATGTTGTATACAGGAAATACAACTAAAACAAAGTGATTCGAGAAGGCTAAAAGTAAAGGGATAGGCAATGGTCGACCAGACAAATAAATGGAAACAATAAGAAAGCAGAGGTTGAGATCCTGACATTATCCTTAGTCTAAAGATAAAAGGCATAAAAACAAATTGTGTATTATATTCAGTAGGTTGGTTTTCCACAGTGATGTGGGTGCAGCAATTCTGACTCTACTTTCTGTATATTGTAGACTGAACAAATGAATGAATTATTGATGCTAGGAACCAATGCTCTCACTGTTAAAGAAGGGAGATGCAAATATGCAACGAGGGATGACTAAGATTCCCAGGATGCTGTATGAACTCAAAGTATGTTTGTATGTGTGTGTGGTGTATGTGTGTACACATATAGATGTAGACATACAGATGTAGATATATATGTACATACACACATCTCTGTTCACCGAAAGGGCCTAGAAGTAACAATGCCCCAGCAGCAATGAGCACAGCTAGCACCCAGATTTTGGTTTCTAAATATAATTATCCATTAACAGGAACCAGAGCTCCTTGGAGAAATGGCTGATTCCAGGGCAAGTAAAGTTAAAGATGAAGGCTGGAACATCTTGTGCCAGAAAATAAGAAAACGCTCAGAGCTCAGAAATGGACCAAACCTACCAAAGCCTTAAAATTCCACTTTCAGGACTGATATAGTTTGGCTATCTCTCCCTCCAAATCTTATGTTAAAATGTGATCCTGGCTGGGTGTGGTGACTCATGCCTGTAATCCCAGCACTTTGGGAGGCTGAGGTGGGTGGATGATTTGAGGTCAGGAGTTCAAGACCAGCCTGGCCAACATGGTGAAACCCCATCTCTACTAAAAATACAAAAATTAGCTGGCAGTGGTGGTGCATGCCTGTAATCCCAGCTACTCAGGAGGCTGAGGTATGAGAATCGCTTGAACTCAGGAAGCGGAGGTTGCAGTGAGCTGAGATCACGCCACTGCACTCCAGCCTGGGCAACAGAGTGAGAGACTGCCTCAAAAAAAAAAATATGATCCCCAGTGTTAAAGGGAGGGCATGGTGGGAGGTGCTTGGGTAATGGGGATGGATCCCTCATGAATGGCTTGGTGCCATTCCTTTGGTGATGAGTGACTTTTCACTCTATTTGTTCAGACGAGATCCGGTTGTTAAAGAGTCTGGTGCCTCCCTCCCCCACTCTTGCTCCCACTCTTGCCATGTGACATACCTGTTCCCTCTTTGCCTTCTGCCATGAGTAGAAGCTTCCTGAGTCCTCACCAGATGCAGATGCTGGTGTCATGCTTCTTGTACAGCTTGCAGGACTGTGAGCCAAATAAACCACTTTTCTTTATAACTTTTTTTTTCTAAAGAAAATGTTCAGAAAATTATAGGGATGTCTCAAAACGACACAAAAGCCAGCTTAAAGGGACTCTCACTGGCCAACTCAGGGACAACTGAGCATCGAAATAAATAATGACAGTAATATTCACTGACTAAAATAAAAACCCATAAAAATAAAAATTTTCTATACCAGATTATAAATAAATAAAGGAGATAAAGAAGGTCTGCCTCATAGTAAAATGACAATAAATACAGAAGAAATAATAAGAGTTAGAAAATTGTCATTTGGCACCCATCACAATAACTGATTCAGGCAAGATTAATCAATGGATAATAATACTAATTGGTGAAAAGTTTGATGAAGAATGGGACAATTATGTAACCTCAAAGTATCATCCACAAATTAGTTATTAATTACAAAGGAAAAATAGTAATGTTACAGCACAGAAACGTGGTTAGTGAGAGAAACAAGTGATCAAAGTTAATATCATAAAAAATGAGACAAATTGGGCTGGGTGTGGTGGCTCACACCTGTAATCCCAGCACTTTGGGAGACTGAGATGGGCAGATCACTTGAGGCCAGGAGTTCAAGACCAGCCTGGCCAACATAGTGAAACCCCATCTCTACTAAAATACAAAAATTAGCCAGGCGCAGTGGCTCACACCTGTAATCCCAGTTACTTGGGAGGCTAAGGCACAAGAATCTCCTGAATGTGGGAGGTGGAGGTTGCAGTGAGCTGAGATGGCGCCACAGCACTCCAGCCTAGGCAACAGAGTGAGACTTCGTCTCAAAAAAAAAAAAAAAGACAAATTGACATCATATGCCCCTGATGTGATACAAGGATACATCACTTACATTTTTTTCCTACCAGAAATGCATGACCTCAATCAAACCATGAGGAATCTAAAGTGAGGGACGTTCTACAATACGGATGGCCTATGTGCTTTAAAAATGTCACAGACATGAAAAACAAAGAAATGCTGAGGAAGTCTTCCAGATTAAAATATAAAGAATATACACTGCATAATAGTATTATATCAATGTTAACTTTCTGAGTGTGTTCAGTGTAATTTAATGATATAGGAGAATGTCCTTGCTCTTAAGAAATTGAGGAGGCCAGCTCCTGGCTAAAACTCTATGTGTGATTTTTAATTATTAAGGCCTGACCAATGACAATTACAAAGACTTCAGCTGTCAGGCTTTGTAGGAGAAATCTGCCCCCACATCAGACTTGGAATATATAGCCAGAACGTTATAATCTCTAAAGAGACTGGCCAGCCCCACTCTTACAAATATCTGTATTCCTAGGCCAGGCACCTTCACTGGAGAATGATGATCATTAATTCAAATTTCTAGGTTTGTTCATGCCATTCCTGCTGATTATTGAGCCAGAGTAGCCTTCATCAGGAGGTCAGGTCAACTAGTCCACAACAAAATCCAAATCATAGCTGACAAATTCTCAGGCATTAAAAAAAACAGCAACTGACAAAATAATAAAAATTAATCACCAACATCTACAAATATATTTTTGTTGATATCTACAATATCAATAAAAATACAAATCAGGCACCCTCCCCTAAATAATATGGGCAAGAGCCTTCCTCCAAAAATCCGCGTCTGGTTACTCAATAACGGGGTCTCTAAGAGACTGACGGGCTTCTCACTAAAAAATTAATGGACAGGTACTGGGCTACACAGGGCTCAACATACAGCCTCATTAGGGTCTGCACAGTGATGACTAACATAAAGACTATCTGAAGTGGGTAGCAGGAGTAAGCTGTCATTATGCTATTGTGTCTGCCATTAACTCTCAAACTGTCACCCCCAAAATAAATGCATACATATGTGTGTATGCAGACACACACATACACATATACATACAGAAATAAAGTAAAAATAAATGTGGGAAAAGGTCAAAAATTGGTGAATCTAGATGAAAGCTATATAATCATTCATTGAACTATTCTCGCAGCTTCTCTATAGGAAGTGGCTAGCACATGTGTAAATTTGGTCAACCTCATTAATAAATAAATGAAAATGAGCAATCATCCATCAATTATATGATTGGCAAGGTATAAAAACACTGATAATATATGCTTGTGGGGACAATATTCAGAAACAAGCATTCTGTTGCACTCTTGGTGACAGCATGACCTTGTTAAGCCTTTTTAGAAGAGAATTTGGCAAGTCCTGTTAAAAATTAAAACAATTTCTTCATTTCAGAAATTCCAGTTATAGGAATCTGTCCTACAGAAATGTCTCCACAAGAATACAGACATGCACATTCATTCCCTTCCTAACTCTCTGTGATAAAACAAAAGTGGAAGCACCCCAAAATTCTATCAATAAGGGAACAAATAAAAGAAAAATGATGGTTTATGCTTGAATTATAATTGTTATGGGTTGAATTATGTCCCCCCAAAATTCGTATGTTGAAATCCTAACCCCCAATGTGACTATATGTAGAGGGAGAGTCTTTAAGGAGGTAATTAAGGTTAAATAAGGCCATAAGGGTAGGTTCCTCATCCAAGAGGACTGGTGTCCTTATAAGAAGAGAAAAAGACACCAGAGGTCCCTCTCTCTCTCTCTGCACCCAAAGAAGATAGGCCATGTGAGGCCACAGCGAGAAGACAGCCCTCAGCAAGCCAGGAAGAGCAGCCTCACCAGAAGCCAACCCTACTGGTGCCTTGATCCTGGACTTCCAGCCTCCACAGCTGTGAGAACACAGATTTCTGTTGTTTAAACCACCCAATCTCTGGTATTTTGTAATGGCAGCCTGAAATGACTAATACAATAATCTTCCGCAACTGTTAAGAAGGAAAAGGTGACCACACTTTGGTTACTCATTTGATGAGTATTTGTTAAATTACCACACTGAGTGAAAACCACGAGGTGGCAAACTATACTTACAAGCCTTCCTTGTTCCATATAAATGGATATTAGATAGAAATGGTAGACTTCTAGTCCTGACATGATGGCACAGACTCCTCTTTCCCTGCTCTTCCCCACTAAGTACAACTATAAACCCTGAAAGTGATGCAAGAGACAACCAAAAGAGGACTCTGAAAGGAGGAAAGTGGAAAGCACACAGGTTAGGGACCCAAGGACTTAAACAGTGGCAGGACATCTTATGATCCCCCCACCCCAACAACGGAAGGCAACCCAGGCCTGTGTCTCTAAACCCCCAACCTAGCAACAGAACACAGCCTAGGTAGTCTCTGTCTTCCCCCAAATCAGCAGGAGTCCTTCCAACAACACCAGACAAGCCTGTGACACCAGCAAAGGAGATTAATCTGGAGCCTTGCTGACAATAAGCAGCCACCGGAAGTGCTTCTTCTTCTCCACTGAGCCTGAGACTTCCTTCCCCTATCTAGACACTCCCTCTCCACTTCAAGACACCTGGCAGTCAGGTAGGACGGCAGGGGGATCCCCACACAACAAGCACCCAGCCAGGAAATGTTCTTCATCCCTGCTGGCCAAAAAATTGGCTCTCTCACCCAAAGAACAGACACCATGCAGATGCAGCAGGGGAAAATCTGGACACAACAGGCACCCAGCCAAGGAAGCACTGTTTGTCCCCTGTGTAGTGAATTCCTGGAATTTTATGTTGCTTTAGCATCCACTTTGAATATAAGTTGGACTTTCTCAAACAAGAAGCAGGACTCAGTCACCTTTGACACAGTCTCCAGTCCTCCATCTCCTCCCTGTTCCTAAATGTGGTCGACTCAGATATCAGCCTTATATAACCACCTACTGGTGACCACCTCCCTAGGGGACAGCTAGACACAACCCACTTGACTCGCCCCTCTGATCCCCACACCCCACATGGACTGCACAGATATGCCACACTGACCACCTTCCAGTCACAGCGTGACTCCATGGAACTTGCACCTGCTTGCTCCAAACCCATCAGTTAAAACTCTCCATGAAAAGGCTTCACCCCACAGGTCTGTCCCCCCGTGCCCCTCTCTGTCCCCACTCGCTGGCTGAGCACATGTGTCATGGTCAGCTCTCTGTGTCCCGTTGGCCCTGTGAGGTGTGCTGCCCTCTTCCGTCTGGACCTGTGAGGAATGTGCTACCTCCGTGACTTTCTGTGTTCTGTTGAGTTGCCTCCTCTGTGTCTCACCTGCCCCACACACCCAAACCTAACTTCTCTCCCAGTCAGGGCTCTCCTAGAGAGTGGCTATCTTGGTAGGAATAAGCTTGACCCAGATCAGACAAGAGCCACAAGGGTGTCTGCCAGAATAAACAGGTTTCCTGGGAGAGGGACACCTGGTCATGGGTCAGACACAGGCACTAAGCTGCTCACCAGAATAAAGAAGAATTCTCTGAAAGGCACATTTGTAAACACCCACAACCACATTCCCTGGTGCCCCACCAGGATGGGGTTAGAATTTAAAGCCAAG
Source organism: Homo sapiens (assembly GCF_000001405.40). Classification (NCBI taxonomy): domain Eukaryota; kingdom Metazoa; phylum Chordata; class Mammalia; order Primates; family Hominidae; genus Homo; species Homo sapiens. The sequence continues at coordinate 47,993,044 of NC_000023.11, forward strand.
CACATTATTAGAAGGTTAGAACTTTCAGGCCCACCCCCAGACCTCTAGGGAGGGAACAGGGGCTACAGACTGAGTTAATCACCAATGCCCAATGATTTAATCAATCATGCCCATGTTATGGAACTGCCATAGAAACCTCTCAATGGCAGGGTTAGGGAGCTTCTGGTTCAGTGAACACACTGTGTTGGGAGGGCGGCACACCCAGAGAGGGCACAGAAGGAAACCCTGTACCCTCCCATGCCTTGCTCTGTAGAACTCTTCCATTTGACTGTTCCTGAGTTGTATCCACCATAATAAACTAATAATCATAAGTGCTTTCCTGAGTTCTGTGAGTTGTTCTAACAAATTACTGAACCTGAAGGGTACATGAGAATCTCTGAATTTGTAGTCAACCAGGCAGAAACACAGGTAGCCTGGGCACCCCACTCGTGGCTGGCATCTGAAGTGGAGGTAGTCTTGTGGGAATGAGCCCTTAACTTGGAGGTTCTGCACTAATTCTAGTACCTATGTAGGAATTTGAGGAGGACACAATTCAGCCCAGTAACAATTTACAAAGATTTAAAGCAGCCAACACAAAAATGCTCCCATGATTACAAGTTCTTCTGAGATAAAAACAAAATCTCAGCAAAGAAACAGAAGTTATAAAACAGAGAACAAAATGGAGATTATAGAACCAAAAAATACAACAAGCAAATAAAAACTCACTGAATGAGATCAATAGTTTAGTGGTGATGACAAAGGACAGAATTAGTGAACCTGAGAAAAGATCAATAGAATTTACTCAATCTGAAAAACAAGAAAAAGAAAACTGAAAAAAAAAATGAACAGAATCTCAGGGATACATGGGACTATAACAGAAGATCCAAATTCATATCATTGCCATTCCAGAAGGAGATGAGGAGAAACAGAAGGTGGTAACAAGAGTATTTGAAGAAATAATACCTGAAAACTTCCCAAATTTGGCAAAAGACATAAACCTACAGATTCAAGAAGCTGACCAAATCCCTAATTCATGCCAAGCCATGGCAAAATTAAGCTTCTGAAAACTACAGAAACAGAAAAAATTTTGAAAGCAACCAGAGAAAAACAATGCATTACCTATAGGTAAAAAATCAAAACAAAAAATAAACAACAACAACAAAAAAACAATTTGAATGATAGCAGATTTCTCAACAAAAACCATGGAGGCTAGAAAAAAGTAGCATAATATTTTTCAGGTGCTAACAAAAAGGGACTGTCTACCACCAATTCTATATCTGGCAAAGTTATCCTTCAGGAATGAAGGGGAAATTAAGACATTTCAGGTGAAGGAAAACTGAAAGAATTTGTCTCTGGCAGACCTACTCTTAAGAAAATGCCTAAAGGAAGTTCTTCTAACACAAGGGAAGTGATAAAAGAATGAATCTCAAAGCACCAAGAAAGAACCAGGAACAACAGAGCGGAAAAATGACCAATTCGATATAAATACATAGGGAGGAGAAAGGGAATCAGAGGAAGGGGTGGAAAGAGAAAGAATGAGAGACAAACTTCCCTAGGGACATTTAGCAAACTGTGAAGATGAGTCCCCTTCTCTCCAGAGGGTGATTTAACCAATCATACTTTTTTGTGTGTGTAAGATGGAGTCTCGCTCTGTTGCCCAGGCTGGAATGCGGTGGTGTGATCTCTGCGCACTGCAACCTCCGCCTCCCAGGTTCAAGCGATTCTCCCACCTCAGCCTCCTGAGTAGCTGAGATTACAGGCACCTGCCACCACACCTAGCTAATTTTTGTATTCTTAGTAGAGACAGGGTTTCGCCATGTTGGCCAGGCTGGTCTTGAACTCCTGACCTCAGGTGATCCACCTGCCTCAGCCTCCCAAAGTGCTGGGATTACAGGCGTGAGCCACTGCACCTGGCCAACTGTGCCTTTTTATATTCACATTTTTTTTAGATTCCTGAGTAGTTTGTGTGCAACTGTTCCATCTGCAATGAGAAAGAGTTCCATTTCTTTTATAAGACCAGCAGAAGAGGCCGGGCGCGGTGGCTCACGCCTGTAATCCCAGCACTTTGGGAGGCTGAGGCGGGCAGATCACAAGGTCAAGAGATCGAGACCATCCTGGCCAACATGGTGAAACCCCATCTCTACTAAAAGTACAAAAAAATTAGCTGGGTGTGGTGGTGTGCACCTGTAGTCCCAGCTACTTGGGAGACTGAGGCAGAAGAATCGCTTGAACCCAGGAGGCAGAGGTTGCAGTGAGCTGAGATTGCACCACTGTACTCCAGCCTGGGCGACAGAGCGAGACGCTGTCTCAAAAATAAAAAAAAGAACCAAATGAAAATTTTGAAACTGAAAAAGATAATAACTGAAATAAATCCCCAATTGATGGACCCAACACAACAGAGATATCAGAGAAAAGAGCAAGTAAACTTCAAGGTAAACCAATAAAAATTACCTAATCCCAAAAATAGAAAAAACACTGCAGAAACATGAACAGATTCTGGGACCTCTGGGACAATACCAAAAGGTCCAAAATTCATGCCATCAGAGTTCCAGAAGGAGAGGAGAAAGAGGATAGTACAGAAAAATATCTGGAAGAAATAATTCCTGAACACTTCCCCAAATTTGGCAAAAGACAAAAATCTATATGTTCAAGAGGCTCAGCAAGTCCAAAACAGGATAACCCCAAAGAAATCCACACTCAGACACATTATCACCAAACTGCTGAAAACTAAGGACAAGTGAAAAACAACATATTATTTACAGGAGAACAACTATTTAAATGACTGTGGATTTCTCATGAGAAACCAGGGTGTGCAGAAGAAGTGGAACAGCATTGTGAAAGTTCCAAAAGAAAACAACAGTCCACTGAAAAATCTATATGCAGTAAAAATCTCCTTCAGAAATGAAGGTGAAAGAAGACATTCTCAAGGAAGGAAAACCAAGACTATGTTGCCAGCAGACTTGCTCTGAAACAACTGCCAAAGGCAGTTCTTCATAACAGGCAATTGATATCAGAAGGAAACTTAAGATTGTGAACAATGAAGGAAGAACATCAAAGTGGTAAAAATCTGGGTAAATAGAATAGATTATCCTTGAGTTCTTTAAAATACATTTGACAGTTGGAAGAGAAATAACATTTTCTGGTAGAAATTTCAATGTATGTGAAAGTAATATTAATACATAAGACAACAAAAACATAAAGGGGAGAGGGAAAAGGGACTTATAAGATGGTAAGGTTCACACACTCCATTTAAAGAGGTAAAATATTGATGCTAAGCATGTTGTGTAAACTTAAATATATATGGTAATTTGCAGGGCAACCACCAAAAAAAAAACTATGTAACTCTGTAAATAGATATAGTAAAAAACACAATAGACAAATAAAAATGTAATCTAAGAAAATGTTCAAATAACCCAAAAGAAGGCAGAAAATGAGAAACAAAGGAATAAAAAGGGAGAAAAACCAGAAAACAAATAATAAAGTGGTAAATACCTAAATCCAAGAGTATCAATAATTGCATTAAATGTCAATGGACTGAATGTACCAATTAAAAGGAAGAAGTTTTCAAAATGGATTAAAAAAATATTACCCAACTGTTATGGACTGAATTGTACTCCCACTCCACAAATTCATACATTGAAGCCCCAACCTGCAATGTGACTGTATTTAGAGACTGGGCCTTTATAAAGGCAATTAAGGTTAAATGAGGTCATAAGGGTGGGGCCCTAACCCAGCAGAACTGGTGTACATATAAGAGAAATGGACATCAGAGCTTGCTCTCTGTGTGTGTGAGCAGAGGAAAGGCCATGGGAGGGCACAGCAAGAAGGTGGCCATCTGCAAGCCAGAAAGAGTGCCCGAGGCTAAAACCAAATCAGTCAGTACCTTAATCTGGGACTTCCCAGCTTCTGGAACTGTGAGAAAATTAATTTATGTTGTTTAACCCACCCAATCTATGGTACTTTGTTATGGCAGCCCGAGCAGACTAATATACCCAGCTACATGCTGTCTAAAAGAATATACTGGCCGGGCACGGTGGCTCACACCTGTAATCCCAGCACTTTGGGAGGTCGAGGTAGGCGAATCACCTGAGCTCAGGAGTTCGAGACCAGCCTGGGAGACATGGCAAAACCCCATCTCTACAAAAAATTAGCCAGTCGTGGTGGTGTGTGCCTGTGGTCCCAGCTACTTGGGAGGTTGAGGTGGGAGGATCACTTAAACCCGGGAGGTCAAGGCTGCAGTGAGCTGAGATCATGCCACTGCACTCCAGCCTGGGTGAGAGAGGGAGATCCTGCTAAAAAAAAAAAAAAAACACAACATACTTCAAATATAATAATACAGGTGGGATAGAAGTAAGAATGGAAAAAAGTACACCATTGAAATACTAACCAAAGAAGACTGGAGTGACCATATTTAATAACAGCCAAAGTAGACTTCAGAGCCAAAACTCATCCAGGATAATGAATGACATAAGGATAAAAAAATTCACCGGCCAGGCACAGTGGCTCACACTTGTAATCCCAGCACTTTGGGAGGCCGAGGCGGGCAGATCACTTGAGGCCAGGAGTTCAAGACCAGCCTGGCCAACATGGCAAAACCCCGTCTCTACTAAAATACAAAAATTAGCTGGGCGTGGTGGTAGGCACATGTAACCCCAGCTACTTAGGAGGCTGAGGCAGGAGAATCACCTGAAACCGGGAGGGGGAGGTTGCTGTGAGCCAAGATTGCACCACTACGCTCCAGCCTGGGTGACAGAGCAAGACTCCATCTCAAAAAAAAGAATTAATTAATTCACCAAAAAGATACAACACTCCTAAAAGTGTATGCATCTAACAACAGAGCTTCAAAATATATGAAGGGAAACTGATGCAACTGACAGGAGAAACAGGCAAATCTGCAATAATAACTGTATACTCAATACTCTTTTCTCAGTAACTGATAGAACCAGTAGACAGAAAATCAGCAAGAATATAGAACTAAACACCATCAACCAACTGTATGCAATTGAGATATACAAAACACGCCACTATAAAACAACAGAATATACATTCTTTTCTTTTCTCTTTTTTTTTTTTTTTGAGACAGAGTCTCGCTCTGTTGCCCAGGCTAGAGTGCAATCAATGGCGTGATCTTGGCTCACTGCAACCTCCGCCTCCTGTGTTCAAGCAATTCTCCTGCCTCAGCCTCCCGAGTAGCTGGGACTACAGGCACGTGCCACCACACCTAGCTAATTTTTTATATACATTCTTTTCAAATGCACATGGAACATTCACCAAGAAAGGCCATATCATGAGTCGGAAACCCAAATTTAACAAGTGTAAAAGAACTGAAATCACGCAAAGGATAATGTGTTCTTAGAACATAATGAATTTGTTTATAGTAATAGATAACAGGAAAATCCCTAGGTACTTGAAAATTAAACATCATTCTTCTAAATAATATATTGGTCAAAGAGGAAGTCTCAAAGAAAATTAGAAAATACTTCAAACTGAACAAAAATGAAAATACAACATATGAAAATGTGTGGGATGCAGCTAAAGACGTGCTTAGAGGAGGCCGGGTGTGGTGGCTCACGCCTGTGATCCCAGCACTTTGGGAGGCCGAGGCGGGTGGGTCACCTGAGGTCAGTAGTTCAGGACCAGCCTGCCCAACATGGCAAAACTCTGTCTCTACTAAAAATACAAAAAAATTAGCTGGGCGTGGTGGCGGGCGCCTGTAATCCCAATTACTCGGGAGGCTGAGGCAGAAGAATTGCTTGAACCCAGGAGGCAGAGGTTGCAGTGAGCCGAGATCGCACCACTATACTCCTAAGTGACAGAGCGAGACTCCGTCTCAAAAAAAAAAAAAAAAAAAGAATCACCATATGATGCAGTAATATCACTCCTGGGTATACATCCAAAGGATCTGAAATTAGGATGTCAAGGAGATATCTACAATCCCATGTTTATTGCAGCATTATTTGCAACAGTCAAGTTATGGAATCAACCTCAGTTTCCATCAGTGGATGAACAGATAAAGAAAATGTGGCATATATACACAATGGAATATCATTCAGCCTTTAAAAAGAAGGAAATTCAGGCCGGGAGCGGTGGCTCATGCCTATAGTCCCAGCACTTAGGGAGGCCAAGGCAGGCAGATCACCTGAGGTCAGGAGTTCAAGACCAGTCTGGCCAACATGGTGAAACCCCGCCTCTACTAAAAATACAATAATTAGCCAGGCGTGGTGGCAGGTGCCTGTAATCCCAACTACTCAGCAGGCTGGGGCAGGAGAATCACTTGAACCTGGGAGGCGGAAGTTGCAATGAGCCAAGCAGCCTGGGTGACAAAGCAAGACTCCATCTCAAAAAAAAAAAAAAAAGAAGGAAATTCTGCCATTTGCAACAATGGATGAACCTGGGGGACATTATCCTAAGTAAAATAAGCCAGGTACAGAAAGATAAATACTGCCTGTGCTCACTCATATGTAGAAGCTTAAAAAATTCTTCTCATACAAGTAGAGTTGTTCTCATAGAAGACCAGTGGTTACTAGAGGCAGGGAAGGGTTGCGGGGTGGGTAGCCAAAGGTTGGTTAACAGATACAGAAGTACAGCTGGATAGGAGGAATAAGTTCTAGCATTCAACAACACTGTAGGGTGACCATAATTAACAACAATTTAGTGCATATTTTCAAATAGCTAGAAATTTTTGAATGTTCTCAATACTAAGAAATAAATGTTTGAGATGGATATGCTAATTATCTTGATTGGATCATTACACATTGTAGACATTTACCAAAACATCCCAGTATACCCCATAAATATGTATAATTATTATGTGTCAATTTAAAATAATAAGGCTGGGCACAGTGGCTCACGCCTGTAATCCCAGCACTTTGGGAGGCTGAGGCAGGCAGATCATCTGAGGTCAGCAGTTCGAGACCAGCCTGCCCAACATGGTGAAACCCCGTCTCTACTAAAAATACAAAAATTAGCCAGGTGTGGTGGCACATGCCTGTAGTCCCAGCTACTCAGGAGGCTAAGGCAGGGGAATTGCTTGAACCTGAGAGCCGGAGGTTGCAGTGAGCTGAGATCGCACCACTGCACTCCAGCCTGGGCAATAGAGCAAGACTCCATCTCAAAAAAAAATTAAAACATTAAATAATAAAATAATAAAGCAAAAAAAAATTCTCAACAATTGGGGTTAGAACAATTGGAAATCCGTATGCAAAATGATGAAACCTGACCTAATCCTCATACCTTATACAAAAATTAATGCAAAAGAGCCGGGCGCGGTGGCTCATGCCTGTAATCCCACCACTTTGGGAGGCCGAGGTGGGCGGATCACCTGAGGTCAGGAGTTCAAGACCAGCCTGGCCAACATGGTGAAACCCTGTCTCTACTAAGAATATAAAAATTAGCCAGGTGTAGTGGCACATGCCTGTAGTCCCAGCTACTCGGGAGGCTGAGGCACGAGAATCACTTGAACCCAGGAGGTGGAGGTTGCAGTGAGCCAAGATGGCGCCACTGCACTCTAGCCTGGGGAACAGAGTGAGACTCCATCTCAAAAAAAAAAAATTAATGCAAAAGGAATCATCTATCTAAATGTAAAATCTAAAACTATAAAATTATACAATAGGAGAAAATCTTCATGACCTAGTGTTAGGCAAAGTTCTTAGACATGACACCAAGGGCATGATCCATAAATAAATGATTCATAAATTGGAAATTTTCCAAATTAAAAATTCTTGCTCTGCAAACAACAATGTTATGAGAGGAAAAGGACAAGCAATACACTTGGAGAAAACATTTACAAACCATGTATCTGACAAAGGACCTGTGTAAAGGATATATAAAGAACTCTTAAAACTCAACAGCAAGAAAATCCAATTGAAAAATGGGCGGAAACTTTTGAACAGACATTCATCAAGAGGATAGACCAAAAATAAATAAGCATATATAAAGATGCTTAACATCTTTAACCATTAAGGAAATGCAAATTAAAATCATTATGAGATAAATGACTACATAAAAAATACTGACAATACCAAGTACTGACAAAAATATGGAACAATTGGAACTCATACATTGCTAGGAGAAATGAAAAATGGTTCAACCACTCTAGAAAATAATTTGGCAGATTCCTAAAAAGTTAAACATACACTTACCATATGACCTAGTAATCCAATATTTACTCCACAGAAATGAAAACCTATGTTCACACAAAACCCTGTGCATGATTGTTTAAAGTAGCTCTACTCATAATTGCCAAAAACTGGAAATAACGCAAATGTCTTTCAACAGGTGAATGGATAAATACACTGTGGTACATTTATACCATGGACTACTATTCAGCAATAACAAAGAAACAACTACTGACACACACAACTTTGATGAATCTCCAGGGAATTGTGCTGAGTGGAAACAAACAAACAAATCCCAAAAGGTCACATACCATACGATCCATTTCTATTACATTCCTGAAATGACAAAATTCCCAAAACAGAAAACAGATTTGTAGCTGCCAAGAGTTTAGGAATGGGTATGGGGGAGGAAGGGCAGTGGCTGTGGCTATAAGGGACAATTTGAGGGATCCTTGCGATGATGGGGCTTGATCATATCAATGTCAACATCCTGACTTTGATATTGTACTATGGTTTTTGCAGGATGTTATCATTGGGGGAACCTAGGAAAAGAGTACACAGGATTTCTCTGTATTATTCTTTCAATTGCATGTAAATCAATCATCTCAGAAAGAAAAGGTTACATAATACATGACACCTCACTTATATGACATTCTTGAAAAGACAAAACTACAGTGACACAGAACAGACCTACCGCTGCCTGAGGTTACAGGTTGGGGAAGACATGACTATTAACAGAGTAGCATGAAGGAGTTTTTTTGGGGTGATGAAACTATTATCTATCCTATAGATTAGTTACACCAATCTAACAAAAATCAATTTCACTGTATGTTAATTTAAAAAATAAAAATGTTTAAAGTGAAAGAAAAAATATGGTGGGCTGCAGGTATCTGAAAAAATTTTGTCTCTTGGACAAAAGATAATTCAAAGTCCGACTAAGAAATTGCTTCAGGAAAATCATTGGAAAGACAAGCAGGTTCCCTAAGAGATTTCATTCCCAAGTTACATTTTGACATGATGTCTCCAGCTCACTGAGGAAAGCTGTAGCACATATCTGCAGGAAAGCATTTGTCACCAGGCTGTGGTTGAGGGCAACTGCACTATCCACATGAAGACCCAGCAAAGAAATACCTTTAAACACAATTCCAGGCAACCTTGACTTCCCATGAAGGCTGTGTGCTCTCTCCTGATGAGTAAGGTGAGCCAAGGTACTGGTTATGTTTCCCTTTGGCTACCAGAAGGCTCAAAGAGAAACTGACAGCCCAACATCAATATCTGTTACACCCTGAGTCCTGCACACCTCTACATTCTAATTTGGCCTTGATCTGTTGTCTCTTATTTTGCCTGATCCAATCCTTATTTACAAATACTTTCCTATTTTATGGCAGGGATTTCCACATATTTCGTCACATCCACAGTAAAATAGAGGAATGAAGAAACAGACAACATACTTACCTGGGGTTTGGCCATTTCCTGCTCTTCTTGGGAAAAAGCAGAGATGTGTGACGGCCGAGCTGGAACAAGTGGAGAAGAGTACAGCAGATGAGGAGACCCCATCAGACTTTCAGTGCCCAGAATTAGCTGCCTAGCAATCCCCTCACATCAGCTGGCCATCAGACTGCTCTCTGGAAGAGTCTGGGCAACCATGTGATTTTAACAATCTGTGTATTATTCACTCTTCATGTGAACATTGAACACAAAAGGTTTTATATACACATATATTAAATTGTGTACTGACCCATAAAGTGTATTTGTAGGTATTTTCCTTAAGGAAATAATTTATCATAATGTATCATAATTTCTCTGCACGTACCCACGTCTCAGCATTGATTTCAATAATGCCAAACTTAAACGATCCTCTATGACCCATAAGGGATTAATAATAACAAAATATAAAAGATAAAATGCTACAAAGCTGTTAAAAGCGTTATATGGAACTGTACAGTATCTATGCACTTTGTGGTATATGTATCTCAACTAAACGTTTTTAAAAGGTGTACAAAAAAATCCTAAGGTGAATTACAAAGTAGGTTTTAAAACTGCGGGAATCCATTTTAAAGTTATATGTTAAATGTTTAAAAGGCATACCCCTATACACACCAAAAATGTCTAAAAACGGACATTTAAATGTGTGGGGGAAGAATTAGTTCCTGTTGATTTTCTTTTTCTCTATTTCAGAATTAATCTATATATTCAAATGTTATTTATTAAATGCCAAAAAAAACTACACTCTAAAACTATTATCCCAATTACATTTTACCCCCATCTCCCTCAGACCCCGCACCTACCCCTCCTCCCACGCCCCCAACTTGGGCGAGGCCCGGGGTCAGGTGAGACCTCGCAGGTGCCTCTCCTTCCTTCTGCTCACCTCACCGGGGCCGCCTTGCCCAGAAGCCGGAAAGAGGCCTTCGGGTGCGGGGGTGCAGGTTCACTTCGGCCGGAGCATTCACACCAGGCCCCCACCTCGGGGCTTGGGCAAGGGGAGAGGGCAGAGGGAGAAGCGGGGCGCGTCTAAAGAGGGGTCTGAGGGATGCGCATGAACCTTTAGGGGCAGGTCACTGTGCTGGAAAACGTGTAAAAGTCAAAGTTTAATAAGCCCCATTTAATCCTGCTTAGCCCCCATAACTTTGTTCACCAGTGAGCCCCTAGAACCTCGTCCACTGACCTCTCGGTCCCCCATCACTCAACCCCCAACTCCCACTTCACTCATCCCACAGAACTCCCCATCACTCAGCCCACGACCCCTAGCACTTGCCCCCTCAACCTCACTCTCTCTCGATAACAGATTTTCTGCTCGCTGCTCAGGAGACCGTTACAAAGCCTGGCCCCAACAAGCACTTCCGCTTCGGGACCGACTCTTTGGCACCGCAGCCTAAAGGGCTGCAGGGGTCGGTTCTGCGCACGCTCAGTGGCGCCTTTGAGACCCCGTCCGCCAATAGTCAACATGGGGCCGCAGCGCAGGCGCAGAGGGAAGGTAGCCTTGCCGGTGACGTCACTGCTCCAGGCCAGATGGCCGTGCCCACCGTGTCCTTTTGCTGCTGGGGCTGCGTCGCAAAGCGGTTGTTTACTTAGTTATGCAGAGGCAGGCACTCCTAAGACTTCAGACACCAATTTTCTTACGGCAGGGCGGGGAGGGGAAGTGCCCAACTAAGGAAAAGATTCTAGCAGGCGGCAATTTCGCACTTTGAACTTGGAGGGCAGCAACAGGGTTGCAGGTGTAAAATAACGGGAAGGCGGGATGCGTGGCTAAATTGCTCTGCGTGCACAAAGAGTAGGAGGTAGGGAAAAGCCACTGGCTTCATCCAGTGGCCAGGACTGGGAGTTTACGTTGTAGCGTTTGAAGGACGGTGGGTCGGTATGCAGACAAACAAGCTGAAAAATAAACGGCGATGTGGGACACACACACCGGGGGTGAAGGGGTATATTAAGTGGTGGCTAACAGGTTGCTTTTTCTGGATGAGTAGACAGTGTCAGTGTGTTGGGAGTGTAGGGGGTGTAGGCTGGGGCCAGGTGCTGTAGGGCCTCCTTGGCCAGGGAGCTCATATTTCATTCTGGACATATGGGAAACCATAAGAAGGATCCGATCTGTAAAGACCAGTCTGAAGCAATCTAGCATTATATAGTAACGTTAAAAATACACATATATTGGGCTGGGTACGGTGGCGTGCGCCTGTAATCTCAGCACTTTGGGACGCCAAGGTAGGCGGATCACCTGAGGTCAGGAGTTCAAGACCAGCCTGGCCAACATGGTGAAACCCCGTCTCTACTAAAAACACCAAAAATTAGCCGGGCTTGGTAGCACGCCTGTGATCCCAGCTACTCTGGAGGCTGAGGCAGGAGAATCGCTTGAACCCGGGAGGCAGAGGTTGCAGTGAGCCAAGATCACACCACTGCACTCCAGCCTGGGCAACACAGTGAGACTCCATCTCAAAAACAAAAAACAAACAAACAACAACAACAACAAAAGGAATGGAGCTTCCCAGTAGACAAGACAAAGAAAGAAAGAAAGTAAAAAAGGAACTCACATCTGTTGCTCCCTGACACATCAGCACCTCCTGGGTATACAATTTATCCACTCTCTCAATGCATTAGGAGGTAGAAAATAGAAAGGGCTGGTCCTTTAGGGCCCATCAAGTGTCGCCCCTTCTAGCACCTAAACGTCATCTCCAACCACCTTGTACACACACACCTACACAAAGGAGGAAATCTTTTAGGGTTGGTGGGAGTTGGGGGGCAGAGGAGCCAGTGATACAGCCCCTCAGAAACTATCTGAGGGCCCACAGTGTGCATGCACAAGCTATGTGAGGCTAACTTTGCTGCTGCAGAGCGAGGACTCCCACTCTCTGTCCTGGGTATCCTCTACCGTCATTCCCTACAGGTGTGACCTCCTCATACAGTAACCTAAGCAGCAGGTGGCTAGGTGAAGGAGAGTGAGAAGCTGACAGGTGGCTGGTCCCACCACAGAGTCTGCATGATATGACATTCCCACCCAAAGACAATGAGAGAAGCCCCCACGTGGCTGGCGAGTCATCATTACAATTGCTCTTATGATACATTTTATCAAGACCACAAAAGCCTTGCCAATTGTGAGCGGTCATTTTGGACCAGAAGCAGCAGGTGAGGCTGACAGAGCAACAGCACAGAAGGAGCCAGGTCTCTGGTGACCTTGGAGCTACCACACTAGCCCTGGATTACCTGCCTCCAAAAGAGGAATCTGCTTCCCTCCTCTTGAAGCCACTGGTGTTTGTGGTGGGGTTGGTGCGTGCAGCCAGATCAAATCCTGAGCAATCCATCAGATGCTTCTGTGTTGGCCAATGTGAGTGTCAGTGAACAGGAGATACATGGGACTGGTGGGTGAGGGGCATGAATAATGGTGACTGAAGGGCAAATTGGGAGTAAATGAGAGCAAGGAGAGGCAAAGGGCAATGGAATGGAGGTGAATGAACACCAGAGTGGAGTGGATGTGGGCCAAAGTGAGGGAATGACTATGCATGCATTCAATTATGAATGAATTTGAGATTATGATGAGATTAAGTAAATGATGGGAAATGAGGCACAGTCTCAGCGGAAAAAAGGTGAAAGTGGGAGCAGACTCTGAATGAATGGGGCAACTGAAGGGGGTGAATGTGAGTGGAGTTTATGTGAGTACTGAGGATTAGAGTGTGAATGAATGGTGGTTTTATGAGGCACAAGATGAATGAAGAGAGGGGAATTTAGGGAGACAGTAGGAGTGAATGGGGGTAATGTGGGATGGAAAGGGAAGAATGGGGTGCGGGAGGGACAGAATAAAAGAGTGGAGATGGATACATGGTAGAATGTGAAGCAGGCCGAGTTTGAGTGTGGGTGCTACGAGGGAGAAGGATGACTAGAGATGACTGGGATTACATGGGCGTTATACAGGGTAGTAGCCCAGGAACGTGGGTGCACAGGGATCCCAGTGGGAATCGGCAAATGTGAATGAGCTGAAGAGTGCACATGAATGGAGGTGATGTTGGGCAGAGTGAGAGGGAATGAAAGTGAAGAGCAGAGGATGGGTGAACGTGGGTATTGTGAGGCAGAGAGTGGATGAAGGCTTCATGGCCTCGGGTGAGTAAAGCGAGGAAACATGGGGAGCCCGATGTGAGCAAAAGTAACGAATTTGAGGCACAGCGTGACAGAATGCGGGTACTGGGAGGCAGAATGGCAGCCATGAATCAGGAGCAGAATATGAGCAAGAAGAGGGTGATAGGGGTTACAGTGGGAATAGATTTAAAGGAATGAGGCAGTGAGAGGCAGAGTAAGAGTAAATGGAAACAATGAAGAGAAAACTGAGAAAGAACAGTGACTGGAGTGCAGTGGTGCGATCTTGGCTCACTTAGCGTAGGCTAAGTGTATGTGGGTAACTTCAGCTAGTGTTTGGGAGTAATAGGGACAGAGCTCCAGGAAATGGGGGTGTTCCTGGGACAGCATCTGAGAGAATAGAGGTGAAGGAGGGGCAGAGGGGGAGTGAAGGGGGGAAATAATGAGGCCCCGGGTCAATGAAAGAAGCTGAAGGCTGGGCCACGTGCGAGTAAGCCAGAGTCATTTGATGCAGGGGCGGGAAATAGAGGCAAAGATAGGAAATGAGTCTGAGTGAGAGTGAGTGGGGTGAAGAAGGAATATGACATGAAAGAATTTGGGTAATGCTAAGTAGACTGTGAGGAATTGCGATAATATGAGGCCCAGTATGGGTGAATATAAGTGGCTGAAAGGCAGTGTAAGTGAATGGAGGAACAAAAGGCAGAATGAGAATGAAGTTGAAAAAGCAGTCAAGCATAAGAATGTATATGTAATATGCCATTTGTAATATGAAATGTGGGGCACATTCCAGTAAATTAGGATGGAACAGCACTTTAAGTGCAGAGAGGTGAACAAGGTACCAAGGATGAGTGCTATGGTTTGAATGTGTGCCTTCCAAAATTCAGATGTCAGAAACTTAATCCCCAATGCAACAGTGTTGGGAGGTGGGGCCTTTAATCCCCAATGCAACAGTGTTGGGCGATGTTGAGGCTTCTGTGTTGCGCGTTCCAGAATCTACCACTTAGACCTTTGCTCATAGAGCCCAGAGTTCCAGAATGCCCCTAATTCCGAACACCACAGGGTGAGTCTGGAGCAAGTCACCTGGGAGGGCTTACAGGTGCCATAATGAAGGCCTGGGGCACTGTGGTAGTGACCTTGGCCACGCTGATGGTTGTCACTGTGGATGCCAAGATCTATGAACGCTGCGAGCTGGCGGCAAGACTGGAGAGAGCAGGGCTGAACGGCTACAAGGGCTACGGCGTTGGAGACTGTGAGAATCCAGTTGCCCCAAATCCCATCCAAACCCTGAGCCACCCGCCACATTCAGACCCAGGCCCCTTCTTGTCCTTTATCACCTCTCCAGGCCTGGGCATGATCCCTTGAGTCACTCCCTGACTGACTATGCTGAGTAGTTTAACTAACTCTAACACCACCACCATTATTGCCTTCACAACCATCACCTCCATCTCTGCCATCAACACCATCACTACAATCAATATCATCACCACTGTTACCATCATGAATACCATCGCTACCACCATCACTGATGTCTCACCAGAATCACCAACATCACCACCACTAAACCAAGATCACCACCCTCACAACTGAGATGACAACCATCCCTGTCCTCCCCCCATCCTATCCTTCCCTATTCCCAAGCTCTATACCTACTCCCTGCCTCCCTTCTCCCTGCCCCAGGGCTGTGCATGGCTCATTATGAGAGTGGCTTTGACACCGCCTTCGTGGACCACAATCCTGATGGCAGCAGTGAATATGGCATTTTCCAACTGAATTCTGCCTGGTGGTGTGACAATGGCATTACACCCACCAAGAACCTCTGCCACATGGATTGTCATGGTAAGTCAGCACTGGGGGACCCACTGAAGCCCTGCTGGGCCCTACTCTCCCACACATGGAGGGCAAGGTTGTTTAAGCCATAATCTCCTGCAACAAGAGAAAAATGATGGGAAAAGGAGAAAAGTTGCCTGAGCTATTAAAGACACCATCCTCTACCCCTACCCAGACTATCCTGAGAGGTTGTTTAGGACAGAAGAGCTCAGAGCTCCCAATCCTCACCCAGAATGGACACTGCAGTTTTCTTAGACTCAGGAAACAGGAAACTTACCTCCATGTGGAACAGAGTTAGAAACTGTCCTGATTTGGGGTTGAGGTTACCCAGGCCCCGAGGAAAGAAGCAGAGTGTCTGGTTCTAGAAACAGAAACAGATAACCTCCATGCAGAAATGACAGAACTTTCCAGATAAGACTGGTGGTGTTGAGGACAAAATAGAATAGCCGTTAAAGTTGTTCAGTGTTGGCCAAAATGGTGGTTGAGGTTGTCCAAGACAGGAAAAAATGGAGACTGAGGTTATTTGGGGCCAGCCCAAATGGAGGTTGAGGTTGTCCAGGACCAGACAGTATGGAGGTTGGGGTTATTCATAACTAGCCAACATGACAATCTAGATCATCCAGGATCAGTCAACATGAGTTAAGGTTGTACAGAACCAGCTAACATGGTGATTAAGATCATTCATAACCAACTGACAAGAGAATCAAGGTCATCAAGAATCAGTCAACATAGTGGTTGAGGTTCTTCAGGCCCCAAGGAACCCAAAACCCTTGGGCCCTCCATTCACTGTTATCCTATCCCCAGTGCACCAGACCACCATGTCCCTCTCTTCCCCCTCAGACCTGCTCAATCGCCATATTCTGGATGACATCAGGTGTGCCAAGCAGATTGTGTCCTCACAGAATGGGCTTTCTGCCTGGTAAGTTCATGGGGATGGCCCAGGCCATGGGCAGCCAGGGATAGTGTCACTGCCACCCCATCAACCTGTCCACTTCATCCTCTCTCCTTTCCTTCATTTCCCAGGACTTCTTGGAGGCTACACTGTTCTGGCCATGATTTATCTGAATGGCTCAAGGGGTGTGATATGCATGTGAAAATTGATCCAAAAATTCATCCATGACTCAGATTCGAAGAGACAGATTTTATCTTCCTTTCATTTCTTTCTCTTGTGCATTTAATAAAGGATGGTATCTATAAACAATGCAAAAGATGCTCTGATGTCTGACTCTCTTCATTTATTCAATGCCTGGAGGTACCCTCATTCCGTCACTTCCTCCATGTATTCAAAGCTCTAATTAAGAAATACCAGATCACTCAGAGTGGGGAAGGAAGGGAGGATAGTGTTGTGAATCAAGAGCATGTTGTTCTCCTGGGTTCAGAAGCCATCTCTACCACCTACTAGCTGTGTTGCCTTGGAAGAGATACTTAAATTCTCTGAGCCTCAGTTTCCTCATCTGTTAAATAAGGATGATAATAGTAACTACTTGATGGGGTTATTGGGAGGATTAAATGAATTAATATTTGTAAAACGCATAAAGTGCTTGGTACATAAGACAGTTGTAGGTTTGGAGATAGAGGAGTGGGATGGGAGAGATGAAAATTGGCTTCCCTTAAAAAGAATCACTCTCGGTGGGGTGCAGTGGCTCATGCCTGTAATCCCAGCACTTTTGGGAGGCCAAGCCAGGTGGATCATGAGGTCAGGAGTTCGAGACCAGCCTGGCCAATATGGTGAAACCCCATCTCTACTAAAAATACAAAAAAAAATTTAGCCGGGTGTGGTGACATGCACCTGTAGTCCCAGCTACTCAGGAGGCTGAGGCAGAAGAATCGCTTGAACCCAGGAGGCGGAGGTTGCAGTGAGCCGAGATCGCACCACTGCACTCCAGCCAGGGTAACAGAGCGAGACTCCGTCTCAAAAAAAAAAAAGGGTCTTTATTTAAGGCAGATACAGTCTCTTCAGGGGAGAATGAATCTAATAGGATTGTGCTTACACAGGAAGCTCAGTGGGAATCAGGAGTTAAAGGTACGTTTCCCCACATCCTCCCACATAACACCATTCTTCCAGCCCCCAGCCCCTCTTTCATGATCAAAGTCTGAAGTTTAAAATGACAGAGCGGGAATGTAGGCAAAACATTCAATGGACACACGTGGTAATAATTTCTTCTTACAGAGTGCCTGAGTGTCACTTTGTGTCTTGAGCAGAGAATTTAGGAATTTCAATTTGCCATTCTTTGCAATGGCCAGCACCTTTGGAAGCAGCCACTCCCATAAGGAAGCAGTCCCTCATGTTCTTTGTACTCTTTGATTGGGGTGGATACTCAAGCACCTGAGACCTTGAAGTGTTCACTTCAACCAGGATAATCACAGATGAGCATGAAAACAGCTAGCTGCCACTGCATGCCAAGGAATGCCGGAGCCCCCTTCCTTAATGCCAACTGGATTTCCCCCGCCTTGCACCCCAACCAGCCTAGGTAATCAAATCTCACATCTCCCTGTGGGTCCATAAAGAGTGCCAACACTTTGGGTACTGATTTCTTGTTTTTTCTTATTTTCTTTCCTTCTTTCCTTTCTTTTTTCTTTTCTTTTTCTTTCTTTTTTTTTTTTTTTGAAATGGAGTCTCGCTCTGTTACCCAGGCTGGAGTGCGGTGGCTCACTGTAACCTCTGCCTCCCGGGTTTAAGCGATTCTCCTGCCTCAGCTTCCCGAGTAGCTGGGATTACAGGCGCCCACTACCACGCCTGGGTAATTTTTGTATTTTTAGTAAAGACGGGGTTTCACCATGTTGGGCAGGCTGGTCTTGAACTCCTGACCTCAGGTGATCCACCCGCCTCAGTCTCCCAAAGTGCTGGGATTACAGGCGTGAGCCACCACACCCGGCCTAAAGTATATTTTTAATTGTTGTTTTTTAATGGCTATCTTTAAATCTGTAACTTCCTATAATTTGATAAACCCTTTTGTTCTTGTATGGCACTTATTCTCCATTATGACAAAACAGCGATTTTTAATAATAGTAGATTTTATTAATTTTTCTATGAGAGTTTGGTATTAAATCTGGAGACATTTTTCCTGAGTATCATTTCCAAGGACTATGCTTATTTAATTAATTAAATTGGGTTTCCTTTAATACCTGCATCTAGATTTATGGTGAGGTTTGGCTTCCAACTGACAGCCCTCATACCTTCAAGGCCACAAAAGGTGCCTCTTTAGCTGGTCATCAGCTTGCCAGGCTTCTAGAAAGAATAATAATAATCCACACTCTAGCCTGTGAATACAGCTTTGTCAGAAGTAGGTCTCTGGTGGGACTGACTTTTCTTTCAAGCCTATATACCAGTCAGAAAGAAATTCCAAGTACATTTCTTTCCTACACCCTGAGCTTGAGAAAACAAACAAACAAACAAACAAACCCAAGTTGCTCTAATAGAAATTGGAATGGGAAAGTGATGATAAATATAAGTGAATTTGATTGTTTAAGAAAAATACTTTAAAAGTGGGGAGAGGCTGGGCACGGTGGCTCATGCCTCTAATCCAAGCACTTTGGGAGGCCAAGGCGGGTGGATCACTTGAAGTCAGGAGTTCGAGACCAGCCTGGCCAACATGACAAAAACCCATCTCTACTAATAACTCACACACACACACAAATAGCCATGCGTGGTGGCACACACCTGTAATCCCAGCTACTCAGGAGGCTGAGGCATGAGAATCACTTTAACCCAAGAGGCGGAGGTTGCAGTGATCCAAGATTATGCCACTACACTCCAGCTTGGGCGACAGAGTGAAATTGTGTCTCAAAAATACATAAATAAATAAAAATAAAATAGGGGAGAGAAGGTAAAAATAGGTTTAGGGAGCCATGAACAGGGGAAAGGGAGATTAGAAGGGTAGCAGATCCACGATTTGTGGGGAGAAGGACTCAAATAGAACGCAAATAGCCTTTTAGGAAAGCTGGAAACAAATGAGGTGACCAAGAGAATAAGCAGAAGGACGAGGCCAGATTGTGGTGAGGCTAGCTCTTCACCATCTCACTCCAACATTACTGTGAGAGAATAGCTCACAAAACTAACAATTTACAGTTAGCAACAGAAGTTCATATCCTTTAAGAAGACATTTCTGGCCGGGCGCAGTGGCTCACGCCTGTAATCCCAGCACTTTGGGAGGCCGAGGTGGGCGGATCATGAGGTCAGGACATCGAGACCATCCTGGCTAACATGTTGAAACCCCGTCTCTACTAAAAATACAAAAAACTAGCCGGGCATGGTGGCGGGCACCTGTAGTCCCAGCTACTCGGGAGGCTGAGGCAGGAGAACGGCGTGAACCCGGGAGGCGGAGCTTACAGTGAGCTGAGATCCCGCCACTGCACTCCAGCCTGGGGCGACAGAGTGAGGCTCCGTCTCAAAAAAAAAAAAAAAAAAAGAAGATATTTCTGAGCTTTCAAAGATGTCCAGCCCTCACTGACCCACTGCAGTATCCTTCTCATGACTTCCCATCTGCTTGCTTGCTTGCTTGCTTGCTTCCTTTCTTTCTTTCTTTCTTTCTTTCTTTCTGACAAGGTCTCACTCTGTCACCTAGGCTGGAGTGCAGAGGTGCGATCTCGGCTCACTGCAACCTCCGCCTCCCGGGTTCAAGCGATTCTTGTGCCTCACCCTCCCAAGAAGCTGGGACTACAGGCATGGCCACCATACCCAGCTAATGTTTGCATTTTTAGTAGAGAAGGGGTTTCACCATGTTGGCCTAGCTGGTCTCAAACTCCTGACTTCAAATGATTCACACGCCTTGGCTTTCCGAAGTGCTGGGATTACAGGCGTGAGCCACTGTGCCTGGCCTGCTCATTTCTTTCTTAGCTGTACAACTCAAACTTGGGACTTCTCTCTCTGTGATCCAAAGTCCTCCTTCCTCCAAAGAGGCAATCACATCTGGTTTGGTCACGGGATACCCTGTAACGGAAAATGATACAAGACTTGGGCACGTCTGTGTGGGCTTTGGGACCTCAAAAAGTTAGGAAGGCACATATTCATGAGGCTAAATTTCACATAGGAGATGAAAATAGAAACACCTTGTTCAGTCTAGGAGGGATTAAGCATCTTTAATCCCTAGAACCTGAGGTCAAAATATTGAAGCACTTCAGAGATGGAAAGTTATTCTACTGGATATACCATGAATTACTCAGAGAAGCCATCCTCACCCACAGAGACCAGAAGGCTGTAGTTCTGTAGTATCACATCTCTATATCTCTCTATATTTCTCTAGAATCACAAGGTCCTCTGAGGAGGATCCAGTCAATTCCACCACTCCTGGGTGAAATCCGCAAGACACATCATCAAATGACACGATCCCTGTAACGGAATGCTTCTATTCAATTGGTTGGATAAAAATTAAAATGATAATACTTTTTAAAATAAAGAAAATATTCTTCAGAGAGAAGCTACTCTTTAACCATTTCAAAAAGGGCTTTTCTGAGATATTCGCAATACCTATATATAGCAAAGGACTTTTATACTACAGAAACTATAAAGAACTCCTACAAACAATAAGATAAATATAGATAGATAATCCAGTAGAAAAAACAGAAAAAAAGATTTGAACAGGTAATTCACAAAAGAGGATATCCAAATGGCCAATAAATGTATGAAAAGGTGCTCACCATCATTAGTCATCAGAGAAAGGCAAACTTAAACCACAGTGAGATACCACTATATGCCAACAGAAAACTGAAATTAAGACCAACAACCTTCAGCTTTCCTGAAAGGCTCTTTGAATTCTTTTTTTTTTTTTTTTTTTTTTTTTGAGATGGAGTTTTGCTCCCATCACGCAGGTTGGAGTGCAGTGGCACGATCTCGGCTCACTGCAACCTCCGCCTTCCAGTTTCAAGAGATTCTCCTGCCTCAGCCTCCGAAGTAGCTGGCATTACAGGCGCCCGACACCACGCCCGGCTAATTTTTGTATTTTTAGTAGAGTCAGAGTTTCACCATGTTGGTCAGGCTGGTCTCAAACTCCTGACCTGGTGATCCACCCGCCTCGGCCTCCCAAAGTACTGGGATTACAGGCGTGAGCCACCCCACCAGGCCCAGCTATTTGCATTCTATTTGAGTCTTTCTCCCCCTAAATCCTGGATCTGCTACCCTTCCAATTTCCTTCCAAGTGTTGGCCGGATGTAGAGCAACTGAAGCTCTCATACATTGTTGGTGGAAGTAAAATGGTGTAGGCACTTAACAGATTGGTAGAATCTACTAAAGCTGAACATCTAAATTAACATCTAAGTTAGTTTATCTAATTTATCTCATCTGCAAGAGGTAGATGATACACCTAACCTAGGATCCAGCAACTCCACTCTTAGGTATATATCCAATGGAAATGCACACATATGTTCACCAACACATGCACAAGAATACTCATAGAAGCATTATTTGTAATAGCTAAAATGGAATATCCACCAGCAGGGGAATGGATTAACAAGTGTGTTATATTTATACAAAAGGAATAGTGAATAGTATGGAAAAAGAACAAACTACTGACACATAAGGTAACAAGGATGGATCTCAAAAACATTATGGTAAGTAAAAGAAGCCAGACCCAAAAGAATAATAATGTATAATTCCATTTATATGACATTCAAGAACTGGCAAAAATAATCTATGGTGATAGAAATCAGAAAGTCGTTAGCTGTGAATCAAGAGATAGTGATTGGAAGTGGCATGATGAAGGCTTCTGGGTGGCTTGTCATTTCCTGCTTTTTGATACAGGTATGGGTTACAAAGGTGTTTTCACTTGGCAGAAGTTCATTAAACCATATACTTTATACACTTTTCTCTGTATGTTCTGCTTCAATAAAAGGTCTGACCCAAAACATTTTTAACTAAGTTAGTTTTCCATACAAGGTTTTAAAAAACAGTAAGAGGGCCGGGCACAGTGGCTCATGCCTGTAATCCCAGCACTTTGGGAGGCTGAGGCAGGTGGATCACATGAGGCCAGGAGTTCGAAACCAGCCTGGCCAACATGGTGAAACCCCGTCTCTACTAAAAATACAAAAATTAGCAGGGCATGATGGCACGTACCTATAATCCCAGCTACTCAGTAGTCTGAGGCAGGAGAATGGCTTGAACCCGGAGGCAAAGGTTGCAGTGAGCCAAGATTGCGCCACTGCACTCCAGCCTGGGTAACAGAGCGAGACTCTGTCTCAAACAAAAAAAAAAAAAGAAAAAAAGAAAAAAGGAAAAAGGCCGGGCGTGAGGCTCACGTTTATAATCTCAGCACTTTGGGAGGCCAAGGCAGGTGGATCACCTGAGGTCAGAAGTTCAAGACAAGCCTGGCCAACGTGGTGAAACCCCATCTCTATTAAAAATCCAGAAAATATTAGCTGGGTGTGGTGGCGCATGCCTGTAACCCCAGCTACTTCGTAGGCTGAGGCAGGAGAATCACTTGAACCTGGGAGGGGGAGGTTGTAGTGAGCTGAGATCGTGCCATTGCACTCCAGCCTGGGCAACAAGAGCTAAACTCCGTCTCAAAAAAAAAAAAAAAAAAAAAAAGTAAGAGAAAGATTTAAAAATCCCACAGGAAAAAGAGTAGCATTTGGGAAAGAATGATTCACAAAAGAAATATGAAAAGAAAAACGTATGAAAAGATACTCAATTTCATTGACAAACACACACAAAAGAAATGAGATATTTTCAACTATCAAATGGCAAGGATTAGCTCTCCCTCTCCCTCTCCCTCTCCATCTCCCTCTCCCTCATCCCTCTCCCTCATCCCTCTCCCTCTCCCTCTCCCTCTCCATCTCCCCCTCCCCCTCCCTCTCCGTCTCCCTCTCCCCTTTGCACGGTCTCCCTCTGATGCAGAGCCAAGGCTGGACTGTACTGCCGCCATCTCGGCTCACTGCAACCTCCCTGCCTGATTCTCCTGCCTCAGCCTGCCGAGTGCCTGGGATTGCAGGCGCGCACCGCCACGCCTGACTGGTTTTCGTATTTTTTGGTGGAGACGGGGTTTCGCCGTGTTGGCCGGGCTGGTCTCCAGCTCCTAACCGCGAGTGATCTGCCAGCCTCGGCCTCCCGAGGTGCCGGGATTGCAGACGGAGTCTCGCTCACTCAGTGCTCAATGTTGCCCAGGCTGGAGTGCAGTGGCGTGATCTCGGCTTGCTACAAACTCCACCTCCCAGCTGCCTGCCTTGGCCTCCCAAAGTGCCGAGATTGCAGCCTCTGCCTGGCCGCCACCCCGTCTAGGAAGCGAGGAGCATCTCTGCCTGGCCGCCCATCGTCTGGGATGTGAGGAGCCCCTCTGCCTGGCCGCTCAGTCTGGGAAGTGAGGAGCGCCTCTTCCCGGCCGTCATCCCGTCTAGGAAGTGAGGAGCGTCTCTGCCCGGCCGCCCATCGTCTGGGATGTGGGGAGCGCCTCTGCCCCGCCGCCCCGTCTGAGATGTGAAGAGTGCCTCTGCCCCGCCGCGACCCCGTCTGGGAACTGAGGAGTGTCTCTGCCCCGCCGCCACCCCGTCTGGGAGGTGAGGAGCGTCTCTGACTGGCCGCCCAGTATGAGAAGTGAGGAGCTCCTCCGCCCGGCAGCCGCCCCATCTGGGAAGTGAGGAGCATCTCCGCCTGGCAGCCGCCCCGTCCGGGAGGGAGGTGGGGGGGTCAGCCCCTGCCCAGCCAGCCGCCCTGTCCAGGAGGTGGGGGGGTCAGCCCCTGCGCAGCCAGCAGCCCTGTCAGGGAGGTGGGGGGCAGCCCCCACCAGGCCGCCGCCCCGTCTGGGAGGTGGGGGGCGCCTCTGCCCGGCCACCCCATCTGGGAAGTGAGGAGCCCCTCTGCCCAGCTGCCACCCCGTCTGGGAGGTGTACCCAACAGCTCATTGAGAACGGGCCATGATGACGATGGCGGTTTTGTTGAATAGAAAAGGGGGAAATGTGGGGAAAAGAAAGAGAAATCAGATTGTTACTGTGTCTGTGTAGAAAGAAGTAGACATAGGAGACTCCATTTTGTTCTGTACTAAGAAAAATTCTTCTGCCTTGGGATGCTGTTAATCTATAACCTTACCCCCAGCCCCGTGCTCTCTGAAACATGTGCTATGTCCAGAAACGGTTAAATGGATTAAGGGCGGTGCAAGATGTGCTTTGTTAAACAGATGCTTGAAGGCAGCATACTCGTTAAGAGTCATCACCACTCCCTAATCTCAAGTACCCAGGGACACAAACACTGCGGAAGGCGGCAGGGCCCTCTGCCTAGGAAAACCAGAGACCTTTGTTCACATGTTTATCTGCTGACCTTCCCTCCACTATTGTCCTATGACCCTGCCAAATCCCCCTCTCCGAGAAACACCCAAGAATGATCAATAAATACTAAAAAAATTTAAAAAAAAATGGCAAGGATTAAAACCATGACAAGAAGATTAGAAAGGGTATTTTCATTCATTATTAGTGGGGGGTGTCAACTTGTACTAACTTTTCAAAAGGCAATTTGGCAATGTCTATGAAAGTTCAAAACGTGCCCACCTTTTGAACCAGACACTCTAGAAATGCTCACCACTGTGTACAAAGATAGATGACAAGATAAAAAAAAAACCAGGTACTGCTGAGGTTGTAGAGAAAAGGGAATGCTTATACACTGTTGGTGGGAATGTAAATTAACTCAACCATTGTGAAAAGCAGCGTGGCAATTCCTCAAAGAGCTAAAGAGAGAATTACCATTCAACCCAGCAATCTCATTACTGGGTATACAGCCAAAGGAATATAAATTGTTCTACCACAAAGACGCATGCATGCATATGTTCACTGCAGCACTATTCACAATAGCAAAGACATGGAATCAGCCTAAATGCCCATCAATGGTAGTCTGGACAAAGAAAATGTGGTACATATACACCATGGAATACTATGCAGCCATCAAAAAGAATGAGATCAGGCCAGGTGCAGTGGCTCATGCCTGTAATCCCAGCACTTTGAGAGGCCAAGGTGGGAGGATCATGTGAGCCCAGGAGTTCAAGACCAGCCTGGACAACATAACAAGACCTCATCTGTAGACCTCGTCTCTACAAAAAAATAATAATAACAATTTTAAAAAGAACAAGATCATGTCCTTTGCAGCAACATGAATAGAGCTGGAGGCCAGCAACATGAATAGAGCTGGAGGCCATTATCCTTAACACACTAACACAGGAACAGAAAACTAAATACTGCATGTTCTCACTTATAAGTGGGAGCTAAATGATGAGAACTAATGGACACAAAGAGAGGAACAACAGACACTGGGGCCTACTTGAAGGTGGAGGGTGGGAGGAGGGAGACGATGAAAAAAAAAAATAACCAT
Organism: Homo sapiens; assembly: GCF_000001405.40. Lineage (NCBI taxonomy): Eukaryota > Metazoa > Chordata > Mammalia > Primates > Hominidae > Homo > Homo sapiens. The sequence continues at coordinate 48,018,808 of NC_000023.11, forward strand.
TGGGTTTAGTACCTTGGTGATGAAATAATCTGTGCAACAAACCCCCGTGACATGAGTTTACCTATATAACCAACTTGCACATGTACCCCTGAACCTAAAATAAAAGTTAAAGAAAAAGACGACAAGAGAGATCACTGCCACACTGTAGCAGAAATTACACAGAAGTCCTTCAATATGGGGCTGATTAATAAATCGTAGTACATGCATACAAGAAAAAAAAGCATCTCTTAAAAATATCTCTATGTCCTGATACTGAAATACCTTCCATCAACAAGTGTTCATTAAGTAGGGGCTATTCCAGCTATGCCAGTGAGCAGCTGTGCAAGCCCATGCAATCTGCTTATCCACTCTGGTACTCAGCTTCCTTAGCTGTAAGAGGTAGATAAAAATGGTACCTACTTCCTAAGGTCATTGTGAGAATTAAAAGTGATCATGCATATATAATGCTTAGTATGGTGTCAGGTGCAGTGTGAGCTCACTACATGTCGGCTCTTGTTGTGTCACTTTTGTTATCATTATCATTTGTATTATCATTATCATTACCACTATGACCATTATTAATACTATTCTGGGCAAATGGAATGGCAAAACAGTTTTACATAATGAGCAGATTTTAGCAAAAGGAAGACATTTACATACGTATATATTTATATGTGTATGTAAATATAAAGAGAAAGAACAAGGGGGAGAGAGAGGTGTATAGGTGGAAATTAACCAAATTCATCAGAAATTGGTTATTTGGAATGAGTGGTGATATGAGATTATAAGTGAATTCCCCCTTTCAGATTGTATATTCCTCAAGAGTTTGGATTTTTGGTGTGCCACTTCTAAATCACTTCTGTAGGAAGAGAAAAAAATGACAAAATAATATAGACTTTCTTAAAAAGGGCAGAAGGGAAAGTACTGAACATGCTTAGGGACATCATGAATTCTGAGCCTAAAAAGGAAAAGGGCAGACCTTTGGGTTGCTCAGGCTGTTCTGAAACCCCAGATGTGGAAAAACTACATATAGATCAGAAAAGAATTTGAAGGGCATGAGGTTTACTGATTCTTCCTGATGATCAAGGTCCATATATTGAGCCAGAACATAAGAGCTATTTGTGCAGACATGGCTTTGATTTCCTGAAGAGTCACATATTTTTAGTTCTGCTTTAGCAGGACACCTTTGGTTGACATGCAGACATATTTTAAGTCACAGCAGAGCAATCCTATCTCTGTATTTATCACAAGATTGCTGATAAGGGACTTGGCTGACGCATCAGAGAACTGTCTTATCAAAGAAATCTTTGCTTCTGAGGAAGTGGCTTACTTTCTCTGTATGGGTGAGATAAATAAAGCAAATGAGCTTTTTTCCCCCTCTATGTTGTGGCTTCTAGGAAGCTCAGAAAAATAACTGTAGCTCAACATAATTATGTAGAATCCTATGATCTACATATAGACATTTCAACCTGGCCTTGGTTTTGCTCTACTTCCCTATTCCATTTTATGTGTTTATATGTATCCATTTTATGGTATTAATAATAGTATAATAATAATATTAAACTCATATATAAGACTTACGTATGTGCTAGGCATTGTTGTAAACACTTATATTGACTCAATTGATCTACACAACAACCATACAAGGCAGGTATTATTATTATTATCATTAACATCATCATCCCTATTTTACAGTTAGAGAAACTAAGGCACAAAGAGGTTAAATGACGACTCTGTCCGCAGACCACCAGCCCTCTCACTTCCGTTCGATGTAAACTCTCTGCCCCGCCTCATACCCTGCTCTGATGTTAAGATCCGAATGCTTATTCAGGCAAGGTCCCCTTGTGTTTCCAAAATCAGTCACAACTTCCTCTGACAGCCACCTTTTTCCGACCTTTATCCTGCATTAATTAGGTACTGCCAGTCACTATACTTGCTCATGCGCAGTACCGTTCCCAAAGCCGTCGGTGCTAGCAGCCAAAGTTGTTCTGTGGTTTTCTTTAATTTAATGATTAAATTTTTTTAATTGTACATATTTGTAGGGTGCAGAGTGGTATTTCAATACATGCATACAATGTGTAATGATCAAATCAGGGTAATTAGCATGTGCATCACCTCAAATATTTATCATTTCTTTGCGTTGGGAATATTCAAAATCCTCTCTTCTAGGTATTTGAAAATGTACAATAAATTATTGCTAACTATAGTTATTAAGCAGTGCTATAGAACACCAAAACTTTTTTGTTCCTTAACTGCAATGATTGTACGTATTTGGCTGGCAAGAAAAATGGCCGTGCCAGTAAACCAGCTTGTCAAGGGAGCAGGCATCTTTACAGCCCTTACCATTCCGTACAGGAGAGTAATATGCCTTTTAAAGTTTGGAAAAGATAGAACTCCGAGAGGACTTTGAAAACTTGGCGATAAAAGTGGGGCCCTTTGTGCAAAGCTAGTGACGGGCAAATTATGGGCGTGTTTGGGGGGGTTTCAAGAGAACGGGTATGTAAAAATGTTGAGTTCAGGACCACAGACCCCTCCGCCGGGAGATACCACTGCGGAGACGGGGGACGCCTGAAATGGTACGGACATCCCTGGTACCTATTACCGGGGAAAAAGGATGCAGAGCCGGTGATAATACATTCCTCCACCGGTCAGTATCAGTGGGGAGATGGGGAGAACGTGTGGAGCTGGTACTCCTCTCAAGAAAATAACAGTAGGGAGATAGATACTATTAAGCTAGCGGTGGCGAAGGCTCAGGTTGGTACAGTCCGTTGTGGGAGATACCACTGGTGCAAATAGGGAGGTGTGGTACAATCTGCCCACGGAGAAAGAAACGTGAAGAAAGTGACATTGGTAAACATAGGCGCAGGGAGAGTTGGAGACATAAGCCCAGGGATAAAGGGGCCCAGGTGAGGTGGAATATTAGTCGGAGACTAGGTGAGAAGACAGATCTGATCGCGACCCCGCCAGGACTACATTCCATCCTCCTCCTGGGAAACTGTTGCAGAGAGATTTGAGAGGGCGGAGATTCCAGGGTCCCAGTCCTATGAGGCCTCCCTGAGGCCTAGGGGAATAAACAGGAGACAGACAGTGATCAGGTTCCGGACCTCAAACACTCTCCCCTATTAATCATATTCTACCAATTGATCACCTGAAAGAAAATGCACAGGTGAGCCCTTTCAGCTTATTGCAATAGGGAAAACTTTTCTTAATGAGGAACATCCCAAAGACAAGGAAAGAGACCTCGGGTTGTATAGAGGCAGGTAAGCAAAAGAGTCATCCTTGAGTCATCAATCAGGACAGATAGAGATAGGTCTTATCTCAGAATGTGTAAATACATTAGGGACTACTATAGACTGAATTGCGCCCCTTCCCCCCCCCCCCCCCCATTCATACGTTGAAGCCCAAACTGTCAATGTGATGGTATTTGAGGATGGGGCCTTTGGGAGGTAATTAAGGCTATATGAGGTCATGAGGGTGGGGCCTTGGTCTAATGGGATTAGTGCCCTTATAAAAACAGACGTCCAAGAGTTTGCTCACTCTCTCTCCATTTGCACAAAAAAGAGGTGATGTGAAAACACAGTAAGAAGGCAGTTGTCTGCAAGCCTTATGGCTTTCTTTATAGAGAACCCTCACCAGGAACCAAATCAGCTGGCCCCTTCATCTTGGACTTCTCCCAGCCTCCAGAACTATGCCAAATAAACTTCTGGTTTAACCCGTCCAGTCTGTGGCATTTTATTATGGCAGCCCAAGCAGGTAATCCAGGGACTTTTGCAGTTAGCCCTTTGCTGGAACCCCAAAGGGAGCCAGGGGCTGTGAGAATTTTGTAACCATGACTGCTTTCCAGGAGCACAGGACCCACTCAGATATAAAGTAACAGCATCACTCCCCTTCCAGCTCACTCTGCCCCTCATGGCTCCTACTCCTTCCCACTCTACCAATCATTAACATGTATTCTCTCCCACGGTGCCCCCAATTTCCCGCCATTCAGTCACACTGCCATTTTCTTTCATTCATTCTGCTTCATGGCCACCATTCACGCATCTTGTACCCCATATAAACACCTTTCTTTTTATTGTGGTAAAATACACATAACATGAAACTTACTATTTTAACTATTTTACATTGCACAATTCAGTGCCATTTAGGACATTCACAGTATTGTGCAACCATTACCACTATTTAATTCCAGGCTGTCTTCACCACCCCAAAAGGAAACCTCATCCCCATTAAACAATCATTCCCTATTCCCCTTTCCCCCCAGCCCCTGGCTACCACTTAATCTGCTTTCTGGTGCTATAGATTTGCCTATTATGGATATTTCATATAAGTAGAATCATACACTTTGTGGTCTTTTGTGTCCGGCTTCTTTAACGTGGCATAATGTCTTCAAGGTTAATCAGTAACAGTACTTCATTCCTTTCTGTGGCTGAATAATATTCCATTGTATGGATATACTATACCATATTTGGTTTATCCACTCATCAGTTGATAGATATTTGAGCTGTTTCTACCTTTTGGCTATTATGAATAGTGCTGCTATGAACATTGGTGTGTAAGTTTTTGTTTGAATACCTACCTGTTTCCCATTTTATTAAGTATATAACTAGGAGTGGAATTGCTGGATCATGTGGTATTTCTGTGTTTAACTTTTTGAGGAACCACCAAACTGTTTCCTACAGTGGCTGCACCATTTTACTTTCCAACCAGCAGTGTATTAGGGTTCCAATTTCTCCACATCCTCTCTAACACTTGTTGTTTTGTTGGTTTTTATTGTAGCCATCCTAGCAGATGTAAAGTGGTATCTAATTGTGGTTTTGATTTGAATTTCCCTGATGACTAATGACAAATCTTTTCATGAGCTTATTGGCCATGTGTATATCATGTATATCTTATTTGGAAAAATATCTATTCAAGTCTTTGCCCAGTGTTAACTGGGGATTTTTTGGTTATTAGATTGTAAGAGTTCTTTATATATTCTGGATACCCTTATCAGATTATAATTTTCCCATTCTCTGGGTTGTCTTTTCATTCTCCTGATAATGTCATTTGATACACAAAAGTTTTCATTTTTATTAAGTCCAATTATTCATTTTTTTTCTGTTACTTATGCTTTTGGTATCATATCTAAGAAACAATTGCCAAGTCCAAAGACGTGAAGATTTATTCCTTCATTTTCTTCTAGTTATTTTACAGTTTTAGTTCTTGTATTTAGGTCTTTTATCCATTTTGAGTTAACTTTTATATATGGTATGGGGTCATGGTACAACTTCATTCTTTTACATGTGGATATCTATTTTTCCAGTGCATCTGTTGAACGGACTATTCTTTCCCCATTAAATGATCTTGGCACCCTAATCAAAAATCATTTGAGCTGCATGGGTTTTTTTTTTCTGGACTTTCAATTCTATTCCATTGATCTATATGTTTATCCTGGTGCCAGCACCACACTGTTTTGATTACTGTACCTTTGCAGTAAGTTTTGAAATAGGGCAGTGTGAGTCTTCCAAATTTGTTCTTCTTTTTCAAGATTGTTTTGGCTATCCAGGGACCCTTGCAACTCCATATAAATTTTAGGATTAGCTTTCCCCTTTATGCACAAAAGGGATTTGGGATTTTGTTAGAGATTACATTGAATTTGTAGGTTGCTTTGGGGAGTATTGGCATCTTAACAATGTTAAGTTTTCCTTAATTATCCACGAACACTTTCCTTTTATTTAGTTTTATTTTTTATTTAGTTTTTCCTTTTATCTAGTTTTCCTTACTTTTTTTTTTTTTTTAATGGAGTCTTGCTCTGTCACCCAGGCTGGAGTGCAGTGGCGTGATCTTGGCTTACTGTAACCTCCGCCTCCCAGGTTCAAGCAATTCTCCTGCCTTAGCTTCCTGAGTAGTTGGGATTACAGGCAACCGCCACTATGCCTGGCTAATTTTTTTTGTATTTTTAGTAGAGACGGGGTTTCACCATGTTGGCCAGGATGGTCTTGAACTCCTGACCTCAGGTTATCCACCCGCCTCGGCCTCACAAAGTGCTGGGATTACAGGCGTGAGCCACCACACCTGGCCTTCTTTACTTTCTTTCAGCAATGTTTTGTACAGGTCTTGCATCTGCTTGGCTAACTTTATTTCTCAGTATTTTATTCTTTTTATCCTATCGTAAACAAAATTGTTGTCTTAATTTCCATTTTGGCTTTTTCATTGATAGTGTATAGAAAAGCAATTGATAGTTGTATGTTGATCTTGCATCCTGCCATTTAGCAGGATTTGTTTATGAGTTCTAACAGTTGTTTTTTTTGCAGATTATTTAGGATTTTCTATATATATATAAATCATACCATCTGGGAATAGAAATAGTTTTACTTTCTTTCTAATTTGGGCATCTCTTATTTCTTTCTTTTGCCTGAAAATTTATCTGGCTAGAACTTTGAGTACAATCTTTAATAGAAGTGACAAAAGTAGGCATCCTTATCTTGTTACTATAACTCTCTACCCTTAAACTTTTATGCCAGAATTTCTAAGGACCAGATAGAATGAATTATGCCTTTACTGTTATATAAGTAAGCCAAAGATGGCCTCTATGTTTGACCCCCAGGTTGTTTATTTCTTCACTGCAGGCTGAGACCCCTTAACTCAAAAGTTTGCTGGCACCAAACAAATTTTTACATACCCAAATATTTCATAAATAGCCCAAACACATAGATTTTTAGCCACTGAGAGTCTTCCTGCTTTACATACCCCAGAAAACCTGGTACTACATCTTTCATCTTTGGGGAATAGATAAGTTAGGCCCCAGGCCATAAAATACCCAAAGCTGCTGCTGCTGCCCTTCAGAGTTCTCTGACCCAGAGAATTTTCTCTTTGCTGCTGAATGACATCACCTAGACAAATAAGCCCCCGTCTTGATGCCCCAGCACTTCCCTTGTCGTTCTGCCCTTCCGAATAGTTGACCAGTGGCCATAACCTCTGTACAGGCTCGGGCTGTGAGGGACTTCATGCAAACCTGTCACAGAATCACCCCATAACCCTTATTGTGCTACGCCACCTTGTGGTCATTTATTTCCTTCATCAGCGCCCTAAATCGCTCAAACTCCCTGTAAGTGACAAAGAGGAAAAGGGAAGGATTTCTGGTAATCATGAAATAGATAGGAGACAGTAGGACAAATAATTGGTAAAAGAATCCTGGATGGTCTCAAGCGGTGGAACTCTAAACTTGGAATGCCATTGCATCAGTTTGGCATGGGACTGCTTTGTGCTGTGTCACATACTCTACATTTGTGGGTTTTCTCTGTGCCTCACTAGCCTGGCCAAGCAGTAACACCAGTATTTGAATGAATCCACTTCATTAGAACTGACTTTTGGGATCAGGTGTGGAACTGCCTGGGGAAGGAGGTCACCCTGCCCGCCTGGAGCCCCACTAGGCAGGGAAATGCTGGGGCACGCACAGGGCGCTATAAGGCCTGTGGGTCTGAACACAAAAGGTTGGGGGAGTACACATCTCTGGACTGAGGGTAGGCTATCCTGACCCCATGACTGGCTAGAGTGGTAGGAGCCCCGTGAGTTGGCCCTGTGATTTTGGGTACCCTGAGACGCATATGACACGTGAACATGGCTATAAAGCAGCGATGTCGGGCTGACGTGGATCCCCTAAGCACAGCTGGGGGAGGCGCTTTTGTAAACAGCTAGCATGCCTCTGTTCTTGTCGCATTTGAATTTGCTATTACAGATGACATCATTTCTGTTCCTTTCCGGAGCAATATCAAGACCCCAAATTTGTTGAGGTGGGGCAAAACTGTTACTTCACGTGACTAAAGACGTTTATATTGCTGTCCCAACCAGGACTCCAAAGGAGGTGGCTGTCCTCTTGAATCCAAACCAGGGGACCCATGTTGGGCTTGCGCGCTTCTCGCCAGGACACGGCCCAGAGGGTAGGTCTCTCATTCATAGTAGCCACATTAAGCCTGGCTGTCTACTCTAGTCTATGATCGGGGCATAGAATAATAATAACCCTTATTGTGCTACGCCACCTTGTGGTCATATAATCTTCTTTCATCAGAGGAGACCAGAAGGCGTAGAAGACCCCGGAGAAGAGGACTGGCGCCCTCTAGAGGATGACGCGACACAATACCACCATGAGAGAGTGAGGAACTTGACCTTCTCCTTTGCCAGTCACCAACAGCAAAGTCAAAAAAACAGAAGAGACAACAGGGGAGGGTCAAGAAGGAGAGGCCATTTCTCATTTGGAGGAGGAGACACCCTCTGTCTCACCCGGAGCCCCTGCCTGTCCGTAAGGACCTAGCCAGGGAACCAAATGAAAAAGCTACCGATGGCCGGGCGTGCTGGCTCACGCCTGTAATCCCAGCACTTTGGGAGGCCAAGGCGGGCGGATCATGAGGTCAGGAGATCGAGACCATCCTGGCTAACACGATGAAACCCCGTCTCTACTAAAAATACAAAAAGAAATTAGCCGGGCGTGGTGGCAGGCGCCTATAGTCCCAGCTACCGGGGAGGCTGAGGCAGGAGAATGGCGTGAACCCGGGAGGCGGAGCTTGCAGTGAGCCGAGATCACGCCACTGCACTCCAGCCTGGGCGACAGAGCGAGACTCCGTCAAAAGGAAAGAAAAGAAAAGAAAAAAGCTACAGACAATGTATCGAACAGAGCACAGCAAGCTCCACCTGACAGGGGCTGAAGTGAAGCACTTGGCTGCCCCAGGACGGTATGGAAAAGTGGCTTCCCTACTAAAGGATTCTGCACAGTTAGTACAGAAGCTGAGAGTGACTCCCAGGAGGCTTTGCATTGCAGTCCATGTACACCTGGTCAGTATGGATTTTGCATTTTTGTGAATTTTGGTGGCTTGGAAAGCTGCCCACCCTACACGAGGCCTCACAACCCCCTGGGCAGAATGGCGGTGGAAAACGTTAGCTGAGGCCAAAGATGTCCTCCATCAGCTCTGCACATTCCAGTGGGATTATCTGGTGACAGATGGCAGGGCATGAGGACTCTATAGTCTGAGGAGGCTGAATGGAGTGCTGAGCCCACACAGTAGTTTCTCAGGGAGCACCTGACAAGTACAAGTCCTGATTTCTGTCAGCGATGGCTAAGGCTAAACAATCCACCAGGCCATGGCTGCCCTGGATGGAATAGAATCTCATGGAGGACAAACTCACAGCCCAGTGTTGCCTGCAGTTATGAAAACAATGCCCCACCTGGCCTAAATCACAAGGAACATCACCGGCAAGGCCGCCCCCTCATAGTGCAAATAAACCACCACCAGCCAGGCCCCCAGTTGAGCGGGAACCCTGAGATGCACGGAAGAGGTCATCTATTAGTCAGGGTTCTGCAGAGCAACAGAACCAATAGGAGGCGATATGTCTACGTCTATGTGGAGATATGTGGGATTTATCGTAAGGAATTGGCCCACATGGGCCCAGAGGCCCACAGATCCCAAGACCTGTAGTTGGCAAGCTGGGAACCCAGGAGAGTGGGTGGTGCAGGTCCAGTGTGACGGCCAGCAGACTTGAGGCCAATGAAGAGCTGACGTTTTAGCGCATGCTCCAAGGCGGGAATAAACTGATGTCCCAGCCCCAGCACTCAGGCAGGAGGAGTCCTCTCTGACTCACGGAGGGTCAGCAGTCCTGTTTGCCTCAGGCTTTCAACTGGCTGGGTGGGGCCCCCCACATCTAGGAGGGAGGTCAGCTTCACTTAGTCTTCCAGAGAAAGGTTAAGCTCACCCAGAAACACACTCACAGCCACACCCAGGACAGTTTGATCCATTGTTTAGGCACCCTGTAGCCCAGGCAAGTTGACACGTAAAATTCACCATCCCGGGTTGTATGGAGCCTCAAGGGACAAGAGGATCCCAAATTGGATGTGCTCTGATAAATCAGTGCAACAACACAATACGAGCCAGGGTGAGGGGACAGCCATGGCAGGCCTCTGCTTCCAAGGCAGCCTCACCTTCAACACCTGCCTTGATCTCTGCCAGTGACAGGGACCCACCCCACACAGATCCCGTGGTCATGGAAGCAGGTCCCTCTGGCAGACAATCAGCCTTTTCCACATTAACTGTGGTTTGCCCTTCAGCAAATCAACACCACAGGCCAATACAGGTGCTGGAATCTCCCTCATCCCAGGCAACATTCAAGCTTTAAAGGGCCCTCCCCAGGAGGTGGCCCGCTTGGGAAGAGGAACCAGGAAAGCATCATCACCCTCTTCCCTATTCAGGTTGGCCCAGGGTTGCTAAAAGACGTTTCTGTCCTGGTTGTTGTCCCCAATCTGCCCCTTTTCCCATCGCTGGAACGGGCCCTCTCAGTCAGCGGGTGACCTCAGAGAACGGCCTAAGGGTCCTGTGCTATTGCTGCCACTGACAGGTGGGAGCCAGTTAACCAAGCCCCTTCCCCTGCTGGTGTGGGGTTCCACACACCCCATAGCAGCGGAGGCAAGTCCTGCTGCGCTCACTTGGTTAGGGAAAGGGAACGAACTCCTACCATCTCACCTTCCAGCTCCCCAGTACGAGCTGTGCTGAAAGCCACTACTAATGTGTGAGGCTAACTCCAGACTACGGAGCCTTAAACAAGGCTATCCCCTTGCTTAGAGCACTTCTACCAGACATCTTTGCCTTAAGACGACATTCAAAACAACCTGGCTAAATAGTTTGGAGTTGAAGAGTCTGCTGACATGTTCTGTTCTGTGAAAATGTCCCAGGAGACTCACCACAATCGCCTTCCCCTTCAGGGCCAACAAGACACCTTGTACTGGTCGACTCTGGAGTGGTTCAGTAGCTGCCCCCCACCACGATTGCACACGGGATTTGCACACAGGCTTTGCACACAGGACCTGAGTGCTGCCTGCACCCCCGTCAGAGCTCGGCTTTGCCATCACATTGGCAACATCCTCGTCACTGAAAGGGACCAAGGCGCTGTCCCACAGGTGGTCGCAGTCTTGAGCAAGCACCTCACTGCGAGGGGATGGACAACTGCCCCTCTAAAAGGTCCATGGCCCCTCCGGGTCTGTTGAATTCGGGGGCAACGTGTAGAACTCAGAAGGGCAAACTGTACCTGATCCTGTAAAAGACAAGCTCTGGCTGGGCGCGGTGGCTCATGCCTGTAATCCCAGCTACTCGGGAGGCCGAGGTGGGTGGATCACGAGGTCAGGAGTTTGAGACCAGCCTGGCCAACGTGGTGAAACCCCATCGCTACTAAAAATACAAAAAATTAGCCAGGTGTGGTGGCAGGCGCCTGTAATCCCAGCTACTTGGGAGGCTGAGGCAGGAGAATTGCTTGAACCCAGGAGGTGGAGCTTGCAGTGAGCCGAGACCACGCCACTGCACTCCAGCCTGGGCAACAGAGAGAAACTCCATCTCAAAAAAAAAAAAAAAAAAAAAAAGACAAGCTCCCAGAACTGCAGCCTCCCACACGCCCAACTGCAGCAGATGTATTTGGATTCTGGCGCCACCACATCCCCCACTTCCAATATTTGCTGGGCGCTATCTGTGGAGTCCCCCTTACCTCTTCCACTCTCCAGTGGGACCTGAGCAACAGAAGCCACATAAACGCATGCAGGCTGTTACCTCAGCTCCCTGACCTGCCCCGAGGGCAGGACTCACAGTGAGAAGGTCCAGCCGCCTCCAAATTTGCTTCCTGGAGCATCTGCCCCAAATGCACAAGCGAGCACCTACCCATGGGCTTCAGCTGTAGGCGGCTGCAGCCTCAGCCCAAAGGTATTCGCCATGAGAAAGGCACCACCTGGCAGCGCCCTGGGCACTTCTGGAAATGGAAGCCCTTCCTGGGACATAGCCCATCACCCTACACGCTGAGATTCCTAGTATGCCCCGTGCAGTGGGAGAAGCTCCCCCTAAAACCCTGATCAAAATAGAAATGAGCTCCACTGGCTCCAGCTAAACTCGGCCCTCCTGGAGTGCCACAACCTCCATGAGCAAACTGCCACGTGCCCTGACTGTGACACGAACTTTAGAAACCCTAGAAATGCCTCCACCCCTTGCTCAAGGGGAGCCAAAGGGAGGAAGGCCACAGCACTCTCAAGACAGGAAAAGCAATGCTCTTTCTTTACAGATGGAGCGAACATGGGGAATACGAGAGCCAGACACCCGCAGCCCCGCACCCCAGGCCACCAGTCCACTTTCCTTGTCGGGGAGGGGCCCCAGTGCGGGCAGGCTGAGCTGCGTGCAATACTCCTAGCAACAGACCATGCTCTTGGCAAATATTTTCCCAAGGTGTTTCACTGACTCCAGGTCAGAGGCTAATGGGCTGACTACATAGTTGGGGCATTAACAGAATCAAGGCTGAAAATACAAGGCCCAGACATTTGGGATAAAGAGATGGGGTCAGGGGCAGGGGTGGAAATTGCCAAATTCACCCTGCTCTGCCCATGGTTGTGTACCATACCTCTGCTCACATTAAACAAGATGTGTAGGAGGTGCGATACCATGCTGAAGATGAGCTAACCCAACCAGCCAAGCAGGCAGGGCTGCGAAGGAGGGCGAGTCCTCAGACCCTGGAGACAAGCCACCTGACCCCTTCTACAAATGGACACATGAGGTCAAGGCACTTGGGCACCATGAGGTTGTGAAAATATGTTGTTAAGAGAGGAGTTGATCCAGTGGAGGGACATTTAAACAAAGTCATAGGGACCGTACCAGGTGTCAGCAATCCAGACATTGGGACCACCTCGTGGGAGGAAACATTTGGAGAGGAGAAGGGCTACATTAAAACTGGCAATTCAACTCCATTGGGCATCTCCCTGCAGCAGCTGGAACCGTGAAATATGCCTGAACAGCGGTGGATGCCTACACAGTCATCTATTGGCTTACCCATGCAAGGTAGCAGCCTCTATTTACGTTATTGCAGTGTTAGCACATCAGCTTTTACAGCATTTGGATTTGCCACAAGGTGTATGATCAGATCAAGGCTCCTACTTCACCGCAAACAAATGCAGCAGTGGATGTTACAAAATCACATTACTTGGGTTTTCCACCTACCCCATCACCCTAAAGAGGCAGGTATCAGAGACAGACATGATGGGATTTTTTTTTTTTTAGAATTGGAGGCCGGGAACGGTGGTTCACGACTGTAATACCAGCACTTTGGGAGGCCGATGCAGGTGGATCACCGGAGGTCAGGAGTTTGCAACCAGCCTGGCCAACATGGTGAAACCACATCTCTACTAAAAATACAAAAATTAGCCAGGTGTGGTGGCGCACACCTGTAGTCCCAGCTACGTGGGAGGCTAAGGCAGGAGAATCGCTTGAACCCAGGAGACAGAGGTTGCAGTGAGCCGAGATCACACCACTGTACTCTAGCCTGGGGGACACAGCAAGACTCTGTCTCAAAAAAAAAAAAAAAGAGTTGTAGATGAGGTCTTGCTATGTTGCCTAGGCTGGTCTTGACCAGCTAGGCTCAAGTGATCCTCCCACTTCAGCCTCTGAAAGTTCTGGGATTACAAGCATGAGCCAATGTGCTCCACCCACAGTGGGCTTTTAAAACAAGGACTATTGAGAGAACCTGTAGGAAAATGCCCCACCAAGTGGTAAAAAAAATACTGCCCATAGGCCTGATCATTATTTCACATGCCTATGCCATAACTACACCATATTGAAATTCACGATAAATGAGGAGACTGCCAACAGGACACTGCCACCCCTGCCGGTGTACACGCCCACACCAGAGATAGTTACCGGCTTTCACAAGACTCAGGAGCCTTGATGTAGTTCCCACAGCAAAGGAACTTTCATCTGGTACTTTCATATTTACCTTCTGCCTCCTGGAGAGTGCAGGGCCGAGCCACTTCCCTTCAATCCCAATGAGGATCTGACAAGGACCACCCACTAGAACCATCCTCAGCCTGTGTCTCCTCACCCGGTGGAGCAGCAAACCACCTGCCACCATCTGCGGAGAGAGACGCCCTCATCCGCCGCCCATGTCCTCCACTGAAGGTACCGTGGGACACACCTGGACCTGTTCCCCACACCCAGGACATGCACTCATCACCTCTGAACCACTAATACCACTTGAGCAATACCCAAAGGACAATCTAATCCCTACTCCTGGCCACAGGTGACCTCTGACTTTAACCCCTACTCTGTTGCTGTGCCCTTTTCTTACCTGAGAAGCTCATACCCTCACCAGTGTCAAGTACACATCCACTGATGGAACACCCTACCCTGATCATCTACACCCTACTGCTGACCAAGGTATGTCTGGAAATACTATTTCACATGTACCCCATGGGGTAACACATGACACAGGGCATCTGGGGATGATGGGAACCACACTGTTGGCTATTTGAGCTGGTCATTCCTACTAACACAACCAGACATCAACCCTGAGGCTAGCATGCCTTCTCCTCTCTCTGCTACTGCAATCAACACCCATTTCAACTAAGCCAGACTCAGATTATCACTTGTGAATCATGGGTGCCTTGTAAGTCCTATAGCGCAACTTTTGCTTCAAATTCAATAAAACCATTATTAACAACTGCCATCCAACAGGGCAATGGGCCATACCTATGGAGTCTCATTGAAGGCATGCCCGGAGATACTGTGGATCTGACAGTGCAACCACGATGCTCATGACTGGTGCAATCAAAGTAAAAATGCTGAATCCAGCCAATACCAGTAAGCCCTAAGGATTACAGAAATCAAATTCTAGCTCTTACAAATCCCTGGGATGATGATAAGTATAAACCCTGCCACCAGTGTACACCCTTACAACTCCTGGCCTCTTTTTCTGCTTCTCATAATGATCTCTGTCCCTTTCCAGTACAAGCCCCGCTTGCTAAGAAATTGCACTAACCAAGTGGCCAAGGGCATCTTTCCATGAAGCCTCTCCCTGGCCTCTTCAATATATACAGAAAAGCGATGCATGTTACACCATGTTATCTGCACCAAGGCATGTCTACAATACCAGGGATTACAACCAGCTTAGGAATTCTTTCCTAACCTAATCTCACAATCCCAACAGCAAGTTTTACATCACACTCAGTGGAAATGGGCTCTATGCTCTGCAACAATTGCAACAGTGGCTGCCCACAGTGAGCCATCAAAGTTCTTGGGTGTTACAGCAAAGACAGTTCTTACCAAAACCATATTTGGGCTGGGCAAGGTGGCACACCCCTGTAATCCCAGCACTTTGAGAGGCCGGGCTGAGGATTGCTTGAGCCTAGAAGTTCGAGACCAGCCTGGGCAACAAAGTGAGACCCTGTCTCTACAATTTTTTTTAAATTAGTGGGGCATGGCGGCACCGCCTATGCCTACCTACTCAGGAGGCTGAGGCAGGAGGATTGCTTGAGTCCAGGAGTTCGAGGCTGCAATGAGCTGTAATCACATCACTGCACTCCAGCCTGGGCAAGAGTGAGATCCTCTCTCTAAAAAAGGAAAAAAAAAAAAAGCCACATTTGATCCCATGGAGAAATCTAACTGCTCTCTACCTGGGACTTTCTCCACTCAAATCGGCAACTAATTGTTTACGCCACTTGCTCCCAAGGGGCCAACCCGGAGGCTATTAAAGCTACACAAATGGCTGGGCGTGGTGGCTCACGCCTGTAATCCCAGCACTTTGGGAGGCTGGGGCAGGCAGATCACTTGAGGTCAGGAGTTGGAGACCTGGCCAACATGGTGAAACCCCATCTCCACTAAAGATACAAAAATTAGCTCGATGTGGTGGTCGGTGCCTGTAATCCCAGCTACTTGGGAGGCTGAGGCCAGAGAATCGCTTGAACACAAGAGGCAGAGATTGCAGTGAGCTGAGATGGCGCCACTGCACTCCAGCGTGGGCGATAGAGTGAGACTCCATCTAAAAAAAAAACTGTACAAATGGCTGCCCTAGAACAGTTTCCCCAAGGATGAAAGGAGTGGAGCAACTGTCCCCCACAATTGGGAATTCCCAATCTTTTAAACACAGGACAGATATGGCTCAAACATAGAATACAATTGATGTCTATGTTTGAAATAACTTGGATGCCCCTGTGAAGATCCCATATGTGAGTGCCCCTTAGTACAGAATCTACTTTGGTATGGGGCTAAATTAACAACTTTTAAAAAAATGCTCAGAACACCTGCAAAGTTTATCCCATACCCATGGAAGTACAAAGATGCTATTTAATATGGGCAATTGGCAAGAAACTTGAATACCAATGCACACCAATCAGAACGAAGAGGAACATAATAATTGCCCACCAAACCTAGCATGCATATATATAGCCTTAGCCACAGTCATCCACAAATGGCAAATTTAACTGCGTGCTTACTTCTGCCAACCTGATTTTAATCCACATAGTGTAATTTCTCTCTCCCAGCCAAGCTCCCCAACAAACCTCACTCATCAAGATGAGCCTAATTCCCTGGCTATAGACATCCAACAGCAATATCCAGAGGTTAATCTCATGCAAATATGTGGACAATGGTGGGCTGAGCCCATAACCAACTGAGTTGACCCAGGTGCTGAATATGGGGTGGATAACATGCACATTTGTTTCCCTGTAACATTATAAGTTCCTATTAACACCACCTGGATTTGTCCTAAGCCACACAAACTTCCCTTCATAGGAACATAGAGAATGCAGGCAGGAGAAGGACCCTGGTGGGTCTGTAAGGGAATCAAAGGGCTTATTACAAGCTCCCGCTTATCTGACACTGTAAAATATTTCCTGCATTTGGATTTGGCTCAAAATTTCAGTAGATTTTTACTCAGCAATGGAATTCTCTGAGGACTCGCCTCTATAAACCACGCTGGCTGCAATTCTCTGATGCCATAAACGAGCTTTCCAAATACCTCCCCTGGAACTAACCACCTTAGAATCACTAATTTTAGGAGCAGTAGGAACAGCATATGTGCAGGACACCACACCACAATTTAAAAAAGAAATGCAGATAGCTGTGTCCAAGGAGTTGTCTACGTGAATTAGATGATGGCCCAAGAACCAAGAGCTCTTGGTCAAATCCTGCTGTACTGTCCAACCATGGGGGCCATGGTGTAAGATAACTGCATAGTCCTAGATTACCCACTGGCTGCTGAAGGAGAGGTCTGTGCACTTATTAATACATCTTGCTGTATGTGAGTTGTCAAAGAAAAACAAATCAGGGCTTATTAAGGAGAAACTTTTGTTCAAAAAGATTTTTGTGGGGAAGGAGAAGAGACTATTGCAACAGGGAGAGGGGGATGATTGCAATAGGGAGTATGCTGTGACCATAAGGTCTCCAAGGCGATGAAAACCAGGCAGGAAAAAAAGGCTTTTCTTGTAGAGGGTAAGGAGGCAGGCAGAGATAAGCAGAATCTGTGGAGAGGAAGCTGCACAAATAAGAGGGAATGTCCAGTGGGGCCTGCCAGGAAAATGTCCCACCGTGATTGGCCCATTCCCAGGAAAGGCTGAGAAGCAGGGGCACACTCCTCCTTTTCGTGTGTTTGCACAGGCTTAGGGACAATCAGAGTTTGGGGGCCTGTAGGAGAGAGAGAAGCCTGGCTCAAGTTTGGTCAAGACTAAGCAGACGGTAAGCAATGCATGACTGTGAACCCTTGATCTGTTTCCTCTGTTGTTTTAAGTGTTTTTCTTTGACAACTCACATACAGCCAGATGTATTAATAAGTGCAAAGTCTATCCTGAAACTCTATTAGGGATGGAATAAGAGGCATTGTGAGGTTGAATTTTCTCCAAAGAATGTCCATGAGTGTATTAGCCTTCACATTCTTGTTACTGAAGGACGACTGTATTATCTGTCGAGCATGCTATCAGACTGACAGCTGTCAGAAGGACTTTGAGACTAGGCACTTAATGAGAATAGGATAAAAATAATAGTTTTGAAAAGTTGAATAAGGCTGGGCATGGTGGTTCATGCCTGTAATCTCACCACTTTGGGAGGCTGAGGCAGGCAGATTGCTTGAACCCATGAGTTCGAGACCAGCCTGGGCAACATGGTGAGACCCCATGTCTACAAAACAAAATACAAAAAAAGGCCAGGCACGGTGGCTCACACTTGTAATCCCAGCACTTTGGGAGGACAAGGTGGGCAGATCTCTTGAGGCCAGGAGTTCAAGACCAGCCTGGCCAACATGGCAAAACCCCGGTCTCTACTAAAAATACAAAAATTAGCAGGGCATGGTGACGCACGCCTGTAATTCCAGCTACTTGGGAGGCTGAGGTACGAAAATCGCTTGAACCTGGGGAGTAGAGGTTGCAGTGAGTTGAGATCGCTCCACTGCACTCCAGCCTAGGCAACAGAAGGAGACTCTGTCTCAAAACAAACAAACAAACAAACAAACAAACAAACAAACCTGGACGTGGTGGCACGTGCCTGTAGTCCCAGCAACTTGGGAGGCTGAGGTGGGAGGATCACTTGACCTGGGAGGTAAAGGCTGCAGTGAGCTGAGATTGTGCCACTGCACTCCAGACTCTGTCTCAAAAAAAAAAAAAAAAAAAAGGTAGAATAAGGGAGTAAAACCAAAATTTGAGATTTGAGGTTTGGAAGGAGCCAGTCAAGAAGATTCCTAGCCCTTGGTCTAAAGTGTATTCATATAGTGGAATGAGGATGACAGTAGAAATCTGACAAATTTCCAAGTTTGCAGCCTGTTTTTCATGATGGCAGAGACATCAGAGAGGTTTCTGGGAACATATGTACACCAGTTGCTTCTGATCATTTCACAGGTGCCCCCTCGAGAAGCCAAGATCATGTCCTATGCCAGTTGATTATGAAGGATCACTCTGCTTGCAGAAGTACTTATCATCCTTTGGCAATGATGGTGGTGGTTTTGGTAAGATTGTCCATAGTCATGGTTATTTCATGTAGCAGAACATGGAACATGGAGGAGTTCCAGTGAACTGAGTGGCCCACACAGCAGTGGCTCTAGGCATTAAAGTTGCCCATACATGATCTGTTGCAGCAATCAAGATTTTTTTGGTTTATTCCCAATCTCTTAGCCTCTTGTTCTAAGCCTTCTTGAAAACCTGATGAGAAAGGAAAGTCACAGCCTCCCTCTAGGGCTGGGGTTCTTTCTGCCTAAACTTGTAACATGTTTCCATAGACCCTTTGGCTCATCTAGTGTCTGGAAAACTTTGGATGTAATAGAGTAGTTGAGGTGAGAGAATAAGCCAGTCTGGTTAAGCATAGATTGTCCTTTTCGAAAAGTTTGAAGTTGAAAAAAGCTTCCTTTTGAAGACTTGGAAACAACCAAATGCCCATCAGTGATAGACTGGATAAAGAAAATGTGGCACATATACACCATGGATTACTGTGCAGCCATAAAAAAGAATGAGTTCATGTCCTTTGCAGGGACATGAATGAAGCTGGAAGCCATTATTCTCAGCAAACTAACACAGGAACAGAAAACCAAACACCACATGTTCTCACTCATAAGTAGGAGTTGAACAATGAGAACACATGGACACAGGGAAGGGAACATTACACACCAGGGCCTGTCCAGGGGTGAGAGGCAAGGGGAGGGAGAGCATTAAGCCAAATACCTAATGCATGCGGGGCTTAAAACCTAGATGATGGGTTGATAGGTGCAGCAAACCACCACGGCACACATATACTATGTAACAAACCTACACGTTCTGCACATGTATCCCAGAACTTTAAGTAAAATTAAAAAAATTTTTAAAAAGGTGCTGTGGAGAAAAGCTAAAGGAACCTGAGTGATAGCAAAAGGATGCCTTTAAATCTGAGACAGGTATAGGAACTTAGGGAAAACTGCAGGCTGCCAAAGGGAAGGAAACACACAGCCTGCAATGAAAAGCAGGGTTGTGAGACTGAGGTTGAGATGAGTTGAATGAATGAATGTCTTAGATTCTGGGGTCCTTGCAGAGATGGTGGAATTGTTAAGAGGGAGAATAACTTGGGTGAAGAGGAAGAGGAGATTACACAAAGCAACCCTCATCATGGAAAACTGCAGTTGCAATGGAGGAAGTTATGCAGAGAGTGAAGGTGATGCTGGAGGGGACAGAGAAAAAAGAGGACACAGCAAAGGACAGTAAAAAGGGTAAGAATAGGACGTTGGCAAAGAAATCCTACAGGGTAATGTTCCAGCATCTTGGGTGGAAATTAACCACCTCGTGATGTCATCTACTTGGTCTGAAGTTCTTGGGAGAGCTGTCTACCTCAAGACACTGTTTCTTGGGACTCTCAAGACAGCCTCAGTTTAAAGTCTCTGGTTGGGGCAGATTTCCATTTAGAGTAGCTTTTAATATATTTTCAGTTGAGAAACATCAATCCAGGGTTAGACCTTCCAGGTTTTGGCAGCAGTGTTTTTATTATTATTATTATTATACTTTAAGTTTTAGGGTACATGTGCACAATGTGCAGGTTAGTTACATATGTATACATGTGGCATGCTGGTGTGCTGCACCCATTAACTCATCATTTAGCATTAGGTATATCTCCCAATGCTATCCCTCCCCCCTCCCCCCACCCCACAACAGTCCCCAGAGTGTGATGTTCCCCTTCCTGTGTCCATGTGTTCTCATTGTTCAATTCCCACCTATGAGTGAGAACATGTGGTGTTTGGTTTTTTGCCCTTGCAATAGTTTACTGAGAATGATGATTTCCAATTTCATCCATGTCCCTACAAAGGACATGAACTCATCATTTTTTATGGCTGCATAGTATTCCATGGCGTATATGTGCCACATTTTCTTAATCCAGTCTATCATTGTTGGACATTTGGGTTGGTTCCATCTTTGCTATTGTGAATAGTGTCGCAATAAACATACATGTGCATGTGTCTTTATAGCAGCATGATTTATAATCCTTTGGGTATATACCCAGTAATGGGATGGCTGGGTCAAATGGTATTTCTAGTTCTAGATCCCTGAGGAATCACCACACTGACTTCCACAAGGGTTGAACTAGTTTACAGTCCCACCAACAGTGTAAGTGTCCTATTTCTCCACATCCTCTCCAGCATCTGTTGTTTCCTGACTTTTTAATGATTGCCATTCTAACTGGTGTGAGATGGTATCTCATTGTGGTTTTGATTTGCATTTCTCTGATGGCCAGTGATGGTGAGCATTTTTTCATGTGTTTTTTGGCTGCATAAATGTCTTCTTTTGAGAAGTTCTGTTCATGTCCTTTGCCCACTTTTTGATGGGATTGTTTGTTTTTTTCTTGCAAATTTGTTTGAGTTCATTGTAGATTCTGGATATTAGCCCTTTGCCAGATGAGTAGGTTGCAAAAATTTTCTCCCATTTTATAGGTTGCCTGTTCACTCTGGTGGTAGTTTCTTTTGCTGTGCAGACGCTCTTTAGTTTAATTAGATCCCATTTGTCAATTTTGGCTTTTGTTGCCATTGCTTTTGGTGTTTTAGACATGAAGTCCTTGCCCATGCCTATGTCCTGAATGGTAATGCCTAGGTTTTCTTCTAGGGTTTTTATGGTTTTAGGTCTAACATGTAAGTCTTTAATCCATCTTGAATTAATTTTTGTATAAGGTGTAAGGAAGGGATCCAGTTTCAGCTTTCTACATATGGCTAGCCAGTTTTCCCAGCACCATTTATTAAATAGGGAATCCTTTCCCCATTGCTTGTTTTTCTCAGGTTTGTCAAAGATCAGATAGTTGTAGATATACGGCATTATTTCTGAGGGCTCTGTTCTGTTCTATTGATCTATATCTCTGTTTTGGTACCAGTACCATGCTGTTTTGGTTGCTGTAGCCTTGGCAGCAGTGTTAGTGATGTACAGAGGACAATGCAGAGGCCCTTTTAACAGGGTTTAAGATTAGTTTTCTGGTGATGTTGACTTTAGAGAACAAGGTCTCCAATTTCTAGGTTGTACAATGGTTTGGATAGGAAAATTGGAGGAAAATCAGCCTCAACCTATTGAAGGTAAGTTTGAGTATAATTGATAAATATTTTGAAGTAATTTAGATTGTCTGAATTGACCAGGTTAGGATATTTGAAAGCCTAAATAGAATAGGGAATTCTCATGGGGCTTGCCAGTTATTATTGTATATGGGTATAGTTTGTGTGATCTGGCAGGAGAGGATCAGAAGGCAATCAGGGCTAAGGGTAAAATTTTAGGCCATTGCGTATTGAGTTTTTCCATCAGTTTAGCAAGCTTTATTGTTTGTTTGGTTTGGTTTTGTTTTTTTTACAGATAGGATCTCACTATGTTGCTCAGGCTGGTCTCAAATTCCTGGGCTCAAGCAATCCTCCCACCTCAGCCTCCCAAGTAGCTGGGACCATAGGCATGTGCCACCACACCCAGCTAATTTTTAATTGTTTTTTTTGTAGAGATGGGATCTTGCTTTGTTGCCCAAGCTGGTCTTGAACTCCTGGCCTCAAGTGATCCTCCTGCCTTGGCCTCCCAAAGTGCTGGGATTACAGGCGTGAGCCACCATACCCACTTTAGCAAGTTTTAATTTTAATAGTCCATTAGGTCTGTCTATTATTACAGGAAAGATAGGTGATAAGGGATGATCCGGAGAGATAATAAGGACTACATATTTTTGTGATACAGGAAGAACGACTTGGATTTCTTAGATTACTTTACTGGTGAAATGGGTCCCTCAGCCACTTAAAAAGAGCTAATGGAATTGTCCATGTGCAAAACACTTGCCCTGTTAATTTAGGGAAGGCTAAGTATTTTTTTTACAACACTTCCCATACACTTTATATAATATTAACTAAATCTAATTATTTTAGTACCTCCTTTTAAAAAGTGAAAGAACAAATCATTTTGTGATTTCCTTGGGACCCTCTGGAAAATCTCAAAGGCAGGTTTAGGTATAAAACATACCATTTAATATTAGATTTGGAGCTGGTCGCAGTGGCTCATGCCTATAACCCCAGCACTTTGGGAGGCCGAGACCAGCGGATCACTTGAGGTCAGGAGTTTGAGACCAGCCTGGCCAACATGGTGAAACCCCGTCTCTACTTAAAAAATACAAAAATTAGCCAGGCATGGTGGCACACACCTATAATTCCAGCTACTCGGGAGGCTGAGGCACGAAAATCGCTTGAACCCGGGAGGCAGAGGTTGCAGCGACCGGAGATGGAGCCACCGCACTCCAGCCTGGGCGACAGATTGAGACTCTGTCTCAAAAAGAAAAAAGAAAAAAGATTAGATTTGAGGAAGGCAAAATGTCAAAAATTGTTAGGATACTTGAAAATTTGGTTAAATAGGGTCATGGGTCACTGATAAACAATACTTGGCTACCATTTAACTAAAGTGATTTTAAAGTAAATATAGGAGGTAACATGGTTGTAAAAATAGCTCTTTAAAAAGTGAAAAAACTTGATTCTCTTAAATAACTAAGGATATGAAAAAGTCAACATAAAGCACAGGTATAAAGAGCTGGGTGTCCTCTAATTCAATCCACTACTGACTATCTACTTGGAGACAGAGTCAGCTCCCACAAGTTGAGGACTCAGTCTCACAAGACTGTCTCCCATTTGAGATGCCAGTTGCAAGCACATATTGAGACCTGTACTTCTTACCAACTGGCTGTAAGTCAGGATTCCCACGACCCCCCTGAGGTTCAATTCATTTGCTAGAGCAGCTCACAGAACCCAGGCAAACACTTTACTTATGTTTACTGGTTTATTAATAAGGGATATAATGAAGGATGAAGATTAACAGCCAGATAGCGAAGATGCATAGAGCAAGGCATGAGGGAAGGGGTGTGGAGTTCCCATGCCGCCTCCAGAGCACCACCCTCCAAGAACCCACACATTTCCAGCTATCTGGAAGCTCCCCAAGCCCTGTCCTTTTGGGTTTTTATAGAGGCTCCATTACCTAGATGTAATTGATTACATCATTAGCCATTGATGATCAATTCAACCTTCAGCCCCAGAGTTGAGGGATGGGGCTGGAGGTCCCAACCTTCTAATCACATGGTTGATTCCCCTGGCAACCAGCTCCCATCCTGAGGCTATCCAGGAGGACATTAAGAGGTCACCTCATTAGAGCAAAAGATGCTTCTATCACCCAGGAAATTCCAAGGGATTTAGAAGCTCTGTGTCAGACACTCCTATCACACAAGAAATTACAACGGTCTTAAGAGCTTTGTATCAGAAACTGGGGTCAAAGACCAAATATTAAAACAGAATATTTTTATCATCTCTCTCTCCTGTAATGATAGACAGACCTAACGGACTATTAAAATTAAAGCTTGCTAAACTGGACATAGTGGCTTACGCCTGTAATCCCAGCACTTTGGGAGGTCAAGGCACCAGGAGTTCAAGACCAGCTTGAGCAACATAGTGAGACCCCATCTGTAAAAGACAAAACTAAACCAAAAACAAACAAACAATAAAGCTTAGTAAACTGATGGAAAAACTCAATCTCCAATGAACTAAAGTTTTACCCTCTCTGGGACTCTCCTTCACCATCTGTAAAATGAAGCCAGGGCTCATTTACGTGGGATTCCCATGAGGATCAAGTAAAACTGTGCTGGAAGACTTTAGCACAACACATTCCTGTCTGGCAGCAGAAGGGGATCAGCCTTGAGGTATAAAATTCTGGGTTGCAATCAGTGGTGTGCTGATAACAGCTGGCCCCAGCGAAATGGCACAAGCCAGCTCAGCATGGCTCGATTTATGTGAAGTTTCTAGAAGAGGCTAAACTAATCTATGGTGAGAAAAGTCAGGACAATGCTTGCCTCTGGAGGGGGTGGCAGCAGGGATTGATAAGGAAAGGGCATGAGGGAACTGTCTCAGGTGATGGTCGTGTTTAATGTTTTGATAGGGGTTTACATTTGTCAAAATTCTTTGAATGATACACTTGAGATTTATACATTTCACTGTATACAATTTTACTTAAAACTGTAAATATTGAACTCTAGTTAATGATATGTACGCTGAATTATCTAGAAGCGAAGTGCACTGAAATCTGCAACTTACTTTGAATTGCACCAAAAAATAACATGGATTGATGGACAGATAGAAACATGGATAGATGAAAAGAGATGAGATAAAGCCAGGTTAACAACATGTAACAGTCTGGGTGTAGGGTATATTGGCACTTACCAAACAATTCTTTGTATCTTCTGTATGCTTGAAGATTTAATTATGAAAAATGTTGAGGAAACATACTGAGCATATCTTACATACAAAGTTGTTTATCTTTGCCCCATTGCTTCTAGTAGTTTCATTTACATATATTGATTATAATTTTATCCACTAATGACTTTTACTTTGCAGAGAAAACTAGGAAGTAGATAACTATGAACTGTCTATCATAGAGCAGGCTAGCAAAGCTTATGAATATATATCTCACAATCTAGTTGATACAATATTGGCTTATTCGACTAGTAAACCTGTACACATTTAGGAAGAACATACCAAGTAGAAAGAAGTGTATACTTCTGTTATACTTAATGGTAATAACTCATAAAACATAGCTATTTTTATTAAGCCAACAATATTAAGCTAATTTTGTTTGCCAAAGATTTACCTAAATTAGGTAACTTGAATTTTTTTTTTTTAGATGAATTTCCTTCTTGTTGCCCAGGCTGGAGTGCAGTGGTGTGCTCATGGCTCACCGCAACTTCCGCCTCCTGGGTTCAAGCGATTCTCCTGCCTCAGCCTCCCGAGTAGCTGGGATTATAGGCATGCACCACCACGCCCGGCTAATTTTGTATTTTTAGTAAAGATGGAGTTTCACCACGTTGACCAGGCTGGTCTTGAACTCCTGACCTCAGGTGATCCACCCGCCTTAGCCTCCCAAAGTGCTGGGATTACAGGTGTGAGCCACCACGCCCGGCAGTAAATTGAATTTTTAAAACATTTATGTTAGGTTTTAGAGAATACTTTTTCCCCCACACTGGAAGTATTAGAAGTTCAGATTTTTTTTTTCTGACAGTTTTAGGGTTTTTAAGGAATTTTATAAATTAATTTGATAGTATCATCCAGAGGTAGAAAAATATCACATATGCATAAAATAAATACATAAACATACAGGCAGATGCAAATAAAGATCTTACAGGTTTCATTCTAAAATTTTAGCCACGATTCAGGCATAAACACAGAAATACAAAACTCACTAGTCAATACAACAGAGTTGGCTCATTGTCTTTGCCCCACTTTGTATTTTTATCAGAATTCTGTTTCTGGCAGACGGGACAAGTTGAGGTTTACCTATTCAACATGAGGGCTAAAGCTTCCCATCAATATTTCTGGAGGAGACCTTTTTTTTCTTTTCTTTTTTTTTTTTTTTTTTTTGAGACGGAGTCTCACTCTGTTGTCCAGGCTGGAGTGCTGGAGTGCAGTGGCGTGATCTCGGCTCACTGCAAGCTCCGCCTCCTGGGTTCATGCCATTCTCCTGCCTCAGCCTCCCCAGTAGCTGGGACTACAGGCGCCCGCCACTACGCCAGGCTAATTTTTTGTATTTTTTAGTAGAGATGGGGTTTCACTGTGTTAGCCAGGATGGTCTCGATCTCCTGACCTCATGATCCGCCCGCCTCGGCCTCCCAGAGTGCTGGGATTACAGGCGTGAGCCACCGCGCCCGGCATGGAGGAGACTTTTAAGATTTTCTTTGCCCTGATGTGTAATTTGATGGATGTTGTGGACCAAATGTTTGGTGAGGGACTGAACAGACACCCAGCAGCCATCTGGGTATCTCCAAAGACCATCTGAGTAGCTAAAATATCCAGTCTGTTTCCAGCTAGCTTTCAGCCTCTGATGCTTGCTTTTGGAGCCTCTGAACCCCTCAAGAGTCCCCCTGTGGTGGCAGAAGGACCAAAGCGCTAATGACTATAGGGAGTTGAGGTACTGGTTTGAGAAGGGAAAGGTCTGGCAGGGGTAGACAGAGAGGTGGAGGAGGTAGGTATATGAATGGGGACAACATCAAAGGATCCCAGGAAACTGAAAGGAAGATCAAAGGTGGTAAGGGAAGGAAGGAGGAGTAGAGGCCATGGGAAGGGAAAGGTCTTAGATGAGCTAATCTGGGGAGATCGCAAGTTCCCTAAAGAGGCTACTGAAGTTCCAAATTCCCTCTGGTAATTTTTTGGCCATTTATGAATACATTAGACTGAATCAGTGCCCCAGCGGGAAGACATGTAGTAAACAGGAAAGAAGAGGAGGGAAGGCATCTGAGAGAATGAGTTCCCCATGGGATTAACAGATAGTTAAGCCAAGATTGAAGAGCCAAGGGAACACTTCATGTAATCTCCATGGCAGAAAGCCCAGAGAACTCCCACGCACAATTTCTGGGGTGGAGTCAAGTGAACCCCCTGCCCCATGCAATCACCAGGGATTGAGGAGCTGAGGAAATTCCCACACGCCATCCCCATGTTTGAGATGCCAAGAAAATTCTTATGCATAATCCCCCAGTTTAGAGAGCCAAGAAAAAAACAGAAGAGGCTTCACAGAAAGGGATAAAGAAATCACTTTGCCAGAAAGAATAAACGTAACTCCTGACTACCACATTACAGCAGATAAACGTCCAAAGCACTGGATTAGATAAGGAAGTGTGACTCACCACCATGGATTCCTACTTTTCCAGGCAGAAAAAGACACAAAGGGTCCAGGAAGCCAGCATGAATACCTGGGTGAAGACACAGGTTCCGAGGAACAGCCAGCACTCCATCTGAGTCACAGCGCCATTAGTATTCAAAGAAACACAAATCAGGATTTAGTAAGGAGAGATTTTATTTAAAAGGATTATTACAAGGGAGGGAAAAGGACTATTGAAATAGGGAGAGGAGGATGACTGCAATAGGGAGAATGCTGTGACTATAAGGTCTGCAAGATTCTCAAAGCCAAACAGAAAAAGGTTTTTCTTTTATAGAGGAAGGAGGAAGCAAGCAGGGATAAATAATCTTTGGAAAGGAAGCTGGACAAGCAAGGGGCATGCCCTGGGTCTTTGTGTTCGGGTTTAAGGACAAGCAGAGGGTAAGCAATGGGCAACTGTGAACCCTTGATCGGGGCAGATGACACTCTCCAAGGCTTATAGCTAGCCAGGTGCACCAAAGGGACAAACAAATCACAGTCTTCTCCCTTTCTGATCTTTTCTCCTGGCTTTCCCCCACTAAATGGGCAGACTGGCTGCAAACTGGCTGAAATCTTAGTTTGTGGCCTATAAGACCAAGAATCTTATACAACTCTTATAGGTTGCTTTATCACTGACACCAAAATCAGTTATTATGAAATAACATACAACTAAGATTATAAAGCCACCTGGGTCCAGGGCATGGATTTTTATTTTTATGTATTTAGTTATTCATTGAGACATGGTCTCTCTGTCACCCAGGCTGGAGTGCAGTGGCACAATCATAGCTCACTGCACCTACGTCACCCAAGCTGGTCTCAAATTCCTGGCCTCAAGCAATCCTCTCAACGTGCTGGGATTACAGGTATGAGCCACCGTGCCCGGCCCAGGATGGTTTTTTTCATATATAAATGAGCCAAACATGACCTCTATGTGTTGGGAAAAGGGCGGGGGGTGCCTGTATAAACAGATACACAATGCCAATTTATGCAGGCACCCCACAAGCCCTTTTCCCAATGTCAATGTATTAACCCCTAGGTTATTTCTTCCCTGCAGGCTGAGATCCATTAGTTCAAATGCCCACCAGTGCCAAACTTAAATATTTGCACATCCAATTATTTTTATTTTTATTTTTTATTTGAGACAGAGTCTTGCTGTGTAGCCAGGCTGGAGCACAATGGCTCGATCTCGGCTCACTGCAACCTCCACCTCCCAGGTTCAAGCGATTCTCCTGCTTCAGCCTCCTGAGTAGCTAGGACTACAGGTGCTCACCACCACGCCCAGCTAATTTTTGTGTTTTTAGTAGAGATGGGGTTTCATCAGTTGGCCAGGATGGTCTCGATCTCTTGACCTCGTGATCCGCCCTCCTGAGCCTCCCAAAGTGCTGGGATTACGGGCGTAAACCACCGCGCCCAGCTCAGATTATTTTTTAAACTAGACCAAAGAGGCAGACTTTTTAGCAATTTACATCCTGCCTGTTTTGCATACTCCACAAAATCTCACCCCACATCTGTTGACAATAGATAAGCCCTGGGCCATAAAGACCCCAAGCCTCTGCTGCCCTTCTGAGCTCTCTGACCCAATAACTCCACACTGCGGGCTGAGCAACATCACCTAGACACGTAAGTCCCCTCTCTGACCCCCATCTCCCCTAAGAATTCCTTGCCTTCCTTCCCTTCTGAGTAACCTCTATACAGACTCCTGCTGTGAGGGACTTCTGCCACATACAAGCTGTCGATGCACCACCCACTAAAGTTGTGTATGCTACTGCCACCTCATGATAATATCATTCCTCCATCAGCCCCCAAATCCCTCAAACCTCCTACATCTCTGGCAAAATTGGAGTTGACAGTGAATACAGCTGTATTACCTAGTGGTAAAATATTAATAGCTCAGTAGTTCTGTACCTATGTAACCCTACCCCCATATGAATGGGAATGGACTGAGGGGGAAGCACTTGCTAGATTGGCATTACTGACAGAAATCTGAGTCAGTACAGTGACTGAACCTAACATCCTTTCCAAAGGCCAAAATGTTTGGATAGAAATAATTGACAAATGGAGAGAAGAAGAAATATGGTAGTTCAGGGGAAATGAATAAATAAATGGTTTATGCAATAGGGGAAATCCAGTATTACATTGGTGCCTCGAGAGAGGCTCAGATCAAGAGAATTATATTGCCTTCTAGCACGATTATGCCAGATCCCTGAAAGGTGAGGCCATATGTCTGCTGAAACTACTTCTCTTTTTGGAACCTGACAAGGTTGAATGGAAGCCTGCAAACCTGAGTAACATCATTCTGGGAGACATTTTGGGTACATCATATGATGATGAACTGGACCAATTGTTGATGACTGAGTGAAACTCTACATGACAGTATCTTTAGACTCTTGTCAAAAGTATATTATTTGGGGCCAGGCACAGTGGCTCATGCCTGTAATCCCAGAACTTTGGGAGGCTGAGGGGGGCGGATCACCTGAAGTCAGGAGTTCAAGACCAGCCTGGCTAACATGGAGAAACCCTGTCTCTACTAAAAATACAAAAATTAGCCTGGCATCTGGCAGGTGCCTGTAATCCCAGCTACTCAGGAGGGCTGAGGCAGGAGAATCACTTGGACCTGGGAGGTGGAGGTTACAGTGAGCCAAGATCGCCACCACTGCACTCCAGCCTGGGTAACAGAGTGAGACTCTGTCTCAAAAAAAAAAGGATATCATTTGGGAAGGAGTTTCTAGGAGCTACACCCTGCCAGGCCATCGGACTGTGTGGTGTAAAATTCCGAGCAGACTGATTACTGTGTAACTATAGACCTTAATGATAGAATGCTTAGAAAGGTCCCTGGTTTTAAGAGGCAAAATATAGCAGTAGCATGTCTGACATGCTACAGTTAGCCATGCACAAATGTATATCACCTTTGTTTTGTGGACAGAAAGTTATCAGGTTGATGCAAAAGTAATTGCAGTTTTACATTACATTAAAAGTCATGGCAAAAACCGCAGTTACTTTCGCACCAACCTAATATTAACCAGAATAGAAAAAACAATGGGTTTCAGATGGGATTAAAGCAGTAGACATCAGGTGGTAGGCTCAAATTCCCTAGGGAAATGCCCCACCCTGAAATGAGGAAGGCCATGTGAGACTTTATGTCATGCCCAGACTAAATTACATCTAGATGTGATTACCACTCATCTAACCCTGTTATGGGGGTCCCAACATTTTGGGATACACAACATGTGTCCTAGCTGCACTCAGGCCAGCAGTGCACAATGGCAACAACATGCATAGTGGATTAAACAACATTGACCACAGAACAGAAAAGAGCTTTAAGGGAGAAAGATGCTGGTCTAGGGATTGTGGGACAAGTTCAATTTGCTTTTAAGGAGAAGCAGCATTCAGAGGAAAAGATGTATTAATTAGAATAAGTAGACTAGAGAGATTCTCTTCCAGGAGAAAGACAAAGGATGAGTGTCAGCCTGGGATAACAAAGCTTTAGTGAAGTGGGGCAGGCAGACTCAACAAATAATGCTGGGTAATGCTAGGATCCAGTATTGGGAAAGGGTTTGTACCCAGACCCAGCAAGGCCTCTTGACTATTTTAATACAGATGGAGGCTGAAATGGCCATAAGGACTCCTGTGTCCTCCCCACAGAAGGGAGATGGGCCCTAATTTATAACAGCACATAATGGAAATCAGTCTCAGTCTCAGTACAAGCCTGTGGATTGAGATAGATGGTGGGTTTTGTCCTCAATTGTCTTAGAACCCAGAAATAACCAAGAATCAAGTTGTAGCTCATCGTAATAATACTTGACAGGAATAATATCTGGTATATGCACAAGTGCTGATTCTGTTAGGAAGGCTTAGCAAATACCTCTATAATTCTTACTGACTTGAATCATACTCTGACCATACTGTGATAGGGTGTAACACTGGCATTGTTAGTAAGATTAAATTGCCTTATATAAATAACTCATGTGATAATACAGATATTAATAATCAAATTTATTGGAAGATTGAGTTAAAGCTTATTCAGGATGTAATACTGGTGGGGAATCACTAGTCCGAGGAAGAACTAGATTTAGCTAGCCATCAGCTAATGTTTATCCTAAATAGTTCTGTACAGATTTATCATAAGGTACAAATAGCAGTAGATCGAGAGGGTAAATGAATAATCAAATTAGACCATGCACAGTGGCTCATGCCTGTAACCCCAGCACTTTGGGAGGCTGAGGCTGGTGGATCATCTGAGCCCAGGACGCAGAGGTTGCAGTGAGCCAAGATTGTGCCAGTGCACTCCAGTCTGGGTAATAGAGCAAGACTGTGTCTCAAAATAAATAAATAATCAAATTAGTATGAAATGTAATGGTTTTGTAAGATGGATTAGTTGTTTCTTTAAATCTACCCCTACCCTACACTGGCTCTTCCAAATGTTAGGAATATGCAAACTGATACTATCGCTGTGTCTGGTATATGCTGTGTTAAATACTACACTAAATGTAGATGCTCAAACAAATTTTATCATTTTGCTGTAATAAAACCTAGGCCAAGGGCCAGAAGAGTGGACTATGCAGTAAAGTGTTAACTCAGCAGGCCTAGGCTGCCCAAACCCTGCACATTCCAAATGTCTTTAGAATTGACCCTGGACCAACTCCTAAAAATAATCTCTGAGCCCTTGGAATATCTTGCCTGATAAGAGTGTCTTTGTATACCTGAAACCTTGGGGCAAGACAAATAGTTTATGCTAACAATGTGATCTATGTGAATGCCTATTTTTGTATGCTTGGGATTTTGGGTCACACTGTATCAGTTTGACCTCTGGCGAGCTGGGGTCTAAATGGCTAAGGTCAAGTCTTATGCATTCTGAGCCTACAGAACTGGCCCTCAATAAAAAACCCTAGACGTCAAGGCTCAGGTGAGTTTCCCTGGTTGGCTATACTTTATATGTGTTGTCACATATCATTGCTGGGAAAATTAAGTGCTATTCACTTGACTCTACTCAGAAAGGATAACCGGAAGCTTCTGCCTGGTTTCTCCTCAACTCTGCTCTATGCACCTTTTTCCTTTGCTGGTTTAATCTGTATCTTTAGCTATAATAAACCATAACCATGAATAGAACCATTCTTCTGAGTTCTGTGAGTTCTTCTAGTGAATTATCAAGTCTGAGAGTGGTTTAGGGGACCCCCAACACAGTATTCCCTACTAGGTTTTCCACGAAACAAACAAAATAGAAAAAAGAAAACAATTGAAAAACATGCATCAGAGAAATTTAGAGAGAATAAAGAGATTAATAAGTTCGAGACCAGCCCAGCCAACAAGTTCAAGACCAGCCTGGCCAACATGGTGAAACCCCATCTCTACTAAAAAATGCAAAAATTAGCCGAGCGTGGTAGAAGGCACCTATAAACCCAGCTACTCAGGAGGCTGAGACAGGACAATTGCTTGAACCTGGGAGGTGGAGGTTGCAGTGAGCTGAGATTGCACCACTGCACTCCAGTCTGGGTGACAGAGTGAGACTCTGTCTCAAAAAAAAAAAAAAAAAGAGAGAGAGAGAGATTAATAGCTCATATGACCTTACTTCTGTATAAACTGCACATTTGTCTGTGAAAAGGGCAAACATCATCAGCTACATGATTTCATTCTCCATAAAGAGAAAATAGGTCAACTTCTTAGGAAGTAAAAATTTCCAGGCCAGGTGTGGTGGCTCATGCCTGTAATCCCAGCATTTTGGGAGACCTAGGCAGGCGGATCACCTGAGGTCAGGTGTTAGAGACTACCCCATCTCTATTAAAAATACAAAAAATTAGCCGGGTGTGGTGGCATGCGCCTGTAATCCCAGCTACTCAGGAGGCTGAGGTAGGAGAACCGCTTGAACCTGGGAGGTGGAGGTTGCAGTGAGCCAAGATTGACTCACTGCACTCCAGCCTGGGCAACAGAGTGAGACTCCATCTTAAAAAAAAAAAAAAAAAAAGCAAAAACAAACAAAAAAAAAAAACAACCCCCCCCCCCAAAAAAAAACAGGCACTTAGGCCTAATAAATGTTATTGTTGATTCTTTCTAAAGGTCAGTAGTGATTTTCAGCTCAGGACTCTCTCAATGAAACTGTTTTTAAATTTTTCTGGTAGATGCTTGCAGAGCAGAGAGTGGGATTTCCTGGTTTTCTATGGCTTCTTTGCTGTTGTCTCTGTATGTGAGTTCATACCCAACTCAAGGCAAATTCCTTCTCCTATACTCTTCCACTAGAAAAGTCTTTATTATTATTTTCTCCCTACAAATATGATCTACATGTGGAGCAAAATATGTAAACAACATAAATACGTAAACACTAGGAAAGGAAAAGCCTCTATAAATGGACAAGGAAAATCCTCCATAATCTAACTTCTGACTCCCAACTCAACCTAACCATGATTATCTGGCTTGAAATAAAGCCTAACAGGCTTTATTTACTATGCATATAATCCTGTCTATCTGTGTGTTGTTTTGTGTAAAATGAGTGTGCTGTTCATTATATTCTGTATTTTCCTTGACAAAAAAAATCTGCTATATACTGTGTCTTGCAATTTGCTTCGTTCATGGTAGATTTCAGCATAATTTGAAAAAAAAAGTTTATAAAGGAAAACCTACCAATCTTCTCTCTTATGAAATCTAGATTTTCTGTAATGCTTTAAAAGGGCTTCCCCACAAAGAATTTATAAGCAAAAGATTATCTTGTTTCTCTTGTGTTTCTCTTATTACTTTTACAGTTTCAATATGTTAGGTTTAAATTTTTGTCATGTGGAACTTTTTATGTAAGGTTTCTTCTTTTACTAAGGAAAGAGACCACCACTTCCCCTGCTGCCTTCCTCTCCCCTTGTCTTGCCTAGTTTATAAGACAAGAGGAAAGGGAGAAAACAAAAAGTTGGAAAGAAACAAAAGTAAGATAAATGGCCAGACGACCTTGGCACCACCATCTGGCCTTGGTGGTTAAAAATAATAATCATCACGTTCTCCATGGTTGCCTGATCTTTCATGACCCTTTCACGTGGACCCTTTAGAGTTGTAAGCCCTTAAAAAGGCCTTTTTTCTTTTTTGAGGAGCTCAGCTCTCAAGACGTAAGTCTGCCGAAGCTCCCAGCCGAATAAAGCCCCCTTACTTCTTTAACCCGGTGTCTGAGGAGTTTTGTCTGTGGCTCGTCCTGCTACATTACAACTTCTGTAGTTTCTGGATTTTTAAAATGTTTACCTTTTTGTTACATCTGGAATTTATTTCATGTATGGTATGAAATAGGTAGAAGGCCCAGTGGGTAAGGCTCCAACTATTTTTTTCTGATGGCTACTCAGTATTGAATAATCTTTCTTCCAGGTACATGAAATGTCACTGTATTAGTCTGTTCTCACACTGCTATGAAGAAATACCCAAGATTGGGTAGTTTATAAAGGAAAGAGGTTCAATTGACTCTGCAGCGCTGGGGAGGCCTCAGGAAACTTACAATCATGGCAGAAGGGAAAGCAAACACATCCTTCTTTGCATGGCAGCAGCAAGGAGGAGTGCAGCGTGGAGGGGAAAGCCCCTTATAAAACCATCAGATCTCATGAGAACTCACTATCATGAAAACAGCATGGAGGTAACCGCCCCCATGATTCAATTACCTCCTACCAGGTCCCTCCCACTACACATGGGGATTATGTGAACTACACCTCAAGATGAGATTTGGGTGGGAACACAGCCAAACCATATCAGTCACTTATGTTTGTAAATTCTCACTTGTATTTTGTTCTCTTTCTGGTCTCTATTCTCTTTCAATGACTACTCTGCTAATGGCATTTATAAAGGAAAGAGGTTCAATTGACTCTGCAGTGCTAATGGCAGAGTAGTCATTCCCTAACAGCCTCAGAAAAAAACTAGCCCTTCCAAAACCTTGATTTTAGACTTCTGGCCTCCAGAACTGTGAGATAATACATTTCTATCTTTTAAACAACTCAGTCTATGGTACTTTATTATGGCAGCCCTAGCAAACAAGCACACCTTCTTTTGTTACTTTAAATGTGTACTTTTTTTTTTTTTTTGAGACATAGTCTCACTCTGTCATCCAGGCTGGAGTACAATCATGGCTCACTGCAGCCTTAACTTCTGAGGTTCAAGCAATCCTCCTACCTCAGCCTCCTGAGTAGCTAGGACTACAGGTGCATACCACCAGGCCTGGCTAATTTTTTTATTTTTCATAGAGATGGGGTCTCATTATGTTATCCAGTCTGATCTTGAACTCCTGGCCTCAAGTCATCCTCTCACCTTGGCCTCCCAAAGTGCTGGGATTACAGGTGTGAGCCACCATACCCAGCCTATACTAAACGGTCTATGTCTAATAACTTCTATATCTGAAGTTGTATAGGTTTGACTGTCGTTTTTTATGAATCTTGCTAATAGTGTTTTGTGTCTTGTTATCTTGTGTGCACTATGAGTTTTTACACTGTGGGTTCCTATATTTTGAAATTTTATCTGTGGGTTGAAAGGTGGCTTACACCAAAGTGGATTTATGTTTACTTCTCTCAGGCATCTTGGGTCACTACAACCTGGGACCATTTCAAGTAAATCCTTGAGGTGTTTTGCTGATACACTGGAGATGTGACTTGAGGCTGCAAAGAAGCATGATGGCAGCTAATCCTCTGGCTCAGGGCTTTTGTACTTGCTATTCCCTCTGCCTGGCATGACCTACTTCAAATCCTCCTTCACTTCCTTTGGATCTCTGCTCAAATGGCACCCTATTATTGAGACCTTCCCTGCCCACCCCACATCCACAGGTGATTCCTTGTTCCCCTATCTTGATTTACTTTCATTCATCACCAGAGGATGAATACTTATACACACAGACACACACATGCACACAACAGAAACCTATAACTATCTATGTATCACCTTTTTATTATCCATGTCCCCACAAAGCAGGAACTATTTTTTCTGCTTTGTTCACTGTAGAATACTCAAAATAGGCTGGGCGTGGTGGCTCACGCCTGTAATCCCAGCACTTTGGGAGGCAGAGGTGGGCGGATCACAAGGTCAGGAGATCGAGACCATCCTGGCCAACATGGTGAAACCCCGTCTCCACTAAAATACAAAAAAATTAGCCAGGCATGGTGGCGTGCACCCGTAGTCCCAGCTACGCAGCAGGCTGAGGCAGGAAAATCGCTTGAACCCGGGAGGCAGAGGTTGAGATGAGCTGAGATCATGCCACTGCACTCCAGCCTGGAGACAGAGAGATACTCCGTCTCAAAAAAAAAAAAAAAAAAAAAAAAACAAAAAAAACAACTCAATGGGGTCTGCCATGCAGTACATGCTCAACAAAGGTTTGCTGAACATGAAAAAACAATGTCTGGCCGGGCACAGTGGCTCACGCCTGTAATCCCAGCACTTTGGGAGGCCAAGGTGGGCGGATCACGAGGTCAGGAGATCGAGACCATCCTGACTAACACGGTGAAAGCCCATCTCTACTAAAAATACAAAAAAAAATTAGCCAGGCATGGTGGCAGGCGCCTGTAGTCCCAGCTACTCAGGAGGCTGAGGCAAGAGAATGGCATGAACCCGGGATGCAGAGCTTCCAGTGAGCTGAGATCGCGCAGCTGCACTCCAGCCTGGGTGACAGAGCAAGACTCCGTCTCAAAACAAGCAGACAAACAAACAAAAAAACAATGTCCATCCACACTCTGGGAGATTTTTAGGAAATTCTTCACTGTTCCTGTGGCTTGCTGCAAGCACTGACTTCACAGGAAATCAGACCGCAGAAGCTCGGCCACAGCAACCTCAACAAAACAGACACTCCACTGTCTGAGTCTGCTCAGGCTGCTATAACAAAGATACCATAAACTGAGTAACTTATAAACAACAGAAATTTCTTTATTACGACTCTAGAGGCTGACAAATCCAATATCAAGGTGCCAGCAGATTTGGTGTCTGGCGAGGGCCCATTTATCATTGATGGCATCTCCTTGATGTATCCTCACATGGTGGAAGGGGCAAACAAGCTCCGTCAGGCCTCTATTATTAGGTCACTAATCCCATTCATGAGGGCAGAACCCTTGAGATCAAATCACCTCCCAAAGGCCCCACCTTCTAATATCATCACTTTGGTAATTAGGTTTCAAAATATGAATTTTGGGAGTACACAAACGCATCCACTATTGCTACCCCTTCACTTTGAGAGTATCTGCCAAACCAAGATTACTGAAGCTGCAATTCTCAAGAACATGGCCTGCTCAAGGTGGGTAAAGACTGCTGACATAAATCTGGGAACAAAAATGGCTTCAGTTTCAGTGAAAGAATGAGCTTGAAATAAAACCACCTCTGCCCAAGGGACTGTGCTATGGTTTGAATGTGTCCCTTCCAAAATTCAGATGCTGTCAATGTGCTAGTATTAAGATGGGCCTTTAAGAGGTGATTGGGTCACAAGGGCTGCTCCCTCCTTAATGGATTAATGCCCTTTTAAAAGAAGATTCACGAAGTGTTCAGTTAGCTCACTAGCTTATTAGCTTGCCCTTCTGCCTTCTGCCATGTGAGGACATGGCAAGAAGGCCCTCACCAGCCCAAATGCTAGTGTCTTGATCTTGGACTTCCCACCCTCCACAATAGTAGGAAATAAACTTCTATGCTTCATAAATTACCAATATTAGGCATTCTGTTGTAGAGGTACAAAGTGAACTGAGATAAACGATAAGGGAATCATCCATCTAAAATCTTGGCACTAAGTGGAAAGGTAAAAATGCCCTCTGAACATTTATAGCCACTGGCCTACCATCATGCTTCTTTGCAGCTTAAACTCCCACCTTCCAGGTATTATGGGTTATCAAGATTAAGGATATCAGGATTATGCTTAGCTTCCTGAAAACCCACTGGGAGACTCCCTCTCTTTGTTATACCCTGGAACAAAAGTAACACATCTAAAACAGTACAAGTGAAATCAGGACCACAAGATGAAGGGTCAAAAGACAATAAAGCAATGAAAACAGGATGCACAACAGGAAATATGCTGGGAGTCCTAAGACCAAATAGATTTGTTATACTGACAAACAAAATTGGGCTGAACAACAGAATTTACCTACTGAAAAACAGAATACTCTCAGATTGGACCACAATGTCTAAAGTAGTTCTCAGATTAAGATACATAATCCAAATATACCTATAATAAACCAGAAAGAGTGAGATTAATTGAATTATACATTAAACTAAAGAAGTTAGAAAAAGAAAAAAAATTAAAAGCAGATGGAAGGATTTTAGTGAAATAAAAGCATAAATGCATAATTAGAAAATAGAAAAACGGCAAAAAATGCATGAACTGCAACACAGGTGAGGGAGAGTAAAAGAAATAAAATATTAGCATTTATTTACCTAATTGAGGGAAAAAATCACAAATACACTCTATGAGAACTATGTTGGAGAAATAACCACAGATATAAAGGAAATTAATCATGAGACTACTTTACCCAAAATTATGCAAATATATTAAGAACCTTGAGGAAATACATGATTTTTAAAAATTACAAAGAGTCCATATTTCTACATCTATATATTGATATATCAATATCTCAATCTAAATGCATATATAGGTCAGGTGCTGTGGCTCATGCCTGTAATCCCAGCACTTTGGGAAGCCGAAGTGGGTGGATCACCTGAGGTCAGGAGTTCGAGACCAGCCTTGCCAACATGGTGAAACCCCATCTCTACTAAAAATACAAAAATTAGCCGGGCCTGGTGGTGCATGCCTATAATCCCAGCTACTCGAGAGGGCGAGGCAGGACAATCGCTCAAACCTAGGAGGTGGAGGTTGCAGTGAGCCAAGATCACGCCACTGCACTCCAGCCTGGGTAACAGAGCGAGACTCCATCTCAAAATAAATAAATACATAAATGCATATATAATCTAAACAGAAAAATATGGAAAAAATAGAGAAAGATGACAAAGAGATACCCTTCAAATAATGCACCATGCCCAAATAAATTCACAAGAGAATTCTATAAAGCATTTAATGACCAAACAACACCAAAGTAGTGCTAATTCTTCCAGATACATTTATTCTGTGAAGAGGGCTGAGACAGTTTGAGGGTGAGCAAATTGATTCCATATTTGTGATGTTGAAAATATTCTGAGGGCCTAAGCAGATCATTCTGTGGAAGGGTAATCATGTATACTGAGGAACATATTAGTCTATTCTACAGTTGAGAAGTTGTCACTATTTCTATTCAATGTGAGTTTTCCCATAGACAATGAGGACTGACTTCTGGGAATAGGCCTTCCCACAATCAGCATATATACAAGGTGTCTTTCCTATATGGATTCTGATGCCCAGTAAAGTATACATGCTGGCAGAATGCCTTCCCACAGTCACTGCATCTGGAGGGTTTCTCCCCAGTGTGTCTTCTCTGATATGTAATCATCTGTGATTTCCAGAAAAAAGTCATTCCAGACTCAGCACATTCAGGGGTTTTCTCCCTAGGATGAGTTTTCTGATGTATAATGAGTGGAGACTTTCCACAGAAGGCCTTTCCACATTCACTACATTCATAGGGTTTCTCTCCAGTATGACCTCTCTGATGTAGAATGAGATGTGACTTCAGGGAAAAGGCCCTCCCACACTCAGTACACTCATAAGGTTTCTCCCCTGTGTGAACTCTCAGATGAATAATGAGGAGTGATTTCTGGGAGAAGGTTTTGCCACATTCACCACACTGATAAGGTTTCTCCCCTGTATGAATTCTCTGGTGTATGATAAGAGGTGATTTCTGAGAGAAGGATTTTCCACATTCAGTACACATATAAGGTTTCTCTCCAGTATGAAGTCTTTGATGGCCAGTGAGGTGTGACTTCTGGGAAAAGGCCTTCCCACAGTCAGTACACACATAAGGTTTTTCTCCTGTATGAATTCTTTGATGTCCTATGAGGTGGGACTGTTGGCAGAAAGTTTTCCCACATTCACCACACTTATAGGGCTTCTCTCCAGTATGCGTTCTCTGATGTATAATGAGCTGTGTTTTCCGAGGGAAGGTCTTCCCACATTCAGTACATTCATAGGGCTTCTTCCCAGTATGAGTTATCTGGTGTATAAAAAGGTGAGACATCTCACAGAAGGCTTTCCTGCATTCACTGCATTCAAAGGGCTTCTCTCTGGTATGAACTCTCTGATGTATAATTAGATGTGACTTCTGGGAGAAAGCTTTTGGACACTCAAAACACTCATAGGGTTTCTCTCCAGTATGGACTCTCTGATGAACAGTGAAAGGTGACTTCCGGGAGAATGCTCTTCCATACTTAGTACATTCATAGGGTTTCTCCCCAGTATGAATCCTCTGATGCACAATGAGGTGTGATTTCTCACTGAAGGCTTTCCTACAATCTCCACATACATATGGTTTCTCTCCAGTATGAATTCTTTGATGTATAATGAGCTGTGACTTCTTGATAAAGGCTTTCCCACACATACTACAAACATTGGGTTTCTCTCTGGCTTGAAATTTCTTATACTGAACATGGGCTTGCTTATGACTGAGAACTTTTTCACATTGACTATCTCCATAGGGCTCCATTCCAGTATGAATGAAGCCTTCCTTCTCAGGCACAGAACAGGAAGCATTATACTTAGGTGGTCTCCCACATCTAAATCTCTTAGTGGGGTTCTTTCTTGCATAGCTCCTGTTATAATTTAGTAAGTCTGAATTAGACTTCAAGCTATTTTCACATGAATCAAACTTATGGAATTTTTGACTTAAAGGAGCAAGGTCTGTGCACCGATTGAACATTTTCCCAAATGCACTGTACTTGGAACCCATCTCATCAGTCAATGTTTCACGACTGATGACTGTGACCTGCCTCAAAACTCTGTCTTGATTTCCTTGATATCTATCCATCTGATTATCAATATGCCAGATTTTTAAAACAGAGTACAATGAATTATCCTTTGGGGCTCTTTCTAGTATCTCCCTTTGAAATAAAAGTTCTCCAGAAATGATCTGCTGGGAAGATTCAAGGCCTTTCACTCTGTCTGAAGGAAGAAGAAAGAGGGAAAATCAAATACACACACACACACACACACACACACACACACACACACACACACACACACACAAAACAGTTGGCAATGAACAGAGGTACTAGGAAGGTGGCTGTTGTAGAATGAATGTTATAAAGGAGGCCTGATAAATTTTAAGGAAGAAAAAAGGTAACGGATGTCAGAGATGTCAAGGAAGAAGAAGATGCCCGCTTGACCATGTACCCAATTCTCACTTACCTGGGTAGATCCACCTTGACAACTCACTCTCTATGATCCATGGGTCCTTTCCATGTTCCAACTTAAAGATTACATCTGGTTTTATACCTGAACACCCTGTTAAGAGAAAATTGTAGTGGCTTTGGCCTTGGCAGCTCAGAAATTCATGAAGAGAAGCACTTGCAGGGGCCTCCCAGCAAAGTTGGATCCTTAACTCACACCATAACATAAAAATAAATTCTAGATATAACAAAAGTATAAACATGAAAAACCAAAACTATAAAAGAACACACTCTATTAAAGGAATATCATAAAGGTCATGGTATTGACAGCACTAAAGGAAGGATGAGGAGGATTTGATTCATTGGTACACAGGGAATCTGCCCTTACCCACGGAGACCAGGTGATTATAGGTCTCCAGCATCACATCCCTATGCAGGGTCTTCTGAGCAGGATTCAACTGCTGCCACTCTTCCTGCGTGAAGTCCACAGCCACATCCTCAAATGTCACTGGTTCCTATAACAGCACATTCCTGTACAATCTGCTCGTTCTGGTCATTTTTACCATAGCAGTACATGTAGGATGCCTACTTTGCACTTTGCCCAGCATACTTTATGAGAGAAACAATGTAAAACCCTGCCATTAGCAAGAATAGTTAGTGGAACAGAACAGACAGTCTAGAAATAGATACAAATAAAAATGGGAAATTTAATATATAATAAAGGTAGCATTTTAAACAGGAATGGAAAAACAGACTATTCAAAACTGGAGAGCTATCAGAAAAAAATTAACTGGATTCCCTACCTCACACTATATACAAAAATAAATTCATGACAAAAATTTAAATGAAAAAAGAGAAACTATAAAATAAAGACAGGAGAGGTTTTAAAAAATAATCTTTGAGTGGAGAAGACTCTTCTAAGCATGCCCCAAAACCCAGATGCCACAAATGAAAACACTGATAAATGTGACTACTTTATGTATTACATGGCAAAATATATCAAACAAACTCAAAGGATATGACTAACTAGGGAAAAAATATACACATAACAGATAGGATGGACAAAGAGTTAATTTCCTCCATGTATAGAGAGAGCTCCTACAAAGCAAGAAGAAAAAGACCAATAACTTTTTAAAAAATGGTTGATATGGTTTGACTCTGTTTCCCCACCCAAATCTCATTTTGAATTGCAATCCCCACTTGTCAAGTGAAGGAGGTGATTGAATCATGGAGGCAGTTTCCCCCATGCTGTTCTCATAATAGTGAGTGAGTTCTCACAAGATCTAATGGTATTATAAGCGTCTGGCATTTCCCTTGCTGGCACTTCTCTCTCCTGCCACCATGTGAAGAAGGTCCTTGCTTCCCCTTCCACCATGATTGTAAGTTTC
Organism: Homo sapiens; assembly: GCF_000001405.40. Lineage (NCBI taxonomy): Eukaryota > Metazoa > Chordata > Mammalia > Primates > Hominidae > Homo > Homo sapiens. Next base: position 48,061,819 of record NC_000023.11, read on the forward strand.
CTGAGGCTTCCCCACCCCCGTGGAACTGTGAGTCAATTAAACCTCTCTCCTTTATAAATTACCCAGTCTTGGGTATTTCTTTATAGTGACATGAGAACAGACTAATACGATGGTCAAGGGACATGACCATCATTTCACAGAAAATAAAATGCAAATGTTTTTTAAACATGTAAAAAGATGCTCAACTTCACTCACATGAAGATAAATGCAAACTAAGACAAGACAGCATTTTTCCCTTACATATTATCAAAGATGGGTGTTTGATAAGTCACTGGTCAAATGCTATGACTAGGGATAAGTCACAGTGACTTAGGGTAAGTTAGTGAAGATGTCAAGAAGCAGGCATACTCAAATTGTCTGTGGTGTATGGTATATTTTGAAGGCAATTAATTTGGCAATATCTATCCAAATTTATAATGTATACATCCTCTGACTCGCAATTTGGTTTCTAGAAGTTATTCTACATAAACATTCACTTATGTGAGCAAATGACATGTGTGAAGACACTGCTCTACAGTACTATTTATAATAGCAAAAGAATGGAAACCACCTCATGGGAGATTGGATGAATAAATAATGCTACAATCTCCATAAGGGAATACTATATGCAATTATAAAAAGCAACAAAGAAGGGGCCAGATGTGGTGGCTCACGCCTGTAATCCCAGCCCTTGGGGAGGCAGGGGCAGGTGGATCACTTGAGGTCAGGAATTCAAGACCAGCCTGGCCAACATGGCGAAACCCCGTCTCTACTAAAAATACAAAAATTAGCCGAGCATGGTGGTGCATGCCTGTAGTCCCAGCTACTCAGGCGGCTGAGGCAGGAGACTTGCTTGAACCCAGGAGGCGGAGGATGCAGTGAGCCGAGACTGTGCCACTGCACTCAAGCCTGGGCGACAGACTGAGACTCTGTCTCAAAAACAAACAAACAACCAGCCTGGGCAACATGGCAAAACCCTGTCTCTACAAAAAATTAGCCGGGTGTGGTGGCACACACCTATAGTCCCAGCTACTAGGGAGGCTGAGGTGAGAGGATTACCTGAGCCTGGGAGGTCAAGACTGCAGTGAGGCAAGATAGTGCCACTGCACTCTAGCCTGGGCAACTGGGGTGAAACCCTGTCTCAAAAAGAAAGAAAGAAAGAGAGAGAGAGAGAGAGAGGGAGGGAGGGAGGGAGGGAGGAAGGAAGGAAGGAAGGCAGGCAGGCAGGCAACAAGGAAGATCTATATTAATTGATATGCCACAATATTTAAGATACACTGTTAAGTGAAAATAAACATTCATTCACTCAGCAAGCAGTTATTGAGTACCTAGCGAATACCAAGCACTATTCTAGGAACTGGGGATACAGCAGGAAAAAAAACCTGGCAAAAATACCTTCCCTGAAGGAGTTTGTATTCTAGTGAGGGGAGACAGACAAAAAGGTTGAGAGAAAAATCACTACCTGGCCAAAAAAAAAAAAAAAAAAGTTTGCAATGTGCACTTCAAAATCACTCATATACAAAAAGCTCCTGGGAAACCATAAGCAAAGACAAGGAAAGAGGGATTCACAGAGAAATACAATATGGAAAATAAATATGTGAAAAGATGCTGAAGCTTATTTAATCCCTATAGAAAAGCAAATGAAAATGAGATATAATGCTTAATCATAAAAACAACAAGAATGAAAAAAACAGATGATGGCTAATGGTGGCAGGAGGGAGGGGGAACCTTGGGAAACAGGTGGGCTTTCTTGTAAACAATTTGTGGCCACATGTTCAGCTGATTACACAGTATTGAAATACAATTTGGGCTGGGCAGGGTGGCTCATGCCTGTAATCCCAGCACTTTGGGAGGCCAAGGTGGGCAGATCACTTGAGGTCAGGAGTTCGAGACCAGCCTGCCCAACATGGTGAAACCCAGTCTCTACTAAAAATACAAAAATTAGCCGGGCGTGGTGGCAGGCACTTGTAATCCCTGCTACTCCGGAGGCTGAGGCATGAGAATCGCTTGAACCTGGGAGGCGGAGGTTACAGTGAGCTGAGATCATGCCACTGCACTCCAACCTGGGGGACAGAGTGAGACTTTGTCTCAAAAAAATATATATATATACGATTTGAAAAATACTCTTTAAATTTATAAGTCTGTGTGCCTCTGACCTAGCACACTCATGTCTGAGAATGTGGCCTACACAAATACTTCACAAATATAAAAAGATATCTTTATATGGTTGTTTTATTTGTGACTTCACTGCTTGAGAGGTCTGGTTAGGTCATGTACTAGCTGTGTGATCTCTGTGCCTCATTTTCTTCATCTGAAAAATGGGAATAACAATGGTACCTAGCACAGAGGGTTCCTGGGTGAATTAAATAAGTTAATCCCACGATATTTTATAATAGCAGTGCCTGGCACATGATAAGCACTGAGTAAATAGTAGCTATGATTCTTCTTATTATTATTACTACTGTATATAAAAGAAAAACTAGAAATAACTTTTTTACAGCCCATCAACAAGGTTCTGGTATCCTGCAAACATTAAATGGACATTTAATGGACATTAATTTGACAATGTACATCAGTAGACAATGTAGATCAGGACATAGCAAACTATAGCCTGCAGGCCAAATTTAGCCCATCATGTGTTTTTCAATGGCCCACAAGCTAAACTGGTTTTACACGTTTTCTTTTGAGACAGTCTTGCTCTATCAGCCAAGCTGGAGTACAGTGGAACAGTCTTGATTCACTGCAACCTCCTCCTCCCGGGCTCAAGTGATTCTCCTACATCAGCCTCCTGAGTAGCTGGGACCACAGGCGCATGCCACCATGCCTGGTTAATTTTTGTATTTTTTTGTAGAGATGCGGTTTCGCCATGCTGCCCAGGCTGGTCTAGAACTCCTGAGCTCAAGCAATCCGCCCACCTTGGCCTCCCAAAGTGCTGGGATTATAGGCGTGAATAGCTAGCTGTATCTGGTCTGGTTTTTACATTTTTAATGATTGAAAAAAAAGTCAAAAGAAGAATATTTTATGACACATGAAAATTATATGAAATCCAACCTTCAGCATCCATAAATAAAGTGTTATTGAATCACAGCCAGGCTCATTGGTTTACATATTGTCAATAGCTGCTTTCTACCTAAAACAGCAGATTTGAATAGTTGCAACAGGGGCCGTATGGCCCACAAAGCCTCAGATACTTCGATCTGTCCCTCTACAGAAAAAGTTTGCTGACCCCTGACTTAGAGGAACTGGACAAATTACTTGAAAATTACAATTTACCAAACCAGACATAAAAAGAAATAGAAAATCTGAATGGTAGTATATCTTTTAAATAAATTGAATATGTAATTTAAAACCTTCCCACAAAGAAAACTCCATACCCTGATGGCTTCACTGGGGAGCTCTTTCAAACATTTAAGAAGGAAATAGGCCGGGCGCAGTGGCTCATGCCTGTAATCCCAACACTTTGGGAGGCCGAGGTGGGTGGATCACCTGAGGCCAGGAATTCGAGACCAGCCTGCCCAACATGGTGAAACCCCATCTCTACTAAAAATACAAAAGTTAGCCTGGGAGGTCAAGGCTGCAGTGAGGCAAGATAGTGCCACTGCACTCTAGCCTGGGCAACTGGGGTGAAACCCGGTCTCAAAAAAAAAGAAAGAAAGAAAGAGAGAGAGAGAGAGAGAGAGAGGGAGGGAGGGAGGGAGGGAGGAAGGAAGGAAGGAAGGCAGGCAGGCACTTGTAATCCCAGCTACTTGGTGGCGGGCACTTGTAATCCCAGCTACTTGGGAGACTGAGGCAGGAGAATCGCTTGAACCTGGGAGGCAGAGGTTGCAATGAGCGGATATCGTGCCATTGCACTCCAGCCTGGGCGACAAGAGTGAAACTCCATCTCAAAAAAAAAAAAAATTTAAGATGGAAATAGTACCAATATTACCCAAATTTTCCCAGAGAATATAAAGAGAATACTTTCCAACATGAGGCCAATGTAACATGATACCAAAAGGTGACAGAAACAATAGAAGAAAGTAAAATTACAGGCCCTTATGTCTTATGAACACAGTAGTATAAACCCTAAACAAAATATTAACAAGGGATTGGCTAGATCATGATGATGATGACGATAGGAGTAGGTGGGGATGAAAGATAGATAAAACAAGCTTGGTTATCAGTTGATAATATTTGCAGATGGGTAATTACAAAAGGGTTCACTAAAATCTCTACTTTCGTATATATTTTATATTAGGCAAGAAAAGAAAGTAGCAGAACGGAATAGAAACAGTGTGTGTATTTTTTGTGTGTGGTAAAGAAAAAATACATGACAATAATGAGATCACTTTCACACATTTACACATCCATCTACACACATAGATGGAGTTATAAATGCATAAAGAAAAGAGATCCTCCTCAAACCAGATAATCCTAGTTATGTCGGGGAAGGAGGAAGAAGTAAGATTGGAGATATTTCACTTCCTTTTTTTTTTTAAACTATATTGTTTACATTCTTTGCCCCATGTATAGATTACCTTTTCAGGGAGAAAAAAAAAAAACGACTAAAATTGGAAGAGCAGAGAAGGAACTGCCTTGAGTTGGGTTGAGACCCCACAAACTCTGAGATGACAGCAAAGGAGCCATGGAAAACAAGGAAACTATCCCACTCTCCAAGCCCCTGCCAGAGAACTTTAACTAAAAACAGTCTCTTTAGAACAACTACTGACAATACCACCCTGGACTGAAAACCACTGACCTTCAGGAAAACTCAGTAATAAAATTCCTCAAGTTAAAGTCCCAGAAATCTTGACTTGCTAAGGAGCTGGACTGATTTCTTTTTGTGGAGAATGCAAATCACATTATTGATCATGTTATGTTACCCTTTTCACTGAAGCTGCCAGTCAAAATGTTTTGCTTATAGTCAAAATTTTAGCTAAGTTTCTATGAAGTAAGGCCAGGTGATCTGTGTATCTTCACAGCAATTTTGCCTGTTGATCATCTATTCTCTCTAAATTTCTCTAATCCTTATTTTCAACTAATTGCCCTTTCTCATTTTGTTGTGGGAAAACCAAGTGGCAAACAAATAACTTACCTGGGACTCAATCATTTTCTGTTTCTCTTTGGAAAGCAGTTGGGGGCGGGGTGGGGTGCAGAAGAGTCTTCGGAGATCAAGCTGAGTTAACCACTCTTCAACAGCTGGATGTGACAATGTGTTGCTTGTTAATTCATTGATGACTTGTGTTTCTCATCTGACTCGGTAATTCCATTTCCGGAACTTCGTCCTAAGGTAATAATCATGGATATGTGCAGATATTTAACCACAGAAACCTTCAACACAGTTTTGTCTTTAACACCATATTATTGAAAATAACACAAATGCCCAGCACTAAAGACTGCTGCAAAGGCAGGCAGCCCTTAAAAGCAACACTCCAGATGATTCAAAAAGGTTCAGGAAACACCACCAGCAAATGTAAAGTATGGTCTTGTCTGGCTCTTTACTTGAATAAACAAAAGAAATTTTTGAGATAATCATGAAAGTTTGAACCCTGACTAGATATTTGATAACATTAAGGAATTTAACCATTGATTATCTGAAGATATTATTGCTAATTATTTTACCTTAGGGTAACAGCATCAACCTTTAAGGCCTTATCTTTTTCATAATGAAGCATGTATGGATGAAAATATGTGTCTGGGATTTGTTTCAAAATAATAAAGACTACCCATGTAAAAAGTCATTGAACTGCATACAGGCCGGGTGCGGTGGGCCAGCACGTTGGAAGGCCAAGGCGGGTGGATTGCCTGAGCTCAGGAATTGGAGACCAGCCTGAGCAACATGGCGAACCCCATCTCTACTAAAAAAATGCAAAAAGCAGCCAGGCGTGGTGGTGCATGCTTGTAATCCCAGCATGTTGGGAGGCGGAGGTGGGCAAATTGCTTGAGCCCAGGAGTTGAAGACCAGCCTGGGCAACATAGGGAGACCCATCTCTACAAAAAATTAGCCTGGCGTGGCGGTGCACAGCTGTAAGCCCAGCACTTTGGGAGGCTGAGGCAGGCAGATGGCTTGAGCCCAGGAGTTCGAGACCAACCTGGTCAACATGGCAAAATTCGCCTCTACTAAAAATACAAAAATTAGCCAGGCGTAGTGGTGGGCGCCTGTATTCCCAGCTACTAGGGAGACTGAGACATGAGAATCACTTGAACCCAAGGAGGTGGCATTTGCAGTGAGCCGAGATTGAGCCACTGCACTTCAGCCTGGGCAACGAGCGAGTGAGGAAAGAGGAAAGAAAGGCAAGAAAGGCAGGAAGGAAGGCAGGAGGGAAGGCAGGAAGGAAGGCAGGACAGAAGGCAGGAAGGAAGGCAGGAAGGAAGGGAGGGAGGGAGGAAGAAGGAAGGAAGGAAGGAAGGAAGGAAGGAAGGAAAGAAAAGAAAAGAAAAGAAAAAAGAAAAGAAAAGAAAAGAAAAGAGGGAGGGAGGGAGAGAGGAAGGAAGGAAGGAAGGAAGGAAGGAAGGAAGGAAGAAAGGGAGGAAGGGCATTCCGGGAGGAAGAAGTGAGGGGGTGGCCTAGATGAGGACTTGGCAAACTTTTTCTGTAAAAGGGTCATATGGTAAATGTTTTCAATTTTGTGGGTTCTGTGGTCTCTGCTGTAACTACTCAGCCCTGCCATTGCAGGTTGAAAGTAGCCCTAGACAATACATAAACTAAAGGTGTTCACTGGCTGTGTTCCAATTAAACATCATTTTTGGGCACTGACATTTGAATTTTATATCATTTTCATGGGTCACAAAATATTCTCCATTTGATTTTTTTCCAATGATAAAAAGTGTGAAAAAACCATTTCTTAGCTCATGGCTGTATTTTTTTTTTAAAAAGCAACATGTCATATTTGGCCCACTGCCCAGTTTTCCAGCCCCTGGTCTAGATAAAACAAGATGGGCCATGAGTTGATGACTGATGAGACTGGGTGGTGGGCATAATGGGGTTCCATTATACAATTCCCTCTATTTTTGTGGATGCTTGAAAATTTCCATAAGAAAGGTTTATAGTTAAGTATTACCATAGAAATAAACCAAGTCGTACTACGGGAATTAAGTTAATGGCATGGAAACATCACTGTAAAATGAAGAAGAGGCAGAACACAAGAATGTATTCCTAATTGTTTAATAACAGAATAACAGGCCAGGGGTGGTGGCTCACACCTGTCATCCCAGTACTTTGGGAGGCCAAGGCAAGAGGATTGCTTGAGTCCAGGAGTTCGAGGCCAGCCTGAGCAACATAGTGAGACCTCGTTTCTACAAAAAATAAACAAAATTAGCCGGGCGTGGTGGTGCACACCTGTAGTCCTGGCTACTTGGCAGGCTGAGGCAGGAGAGTCACTTGAATCCGGGAGGCGGAGGTTGCAATGTGCTGAGATCACGCCATTGCACTCCAGCCTGGGCAACAGAATGAGACCCTGTCAAAGAAAAAAAAAAAGGAAAAGAAAAGAAAACAAAAAAAAAATACCATGTAGATCACACATTCTCACTGGGGGGTGATACTGCCCCCAAGGGGACAAAAATTAGTTCTTGGAGGCAAAACAAAACAAAACAAAACAAAAACAAAAAAAAGCTTCTTAGATATTACAATGGGTTGTGACCCTCCAAAGCAACCATAGCTGACAAAACCTTATTCCTTGGTATTTAATTTCCTTCACCAGATTTTGGTATTACATGAGCAGCAGTAACCTTGAGTTCAAGGAAGATCCATGAAATATATACAAAATTAGTGCTGCAAAACTATGGCGAATAGGTAACATTCAGGTATTAACTCACTTCTCATCCCAAGCCTCACAGGGTAGGCCCTGCTATTATCCTCATTTCGCAGTGGGAAACTGATGCCTAGAGAGGTTTCATGAGTTGTCTAAGATCACACTGCCAGTGATTTAGAGCGAGGTGGTAGAGGAACAAAAAGTAAAGAACTCCTCCCAAGCTGTCCTAGCACTAAGATTTTCAGGCAACACCCCTTGCTTCTGGATGCCCTAAAAAATTAGTTATCCTCCTAAATTCCACAGGACATTGTCTGTTTTTTTTTTTTTTGTTTTTTGTTTTTTGTTTTTGAGATGGAGTCTCGCTCTGTCGCCCAGGCTGGAGTGCAGTGGCGCGATCTCGGCTCACTGCAAGCTCCGCCTCCCTGGTTCACTCCATTCTCCTGCCTCAGCCTCCCCAGTAGCTGGGACTACAGGAGCCCGCCACCACGCCCAGCTAATTTTTTTGTAATTTTAGTAGAGACGGGGTTTCACCGTGTTAGCCAGGATGGTCTCGATTTCCTGACCTCGTGATCCGGCCGCCTCGGCCTCCCAAAGTGCTGGGATTATAGGTGTGAGCCACCACGCCCAGCCGATATTGTCTGCTTTTTAACTGAAGAATGTGCTTTACAGTTCAAAATTAACTGAAAATCTTCATATTTAAAGCCATAAAATGAAAAGAGAAGCCAAAAGCTGGAAGGAGATATTTGCAAAACACATACCACTACTAAAGGAGTGGTATCAGAATATATAAAAACAATTCCTGGCCGGGCACGGTGGCTCACACCTGTAATCCCAGCACTTTGGGAGGCCGAGGTGGGTGTATCACCTGAGGTCAAGAGTTCGGGACCAGCCTGGCCAACATGGCGAAACCCTGTCTCTACTACAAATACAAAAAAATCAGCCAGGCGTGGTGGCAGGCGCCTGTAATTCCAGCTACTCGGGAGGCTGAGGTAGGATAATTGCTAGAACCCAGGAGGTGGAGGTTGCAGTGAACCATGATTTCTCCACTGCACTCCAGCCTGGGCGACAGAGTGAGACTTCGTCTAAAAAAAAAAAAAAAAAAAAAAATTCCTACAAATCATTAAGAAAAGGGCAGAGAGTCCAACAGAAAAATGAACAAAAGACAGGCCCCTCACAAAAGAAGATCTCCAAGTGATGAATCCATATAAGAAAATGTGCTCAAACTTATTGGTCATGAGGGAAATACAAATCAAACCACCAAGTTGGACTTCTCCATCGGAATGTGGACACCACAGGAGCAGAGATTTTTGTTCATTCATGCACATATGATTGATCTGAAAAAGCCACCCATCATGGACCCCACAGAATGTCAACACTGACCCCACACACACTCCCATTCTTGTCCTCATAGACCCTCATCCCTCACCCCAGATCCCCCTATCCACTCACCCCACGGATCAGCATCCCTCACCCTACAGACCACCCATCACTCACCCCAGACTCCCTTCACCCATCCCATAGAAGCCCCATCACTCACCCTTACAGACATCATCAAACACCGCACAGATCCCCCATCACCCCACAAACTCCCATTTGCATAACCCACATACTGTTACCCCTGGTCCCACAGGCTCCCCTATCACTGTTCTCCACGTCACTCAATCCCCTCCTCAGGCCCTCCACTTGTCTCCATCCGTCACTGATCACATAGACCCGCAGCACTCAGCCAGGCCCCTCACCCCGGCTCTGCTCTCAAGCCGGGCTTGGCTCCCCGCCTGCCCAAATGCGTTCAACATCCCCCGAAAGGCCATTTCCCTTCCAGTCTTCCCGGAGAGATGTCAGGGTGACGAGGGAGCTTATCTTTCGGTGGCTCCGAAACAGCCACGAAGCCGAGCTCTACCAGTAACAAAAATGGCGTCATTCCGCCAGCGCCAGGACCTCTGTCGCTGGCCGTGGTCTCGCACTGCTTCTGGAGGCTCCCATTCCAGCCAGAGGAGAGGTGCGTTTGGGGGCCCGGGGGAGTCCTCGTGATATCTCCGAGTTTGGGTATTCGGAATTGATCCTACGAAAGCAGTGTGAGGCTTGGAAGGGCCGCGACTTGTCCGGGTGAGTGGGCGTTCCCGGCCACCAGAAGAGGCACGGCCTGAGCAAAGGCGTGGCGACATGGCAGGGTGGGAAACGGGGAAAGTGGGAAGGCTGGACAGAGCACCCCCCGGGAGATTCCTCCGCAGAAGCGAATTCCTAAAACGTCTGGAGAAAGGGAAGAGACCTTTGACATCATGCAGCCTTTCAGGGGGCTCACACATACCCGCCCACTTCTCCCCACCTGGCCTCGGCGCCCTGCCGCCTTCCTATTGTTCCTGCTTGGCGTCAGGACCCGCCCCCATCTGTCACTCACTGCCCACCGGTCCTCCATTGGCTCCTTTGAACACGGAAGGGCCCACCTTCACCTGTCATTTACAGCCTGGACTTCTGCCTGCCCTAGTTCAAGTAGGCTTATATGGCCTTTTGCAGCCCGTATCAAAACTAAAAGAGTTCATAGAGTCAGAGGTTCGAGGTAAAACCTAAGGGACATTGGTTTTAGACGACTTAACAAAGGGCTGGATTGGAAGTCAGCCCGGAACAGGATTGCAGAGTTAACAAAGGTTCATGTTCGATACAAAACGGGAACTCTGATGGTTACAATAGTTAAGAAAGTCCTAGGATTCAAGACCTCTATCAGGGTGTATGGATGGAGAAAACATTAACAAATATCCTGCTTGAAGATCAAATCAGAGGGGCACTGGTGGTGCAATAGTAACCCAATTCCAAAGTTATTTCAGAGAGGCCTTAAATGGAAGGTTAACTTAGACCCAAATCTGAGCCAAGACCAGAGACCCATTAAAGTCACGTGATGTGGTTAACAGAGCCCCGGAATTCACAGCCTATACCAAAGGGGTAATGATGGTGGAAGAATTAATCAAGGTCTGACTTCAAAGTCAAACCAAATGGCATTCATGATAAAAATGTTAACTGAGGGCTGGGCACAGTGGCTAACACTTGCAATCTCAGAACTTTGGGAGGCCAAGGCGGGAGGATCACTTGAGGCCAGGAGTTAGAGACCAGCCTGGCCAACATGGCAAAACCCTATCTCTACTAAAAATACAAAATTTAGCCAGATGTGGTGGCACATGCCTGTAGTCTCAGCTGCTTGGGAGGCTGAGGCATGAGAATCGCTTGAACCTGGGAGGTGGAGGTTGCAGTGGGCCAAGACTGTGACACTGCACTCCAACCTGGGGGAGAGACAAAACTCTGTCTCAAAAAATAAAAATAAGAAAAAAATGTTAACTGAGGGCCGGGCACAGTGGCTGACACCTGTAATCCCAGGACTTTGGGAGGCTGAGGCGGGAGGATCATGTGAGCCCAGGAGATCAAGACCAGTCTGGGCAACATAGTGAGACTCCATCTCTATAAAAATAAATGTTAACTGAGGATTGGGGTTGGTGGATACAGGAGAAGGGGCACAAGTAGCTAAAAAGTTAGTACAGCCTTGATTTTCTGTACATACCAAAGGATCATAGATGGAGAGGACTCAACTGAGGCCTGCAGTCAGTGTAAAGATCTGAGGGATGCAGAGCGTAGTGGCTCACTCCTATAATCCCAGCATTTTGGGAGGTGGAGGCAGGCAGATCACTTGAAGCCAGGACTCAGCATAGCCAACTTGGCGAAAACCTGTCTCTACTAAAAATACGAAAATTACCCAGACGTGGTGGTGCATGCCTGTAATTCCAGCTGCTTGGGTGGCCGAAGCATGAGAATCACTAGAACCTGGGAGGTGGAGGTTGCAGTGAGCAAGAACTGAGGGGCAGTAATGGGGAAAGAGTTAACAGACATGCAAAAAGATTCACATGTAAATTGCCCTGGTGATGGAAAAGTGAACAGAAACTCAAGCTTAACACATAGACCCAGGATTATTAATTTTCCACCCTCAAAGCCCTGAATTCTCTCTCTAGATCCAAACCCATTAATAGTGGAATGGATAACAGATTCCCCAGTTCAAGGTAAAATTAAGGGTTGATTTAGGTTGGAAGAGTTAATAGAAGCCCAGGTTGGAGAGCACAGATAAGAGACTTTGATGGTGGAATTGCTAACAACAGCTGGGGTTTGAGGTGAGGTCAGAGGGATAGGGATGGTGGAAGAGTTAAGAAGGACATGGTTTGAGTATAGACCAGACGGGCCATCAATGATGGAATATTTCAAAGATGCCTGTATTCATTTCCTGTTGTTGCTATAGCAAATTATCACAGACTTACTTGCTCAAAACAACACAAATTTATTATCTTACAGTCCTACATGTCAGAAATATGATATGGGTTTCACTGGGCACTCCCTACAGAGGCTTAGGAGAAACTCTGTTTATTTGCTTTACCTAGCTTCTGCTAGAAGTCACCTGTATTCCTTGACTCATGGTCCCTTCCTCCATCTTCAAAGCTGACAGTGTAGCATCTTCACATTGCTCTCTGACGGTAACCTGCTTCCATCATCACGTCTCCTTTTCTAACTCAAACCCTTCTCCTTCCCTGTTTTATATATATATGGAGAGAGAGAGAGAGAGAGAGAGAGAGAGAGACAGACAGACAGGATCTTGCTCTGTCACCCAGGCTGGAGTGCTGTGGTGTGATCAGACACTGTAACCTTTAACTTCGGGGCTCAAGCGATCCTCTCACCTCCGCCTCTGGAGTAGCTAGGACTACAGGCACATGCCACCACGCCCAGCTAATTTTTTTACTTTTCTTTTTTTTTTTTAGACAGAGTCTCACTCTGTCGCCCAGGCTGGAGTGCAGTGGCGCAATCTCGGCTCACTGCAAGCTCTGCCTCCTGGGTTCACGCCATTCTCCTGCCTCAGCCTCCAGAGTAGCTAGGACTACAGGTGCCCGCCTCAACGCCCGGCTAATTTTTTGTATTTTTAGTAGAGACAGGGTTTCACCATGTTAGCCAGGATGGTCTTGATCTCCTGACCTCCTGATCTGCCTGCCTCAGCCTCCCAAAGTGCTGGGATTACAGGCGTGAACCACCACGCCTGGCCATTTTTTAACTTTTGGTAGAGACAGGGTCTTGCTAGGTTGCCCAGGCTGGACTCCAATTCCTGGCCTCAAGCAATCCTCCCAACTCAGCCTCCCAGAGCGCTCCCTCCCTCTATGAAGGAGGACCCTTGATTACATTGGGCCCATCTAGATAATGTAAGGACCCTTGATTACATTGGGCCCATCTAGATAATCCAGGAAAATCTCATCTTAAAATTCTTAATCACATCTGCAAAGTTCCTTTTGCTTTGTAAGGTAACATATTCACAGGTTCTAGGGGTTGGGAGAGGGATATCTCTGGGGGGACTATTAATCTGTCTACCACAATGCCCAATGTTTAAGTCAAACCAGAGGGCCAATGGGGGCGGAAGATTTGATTGAAGCATAGGGTATTAACAAGAGAAAACGATCAATGGTTTGAATCAGATTTAAGTTCACATAGGATGGGCCTAGATGAGGGGTCCAGGCTGTTACGTCAGAATTGCATCAAGGGCCTGAGTTCAAAGTTAAAGGAAATTCAAAGTCAAAGTTCAAATTTCAAAGGAAATTGATGGAATCTCAACAGAGATCCTGAGCTCTGGATCAAAGCCCCAGGAGCACTGGTGGTTAAAAAAAAAAAAAAAGTCAACAGAGGCCCAGGTTTAAGATCTACAATATAGACACATTGATGGTGGAATAATTAACAGGTTTGAGGGTGGGCTGGGTGCGGTGGCTCATGCCTGTAATCCCAACACTTTGGAAGGCCGAGGTGGGCGGATGACAAGGTCAAGAGATCAAGACCATCCTGGCCAACACGCTGAAATCCCGTCTCTACTAAAAACACAAAAATTAGCTGGGCATGGTGGTGCACTCCTGTAGTCCCAGCTACTCGGGAGGCTGAGGCAGGAGAATTGCTTGAATCCAGGAGGCAGAGGTTGCAGTGAGCCGAGATCATGCCACTGCACTCCCACCTGGTGACAGAGCGAGACTCCATCTCAAAAAACAAAACAAAACAAAACAAAACAAAAAATCTGAGGGCCATTGATGATTAACGACTTAACAGGGCTGGGTGCAGTGGCTCACACCTGTAATCCCAGCACTTTGGGAGGCTGAAGCAGGAGGATCACTTGAGCCCAGGAGTTCAAGACCAACCTGGACAACATAGCAAAAACCCATCTCTACAAATAAAAAAACAATTAGCTGGGTGCAGTGGTACATGCCTGTAATCTCAGCTACTCCAGAAGCTGAGGCAGGAGGATCGCTTGAGCCCAGGACTTCGAGGCTGCAGTGGGCTATGATTGTGATACTGCACTTCAGCCTGGGTGACAGAGCAAGACCCCTAAAAAAAAATTTAACAGCCAGCCAGATTCAATGTCAAAAAATGGGAGCATTAATGCTAAAATCTATAACTGAGCTCTAGGTTTAATATATAAATCAGAGTGGGAAAACTAATGGTGTTAAGAAACCTGGATTTAATTCACAGATCAGAAGAGGCATTGATGGAGGAAAAATAAAAAGAAGTCAGGTTTGGTTTTCATGCTAGAAATGAGTTGATGATGAAATAGTTAACAGAGATGCCCCAACAAGTGGGGCATTAGGGGTGGAAGCATTAACAGAAGTAGGCATAAAGAGAAAACTGAACAGTCCAGGCACAGTGGCTCACGCCTGTAATCCCAACACTTTGGGAGGCTGAGGCAGATCACTTGAGGTCAGGAGTTTGAGACCAGCCTGGCCAACATGGGGAAACCCCATCTCTATTAAAAATACAAAAATTAGCTAGGCGTGGTGGCACATGCCTGTAATCCTAGGTACTCAGGAGGCTGAGGCATAAGAATCACTTGAAACCGGGAGGGGGAGGTTGCAGTGAGCAGAGATCACACCACTGCACTCCAGCCTGGGCAACAGAGTGGAACTCCATCTCAAAAAAAAAAGAAAGAAAGAAAGAGAGAAAACTGAACAGAGAACCAGGTGCAAGGTCAGGCCTGAGTGGCAGTGAAAGTGGAAGAGTTAACACAGGACCAAGATCAAGGCTCAGATCTGAAGGCCATAGATGGCAGAAATGTGACCCAAGGCCTAGATTCAGTGTGGAGAAGAGAGGACACATAATCTGCTGTGTAGCCCTAACTAAAGCCACAATCATGTCTAGACTTCATCAGTGTTATGCAGTAGCTGCTGTGCACTGAATTGTGTTCCCTCAAAATTTGTATGTTGAAGACCTAACACCCTACATGACTGCATGGGAGATACGGCCTATAAGAAGATGATTAAGGTTAATGATGTCAGAAGGTGGAACCCTGATTGGAGACAAGTGTAAGAGACCCAAGAGATTCTCTCTCCGCCATGTGATGACACAGCATGAAGGCAGCCATCGGCAAGCCAGAAAGAGAGGCTTCACCAGAAACCAAACCTTTCTGGAACCTTGATCTTGGACTTTCCAGCCTCCAGAACTGTGAGAAAATAAATTTCTATTGTTTAAGCCATCTAGTCTATGGTATTTTGTTATGGCAACCTAAGCAGACTAATACAGTAGCTATGTACATCTTTAAGATTTCTCTCAAATATGTGGGAAACTATGTATGACAGGACCCCTGGAAGTTAAGAATTTTCATGATGATCAAAGCCCTTCTCAATAATTTTTTGATGCTTCTCTCTAGACATGTCCACAGGAATTTTTAAAAATAAAATGTTTAGGCAGAGCACAGTGGCTCAGGCCTATAATTCCAACTCTTTGGGAGCCCAGGGCAGGAGGATAGCGTGAGCCCAGGAATTGGAGACCAGCCTGGGCAACCTAGTGAGATCCCATCTCTACAAAAAATGTAAAAATAATAATAATAAAAAATAAAATAATCTTTACAAAAATTTCTGATGCAGTAAGTAATGCCTTTCATGCATACTCCTGGACTCTAGACCCAGAGCTTCTGATCCAATAAGTCAAGGATGAGGTCCAATACTCTGCATTTATTTTAATGCTTTATTTGGAAATAATTTCAAACTTACAGAAAAAGTTGCAAAAATAGTACAAAGAACTCTCATATACCCTTCATCCAGATTCTCCAAATGTGATTATTTTATCCTATTTTCTTTACATATATATAACATATATGTACATATATATGGTGCATATTATATATATATATATACACATAATTTTTTCTGAATCATTTAAATATAAATGTCTGTTGCAGGAAGTCAGGGACCCCAAACGGAGGGACTGGCTGAAGCCATGGCAGAAGAACGTGAATTGTGAAGATTTCATGGACATTTATTAGTTCCCCAAATTAATACTTTTATAATTTCTTATGCCTGTCTTTACTGCAATCTCTAAACATAAATTGTAAATATTTCATGGACACTTATCACTTCTTCAATCAATACCCTTGTGATTTCCTATGCCTGTCTTTACTTTAATCTCTTAATCCTGTCAGCTGAGGAGGATGTATGTCGCCTCAGGACAATATGATAATTGCGTTAACTGCACAAATTGTACAGCATGTATGTTTGAGCAATATGAAATGTGGGCACCTTGAAAAAAGAACAGGATAACAGCAATTGTTCGGGGAATAAGAGAGATAGCCTTAAACTCTGAATGCCGGTGAGCCGGATGGAACAGAGCCATATTTCTCTTCTTTCAAAAGCAAATGGGAGAAATATGGCTGAATTCCTTTTCTCAGCAAGGAACATCCCTGAGAAAGAGAATACGCACCTGGAGATATAGGCCTATGAACGGCCCCCCCAGGTGCACCTGTCTTTTATGGTCAAGACTGCAGGGGTGAAATAAACCCCAGTCTCCCATAGCACTCCCAGGCTTATTAGGAAGAGGAAATTCCCACCTAATAATTTTGGTCAGACCGGTTGCTCTCAAAACCCTGTCTCCTGATAAGATGTTATCAATGACTATGGTGCCCGAATCTTCATTAGCAATTTTAATTTCACCTTGGTCCTGTGGTCCTGTGATCTCGCCCTGCCTCCACTTGCCTTGTGATATTCTATTACCTTGTAAAGTACTTGATGTCTGTGACCCACACCCTATTCGTATACTCCCTCCCCTTTTGAAACTCCCTAATAAAAACTTGCTGGTTTAACGGCTTGTGGGGCATCACAGAATCTACCGACATGTGATGTCTCCCCCGGACGCCCAGCTTTAAAATTTCTCTCTTTTGTACTCTGTCCCTTTATTTCTCAAGCTGGCCGATGCTTAAGGAAAATAGAAAAGAACCTATGTGAATATCGGGGTAGGTTCCCCAATAAATGTCAGCCTGGCAAGGTGGCTTAGGCCTATAATTGCAGCACTTTGGGAAGTCAAGGTGGGATGATCACTTGAACTAAGGAGTTCGAGACAAGCCTGGGCAACATGGCAAAATCCCATCTCTACCAAAAATACAAAAAATTAGCCAGGTGTGGTGGCACATACCTGTGGTCCCAGCTATTCAGGAGGCTGAGGTGGGGGGATTGCTGGAACCTGGGAGGTGGAGGATGCAGTAAGCCGAGATCATGCCTCTGTACTCCAGTCTGGGCAACAGAGTGAGACTCTGTCTCAAAAAACAAACAAACAGAAACAATAAATGTCCCTAAATACTAGTGTGTTTTTGCTAAAGAAAAACAGAGAAAACAGGACATTGCCTTATATAACCATAATATAATAATCAAAGTCAAGAAATTAACATTGATACAGCACAATTATCTAATCTTTAAACCTTTTTGGGCTGGGTGCGGTGGCTTGAGCCTGTAATCCCAGCATTTTGGGAGGCCGAGGTGGGTGGATCACTTGAGGTCAGGAGTTGGAGACCAGCCTGGCCAACGTGGTGAAATCCCATCTCTACTAAAAATGCAAAACTTAGCTGGGTGTGGTGGTGGGTGCCTGTGATCCCAGCTGCTTGGGAGGCTGAGACAGGAGAATTGCTTGAACCCGGGAAGCAGAGAGGTTGCAGTGAGCCAAGATCATGCCATTGCTCTCCAGGCTGGGTGACAAGAGTGAAACTCTGTCTCAAAAAACAAAAACAAAACCTTTTCAAAATATGCCAATAGTCCCAATAATGTTCTTTACAGCAAAAGACAACTTTTTTTCTGTTCCTGGATCCAGTCTAGATTCTGCTTTGCATTTACCTGTCTCATCTCTTCAGTCTCCCTTAATCTGTCCTTTCTTCATCTTTTATGACATTGGCCTTTTTTGAAGGACATAGGCAGGTTGTTTTGCAGAATGTACCTTGGGTTCATACTGACATCTCTGATTCCAGTCCAAGGTCTCAGGATTATTTTAGCCCTACCTCCTTTCCAGATTTGTAATGCCTTTCTCAGACAGTGAGAAACATGGCTCTCATTATCTCTATTTTACTCATTTGTTCAATCCTCATATACACATAAAGTAGTCTCAGAATTCCTAACCATACCCCTGTGTTAAAAAAAAAATCACTAACTAAATTACAAAATTTGGCTGGGCATGGTGGCTCATGCCTGTAATCCGAGCACTTTGGGAGGCCGAGGTGGGAGGACCACTTGAGCACAAGAGTTAAAGATTAGCCTGAGCAACATAGGGAAACCCCATCACTATTTAAAAAATAAAAATAAAAAAGTACAATATTTGCATACAGTCATTTTTGATTTTTGTCTTATAGTATCCAGTCAAAATAACTGTTTCCCAAAGTTACTCAGATTAGCTATTTTCTTCCTCATGCCCGTTAGCGTGGTTATGTTATTCATTTGTAATATACTTAGGTTCCTTTGTTTCTATTTATGTTCCATTTTGGGTCCCCCCAAGCCTAGTTTATTTTAATGTATTTATTTTTTCACCTACTTCCTCACTTTTCTATATCTATTTTTGCAATATGTGAAACACTACTATGCTTTTAAAAGAGGCAAAACTATACCAAAAGAATAAAAGTGTTCCTCCCTGCTCATCCCTACTTCCCATCCCCTCCTTTCCACCATGTTCCTACCCATCCCCTTTAGGTAAAAATCTCGTTCATTATTGTTTCATGCGCAAGCTCAGGATGAAAGTGTTGGGCCTTGGGAGGTGGATTCCCATGATTCCATGCTCCGGTTCCCTTCTGCAGTAAATGTATCCAAAGGCCTGACCGTGCTTCTTAGATTTCCTGGGTGTAATGTATTGAAGAGGGTGGGGGAATTCACCTGAGCGCATGGTTGTGGGATCACCCAGAAATTGAGGAGTTTCACTATTTTATTTAATTTAGGGTTTAAAAAGTTAAAGTGTGTTCCATATACCTGCAAGAAAACAGCCAGTTTATGGCAAAAACGGTGCTATCTTGAAGCAAATCCACCATCATGATCAACGTTTGACTCCTGCATACCGAAGTGTTCTGCAGCAAGGTTTTTAAACAGTTCCTGCAGTATAGATAACCTTAATAATAAGCTTATTTAACCTGCCCAGTTTTCTTTCTCTTTTCTTTTCTTTTTTTTCTTTTCTTTCCTTTCTCTCTCTCTTTCTCTCTTTCTCTCTCTTTCTTTCTTTCTTTCTCCTTCCTTCCTTCCTTCCTTCCTTCCTTCCTTCCTTCCTTCCTTCCTTCCTTCCTTTCTTTCTTTCTTTCTTTCTTTCTTTCTTTCTTTCTTTCTTTCTTTCTTTCTTTCTTTCTTTCTTTCTTTCTCTCTTTCTTTCTCTTCCAGAGTCTCGCTCTGTCACCCAGGCTGGAGTGCAGTGGTGCGATCCTGGCTCACTGCAACCTCTGCCTCTCGGGTTCAAGCAATTCTCCTGCCTCAGCCTCCAGAGTAGCTGGGATTACAGGTGCCTGCCACCCACACCTGGCTAATTTTTACATTTTTAGTAGAGACAGGGTTTCACCATGTTGGCCAGGCTGGTCTCAAACTCTTGACCTCAAGTGATTTGCTCGCCTCGGCCTCCCAGTGTTGGGATTACAGGTGTGAGCCACTGTGCCCGGCCTCCCCAGTTTTCCAGAGTTTTGGCAAGCAAGTCTAAGACCAGACTGGCTGGACGTGTCTTTACTCTAAAAGCATGCTATAGAAAGAATACTTTCTGATGGGCGGGTGCGGGGTTCCACCCTCTTAGAGCTCCCTGAGATGGCCTGCATTCCTAAGTCCCTATTAAATATTCCTTTCTGAGAACTGGGTTTGTCAGCCTTATTCTTCTGCCTTTCAGTTCCCTTGGCCTTTAGGGGTGGGTTTGCGTATACCAGCTACTGTGGAACATTTGCTGAGCCAGGCAGGAGCTGAAGAACTAAGAAATTGATCCTTTTGTAGTTCCTAAGCATGATGATTGGGTGTTCATGTGCTTATGTGAGATGTGCCTTTCTCAAACCTTGTTATGACATCAGCACATTATTCATCTGATATGAAAAAAAAAAAAAGAAATGGGTAAGGGGAATGAAGCATCTGTGCGTGAAACTCCAGGGTGGCCAGCAACATCTATGTGGGGTGGTGTGACACCTCTGTTAGATGCTTGTGGACCTCCGCATGAGTAATGGGACATCCCGAAAACTCAAAAGGAGTTATTAACTGAAAGCCATATAGTGCACTGCGATAGGGAAGGGTGGTGGATAACCTATCCAGTGGGCTGGCCACTTCTCTGGGCTGTTCATTTGGCATTGGAGGCCCAGCTAGCAGCAGAGATGAAAATTAAATGGCTAGGGAAGGAATTGCAACAAGAAAAAGACACGTGACTTTTGACTTTTCTCCTTGCATCCAACATAATGAAGAAAATTGACGACCAAGAGAACAAAAATTGAAACCTTAGCATGTAGATAGATTGGTCCGCCTAGGGGGAATGAAATGGAAATGACCAGAAATTAAAGCTGTCATAACTAAGCCCGATTGGGATGTGAAAATTTGGAAACCCTGGGAATGTTGTGGAGAGGAATATTTCGATGACATAGAAGTCATAGCTGAAGAGGGGAATGAAGATCTTTGGCAAGCTCGCCCCTCGTGCACAGGAAAGTGAAAGCTGAACAACTCCAGCAAAATTGGAGTTGGCTGATCCAGGAGAATCTCACAATCAGTGTATATCACTCTCACTATCACTATCTCACTGCTACAGAACTCCTAAAGATTGCAAAGACGTTTAAACAACCACCTAAGGAACCACTGACCTCTTAGATGGTCCAATTGTGGGACACAGGGTTTTTCTTTAGCTGGGAATCAAGCAGAGAAAAATGATTAATATCATCACCCACCTGGTCCTGCAGCAATACCTTCATAACCCAGGAAGAATAGCCTTATGGAATGGATTATTCTAGCTATGAGAGAGGCTTGGCCTAATGAGAAAGATTTACCAGGAGGGACAACCTGCTGGTGGTCAATCAAAGAGGCCCTGGGGCTTCTCTGGGAATTAGGAATGAGGCAAGCCATCTATACCTGGGTTTTCACAGGAACTGATATAGCAGTTTTTACTGCCAGGGTGAAAAATAAATTGCTACAGCATGCATGAAGAGAATGGCAGGGCCCTTTTCTGTCTTTGTTGAGGCCTGGAGTGGAACAAGATGTATATGATGTGGGACAAGGCATT
The DNA here is from genome assembly GCF_000001405.40 of Homo sapiens. NCBI lineage: Eukaryota > Metazoa > Chordata > Mammalia > Primates > Hominidae > Homo > Homo sapiens. Next base: position 48,083,040 of record NC_000023.11, read on the forward strand.
GCAAATTTGGAAAAAACTGAGCAAACCAGGGACAGGGTAAGCTTGGGAACCTGACGAGGGTTAGCAAAAGGGAAAAAGAAAATCCCACAGAAAGAAGGAGGAAAAAAAGGGAAAGGGATAGATAAGAGGCACATGTAAGTAAATGTGGCATGATTTATTGGGAGCAGAAACACCCCAATAAAAAATAGACAAACAACCTAACGCTGTATTAGCAGTCACATAGAGGGAACTACCGCCTAAACAGCAATTTCGTTGCTTCCTTTCTGCCCCTCCTGCAGAAGAGGAAGACTAGACCCCTTCTTGTAATGCCCCAGCCTATCAGGGTGGATCCCATCCGGGCTCCGAAATTACTAGGGCCGAGGTTAATCCCATGTTTGAACAATAGAGGGCGACCAGAGGCCCCATATTGAGCTCATCACTTACTGGTCCTGAGAATTAAGACTATTGCCTTACTAGGGACAGAATGTACTTTAATCCATGGACACATTCAGAAAGACCCTTTGGTCAATGGTCTGCCATTGAGGGTTATGGGGGACAAATGATCCCGGTAAAAAGGACTTTAATACATCTCGGTTTGGGGAAAGTGTCCTCTGCCCCATATATGGTGCTTATTTCCTCTATTCCATAAAATATTTTAGGCATGGATATTCTGTTAGGAAAGACTGTAAACTTCAGTGGAAGAATTCAGATTAAAGGTGGGTATAGTACAGGTATTCTCAGGAGAGGTCAAAATGGAAACCCGTACAATTCTCTAGCCCCAGGTAGGTTGTCAACGTTAAACAATACAAATTGCCTGAGGGGCATACTGTAATAAGTGCAGCTATTGAGGAACTTAAAAGGTACATATTATCCGGCCAACTCAAAGCAAGATTATCAGTTCCATCTGGCCTGCATGCAAACCTGACCAGGCCTGGCTGATGACTGCGGGTTACCAGAAATTGAACAAGGTAACCCTGGCCATACAAGCTGCAGTTTCTTAAATTACTCAGGTAGTCAACCACATCGTGTCTGTCCTGGGTACACATCATGCTGTCTTAGGTTTGGCTAATACCTTTTTCTGCATTCTACTGTCCAAATAATCACAAAACCAATTGCTTTTACCTGGCAAGGTTTCCAGTGGACCTTTCAAGTGCTGCCCTAGGGCTATTTCACACTCCTACAATTCGTCACCCAATGATAGCTAGAGACTTGTCTTTGCTCTCACTCCTGACTTCTCTTTTTTAGTCTTCTTATATTTATAATATGGCGTTAACCTCTGAGATGTTCATGTGTATTATGAAAGTCTGAGGGCATTGTGCAATCATCTTCTGGAACAAGGGTGGGAAATCAACCCTTCAGAAGATCTAGGGCCCAGGGCCTGCAGTGAAGTTTTAGGGGTTACATGGTGGAGTAAGATTCCTTTTATATTGGGTACATTAATGGACAAAATCCAGTAATATCCAACTCTGAAAACAAAAGAGAAATCCAAACATCTGTGGGTCTTTTAGGATATTAGAGAGCATTTGTCCCACCCTTAGCCCAATGTTTGAGGCCACTATATGGACTTATTAGAGAAAGGAAACATTGAGACTGAGACACGTCACAGCAGGGAGCTTTGAACAGGCTAAAGTGCTAGTATAGCAGGTGCAAGCCTCAGGCACCCCTTTAGAGGGAGTAGAGATGACTTTGGATGTTACTGCTACTCCTGTGGGCAGGAGTTGGGCCTTATGGCAACCACGGTATGGTAAATCAATCCCTTTAAGATTTTGGTCACAATTACGGAAAGGAGCGAAGCCAGATACTGAAAGGAAATTTTCCCTGACCCCTTCACAGGCCTCATGACAGGGGTGCCTTGCTTACTCAGCCCACAGCTCTCAACCCCTTGTGGGATGGGAAGCATGCAGGTGAGCTCGTGTAAGAGCCAGGGAAAGTGCTTTAGGGTGCTGGCAGGAGCAAAACTCTGTGCGTGCCCCAAGGCAGCATCTAAGGAGGATAAAACTCCCGTGGGCCCCCAAAACCCCAGGGCATGCATTACAGTGAGCTCTTTTAGCTTTACTGCCCGAGGATGGCTTAAGTAAGTGTTTAACAGCTCAGTGAACCTTCTGCCTTTTCGTGAGGGCAAAGGGTCAGTGTGACAGCCTTTTTGTATTCCGAGCTCTTGTCCAGCATCCAGGAAAAATCAGATTGCACGAACGAATTGAAGGATAACAAATGCAGGGGATTTTATTGCCGATGGAAGTGGCTCTCAGCAGGAAAGGGAGCTGGAAAGAGGAAGGAGCAGGAGAGTATTCTTCCCCTGAAGTCTGGCCATCTTCAGCCAGACTGTTCTCCAAAGTTCTGCCATCAAGCCATCCCTCTGAAGTCAAACTGCACCTCTCCAATGTTCAGCTGCTTCTTTTCTTCTCCCCTTCTCTGCTCTCTGCCAGTGGAGCCTGGGGTTTTTATATGTACAGGATGGAGAGCATGGCGGGCCAGGGGTGGTTTTGGAAAAGGCAACATTCGATCAGGAAAACGGGGATGTGAAGTTCTCACTTTGGGCTGCGGTTCCAAGCTTGAAGGTGGGGCCCTCGTCAGGGACTCCACTTCTTCTGCCTAGAATTTATCTGCCTCCTGTCCCTATCAGTACTCTCCCATTGAACAAGTGCTAGCAGTGTATGCTTTACAGAAGGTGGAATAATTAGCAAAGACCCTTCCCATGACTGTGAGAACTGGTCTACCAATCAAGGGATGTATAGAAGGATTATTTAAATCACCCACCTCCGTTTAAATCCCAAACACCTATCTTGAATAAATGGCATGCCTGTTTGCAACAATGAAGTGTCCTGGTAACCAATCCCTTAAGCCGAGAATTGCATGCTGTGTTAGGCCTTGTTATATGTGAGCAACCAAAGGACATCCCTTTGCCCCTTCCTACCCCAGTGTGTGACTCGATAAGCAAAGGAGTGTTATGCATCCCTGATCATGCTTGGTATACAGATGGCTCCAGCAAGGGAAACCCCTGTACTTGGACCGCTGTTGCTATATGACCACAAACTGATACAATCTGGCTTGATATAAGTACCCATCACAGTAGACAGTGGGCTGAGTTGCAAGCTGCTTGGTTAATAATCACACATAAGCCCTGGCCCCTGGCTCTTTGTGCTGATAGCTGGGCTACATTCAAAGGCCTAATTATGTGGCTAGCCCAGTGGCAACAAGAAAAATGGGTGTTTATGCACAAACCCATATAAGGCATGAACATGTGGCAAGACACATAGAGAAGCTGCAACACCTTGCAGCTGATGAAATAGTTGGTATTTCATGTAGTGGTACACAATAGGACTCAGTTCCAGGAAGTATAGAAGCTGACACCCTAAGAACAATTAGAAGCATTGTGCTCTGTCCCAGGCCAATAAATAGAGACCTGTGTACATAACAAAAGTAGTAGTCATAGAAGTGCAAGAGTAGGCTTGGAGATAGCCAAGAAGGCAGGATTGCCCTTAAAATATACTGACCTCCCAATAGCTGTTAAAAATGTTGATATGGTTTGGCTCTGTGTCTGCACCCAAATCTCATGTTGAATTGTAATTCACACATGTCAGGGGAGGTGGCTGGATCATGGGGGCGGTTCCCCTATGCTGTTCTCATGATAGTGAGTGAGTTCTCATGAGATCTGATGGTTTAAAGGTGTTTGGCAGTTCCCTCCTTGCTCTCTTTCTCTCCTGCCACCATGTGAAGAAGGTCCTTGCTTCCCCTTTGCCTTCTGCCATGATTGTAAGTTTGCTGAGGCCTCCCCAGCCACATGGAGCTGTGAGTCAATTAAGCTTCTTTCCTTTACACGTTACGCAGTCTTAGGTAGTTCTTTATAGCAGTGTAGAAACGGACTAATACAAATGTATACCACATTCTTGATTCCATCCACACTATATACCATACCATGCAGGACACACTCATAGGGCTGTCTACCCTATAACAGATCAGCAAATGAATTATATAGGGCTTCTTTTTGTAAGTCAAGACAAAAAGTATGTATTGGCCTGTGTAGATACTGCTACTGAACTGCTGTAAGTTTGTCCTTGTAAGTGAGCTAATCAAGCCAGTACTATTAAAGGTTTAGAGGCTCTCAGTACTATGTATGGATATCTTTGACACATTGACAGTAACCAAAAGACCCATTTTGCTGGACATGATGTGCAGGACTGGGCCACGGAACACAACAGATCATGGCATTTTCATCTCCCATGTAACCTCCAAACAGCAGGGTTCACTAAAAAGAAAACTGGTCTTCTGAAAGCACAAATTCAGTTTCCTGGGGAGGCTGAGCATGGTGGCTCACACTTGTAATCCCAGCACTTTGGGAGGCTGAGGTGGGAGGATCGATTGAGGTCAGGAGTTCGAGACTAGCCTGGCCAACATGGCGAAACCCCATCTCTATTTAAAAAAAAAAAAATACAAAAATTAGCTGGCCGTGGTAGCACACACCTGTAATCCCAGCTACTCTGGAGGCTGAGGCAAGAGAATTATTTGAACCTGGGAGGCAGAGGTTGCAGTGAGCCAAGAGCATACCACTGCACTCCAGCCTGGGCAACAGAGCGAGACTCTGTCTCAAAAAAAAAAAAGTTTCCTAGGGAAACCTACAGTATTAATCCGTTCTCACATTGCTACAAAGAAATACCTGAGACTGGGTAACTGGAAAAGAGGATTAATTGGCTCACCGTTATACAGGCTATGCAGGAAGCACAGCAGCTTCTGCTTTGGGAGAGGCCTCTGAAAGCTTCTGATCATGGTGGAAGGCAAAGGGGGAACAAGCATCTCACATGGCAGGAGCAGGAGCAAAAGAGAGTCAGAGAGGAAGTGCTACACACTTTTAAACAACCTGATCTCACAAGAACTCACGCACTATTGTGAGGATAGTACGAAGGGGGTGGTGCTAAACCATTCATGAGTAATCCACCCCCTTGATCCAATCACCTCCCACCAGGCCCCACCTCCAACATTGGGGATTACAATTTGACATGAGATTTGGTGGAGATACAGATCCAAACCATATCACCTATCACCTACCTTGCTAGAGTGGATGAATGTGTGATCTGCAGGGCTTATGTATTTAACTTCAGCCAAAGCAGGATGCTTGCTCCATATGACTTGTTGGGACCACCGTACCCCAAGCCTACCACTATTTGCATATGGGTAACTGAGAAGACCGCTTTGCTCCCAGACCTGATTGACAACCAGCATATTTTGTGCATAACAACACTGACAGATATACTGTCAGGGGAGAGGACACTGCACTGGGGCTTAGAATGGCAAATACCCCCAGGCTGGATAGGCTATTTCTTGCCATAGATGGGGGAATATCCTCAACAGTTAGAGTGGTTCCCATTGCTCCTATTGAATACTGGACCCATGATCACCCGCTATAAATGGTTAGGGGAAACAGTATTATAAGCGAACTAACACAGGAACAAAAAACCAAATACTGCACGTTCTCACTTGTAAATGGGAGCAAAACATTGAGTACACATGGACACAAAGAAGGGAACAAGAGACACCAGGGCCTACTTGAGAGTGGAGGGAGGGAGGATCGAAACACTACCTATAGGATACTAAGCTTATTGCCTGGGTGATGAAATAATCTGTACGCCAAACCCCTGTGACATGCAATTTACCTATATAAGGAACCTGCACATGTACCCCTGAACCTAAAATAAAAGTTTTTTTTAAAAAAAGAAGCACAAATTCAAACTTTCCTGGAGAAACCTACCTTGCAAAGGTGGATGAATGTGTGATCTGAAGCCCTTATTTCTTTAACTTCAGCCAAAGGGATGAGGTGCCTGCCCCATGTGATAGGTTGGGACCACCATTCCCCAAGCCTACTATTTTTCACATACGGGTAACTGAGAGGACTGCTTTACTTTCAGACCTAGTTGACACCCACCATATTTTCTGCATGAAGACAGTGACAGACATTCTACCAGAGGAGGGGACACTGCACTGGGGCTCAGAATGGCAAATACACCCAGGCTGGATCGGCTATTTCCTGCCAGAGATGGGGGAATATCCTCAACAGTTAGAGTGGTTCGCATTGATCTTATTGAATACTGGTCCCCGATCACTCATTATAAATGGTCAGGGGAAGCATATATACCCCATGGCATGGTGGTGAGCTCTCTAATATGGTGTACTCTCAATCAAATTACTTTGACCACGGCTGCTGACACTTCATCCTTGGGCAACATGGTTGGTATATGGCCCCTTTCCCTTTACAAAAGCCAAGAGCTGACTCTATACTAACTACTCTAAATGAATGGACTGGTGTATTCTGACAGATGGAAAATAAATTTCCTTGCAAATACCCACTAAGTTTGTTTCCTTTCATCCTTAGTTGTCATGTTCTGTCAATACTATCACTAGCTGCCACCTAGGAAGCAAACCTTTTCCTACAATGGGCCCAAGAGTATGCTGTTGGCTTACAGAAAAACATCTGTTGGGGCCGGGCACAGTGGCTCACACCTGTAATCCCAGCATTTTGGGAGGCTGAGGCAGGTGGATCACTGGAGCTCAGGAGTTTGAGACCAGCCTGGCCAACATGGTGAAACCCCGTCTCTACTAAAAATACAAAAATTAGCCGGGTGTGGTGGCAGGCGCCTGTAATTCCAGCTACTCAGGGGGCTGAGGCAGGAGAATCGCTTGAGCCCAGGAGGCGGAGGTTGCAGTGAGCTGAGATCACGCCACTGCACTCCAACCTGGGCAACAGAGCAAGACTCCATCTCAAAAAAAAAAGAAAGAAAGAAAAAAAGAAAAACATTGGTTTGGTATGCGGCCTCATGCCACTCTCCCATGCTTCTGGCCTGCCGTGGTGGGTATCTCCTTTCCAAGGATGAGATTGGAGAGACTATATAACACAAATGACCAATTTCTCAGACTGAACCCCTGCGTTGAATGCTGTAGTTGTTACTGGCTTCATAGCTGGCTTCGGTCCTGGGGCACCTGGTGGCAGAAGCTGCTTCTTGGTTTAGGTGTTGTGCTCCTATGTTCCTTACTGTCCTGGTTTTGCCTTTACTGTTGCTGCAGCATTTTCCTCCAATAAAGCCAATGAGCTGCTGCTATAGCTATACAATATCAAGCACCCTCCCTCTAGACCCAGGGACTATCAAGGAACAGGTGGGCACGTGAGATTGCAAGGACCAGTACTGAGGAGTGGAGTGTAGGTATACAGCCTGCTGCATGGCCAGAGTGATTTCATCTTGAAGGGAAAATATCATGATGACAGATGTTTGACTCCCGCATACCAAGGTATTTGGCAACAAGGTCTTTAAACATTGGCCGTAGCGTAGATAATGTCTCATAAAGATGCTTATCTAACCTCTCCAGTGGTCAAGAGTTTCTGCAAGAAAGTGTGAGACATGGCCAGGTGCTCATGTTTAGCATAAAAATTTTCTATAGAAAGTAAACTTTCTGGAGGACGGGTGTGGGTTCCACCCTCTTGCAGCCACTGGACACATAGCTTCTGTTCAAAGGTCACCATTAATTGTTTATTTCTGAGAAACTCGATTTGTCAGCCTCTTTCTTTGGCCTCTCAGTGCCCTTGGCCTTTGAGGGTAAGTTTACATAGAACTGCTCACCACGGAACAATACCAATGTGCCCAATATATTGTCTTTCTTTCTAGAGCAATTACTACAACAGTAGGAAATAAAATGTTACAAGGTGTTGTCTTTCTTTCTTTCTTTTTTTCTCTCTTTCTTTCTCTCTTTCTCTCCCTCTCTCTTTCCTTTCTTTCTTTCTTTCTTTTTTTCTTTCTTTCTTTCTTTCTTTCTTTTCTTTCTCTCTTTCTTTCTTTCTCTCTTCTTCATTTCTTCCAACACAGAGTCTCACTTTATTGCTTAGGCTGCAGTGCAGTGCTGTGATCTTGGCTCGCTGCAACTTCCGCCTCCTAGGTTCAAGTCGTTCTCCTGCCTCAACCTCCCGAGTAGCTGGGATTATAGGTGCCCACCACCATGTCCAGCCAATCTTTGTATTTTTAGTAGAGACGGTGTTTCACCATGTTGGCCAGGGTGGTCAGGAACTCCTGACCTCAGGCGATCTTCCCGCCTTGGCCTCCCAAAGTGTTGGGATTACAGGCGTGACCTACCATGTCCAGCCTGCTGATCTCTTTCTGATGCATTCTCTCCATCCCCATCTCTCTAAACCCTCTCTAACAGACTCTCAGACTTTCCTCTCCCTCCTACATTCTCTTCCTTTTCTTTTGTCTCTCTCTGCTCCTCACCTCTTGACTAAAGATGTTGGCGGCTGCATCTCTAGCCAATGTCCAAATCCTAATACTACAACAAACATGGCCAGTGACATCTGCCTTTAAGCACTTGTCACAGAGGTCACCTGTGCATCGTCCACTTCCAGCCTCCAAAGAAACAATTCACTACAAACCACTTCTGGAGACGTGGCACCAACTACCAGGGAGGCAGCCAGGGAAAGATGAGGAACTCTCATCATCATATTTCTGCTCGGGACCAAGGTTCCTGAACTGGAAAGGGCCCATCTGCTCAGCCCTCCCCATCACCCCTAACCCCTGCAATGCTGCAGGTTTCCATAAAGTTGTTTTTTTCTCTACTGACACCTACAAGCTTCTCACTTTTGAGAAACAAAGATTGTAAAGGTTTTTTTTTTCATAATTAACTAAATTTAATTTAGAGCAAATTTTTTTTTTAACTCATGTATTTTAGTTAGTAAAACACCATCTTGGGCCAGGCATGGTGGCTGTAATCCCAGCAGTTTGGGAGGCCGAGGTGGGCGGATCACCTGAGGTCAGGAGTTCAAGACTAGCCTGGCCGATATGGTAAAACCCCGTCTCTACTAAAAACACAAAATTTAGCCAAGCGTGGTGGCACACGCGTGTAATCCCAGCTACTCGGGAGGCTGAGCCAGGAGAATTGCTTGAACCTGGGAGGCAGAATTCAGTGAGCCGAGTGCAGTGAGTCGAGATCGTGCCACTGCACTCTGGCCTGGGCGACAGAGTGAGACTCTGTCAAAAAAAAAAGAAGGAAAGAAAGGAAGAAAGGAAGGAAGGAAGCAAAGAAGGAAAGAAGGAAGAAAGAAGCAGATAAAAGGCAGAGACAGAGTGGGCCACTTGGTGAGGCGGGGATGGAGAGTCACCTGCCTCAGGCACACCCACCCAACTCACAGGTGAAACTGGAGCGGAATCAATGAGGAACTAAGTCAGGGATCTGGCTACTCTTGCCTCTCTCTAGAGGACCCCTTGCCCTGCCATCAGTCCCACTGAGAACCCTCACTGTGCTTCCTCCAGGACAAATTCACATGTCTAGTGGAATCCATGGAGAGCCCTCCCAAGGCAAAAAGTCAGGAACTGCAGGCTAATGCTTCCCTCCCACTGGACAGGCCTGGGGAAGACTGGGAAGGGGCTAAGGGAAGCAGAGAAACTGCCTTCTCTGCCCAAGAGCAACAGACATAGCTGCAGGGCAGGAATGAGGGACCCACATCTGATACACTTGGGACCGGGCTTCAGAAAGTGTCCCCTCCCTATGTTGTTTGTGTCTCAGCAGGTGATTTTGTCCAATCAGCAGGTGATTTTGTCCAGCCCTCTTCCCCCAGGTACCAGGAGGTACCAGCTGCACTAGCAGGTTCAAAGGCCTCAGGGGACGACCCTGTGTCCCAGATTTCTGAGCAGATGGCCTAAGCTACTTTGCTTTGCAGCTCTGCAGACTAAAAGGAATTAGCTCCAGAGACCAGGGACCAATGGGGCTGTGGGAACTTCTGGGCCAAAGGTGGAAGAGCACTTCATGAATTATTCAAGATTTGATAGATAGTGGCATCTGAATTTCGCTACCAGCAGGCAGTGCAGAACTCAACATCCACCTGGAAAAGATGTTGAGCCTGAGCACCAGTGCCACCACCTTTCAAGGATGCTATGCTTGGTGGTCCGGCTGGGTTGGGCTGCTGTCATGGGAACCCAAGTTACACAGCCCCCCTAACACATCAGTTTTGCCAGAAGGTTCAGGCCACAGGGCTGGGCCATCATCTGGACATTAATCCCCCAGGTGCTGAGGAAGTTGCTGAGGCAAAGAAAGGAGCAGCAAGGTCACTGCAAGTAGAGGGTGTTTCAGCCAAGGATGCTCATAAATTCTATCCTTTACTCAGCTCACCCTGCCTATCCTTCAGAGGCTCAGCTGAGAAGCTATTCACCTCCACTCCCATTCCTCCAGAGTCTCTGGACTAGCCCAGTTTCACAGAAACGCCCCTTAAAATGGAGAATCTGATTCTACACCATGAATTTATCCTAGCTTGATAAATCAGCTAGAGAGCCTGATTTATTGGCCTAGGAGCACCCAGAAGAAACCTGTAATCTGGCAATGACAAGTTTATTAACCCTTTGCAATGAGAGAAACTTCACACCAGAAGGACTATAGAATGTCTCACCAAACAAGGAAAGGATAGAGATTTTATAGGATCTGAGGAAAGAATGAAACTTATGTGAAATTATACAAACCCTGCCATATTGGTCCATGCCATGTTGTCTACCAAGTATATTAACTGTGAGGAGCACATCTGTGTATCTACTTCTAACGCAGAGTTTCTCAACCTCAATGCTATTGACATTTCATGCTGGATAATTCTTTGTTGTGGGGGCTGTCTTGTGCATGGTTGGCTGTTTAGCAGCAACCCTGACCTCTATCAACTAGATGCCAGTGTACCCCCAGTCCCAGCTGTGACAAATGAAAATTTCCTAGACATTGCCAAATGTCCCTTGGAAAGCAAAATTACCTCTGGTTGAGAACCACTGCTCTAATAGTTTATCGATAGTGGAAGTGAATACTAAGTAAAAGGTTTTGTGGAATGGCTTTTATTTTTAGGAAAAAAGGTATTAAATGAGGGGCACATTAAAACGACAAATCTGTGGTTAACGGTAAGCTCATTGTTAAAATTAAAAAATAATATCAGAGGCCAGGCGCAGTGGCTCACTCCTATAATCCTAGAACTTTGGGAGGCCAAGACGGGAGGCCAAGATGGGTGGATTGCCTGAGGTCAGGAGTTTGAGACCAGCGTGGTCAACATGGGGAAACCCCCCATCTCTACTAAAATACAAAAAAATTAGCCAAGTGTGGCAGCGCGCGCCTGTAATCCCAGCTACTCGGGAGGCTGAGGCATAAGAATTACTTGAACCCAGGAGGTGGAGGTTCCAGTGAGCCGAGATTGTGCCACCGCCCTCCAGCCTGGGTGACAGAACGAGACCTTGTCTCAGAAAACAAAACAAAACAAACAAACAAACAAATAAACATAGCCAGCCCAGCACAGTGGCTCACACCTGTAATCCCAATACTTTGGGAGGCCAAGACAGGTGGATCACTTGAGGTCAGGAATTTGAGACCAGCCTGGGCAACATGGTAAAACCCTGTCTCTACCAAAAATACAAAAATAAGCCAGATGCAGTGGCACTCACCTGTAGTCCCAGCTACTGGAGAGGCTGAGGCACTAGAATTGCTTGAACTTGGGGGCGGAGGTTACAGTGAGCCGAGATCACGCCACTGCACTCCAGCCTGGGCCACAGAGTTAGACCCTTTCTCAAAAAAAAAAAATAGCATTTACGATATCATAAAAAATGTTAAATATTTAAGGGTAACTTTGACAAAGGATGTGAAAGACCTGTACACTGAAAATTACAGAATTGCTGGGAGAAACTAAGACCTAAATAAATGAAGAGATATACCTTGTTCATAGATTGGAAGAGTCAATATTGTTTAGATGTCAATTCTCCCCAGATTTAATCTATAGGTTTAACACAATATCAATCAGAACTCTACCAAGATTTTTGGTAAAAAAATGGCAAGCTGATTCTAAAATTCATATGGAAATGCAAAAATCTAGAATAGACAAAACAACTCTTAAAAAAGAAAAACAAAGCTAGAGTGCTTAACACTGTCTGTTAAACTAGTGTTAAACTAGTGTTAAACTAGTGTTTAACACTGTCTGACCCAATAATTATTATAAAGCTGCAAAGCAAAGTAGCTTAGGCCATCTGCTCAGAAATCTGGGACACAGGGTCGTCCCCTGAGGCCTTTGAACCTGCTAGTGCAGCTGGTACCTCCTGGTACCTGGGGGAAGAGGGCTGGACAAAATCACCTGCTGATTGGACAAAATCACCTGCTGAGACACAAACAACATAGGGAGGGGACACTTTCTGAAGCCCGGTCCCAAGTGTATCAGATGTGGGTCCCTCATTCCTGCCCTGCAGCTATGTCTGTTGCTCTTGGGCAGAGAAGGCAGTTTCTCTGCTTCCCTTAGCCCCTTCCCAGTCTTCCCCAGGCCTGTCCAGTGGGAGGGAAGCATTAGCCTGCAGTTCCTGACTTTTTGCCTTGGGAGGGCTCTCCATGGATTCCACTAGACATGTGAATTTGTCCTGGAGGAAGCACAGTGAGGGTTCTCAGTGGGACTGATGGCAGGGCAAGGGGTCCTCTAGAGAGAGGCAAGAGTAGCCAGATCCCTGACTTAGTTCCTCATTGATTCCGCTCCAGTTTCACCTGTGAGTTGGGTGGGTGTGCCTGAGGCAGGTGACTCTCCATCCCCGCCTCACCAAGTGGCCCACTCTGTCTCTGCCTTTTATCTGCTTCTTTCTTCCTTCTTTCCTTCTTTGCTTCCTTCCTTCCTTTCTTCCTTTCTTTCCTTCTTTTTTTTTTGACAGAGTCTCACTCTGTCGCCCAGGCCAGAGTGCAGTGGCACGATCTCGACTCACTGCACTCGGCTCACTGAATTCTGCCTCCCAGGTTCAAGCAATTCTCCTGGCTCAGCCTCCCGAGTAGCTGGGATTACACGCGTGTGCCACCACGCTTGGCTAAATTTTGTGTTTTTAGTAGAGACGGGGTTTTACCATATCGGCCAGGCTAGTCTTGAACTCCTGACCTCAGGTGATCCGCCCACCTCGGCCTCCCAAACTGCTGGGATTACAGCCACCATGCCTGGCCCAAGATGGTGTTTTACTAACTAAAACACATGAGTTAAAAAAAAATTTGCTCTAAATTAAATTTAGTTAATTATGAAAAAAAACCTTTACAATCTTTGTTTCTCAAAAGTGAGAAGCTTGTAGGTGTCAGTAGAGAAAAAAACAACTTTATGAAAACCTGCAGCATTGCAGGGGTTAGGGGTGATGGGGAGGGCTGAGCAGATGGGCCCTTTCCAGTTCAGGAACCTTGGTCCCGAGCAGAAATATGATGATGAGAGTTCCTCATCCTTCCCTGGCTGCCTCCCTGGTAGTTGGTGCCACGTCTCCAGAAGTGGTTTGTAGTGAATTGTTTCTTTGGAGGCTGGAAGTGGACGATGCACAGGTGACCTCTGTGACAAGTGCTTAAAGGCAGATGTCACTGGCCATGTTTGTTGTAGTATTAGGATTTGGACATTGGCTAGAGATGCAGCTGCCAACATCTTTAGTCAAGAGGTGAGGAGCAGAGAGAGACAAAAGAAAAGGAAGAGAATGTAGGAGGGAGAGGAAAGTCTGAGAGTCTGTTAGGGTTTAGAGAGATGGGGATGGAGAGAATGCATCAGAAAGAGATCAGCAGGCCGGGTGCGAATTGAAAAATTGGATTTCATCGAAAGTAAAAAATCTGCTGTTTAAAGGACACCGTTAAGAGAATGAAAAAAAAAATAAATAAAACAAGCCACATATTAGGAGAAAAAAAATTGTAAAGGATGTATCTGTTAAAGGATTTCTATCCACAATATAGAAAAGACTCTCAAAACTCAAGTATAAGAAAGTAACCCAGGGGCCAGGCACGGTGGCTCATACCTGCAATCCCAGCACTTTGGGAGGCCGAGGTGGGCAGATCACCTGAGGTCGGGAGTTTGAGACCAGCCTGACCAACATGGAGAAACCGCGTCTCTGCTAAAAATACAAAATTATCCGGGCATGGTGGCGCACGCCTGTAATCCCAGCTACTCAGGAGGCTGAGGGAGGAGAATCACTTGAACCCAGGAGGCAGAGTTTGCAGTGAGACGAGATTGTGCCATTGCACTCCAGCCTGGGCAACAAGAGCAAAAATTCTGTCAAAAAAAAAAAAAATAGTAACCCAATGAAAAAGCCGAAAAGATATGAGCAGAAAATATGCAGATAGCAAATAAGTACATGAAGAGGTGCTCAACATCATTGTCATTAGGGATATATAAAAATATAATGATATACCACTATACACTCATTAAAATAGCTAAAATTAGGCCAGGAGAGGTGGCTCACACCCATAATCCCAGCACTTCGGGAGGCCAAGGCAGGAGGATCACTTGAGTCAAGGAGTTCAAGATCAGCCTGGAGCAACATGGTGAAATCCCATCTCTACCAAAAATATAGAAATTAGTTGGGCAAGGTGGCTCGTGCCTGTAGTCTCATCTACTTAGGAGGCTGGGATGGGAGAATCGTTTGAATCCAGTAGGGAGTGACCCACTGCACTCCAGCCTGGGTGACAGAGCAAGACTCTGTCTCAAAAAAAAAAAAAAAATGGCCAACCATAGCAAATGTTGGCATAGATGTGCAGGAGCTGGAATTCTCATATGCAGCTATTAGGAATGTAAAATGGTACAACTGCTTTGGAAACCAGTTTGGTAGTTTCTTTAAAAATTTAAGCATGCACCTAGCATATGAGCCAGCTATTCCACGCTGATTTTTACCTAGGAAGAAAGGAAATACATGTCCATACAAAGACCTGAACAAAAATTTGCCTAGCAACTTTATTTATAATAGCCAAAAACTGGGAAGGACTCAAATGTCCATCAACAGGTGAATTAATAAATAAATTGGTGTATATTCATACAACATAACAACATAGATGAATCTGAAAATAGTTATGCTGAGCGAAGAAGCCAGGAAAATAAGGGCACAGACTATATGACTCTCTTACATAAAACCCTATTTATTTATTTTTTATTTTTGCGATGGGGTCTCGCTATGTCGCCCAGGCTGGAGAGCAATGGCGCACTCGGCTCACCGCAACCTCCGCCTCCCAGGTTCAAGTGATTCTCATGCCTCAGTCTCCTGAGTAGCTAGGATTACAGGCAGGCACCACCATGCCCGCTAATTTTTGTATTTTTATTACAGACAGGGTTTCACCATGTTGCCCAGGGCGGTCTCAAACTCCTGAGCTCAGCGATCTGCCTGCCTCGGTCTCCCAAAGTGCTGGTATTACAGGCATGAGCCACTGAGCCCGGCCTCTTATTAAAACTTCATAAAATGCAACTTAATTTTTACTGACAGAGAGAAGATTGGTGGTTGCATGGAGATGGGAGAGTGGGGGTGGGGATGGGAGGAAGGGAATCATGGATATGTTTACTATCTTGATTTTAGGGAAATATATATCTATATCAATTGTATACTCTTAATATGCACAGTTTATTGTATGTCGGTTATATCTCAATAAAGTTATTTTAAAAAATCTTTATAGACAGTAACAAAGTCTCTCCAGCAATGGTCTGTTACGCCAGAAATACATACAAGAAAGTCTAAGTTGGCCAGGCGTGGTGGCTCACACCTGTAATCCCAACACTTTCAGAGGCTGAGGAGGGAAGATTCCTTGAGGCCAGGAGTTGAGACGAGCATGGGCAACATAGCAAGACCCTATCTCTACAAAAAATAAAAATTTATGTGAAAAAAAGATGAAAGTCTAAGTTATTGAACCATAAAACCGACAGATATATTTTTCTTTTACTTTTCTTTTTTTTTTCTTTGAGACAGAGGCTTGCTCTGTGGCCCAGGCTGGAGTGCAGTGGCACGACCTCGGCTCACTGCAACCTCTGCCTCCCAGGTTCAAGCAATTCTCCTACCTCAGCCTCCCGAGTAGCTGGGATTACAGGCACCCGCAACCACACCCGGCTAATTTTTCTATTTTTAGTAGAGACGGGATTTTACCATGTTGGCCAGGCTGGTCTCAAACTCCTGGCCTCAAACTCCTGGCCTCAAACTCCTGGCCTCAGGTGATCTGCCCACGTCGGCGTCCCAAAGTGCTGGGATTATAGGTGTGAGCCACTGTGCCTGGCATGACAGATATTTTTCTGATGTCATGCTCAACAGCAATGGTTCACCTTGAGGAAGATAACACCATCTCCCACATCTTGGGTTTTCCCACTCTTTTCAAGTGATATAGTTGTGATTTGTGCAATATTTCATCAATGTAAAGTTTACTTTTTTTTTTTTTTTGAGACAGGGTCTTGCTCCGTCGCCTAGACTGGTGTGTAGTGGTGCGATCTCCGCTCACTGCAGCCTCTGCTTCTCGGGTTAAAGCGATTCTCCTGCTTCAGCCTCCCAAGTAGCTGGGACTACAGGTGTGTGCCACCACGCCTGACTAATTTTTGTATTTTCAGTAGAGACAGCGCTTCACCATGTTGGCCAGGCTGGTCTCAAACTCCTGACTTCAGGTGATCCACCTGCTTTGGCCTCCCAAAGTGCTGGAATTACAGGTGTGAGCCACCGTGCCTGGCCAAAGTTTACTTCTTAAAAAAAAAAAAAGAACTGAAAATATACTATGGAGTGAAATAATTTGGGGTTCAATAAACAATATTCTTGGGTAATCATGGGGAACCCCAGGAGCCACATAATGCTGGTCTTTCTTTCTTTTTTTTTTTTTTAAAGATGGAGTCTCGCCATGTTGGCCAGGCTGGTCTCAAACTCCTGACTTCAGGTGATCCACCTGCTTCAGCCTCCCAAAGTGCTGGAATTACAGGTGTGAGCCACCGTGCCTGGCCAAAGTTTACTTCTTAAAAAAAAAAAAAAAAGAACTGAAAATATACTATGGAGTGAAATAATTTGGGGCTCAATAAACAATATTCTTGGGTAATCATGGGGAACCCCAGGAGCCACATAATGCTGGTCTTTCTTTCTTTTTTTTTTTTTTTAAAGATGGAGTCTCGCCATGTTGGCCAGGCTGGTCCCGAACTCCTGGGCTCAAGTGATCTGCCCACCTTGGCCTCTCAAAGTGCTAGGGGATTACAGGCATGAGCCACCATGCCCAGCCAATGCTGGCCTTTTCATCCACCCAACCTTGGGTCAGAAGGTCCACAGCATCCCAGGGTAGGTCCTGCCCTCACACAGAGATTTGTTGCCACCACCAGTGCAGAGGGTCTTTGCTGTTCTCCATGAAAAAGTGCTGCACACACAGACCTCCACCATTCTGGTTCCTCACACCACAGTCTGCAGCTCTGACAGTCAGCAAGTCCCTCCATACAGCTGGCCACAGACTTTCCTGCCTGCAGATGTGTCCCTGTCATTTACACGTGTTCTCTGCAGGACTGGCGTTTAGAATCTCCTATGGTGGAGAGCAGAGCTGTGGGGAAGGATCAGCCAGACAGGGTCTTTGTCCTTCCTCTATTATTTGTTGACTGTCTAACTTTGGACAAATCTTAGCCTCTGAGTCTATATCTGTGGCATGGGGCAATAAGGCCATCTACATTGCATGTTTCTGGGGAGTATGTTTTACGACTCCCTGTGAACCTGGAACAGAGCAGGCACAGAGTAAATGCGTAGTATTATTCTCATCATGTTTGTGGTTTAACAACAGCTAATTGTTTTTTGATCACTCACAATGTGCCCAGACCTATGCTAAGTGCTTTGCAAGCACACCTTACAACAGCCCTGTGTAGGAAGTACAATCATTACCTCATTTCAGAGGAGGAATTGGAGGGCTTAGGAGGTCAGGTGACCTGTCCAAGGTCATCAAGTGTTGGGGCTGGGAAGTGAACTCAAGTCTGTGTGACTACAGAGCCCATATCCCTCCTGTATTAGTCTGTTCTCACAGTGCTATAAGGACATACCTGAGATTGGATAATTTATAAAGGAAAGAGGTTTAATTGACTCACAGTTCCACATGGCTGGGGAGGCCTCATAATCATGGTGGAAGGGGAAGGAGAAGCAAAGTCACATCTTGTATGGTGGCAGGCAAGAGAGCATGTGCAGGGGAACTCCCCTATATAAAACCATCAGAACTTGTGAGACTTATTCACTATCATGGGACCAGCACAGGAAAAACCTGCCCCCTTTGATTCAATTACCTCCCACTGGGTCCCTCCCACAACACATGGGGATTATGGGATCTACAATTCCAGATGAGATTTGGGTGAGGACACAGCCAAACCATATCACTTCCCAATAGGCTGGACTGCTTACCACCCCATGTGGCCTCAAAGAGCTCCAGTCACTCCTTTACGAACCCAATCACTCCAGAACTTTAGAACAAAGTTTCTGAGTTACTCCTTGTAATAGGCTAAATAATGGCTCCCAAAGATATTAGGATTTGATTCCCAGAACCTATAAATATTACCTTATTTGGAAAACGGTTCTTAGCAGATGTGATTGAGTTAAGGATATTGAGATGCAGAGATTATTTTAGATTATCTAGACTATCTGGGTGGATGTATTGGTCAGGGTTCTTCAGAGGACAGAGCCAATAGGATATATGTATATAAAAAGGGAGTTAATTAGGGAGAATTGGCTCACATGATTACAAGGTGAAGTCCCACGATAGGCCGTCTGCAAACTGGGGAGAGAAGCTAGTTGTGTGGCTCAGTCCAAATCCAAAAGCCTCAAAACTGGAGAAGCTGACAGTACAAGCCCTAGTCTGAGGCCAAAGGTCCAAGAGCCCCTGAGAGGCTGCTGGTGCAAGTTCCAGAGTCCAAAGGTTAACAAACCTGAAGTCTGGTGTCCAAAGGCAGGAGGAGAGGAAGCAGACAGGAAGAGAGAAAGCAAACAGACTCAGCAAGAAAGCTGCTGTTCTTCCACCTGCTTTGTTCTAGCCACGCTGGCAGTCAATTGCATGGTGCCCATCCACACTGAGGGTGGATCTTCCTCTAACAGTCAAACACTGACTCAAATGTCATCTTCTCTGGCAACACCCTCACAGACACACCCAGAAACAATGCTTCACCAGCCATCTATGCAGCCCTCAATCCAGTCAAGGTGACACCTAATGGTTAATGGTTATTAACCACGGTTAATAACCATGACAGTGGGTTCTAAATGTAATCACGTGTATCCTTATAAAAAAAAGAGGCAGAGGGAGATTTGAAGAGCTATACAGAGGAGAAGACAACGTGAAGATGGAGGAGAGAGAAATTTGGCCATCAAGATTGGAGTCATTGATATAGTTTGGATGTTTGTCCCCTCCAAATCTCAGGCTGAAATGTGAATCTTGATGGTGGAGGTGGGGCTTAGTGGGAGGTGCTTGGGTCATGGGGGCAGATCCCTCATGACTGGCTTGGTGCCCTCCCCATGGTAATGAATGAGTTCTCACTCTGTTAGTTCACACGAGAGCTGGTTGTTTAAAAGAGCATGGCATTTCTCTTGCTCCCTCTCTTTGCCATGTGACATGCCTCCTCCCCTTCACCTTTTACCATGATTGGAAGCTTCCTGAAGCCCTCACTAGAAGCAGATGCTGGTGCTATGCTTGCACAGTCTGCAGAACTGTGAGCATCAATAAACCTCTTTTCTTTATAAATTAACCAGTCTCAGTATTCCTTTATAACAATGCAAAATGGACTAATGTGGTAATGCCACCAGAAGCCAAGGAATGCCAACAGCCATCAAAAGCTGGAAAAGGCAAGAAAGGATTCTCACCAGGCATATGGTGGCTCACACTTGTAATCCCAGCACTTTGGGAGGCGGAGGTGGGTGGATTGCCTGAGCTCAAGAGTTTGAGACCAGCCTGGGAAACATGGTAAAACTCTGTCTCTACCAAAAATACAAAAAATTAGCCTGGTGTATTTGTGCATGTCTGCGGTCCCAGGTACTCAGGAGGCTGAGGTGGGAAAATCGCTTGAGCCTGGGAGGCAGAGGTTGCAGTGAGCCGTGATTGTGCCACTGCACTCTAACCTGGGTGACAGAGTGAGACCCCCATCTCAAAAAAAATAAACAAAAAAAAAATAAAAAAAGAGAAGAAAGTATTCTTCCTAGAGCCTGAGAAGGGAGCATGGCCCTTCTGACACCTTGGTTTTGGCCTAGTAATACTGTTTTCAGACCTGACCTCCAGAACTCTGAGAGAATAAATATGTGTTGTTTTCTGCCACCAAGTTTGCGGCAATTTGTTACAACAGCCACCGGAAGTTCATACCAATTTTGGCACCTAGAGGGGGAGCGCTGCTGTAGCAAATACCTAAAAATGTGAAAGTGGCTTTAAAATTGAATAATAGGTAGGTAGGTGCCAGAAGAATGTTGAAGAACTTGATAGAAAAAGCCTCGATTTACGTGAACAGACTGTTGGGAGAAATGTAAACATTGAAGGCAATTCTGATGAGGGCTCAGAAAGAAGTGAGGAACATGGGAGAGAAAGCCAATGTCATCTTCGAGAATACATATATCATCATACCATCCTAAGCAGAATGCTGGTAGAAATATAAACATTAAAGCTACCATTAGTGGCCGGTCACGGTGGCTCACGCGTGTAATCCCAGCACTTTGGGAGGCCGAGGCAGGCGGATCACCTGAGATCGGGAGTTCAAGACCAGCCTGACCAACATGGAGAAACACCACCTCTACTAAAAATACAAAAACATTAGCCGGGCATGGTGGTGCATGCCTGTAATCCCAGCTACTTAGGAGGCTGAGGCAGGAGAATCTCTTGAACCAGGGAGGTGGAGGTTGCGGTGAGCCAAGATCATGCCATTGCACTCCAGCCTGGGCAACAAGAGCGAAACTCCATACCCCCCTAAAAAAGGTGCCATTAGTAAGAGCTCAGAAGGAAATGAGGAGTATGTACTCGGAAACTAGAGGAAATGCAATTCTAGTTACATACTGGTAGAAAACTTAACTGAATTGTGTCCTCCAGTTATGTGGAAAATAGAAATTGCAAGCAATGTGTGTTATTTATCTGAAACCCAAACTAAAAAAAAAAAAAGAGAGAGAGAGAGAGACAGAGAGATTGAGAGATTGTAAGCAATGAACTTGGATATTTACCTACAGAGGTATTGCAAGCAAAGTGTTAAGGGTATGGCCTGATTCCATCTTACTGCTTTTAGTAAAATGTGAGAGGAAAGAGATACACTGAGGAAAAGACTGTTAAGCAAAAAGGATCCAGGACTTGATGATTTGGGAAATTCTCAGCCTATCAAGGTTGCAAAAGACACTAAAATTAGGAGAGGCACTGTCAGGAAGGTATGGGAAGGTATGCTCTAGAGACAATGTCAAGAATGTGGCTATGTTTGCTAGTGCTGAGGAGATTAGGCACATGACTCAAGGAGCTCTTCCACTATGCTCAGCCATAGCTGCTAATAGAAATGATATTATCTGGGAAAGATACAGAAGGACCTGCTGGTCTAAGGGTGTGAATCACTATGACATACATTCTGAGAGGAGGGCTATGGGACCAGAGGGGAGAGCTTCAAGCTACAGGGGATTATTCTGAGTCCTTGAAACCAAATGGAATTTGTCCCGCTAGATTTCAAAATGGTTGGGAGCAGGGACTCCTTCCTTTCTTCCAGTTTCTCTCATTTGAAATGGAAATATCTGTAACTATTATCCTACACCTGCCCCGCCACTGTATTTTTGGAACAGATAACTTGCTTTCTAGTGTCACAAATTCACAGCAGGAGAATTTTGCCCCAGGATGTTTCATAACCAGAGTCTCATCCATATCTGTTTTAGATGAGGAGACTTGGTACTTTTGAGCTGATCTTATATGGATAAGATGGACTTCAGCTAATGTTGCACGGTTTGAGACATTTGAGGATTTGGGGATGGGGTGCATGTATTTTGCATGTGGGAGAGATGTGAATACTTGGGGGCCAGAGGGCAGGCTGTGGTAGACTGAACAACACCCCTCCAAAAGATAGCGATATAGTAACCCCTGGAACCTGTGAGTGTTAGCTTACAACAAAAAATGTGATTATGTTGGCCAGGTATGGTGGCTCACGCCTATAATCCCAGCACTTTGGGAGGCTGAGGCGGGTGGGTCACGAGATCAGGAGTTCAAGACCAGCCTGGCCAAGATGGTGAAACCCCATCTCTACTGAAAATACAAAAATTAGTTGGGCATGGTGGCGGGCATCTGTAATCCCAGCTACTCAGGAGGGTAAGGCAGAGGTTGCAGTGAGCCGAGGTCACGCCACTGCACTGCAGCCTGGGTGACAGAGTCAGACTCCGTCTCAAAAAAAAAAAAAAAAAGTAATTATGTTAAAAATCCTGAGATGGGGAGATTCTCCTGGATTATCTGGGTGGGCCCTAAATGTAATAATGAGTGCCTTTATCAGATTAAGGCAGGGAGATCTGACACAGACAGAAGAGAAGAAGGCAGTAAGCCTGCCATGGTTTGAACGTCCCCACCAAAACTTGTGTTGAAATTTAATTGCCATTGTTAACAATATTAAAAGGTGGGGCTGTTAGGAAGTGATTAATGCCATTATCATAAGAGTGGATTAGTTATCACGAGATTGGGTTTGTTATAAAAGGGAGCTTAGTCACATTTTCTCTGTCTGTCTCCTGCACTTGCTTTTGCCTTTCATCCTTCCATCATGACACAACCCTCACCAGATGCCAGCGCCATGTTCTTGGACTCCTAGCCTCTAGAACTGTATACCAAATGAACTTCTATCCTTTATAAATTACCCAGTTTGTGGTATTCCATTATAGTAACAGAAAACAAACGAAGGCAATGACCATGGAGGTAGAGATTAGAGTGATGCAGCCATGTATTAGTCCGTTCTCACACTGCTATAAAGAGCTGCCCGAGACTGGGTAATTTATAAAGGAAAGAGATTTAACTGATTCACAGTTCCGCATGGCTGGGGAGGCCTCAGGAAACAATCATGGCCAAAGGTGAAGAGGAAGCAAAGACTTTCTTCACATGGTAGCAGGAGACAGAAGTGCAAGCAGGGGAAATGCCAGACGCTTGTAAAACCATCGGACCTCATGAGAACTCACTGTCACAAAAACAGCATGGGGAAAACCACCCCCGTGGGGATTTGTAATCTGTGGGGATTACAATTCGAGATGAGACTTGGGTGGGGACACAGAGCCAATCCATATCAAGCCACAAGCCAAGAAATGCTGGCAATCACGGGAAGCTGGAAGAGGCAAGGAACAGGTTCTCTCCTAGAGCCTCTGGAGGTGTACAGCCCTGCCGACAACTTGATTTCAACTCAGTGAAACTGATTTCAGATTTCTGGGCTCCAGAATTGTGAGAGAATAAATTGATGTTGTTTATGCCACAAAGTTTGCGGTAATTTGTTACAGCAGCCAGAGGGAATTTGGGGTGATTGTAAGGAGTTATGTAAATTATGTTAAAGAACCTTTGCAGTTGTAAGATGCATTCATTCATTCAACAAATAGTCGAGGCAATATAGAAGAGTAATTAAAAGCACCGACTTTGAGGCCGGGCGTGGGATGGTTCACTCCTATAATCCCAGTGTTTTGGGAAGCCAAGGC
This sequence comes from Homo sapiens, assembly GCF_000001405.40. NCBI lineage: Eukaryota > Metazoa > Chordata > Mammalia > Primates > Hominidae > Homo > Homo sapiens. Next base: position 48,106,391 of record NC_000023.11, read on the forward strand.
AGGAGGATTGCTTGAGGCCAGCAGTTCCTTCCAGATCAGCGGGGACAACATAGCAAGACCCCATCTCTTAAAAAATTATTTTAATTAAAAATAAATAAATACATAAATAAAAGCACAGACTTTGGACTCAATTCATCTTGGGGGTGAATCCCAGCTCTGTCACCCACTGACTATGTGACCTCGAGCAGACTGCTTAATTCTCTGAGCCTCAGTCTCAACATCTGCGCACTGGGGATGATAATAGTATTTAACTCCAGAGAAGGTTGTGAAAACTAATCGGAAGATGCACATAAAGGGCTTTGTGCTGGACTAAAGGGCCATTGCCCTGTCCCTGCCCTAAGAGAGCTTGCTGTCATCCTGGGAGGATCTTAGAGAGATCAGGGCTGTAGATGGAAAGCCCAGAGAGGAACGGGGTCATGTTGGAGATACTAGGGATGGGGGTAGGGGAAACTTCTTGGACAAATTGACTTATGAGCTCCCTGATGAACACAGTGGGCCTGAATTACATACTCTTTTTAATACTATTACGATAAACATTATTAATATCAATGGGTAAAATATATTTCTGGTTCTTTGGTCTTCTAGAAAAAAACATATATAGAAGTTTTTTTTTTTTTTAGTTTGAATTTCTTTTTTAAATTTTTTTTATAGAGATGGGGGTCTCACTATGCATCCCAGATTGTTCTGGAACTCCTATCCTCAAGTGATCCTTCCACCTCCTGCCTCAGCCTCTCAAGGTGTTGGGATTACAGGCATGAGCCACTGGGACTGGCTCATTGAAATTTTTCTTTCTTTCTCTTTTTTTTTTTTTCTGACAAGATCTCGCTCTGTGGCCGAGGTAGGCAGCAGTGGCTGGATCATGGTCACTGCAACCTCGTACTCCTGGGCTCAAGTGATCCTCAGCCTCCTGAGTAACTGGGACTACAGGCACACCACCCCACCTCGCTAATTTTATTTATTTTTTGTAGAGATAAGGGACAGGGTATCGCTCTGTTGTCCAGGCTGGGGTGCAGTGGCGTGATTGTGGCTCACTGCAACCTCTGCCTCCCGGGTTCAAACGATCCACCAGCTGTGGCCTCCCAATGTGCTGGGACTACAAGCATGAGCCACCGTGCCCGGCCCAAATTTCTGACGTTACTACAGAGTTCCTAGGAAAAATCCCATACCTGAAAAAGTTAGAAACTGACAGGAAGGATTTGAGATGACGACCTGCTTCATATACACTACTTATTAAAACTGGATAACAAATGCACCGCGGGGGGGTAGGGAGGGATAGGAAAAAAATGGAAAGAGAAAATCAGCACATGAGTACTCTGATTTTGGAAGAATCTAAAGAGAATATCAGAGCATGCATACTCTGAACTTGGAGTAGCCAATCCCAGGGGATGCTTTAGGCGGGAAAATCAGAGTCTCCGCCCCCACTTTGAGAAGGTTGTGTCCCTGGAGCCTCAACTGATAGACCCCACATCACCTTCGCTCCTCCCACCTACTGTTCTGACTTCTGATTGGCCAAATGGAGTTCACTAACTGCCCTGATTGGTCCATCATCCTGGGGCAGTGACATTGCAGAATATTTTCTCCTCCTCCAACCACACTTTGTCACCAACTGCTGCCGACCTCGCCACCACTGCTTTGTCTCTGAGGTAGGTTCTCTTGAAGGGACACCCTAGATGGGCTAATGGGGGCAGATAGAAAAGGAGGAAGCCTCTGTAGGGCCCTCGAGTGCTCGGGGTTCTGAAAATCTTGAGGACTGAAAGACAGCTAATGCCTTTCAGGAGGATCATCATGGAGGATCCTCCCACCTCGGCCTCGGGTCTACAGGCCTGTGTCATCCAACCCCTGGAAATATTTTTTTATTTTTGTATTTTAGTAGAGACGGGGGGCTCAAGCAATCCTCCCGCCTCGACCTCGGGAGTACAGGCACGCACCACCCTGCCCTCACTAATATTTTTTATTTTTTATTTTTCTTAGTAGAGACAGTTCTGCCATGTTGACCAGGCTGGCCTCAACCGCCTGGGCTCAAGCAATCCTCCCGCCTCGGCCTCAGGACTACAGGCACGCACCACCCTGCCCCCACTAATATTTTTTATTTTTTATTTTTTTAGTACAGACGGTTTTGCTATGTTGGCCAGGCTGGCCTCGACCACCTGGGCTTAAGCAATCCTTCCGCCTCGGCCCTGGGACTACAGAAGTGCACCAACCTGCCCACGCTTTTTTTTTTTTTTTTTTTTTTTAATTATTAGAAGCCGGGTTTCACTACGTTGGCCAGGCTGGCCTCAACCTCCTGGGCTCAAGCGATCCTCCCACCTTGGCCTCAGGACTACAAGTGTGTGCCATTCCACCCCTGCTAGTTTTTTGTTTGTTTGTTTGTTTTTTGTTTGTTTGTTTGTTGTTGTTGTTGTTTTTAGTAGAGACGGGGCTTTACTATGTTGGCTGGGCTGGTGTTGACCTCCTGGGCTCAAGCAATCCTCCCACCTCGGCCTTAGAACTATAGGCAGGAGCCACCTTGCCCGTGCTATTTTTTTGTTGTTATTGTTGTTAGTAGAAATGGGGTTTTGCTATGTTGGCCAGGCTGGCCTGGACCTCCTGGGCTCAAGAGATCCTCTTGCCTCGGCCTTGGGACTACAGGAGCGCACCACCCTGCCCCGACTAATATTTTTTATTTATTTATTTATTTATTTTTTAGTGGAGGGTTTCACTAGGTTGGCTAGGCTGGTATCGACCTCGTGGGCTCAAGCGATCCGCCCCTCCCTTGGCCTGCCAAAGTGCTGAGATGTTACAGGCCTGTGCCACCACCCCCAGCTAATTTTTTTTGGGTTTTTTTTTTTTTTTTTTTGTAGAGATGGGGGTTTTGCTATGTTTCCCAGGCTGGTCTCGACCTCCTGGGCTCAAGCGATCTGCACGCCTCGGCCCCCCAAAATGCTGGGATTACAGGCATGAGCCACCACGCCTGGCCGATTGCTGCAACTTGAAATGCCCCACATTCTCTCTAAGTGATGGCGGGCTCTTGTAGTCTTGGAGATTCTAGCTCTCTTCCTTCTAATGATTTACAAATAACCCAGTAATAGCCTCTAAATCCGTTCATATTGGCCATGCTCATTTCTCATCAACAGAACAGAACCCCCCATCCCTCTGCCTGATCAGATCCATCACCAGAGAGACCATGTTATCTCTGGGACTCACTTCCCTTCCTTAATTTATTGAGTGGTGGTGTCAGAACGCCCCCACTCAATAAAATTACACAGTCATGTCCCTGCCTCCCCAACAAGGGTCTGTACGTCTTTCAGGGTAAGCCTGGCTCCAGGGAAACTGCTAACAACATTAGCCAACCCCCTCCCAAAGACTCAAGGCTGCTATGTCCATAGGAAACTTGTCATCCCCAATCAATACTTCTCCCAGAGACCCCTGGCTCCCTGTTTTCATCTGACTTCTCCCCATGTCCTTACTCACGGGCAGATAAGTCCCGGATGCAGAAATGCAACACCTGATTCCAGGTGACTGAGTGTGGCCGGCCTTCACAGATTTCTCCCTCCGCAGGACTGGAAAGACTCAGGCTGTTTCTCTTGCAGGTCAGAGTGCTCCTGGTGCCATGAACGGAGACGACGCCTTTGCAAAGAGACCCAGGGATGATGCTAAAGCATCAGAGAAGAGAAGCAAGGTGAGGTGACCTGGAGGGGGCAGAGCAGTGGTCCAGGGGACAGAGTAGGGTGACCAGGTTTCTGAGGAGGGGAGGACAGAGGTACTGGGGACAAGGACCAGGGTCTCGGGGGAGATCTGGACCCTTGAGAGCCTCCCACCCTCGCTCTGTCATCACCTACCATCCCTGGAGACAAGTCTGTGACCTTGCTCTACATTTGGTAACTCTCACTCCATTCTGGAAGGTGGGAAGAGAGCCAGCCAGCATCACTGAAGCCCTACTGTGTGGCAGGGGAGAAGCTAGGGAAGGTCCCCATGTTCTGTCAGTTAGCCATGGCATCAACCAGGACGGATTATCATCCCCAATTCCCAGATCCAGCACACAGGAAGCGGCTCCAGCTGAATGGCAGACATGCCTAGTTGAGTCACTGCCAGAATTTCTTTCTTTTTTCCTAGGCCTTCGATGATATTGCCAAATACTTCTCTAAGGAAGAGTGGGAAAAGATGAAATTCTCGGAGAAAATCAGCTGTGTGCATATGAAGAGAAAGTATGAGGCCATGACTAAACTAGGTAACAGAAAGTTCTAGGAACAGACAAGTCTGGGGACACATGAGCATCCCTTTTCCTGCCTAGGCTACTTCTTAGACTGCAGAAAGTACCCCACGTTTTCCTTTTGTGCAGGGAAAAATGGCAAGGCAGCTCCTGGGTGTTCTGCTCTTCTGTATCCTGTCAGGGCTGAGGGCAGGGACTGGCCACAGTGGAGCTCGTACCTGGATCCTGCACGTTTCTTTCCCATAGGTGTCTGTTCTGATGAGCCCAGCTGTCTCTGTGGCATCACAGCACACCTCCCACCCTACCTTCCTCCTCTGGTCTTGTCCCTCTCCGTCTCTCTCTCTCTCTCTTTTTGAGTCAGAGTCTCACTCTGTCACCTAGGCTAGAGTCCAGTAGTGCAACCATAGCTCAATGCAGCCTCGAACTCCTGGGCTCAAGCAATCCTCCTGCTCAGCCTATGGAGTAGCTGAGGCTACAGGCACATGCCACCATGCCCAACTAATTTTATTTTATATTTTGTAGATATGGGGGTCTCTCTGTGTTACCCAGGCTCTTCCTGAACTCCTGGCCTCAAGCAATCCTCCCGCCTCAGCCTCCCAAAGTGCTGGTACGACAGACATGAGCCACCGTGCCAGGCCTAAGTTTGTCCCTTAAGGAATAAACATTTTGCTTCTTTCTAGGTTTCAACGTCACCCTCTCACTTTTCATGCGTAATAAACGGGCCACAGACTCTCAGAGGAATGATTCTGATAATGACCGTAACCGTGGGAATGAGGGTGAGTAGATGGGAAGGGACTGGAAAGGGTCTCCTCAAGCCCAACTGCTTTTCAGCTCAGCTACCTGGGAAAGATCCTCAGGCATTTGTTCTCTCATACACATCAGGGCTGAGTGAAAAAAAATTGCAGGCGGAAAGTTAACTACAGAGGCCATTCATATAAAATTTTAAAACATGCAAAACAAGAATATATATTTTTATGGATAATTAGTAAATGGTAAATGCATGAAAACATGAATGTGAATAAAAAGCCATCAAATTGAGGAGACTGGCTGTAAATGGAGAAGGAGCAGGGGCAGGGATTGGTGAGTGCTGCACAGGCAGCTTCAGTCATGACTTGTTGATAGTGTGTTTTGTTTTGTTTTGTTTTTGTTTTTGTTTTGAACTGGAGATTTGCTCTTGTCTCCCAGGCTGGAGTGCAATGGCACAGTCTCAGCCCACTACAGCCTCTGCCTCCTGGGTTCAAGCGATTCTCCTGCCTCAGCCTCCTGAGTAGATAGGATTACAGGCGCCCGCCACCATGCCCACCTAATTTTTGTATTTTTAGTAGAGACGGGGTTTCACCATGTTGGCCAGGCTGTTCTCAAACTCCTGACCTCAGGTGTTCCACCCACTCAGCCTCCCAAAGTGCTGGGATTACAGGTGTGAGCTACCGCACCCGGCCCGTTTATAGTGTTTCTAACATTCTGAATAAATAAATCAGATCTAACATAGTCATGGGGTAATGTTGAGATGCAACTGAACTCAATATTATTCCCCATACTTTTGTGTGTGTTTGAAATATTTCTTTTTTAAAGGACATGTTGTTCTTGCTAAACACTGCTAATGAATCAAAGGACAGTTAAGAAAATGTTAAAAGTGAAAAACAGAAAGAAAATGTTAAAAGTGTAGAGCCGCCAAAAACTTCCAGAGTTTGTTTCATTAACAGCATGTAGATATTGGATAAATATCTTAAGAGAGAGGGTGATGCACACATTATGTAATAAAGATCGCTGTTTCTCTGTATTTTATTAAAACCAAATAGTCTTCTCATTCCCAAACAACCCCGATTCTCCGTGATGAGCTTGGAAGTGAGTTTGAAAGAGTGATCCCTCATCCAACACACAGAGAGCTTTCCCACTTGTCAGTGAGCAGAGATAACACAGGGTGAAAAAAAAGACAGGTTCTTGGGTAGAGAGCTTTGTGCAGTTCAGGAATATAAAGGGGTCATATGTGTTTCCTGGCTCTTCTGCTCTGACAATACAATCATAAGACAAGGTCAGAATGTCCAAACTGTCTCCAATAGACCTGTTACTCCCCAACAGACAGGCCAGATTCTACAATCTCCCACAATCACTACAAGAGGTCTGAAAATCCAGTGCTTGAGTATCTGCCAAGCTTTTGACTTTAAAGGAGTGTCTTTATACTGAAAATGTTTCAGAGCCACCGGACTAAGTCATCCATGGTTCATCACACATTTAACAGCTTAATTGACATACCATAAGATCCACCCATTTGAAGTGTACAGTGATTTTTAGTTTGAGTGGATACAGTTCAGATTCCCAACCAATCAATTTAATTATTTGGGAAAAAGTAAAAGATATGTAATGGAATAAGATGAGACTGTGATGGGGTTTAACCCCCATTTGATAAACTATGAGATGGAAAATTCTGAATTGATGCCACAGATAAGTGAACCAACCATGACTAAACATAATTCAGAAGCAAATCTCAAATAACTCCTCAAGAATCAGTAGACTCATAAACCTCTGCTGCAGAATGCCCTGATGCGACAGAAGTCTGTCTAGAGTTTGGGAATCTTTACCAACAAAGAAAAATTCTAATGTATTCTCTTTCAGTTGAACGTCCTCAGATGACTTTTGGCAGGCTCCAGAGAATCATCCCGAAGGTGAGTATCTCTCAAATCTACAGGACCAGAGAACCTTTGTCCCTCCACGGATGTGAACACTGGTAAGAGCGGGAGAATATCAAAAATGTCCTCATTGCCTCCTTCTCCCCATGTCTATCACAACACCAGATGTGGCATCAATGGCTTGATAATACTAACAGTTGTGATCCTTAATACTTCTTTTGTTTTCATAGTGATGCCAGATACTATTTTAAGCAGTTCAGATGGATTAATTAATTTAATCCATAAGAAGACCTCTATGACATTGTTTCTGTTATTATCTCCAAAGAATAACAAGTCACACACTTTGGTTGTCATCCATATGAAAGCCATGTGACTTGGCGCAAATCTTCTAAGTTCTCTGAGCTCCAGATTCCTGGTCCATGAAATGGAAGTAAAGAATCATAGTTCATGTTTTAGATCATAGTTATCAGCAACATAATAATAAAATGAGGCTATCGTGGTACAGAGATGTTAAAGAATTTTCCTGAGGCGCAGTGTCAGTGGTAGTCTAATCCAGAGCTCCAAGCCATTTAAAGCTCATTCACGTCTGCATTTGTTTATGAAGTTCAGATGTTGCTCACTAGGGCTTCACCCCATAGGGCCTCCTGGTGCTTCCGTTGAGACACCCACTCTCACAACAGGAAGGACCAGCTGGCCTCTGCTCTGTTACCGGGGCCACTCGCATGGCTTAGGAATCGCTTTGACTGTTGGCCCCTCCATACTGTGAGCTCCTTGAGGGCCTTGTCTGCACCTGGGGCATCCGGGAAACCCCAGTCCCAGCCCAGGGGATCCATCGGAGGCCCCTGAATGAGTGACCCCACAATTGCAGATTCAACTCTGGTTTAGATGGTAAAGGGATCTGGGAGCTGGGTTGCCAGTGTGGAGACCGAATTCAAAGCAGGATCCAGAAAGGTATTAATTGTTATTATTATTACATTTAAACAGTGTTTACAAGCTCAGAGAGGAATTTCCCTTAGCCTATTTTACACATATTTTTCACTATTTCATAAGTGAGGAAGCTGAGTAAAAAGTACCTTAAGGGCCCGGTGCGGTGGCTCACGAGTGTAATCCCAGCACTTTGGGAGGCCAAGGCAGGCAGATCACGAGGTCAAGAGATCGAGACCATCCTGGCCAACGTGGTGAAACCTCGTCTCTACTAAACATACAAAACTTAGTGGGGCGTGGTAGTGCCTGCCTATAGTCCCAGCTACTCGGGAGGCTGAGGCAGGGGAATCGCTTGAACCGGGGAGGGGGAGATTGCAGTGAGCAGAGGTCACGCCACTGCACTCTAGCCTGGCGACAGAGTGAGACGCTGTCTCAAAAAAAAAAAACAAGCCCACCAGCCTGGCCCAGTTCAATTTATAAAAATGTGGCAATCAGCTCTCCCTCTACCTCTCCCCAGGGTCTCCCTCTCCCTCTCTTTCCACGGTCTCCCTCTGATGCCGAGCCGAAGCTGGACTGTGCTGCTGCCATCTCGGCTCACTGCAACCTCCCTGCCTGATTCTCCTGCCTCAGCCTGCCGAGTGCCTGCGATTGCAGGCGCGTGCCGCCACGCCTGACTGGTTTTCGTATTTTTTTGGTGGAGACGGGGTTTCGCTGTGTTGGCCGGGCAGGTCTCCAGCTCCTAACCGCCAGTGATCCGCCAGCCTCGGCCTCCCGAGGTGCCGGGATTGCAGACGGAGTCTCGTTCACTCAGTGCTCAATGGTGCCCAGGCTGGAGTGCAGTGGCGTGATCTCGGCTCGCTACAACCTCCACCTCCCAGCCGCCTGCCTTGGCCTCCCAAAGTGCCGAGATTGCAGCCTCTGCCCTGCCGCCACCCCGTCTGGGAAGTGAGGAGCGTCTCTGCCTGGCCGCCCATCGTCTGGGATGTGAGGAGCCCCTCTGCCTGGCTGCCCAGTCTGGAAAGTGAGGAGCGTCTCTGCCCGGCCGCCATCCCACCTGGGAAGTGAGGAGCGCCTCTTCCTGGCCGCCATCCCATCTAGGAAGTGAGGAGCGTCTCTGCCCCGCCGCCCATCATCTGAGATGTGGGGAGCGCCTCTGCCCCGCCGCCCCGTCTGGGATGTGTGGAGCACCTCTGCCCGGCCGCGACCCAGTCTGGGAGGTGAGGAGCGTCTCTGCCCGGCCGCCCCGTCTGAGAAGTGAGGAGACCCTCCGCCTGGCAACTGCCCCGTCTGAGAAGTGAGGAGCCCCTCCGCCCGGCAGCCGCCCCGTCCAGGAGGGAGGTGGGGGGGTCAGCCCCCCACCCGGCCAGCCGCCCCGTCCGGGAGGTGAGGGGCTCCTCTGCCCGGCCGCCCCTACTGGGAAGTGAGGAGCCCCTCTGCCTGGCCAGCTGCCCCGTCCGGGAGGGAGGTGGGGAGGTCAGCCCCCCGCCCGGCCAGCCACCCCGTCCGGGAGGTGAGGGGCGCCTCTGCCCGGCTGCCCCTACTGGGAAGTGAGGAGCCCCTCTGCCCGGCCAGCTGCCCCGTCCGGGAGGGAGGTGGGGGGGTCAGCCCCCCGCCCGGCCAGCCCCCCCGTCCGGGAGGTGAGGGGCGCCTCTGCCCGGCTGCCCCTACTGGGAAGTGAGGAGCCCCTCTGCCCGGCCACCACCCCGTCTGGGAGGTGTACCCAACAGCTCATTGAGAACCGGCCATGATGACAATGGCAGTTTTGTGGAATAGAAAAGGGGGAAAGGTGGGGAAAAGATTGAGAAATCGGATGGTTGCTGTGTCTGTGTAGAAAGAAGTAGACATGGGAGACTTTTCATTTTGTTCTGTACTAAGAAAAATTCTTCTGCCTTGGGATCCTGTTGATCTATGACCTTATCCCCAACCCTGTGCTCTCTGAAACATGTGCTGTGTCCACTCAGGGTTAAATGGATTAAGGGCGGTGCAAGATGTGCTTTGTTAAACAGATGCTTGAAGGCAGCATGCTCGTTAAGAGTCATCACCAATCCCTAATCTCAAGTAATCAGGGACACAAACACTGCGGAAGGCCACAGGGTCCTCTGCCTAGGAAAACCAGAGACCCTTGTTCACTTGTTTATCTGCTGACCTTCCCTCCACTATTGTCCTATGACCCTGCCAAATCCCCCTCTGCAAGAAACACCCAAGAATGATCAATAAAAAACAAAACAAAACAAAAACAAAAACAAAAAAGGGTAGCTTAAGATTGTTGGTCAGTGACACATCCCAATGCAACCAGAATTGTTATGGGCACCACCTCACTGAATTCCACATTCAATGTCGGTGCCTCGGTAGGGTGGTATGTCATATCTGGTACTGCTTTCTTTGATGTCTAGATTAATTTCAGCAAACCATTTCTTTCCCTCTCTCTTCCCTGTATTCATCTCCCCACACCATCTTTCCCAGCAGTGTTTTGTCCCCTCTCTATGTCTTTACATTTACTCTCCCAGCAGCTGTCTACAAGCTTATATTGGGATCCCTCGTATTTTATAGAAGCTTTTCCTTTTATAGACCTTGTGAATTCTTAGAATGCTATTCTCCAAAACTTCTGTATACCACACTCTCAATTACAGGGAGATTTCTGCTGTTTGCACGAATCTTAAAAGAGTGTGAAGATAAGCATTCTAGCCCTGGAAACCCCATTCATTTAGGCCATTCCTTTCGCTTCTAACCTCCCAGGTTTCTCCTAATTTAGGCACATGTGACTCTCCCAGCGTTGTTGAGAACATTGATTAAGGTAATGCATGTGAAGACACTTTGTAAGCTCTAAAGCACTATAGAAATGTCACTGATACTGTTTATCTGTGACCTTCATATTATAAAGATCATGCCCGAGAAGCCAGCAGAGGAAGGAAGTGATTCGAAGGGAGTGCCAGAAGCATCTGGCCCACAGAACGATGGGAAAAAGCTGTGCCCGCCGGGAAAAGCAAGTAGCTCTGAGAAGATTCACGAGAGATCTGGTAAGAGGAAACGATTTGGGAACAACCCCTCTGGCTTCCCTGGCTATGTTCAGGTGTGTGGACTGGGTGTGTGGCATGGATCCCAGACAAGCCTGGGTCCAGGCTAGGCTGAGGAGCTCGCCCAGCTCCAGATGAGATGTTACACATGACTTCCAGAGACACAGACTGGAGTTGTCATCCATATAAAAAACCATGTGACTTGGGGCAAGTCTTCCAAATTTTCTCAGCTCCAGATTCCCAGTCCATAAGATGGAAATAAAGAATCATAGTTCATAGATTGTTGGGAGGCATTGAATTTAATCTAGGAGGCCTGATGACATGAACGGTGCTCAGGCGATTCTATCTGTGATAACCTGGGAACCTGGGATCACATCTTACTCAGCTCAATGCCTGATACCCAATACAGGTGTACTTCAGAGATATTGCAGGTTCGGTTCCAGACCACTGCAATAAAGTGAGTCACACACATTGTTTTTTGTTTGTTTTGCAGTGCATATAAACATTATGTTTACACTACAGTGTAGTCTACTAAGTGTGCAATAGCATTATGTCTAAAAAGTACATACCTTAATTTTAAAATAATTCATTTTTTAAAAATGCTAACAATCTTCTGAGCCTTCAGTGAGTCACACTCTTTTTACTGGTGGAGGGTCTTGCCTCGGTGTTGATGGCTGCTGGCTGATCAAGGTGGTGGTTGCTGAAGGGTGGAGTGGCTGTGGCAGTTTCTTAAAAGAACACAACAATGAATTACATCGATTAGCTCTCCCTTTCATGAAAGATTTATCTGTAGTATGTGATGCTATTGGATAGCATTTTACCCACAGTAGAACTTCTTTCAAAGTTGGAGTCAGTCCTCTCTAGCTATGAAAGTTTTAGATGGCATCTGCTTCCAATAGAAGGCTGTTTAATCTATATTGAAAATCTGTTGTTTAGTGTAGCCACCTTCATCAGTGATTTTAGCTAGATCTTCTGGATAACTTGCTGCAGCTTCTCCATCAGTGTTTGCTGCTACACCTTGCACTTTTATGTTATGGGGACAGCTTCTTTCCTTAAACCTCACAAACCAACCTCTGCTAGTTTCACACGTTTCCTCTGCAGCTTCTTCACCTCTCTCAGCTTTCCTGGACTGGAAGAGAGTTTGGGTCTTGCTCTGAATTAGACTTTGGCTTAAGGGAATGTTGTGGCTGGTTTCGTCTTCTATCCTGACCACTTTCTCATTTCAGCAGTAAGGCAGTTTTGCTTTCTTATTCGTGTGTTCACTGGAGTATTAGTATTATTATTTTCTTCAAGAACTTTTCCTTTGCAGTATATACTATTATTTCCTTCAAGAACTTTTCCTTTGCATTCACAGCTTGGCTGGTGCAAGAGGCCTAGCTTTCAGCCTGTCTTGGCTTTCAGCATGCCTCCTCACTAAGCCTAGCCATTTCTAGCTTCTGATTTAAAGTGAGAGACATGCGACTCTTCCTTTCATTTGAACACTTAGCGGCCATTGTAGGGTTGTTCATTGTCCTAATTTCAGTATTGCTGTGTCTCAGGAAATAATAGGGAGGCCCAAGAAAAGGAAGAGAGGCAGGGAAGAGCTCATCGGTGGAGCAGTCAGAACACACACAACATTAATTGATTACGTTCGTCATCTTCTGTGGGCGCAGTTCTTAGTACCCCCAAAACATTTACACAGAACAGGGTGACTATAGTCAATAATAACTTAATCATACATTTAAAAATAACTAAAAGAGTGTAAATGGATTGTTTGTAACACAAGGATAAATGTTTGAGGGGATGGATACCCTATTTTCCACGATGTGATTACTACGCATTTGCATGACTGTATCAAAGCATCTCATGTACCCCATAAGAATATACACCTACTGCGTACCCACAAAATAAAGAACAAAAATTATTTTAAAAGACTAAAAAACAACAAAAACAATTGCAATAATAACATCAAAGCTCACTGATCACAAATCACCATAACAGATATAATAATAATGGAAAAGTGTAAAATTGGTGAGAATTTCTAAAAAAAAATGCAGTATCTGCGAAGCACTACGAAAATGAGGTGCAATAAAACGAGGTATGCCTGTGTGCCCTTAACAAATACTTGCAGAATGAAAGGAGGTAAGGGTGAATGTTCCCGTAAGTGAAGAGGTTGGTAATCTAAACGTCACAACAGAAGGAGCCAGAAGCTAAAAACTTTAATTGGTATTTGTCGTGTATTGGTGTGGGTTTAAGGTCTCAGCCTCTCTAAGCCAGAGAATGTGAAAAACTGGATAAAGAAGGCCCATGGGCACTTGGGAGGGGGGAGGCATCTCCTGCTTTTGAGAAAACAGAGCGTAACACTCTCCAACCTACCCAACCCTCATCTCCCAACTCTTCTCCATCATAGGACCCAAAAGGGGGAAACATGCCTGGACCCACAGACTGCGTGAGAGAAAGCAGCTGGTGATTTATGAAGAGATCAGCGACCCTGAGGAAGATGACAAGTAACTCCATAAGTGAACCTTCGGCTCACCCTCCACATCCCTGCAGATGTGCTATTCTGTTATGGTACTGGTATCCCATCTGTCACTTGTTCCCCAAATCATTCCCTTCTCATAATTTTCTACTGTACAGCATTGAGGCTGAACGATGAGATTTCCCATGCTCTTCCTACTCCCTGCCCTGTATATCCAGGGATCCTCCCTACCCTGGATGCTGTGGGCTCCCAAACCCCAGGTCAGCACTGATATGCGGGCCACACCTTTCTCTAGCCTAGAAATTGATAACTCAGGCGAGGAAGTCACTGTGGCATGAACAGATGGTTCACTTCGAGGAACCGTGGAAGGCGTGTGCAGGTCCTGAGGTAGGGCAGAATCAGAGTGTGCAGGGTCTGCAGGTCAGGAGGAGTTGAGATTGAGTTGCCACGTGGTGGGAACTCACTGCCACTTATTTCCTTCTCTCTTCTTGCCTCAGCCTCAGGGATACGACACATGCCCATGATGAGAAGCAGAACGTGGTGACCTTTCACGAACGTGGGCATGGCTGCGGACCCCTCGTCATCAGGTGTATAGCAAGTGAAAGCAAGTGTTCACAACAGTGAAAAGTTGAGCGTCATTTTTCTTAGTGTGCCAAGAGTTCGATGTTGGCGTTTCCGTTGTATTTTCTTGCAGTGTGCCATTCTGTTAGACATTAGCATTTTCGTTGATGAGCAAGACATGCTTAATGCATATTTCGGCTTGTGTATCCATGCACCTACCTCAGAAAACAAGTATTGTCAGGTATTCTCTCCATAGAACAGCACTACCCTCCTCTCTCCCCAGATGTGACTACTGAGGGGAGGTCTGAGTGTTTAATTTCCGATTTTTTCCTCTGCATTTACACACACACCACACACGCACACACACACACCAAGTACCAGTATAAGCATCTCCCATCTGCTTTTCTCCACTGCCATGTGTCCTGGTCAAGCCCCCCTCACTCTGTTTCCTGTTCAGCATGTACTCCCCTCATCCGATTCCCCTCTATCAGTCACTGACAGTTAATAAACCTTTGCAAACGTTCCCCAGTTGTTTGCACCTCTCATTATTGTGCACACAGCTCTGTGCACGTGTGTGAATATTTCTTTAGGAAAGATTCTTAGAAGTGGAATCGCTGTGTCAAAGGAGTCATTTATTCAACAAAACCCTAATGAGTGCGTCCTCGTGCTGAGCGCTCTTCTAGGTGCTGGAGAGACATCAGGGAACAAGGCAGGCTGATGTTCCTGACCACCATTCTAGAGGAGGATGTCTCCAGTTGTTGGGTTTGTTTGTTTGTTTGTTTGTTTGTTTGTTTGTTTCTTCTAGAGATGGGGGTCTTGCTCTGTCCAGGCTGGAGTGCAGTGGCATGATCATAGCTCAATGCAGCCTTGAACTCCTGGGCTCAAGCGATCCTCCCACCTTGGCCTCCTAAAGTGCTGGGATTACAGGCGTGAGCCGCAGCACCTGGCGTCCAGTTTTTATTTTGATAGAGACTATACACTTCAGTCCTGGAGCAGGATTCTGCAGCAGGTGGTTGGGCATCTCGGCCTTCGCTCTCTGAACGATTTTCGCGTTCTAGGGCTGGGACGGTCCATTTGGGAGTGTGTGGGAGGAGACACAGATGAAATCGTCATCTGGGGAATGCAGAGGAATGAGGGAGATGCGTGCACTGTAGACCCTGTGATGGCCAGGGAATAGAAGAGTCCACTTAGTCTCCATGCAGGGGAGCAACGGTGGGAAAGTCCCCTGGACAGAAGCATGAGACTGCCCATCAAGGGTCTCACCAACCAAGGGCCTGGGGGCTGGGGTGGGGACGATGATTTGGGAATGGGACAGTTCTTTGTCACACGTACCATTGCACGGTGCAGAGGGGAAAGAGTTGTGGGGAGGGGAAGGGCAGAGGGGAGTCTATTTTAGAATAAAACATTTGTGTGTGAATGGAGACATTAAAGCTCCATTCACAAGCGATGGACTTGAAACACCAGCCCCAGGTGGAGGCAGGATCAGAGCTGTTTTGATTGTCCATAGCCCATCACCTTGGCCTCTTGCTTCTCCCCAGCCTTGGAAGGAGGAAACTACCATCATTATGCCTATATGATAGGTGAGAGACGGAGTCCCAGACACATGGTAGGCATCTTGTCACAGGTCCTACAGCTGGCAGGTGCAGGAGGGGCTGAGTTTGGAGCTCACTGACTTCAGAAACATTAAGGAGGACAGGTGTGTGTGGTGGAGGGAGGGAGAATTGAACAAGTCCCAGGTTCTGTCCCCAGTCACAAGGTAGAGGCTGTGGGTTCATTTTCCAAGACAAGGAACCCTTAGAGATGGAGAGTGCAGGGAGGGAGAGGCAATCGTGAACATAGTGGGGACAGTGGGAGACAGAGATGTGCAGCGTGGGGAGAAGAGTGGCAGGCAAAGAAGCAGGGGATACCCAAGATTAAGTGTGGGCTGTCACAGCCACCAGAGGGAGAGGGTGCTAGTAAGGAGGTTGTGGGGCTCCAGGAGCAACAGAGGTTCCCCAGATCTGTGAGCATGCCCTGCCTGGCACTGCAGGAAGAGGTGGCTGCCACCCAGGTCAGTGTGGACGTACCTCTACCTGTGTCTCAGAGGAAACAAATTCTATTTTATCCCAATATAGCTCTGTATTACACAAATGTAACATTCGGCTACTAGATATGGAGTGCCTTATCTTCCATGTAAATACAGCAGAGGATACCCTAAAAGAGATACTGAAGGATTTGATTTTTCTTTCTCCCTGGGAAGATGGAATCCATAAGTTGGGTCCCCAAGCCCACAAGACAGGTGCAAGAAAGGGTGGCTGGAAGATTGTGAGTCATGACAGGGAACATTTTTCCTTAGGTTCCTTGGGTATATAAAGCTCCCGACTATCTGTCTATCATGGATAGATAAAGAGTGAACATGGTCCCCTCTCCACAAATGTGTTTCTCTCCTTCATTATTACTGTGAAGGGCTGAAACTCCATCAAGTTCTGATACATTACTCTTTTTTTTTTTTTTTTGAGATTGAGACTCACTCTGTCACCCAGGCTGGAGTGCAGTGGCGAGATCTCGGCTCACTGCAACCTCCACCTACCAGGTTCAAGCAATTCTCCTGCCCCAGCCTTCCGAGTAGCTGGGAATACAGGCGCGTGCCACCATGACCGGCTAATTTTTGTATTTTTAGTAGATACGGGGTTTCACTATGTTAGCCAGGATGGTCTCCATCTCCTGACCTCTTGATCCACTGGCCTCGGCCTCCCAAAGTGCTGGGATTACAGGCGTGACCCACCACGCCCAGTGATGCATTACTCTTTTGAGTTTTTTCGAGAGAGGATCTCACTCTGTCATCCCGGTTGGAGTGCATTGCTGCAATTACAGCTCACTGCATCCTCGATCTCCCAGGCTCAAGGGATTTTCCCACTTAAGCTTCCGAACTAGCTGTAGCTACAGGCACACACCACCACATCTAGCTAGTTTTTGTATTTTCTGTAGACACAGGATCCCACTATGTTGCCCAGGCTGGTCTCTATCTACTCGGTCCAGGCAATTCTCCTGCCTCAGCCTCCCAAAGTGCTAGGTGCGGTGGCTCATGCCTGTAATCCCAGCACATTGGGATTCCAAGGCGGGCAGATCACTTGAGGTCATGAGTTTGAGATCAGCCTGGCTAACATGGTGAAACCCCCTCTCTACTGAAAATACAAAAATTAGCTTGGTGCGGTGGTGAGCACCTGTAATCCCAGCTAGTTGGGAGGCTGAGGCAGGAGAATCACTTGATTCTGGGAGATGTAGGTTGTAGTGAGCTGGGATCACGCCACTGCACTTCATCCTGGGCAACAGAGCAAGAATCCATCGCAATAAAATCGTAAAAATAAAATAAAATAGAATAAAACAAAACAATTGCTAGTTATTTTTGTATTATGACTTTTGAGCTCCATTCTTGTTGCCTAATATTTGTTAAGTCAGTTCTCCCAACAGGATAATGTTGGCCTAGTGCTTCAAGATGATTGCTAATACAGCTGGGACTAACACGATGAAACTTGATACTGAACTCCAGACAAACCTGCCTGATTTTCTTTTTCCTTCTGGCTCTTTATGGCTCAAATGTGGCCCATGTCCCTGATATAGACCCCTTACCTTTCTCTTGACATAGACCGGCACAGGTCCATCCTGGTATGGAGTGACAATGAAACCTCACTTTCAGATGGCTGATCAGTGAGGTTTTCAAAGAAAGATCTTCATCAAAAGAGGGAATGTGAAAGCTGATTTGTTACAAAGAGCATCTCCTGGGCGGGCGCAGTGACCCACGCTGTAATATCAGCACTTTGGGAGGCCGAGGCAGGCAGATCACTTGAGATCAGGAGTTTGAGACCAGCCTGGCCAACAGGGTGAAACCCCCGTCTCTACTAAAAATACAAAAATTAGCCAGCCGTGGTGGCAGGCTCCTGTGAATTCCAGTTACTGCAGGGGCTGAGGCAGGAGAATCCCTTGAACCTGGGAGACGGAGGGTGCAGTGAGCCGAGATCACGCCACTGCACTCCAGCCTGGGCGACAGAGTAAGTCTCCGTCTCAAAAAACAAACAGCATCTTTCGCCTACAGTGATTTGAGCTGTGGTCTTGTCTCCTTGGGTTTCTCTATCAGTCTGACCCCATCTACTCTATCTCCCAGGAATGCCTCAATATTTCTGGTGGACCACTGACATGTTTTCCTATTTTCCTCTACTGTTAAGAATTGACCCTTGAAAATATTTTCTCCCAGTTCGATAGAATGTTGAGTGGGGCACGGCATCTATCTGCCATCTTGCTCCAATCATCTGGTTTTAGATATTTTATGTACTTTTGTCACTATATAAGTGTATTTTTTCTCAATTTGGTTTTCTAAATGATTGATATTGGTATGTAGAAAACCTATCTATTATTGTATATAATATTTTGTTACCTGTCTGTGTGCAGCTTCCCCTGCATTTTGGCACAAGACTCAATTTGTTTTGTTCTCCAAAAGAAAAGTGACAGGCTGGGTGTGGTGGCTCACACCTATAATCCCACCACTTTGGGAGTCGGAGGCAGGTGGATCTCGTGAGGTCAGGAGTTTGAGACCAGTCTGACCAAGATGGTGAACCACCTTCTCTACTAAAAATACAAATAAAAAATTAGCCGGGCATTGGTGGTGTGCACCTGTATTCCCAGCTACTAGGGCAGCTGAGGCGGGAGGATCACTTGAACTCGGGAGGCCGAGATTGCAGTGAGCCAAGGTGGCACCACTGCATTCCAGCCTGGTGGACAGAAACTCTATCTCTAAATAAAAAGAAAAAGAAAAAAGAAAATTCACTTCACAGGCAGTAGATAGTTATAAAAGGATAATTTATGGGCGATTTCATAGGGGAGACTGATGGAAAAAAAGGAAGTATACATTCTACAGAGCTGAGCAGTTCACTGCAAAAATCACCAGAACTGCCTTTTTCTCCAAAAATATTACCCATAAGCTATTCTACTACTGGTTTTTCTAGTCCTTCCCTCTATTCCAAATCCTCAAAATTGTCCTTTTCCTTATTGGGATAATTTTCCTCTGCCCAGATCTGGGTCCTCCACCACACTTAACACTGTCTGCAAGTGTGTGAATTCCCATTGGCTTTGGGCCATACAGGACACCTCTAGACAGACTATACTGAGAAGCCATGCTTGGAACGGTGCATGGGGAGAGGACAGGAGAGGGAATTTACATACCTGGCTCTCACTCCTGGTTCTTTTACTTATTGGTCAAAATTTACCCCACAGGCACGAACTCCCCCACACTTCTAGATTGCATCATCTGCCCCTTTGGCAGCTGTCTGGGAAGCCAGATCCCACACTTTGAAGTGTAGTGTTTCATACAATCCAAAAGTGGTAGCAGAGGCCAGGCGTGGTGTCACATGCCTGTAACCCCAGCACTTTGAGAGGCCAAGGCGGGCGGATCATGAGGTCAGAAGTTCAAGACTAGCCTGGCGAGCATGGTGAAACCCCGTCTCCACTAAAAATACAAAAATTAGCCGGGCATGGTCGCACGTGCCTATAATCTCAGCTACTTGGGAGGCTGAGGCAGGAGAATCACTTGACCCTGGGAGGCAGAGCTTGCAGCGAGCTGAGATCGCACCATGACACTTCAGCCTGGGTGACAGAGCAAGACTCCATCTCAAAAACAAAATAAAGCAAAACAAACAAAAAATCAAAAAGGTGGTAGCAGAAACCAGAAAGTCCAGGTATGTAGCTAATTGGCCTAGTTGTACAGCAGCAGCCAAGGGTGAAAACTAAATACTCCCAGGCAAGCCCTAAGTTCACCAAGTAATTGGAGTACCCATCTGTGTTAGTTAATTGCCTTTATCTGAAGGAAAAATAAAACTCATATTTCTGTGACAAGCAGGTGCTTACAGCTTGGAGCAAGGCATCTAGGCTAAACTCCCCTGGTGACAGGGAGACAGTGACATCATCTTCCTCGATGTTCACATTTCAAAAAGACGGCTCCAAGGCCCTAAAGAAAGACATTTATAGGGACCGGGCATGGTGGCTCACGTTTGTAATCCCAACACTTTTGGAGGCTGAGGCTGGAGGATCACTTGAGGCCTGGAGTTCAAGTTCAAGACATTCCTGGGTTATAGGGTGGCCAGAGGCTTACATATCAAAGGAGGAATTTACAAGTACAAATTTTTTCGAGGAAATGCTCTAAGGAAAGTGAAGTCTCTTCTTGCCCTTTTGGCAACAGGAAAATCTCAATTTTATGTTTAGTTACCCTTACAATTTCCCCCTTTTGTTATTCTTTTATAGCAACACTGCAATATTCTAATTATCTCCACTGCTGTTTCTTTCTCTGCCTAGTTTACAGCCACCTAGATATCCAACAAGTCCATAGTAAGATGCAAAGCAAAGCAATTGTCAAGATAATAATAGAATGATTTTTTTTTCATGACGGAGTTTTCATCTCATTGCCCAGGCTAGAGTGCAATGGCACGATGTCAGCTCACTGCAACCTCTGTCTCCTGAGTTCAAGTGATTCTCCTGCCTCAGCCTCCCAAGTAGCTGGGATTACAGGCATGAGCCACCAGGCCCAGCTAATTTTGTATTTTTTTGTGGAGATGGGGTTTCACCATGTTAGCCAGGCTGGACTTCAACTCCTCACCCCAGGTGATCTGCCCACCTAGGCTTCCCAAAGTGTTAGGATTACAGATGTGAGCCACCATGCCCGGTCTAGAATGAATTTTTAAATTCAGTATAATAATCACCTTGTCAGGGGGTGGGGCGATCTTTAAACACATCATATTGGTTAATTGTGTCAAAGTCAAAATAAATTATAGAGACAAATCCCTAAATCAAATGCTCTATTTGGGAATCACAAAATTACAATTCAGGGCATACACACAGACTAGGGTGGTCTTCAGTATGTGCAATGAACAAACAGAAGTTGGAAGTTTTATTAGAAAGAAAAATGTTACATATTGTTTAGAAATGAGGCTCATTGGCACTGGAGAAGCTGGTTCATTTGCACAATCAGCTTTCACATTCCCTCTTTTGATGAAGATCTTTCATCAAAGTGTTTCGCACTTTGAACTTGGAGGGCAGCAACAGGGTTGCAGGTGTAAAATAACGGGAAGGCGGGATGCGTGGCTAAATTGCTCTGCGTGCACAAAGAGTAGGAGGTAGGGAAAAGCCACTGGCTTCATCCAGTGGCCAGGACTGGGAGTTTACGTTGTAGCGTTTGAAGGACGGTGGGTCGGTATGCAGACAAACAAGCTGAAAAATAAACGGCGATGTGGGACACACACACCGGGGGTGAAGGGGTATATTAAGTGGTGGCTAACAGGTTGCTTTTTCTGGATGAGTAGACAGTGTCAGTGTGTTGGGAGTGTAGGGGGTGTAGGCTGGGGCCAGGTGCTGTAGGGCCTCCTTGGCCAGGGAGCTCATATTTCATTCTGGACATATGGGAAACCATAAGAAGGATCCGATCTGTAAAGACCAGTCTGAAGCAATCTAGCATTATATAGTAACGTTAAAAATACACATATATTGGGCTGGGTACGGTGGCGTGCGCCTGTAATCTCAGCACTTTGGGACGCCAAGGTAGGCGGATCACCTGAGGTCAGGAGTTCAAGACCAGCCTGGCCAACATGGTGAAACCCCGTCTCTACTAAAAACACCAAAAATTAGCCGGGCTTGGTAGCACGCCTGTGATCCCAGCTACTCTGGAGGCTGAGGCAGGAGAATCGCTTGAACCCGGGAGGCAGAGGTTGCAGTGAGCCAAGATCACACCACTGCACTCCAGCCTGGGCAACACAGTGAGACTCCATCTCAAAAACAAAAAACAAACAAACAACAACAACAACAAAAGGAATGGAGCTTCCCAGTAGACAAGACAAAGAAAGAAAGAAAGTAAAAAAGGAACTCACATCTGTTGCTCCCTGACACATCAGCACCTCCTGGGTATACAATTTATCCACTCTCTCAATGCATTAGGAGGTAGAAAATAGAAAGGGCTGGTCCTTTAGGGCCCATCAAGTGTCGCCCCTTCTAGCACCTAAACGTCATCTCCAACCACCTTGTACACACACACCTACACAAAGGAGGAAATCTTTTAGGGTTGGTGGGAGTTGGGGGGCAGAGGAGCCAGTGATACAGCCCCTCAGAAACTATCTGAGGGCCCACAGTGTGCATGCACAAGCTATGTGAGGCTAACTTTGCTGCTGCAGAGCGAGGACTCCCACTCTCTGTCCTGGGTATCCTCTACCGTCATTCCCTACAGGTGTGACCTCCTCATACAGTAACCTAAGCAGCAGGTGGCTAGGTGAAGGAGAGTGAGAAGCTGACAGGTGGCTGGTCCCACCACAGAGTCTGCATGATATGACATTCCCACCCAAAGACAATGAGAGAAGCCCCCACGTGGCTGGCGAGTCATCATTACAATTGCTCTTATGATACATTTTATCAAGACCACAAAAGCCTTGCCAATTGTGAGCGGTCATTTTGGACCAGAAGCAGCAGGTGAGGCTGACAGAGCAACAGCACAGAAGGAGCCAGGTCTCTGGTGACCTTGGAGCTACCACACTAGCCCTGGATTACCTGCCTCCAAAAGAGGAATCTGCTTCCCTCCTCTTGAAGCCACTGGTGTTTGTGGTGGGGTTGGTGCGTGCAGCCAAATCAAATCCTGAGCAATCCATCAGATGCTTCTGTGTTGGCCAATGTGAGTGTCAGTGAACAGGAGATACATGGGACTGGTGGGTGAGGGGCATGAATAATGGTGACTGAAGGGCAAATTGGGAGTAAATGAGAGCAAGGAGAGGCAAAGGGCAATGGAATGGAGGTGAATGAACACCAGAGTGGAGTGGATGTGGGCCAAAGTGAGGGAATGACTATGCATGCATTCAATTATGAATGAATTTGAGATTATGATGAGATTAAGTAAATGATGGGAAATGAGGCACAGTCTCAGTGGAAAAAAGGTGAAAGTGGGAGCAGACTCTGAATGAATGGGGCAACTGAAGGGGGTGAATGTGAGTGGAGTTTATGTGAGTACTGAGGATTAGAGTGTGAATGAATGGTGGTTTTATGAGGCACAAGATGAATGAAGAGAGGGGAATTTAGGGAGACAGTAGGAGTGAATGGGGGTAATGTGGGAAAGAAAGGAAGAATGGGGTGCGGGAGGGACACAATAAAAGAGTGGAGATGGAAGCCCCCCTTGAATGTGAAGCAGGCCGAGTTTGAGTGTGGGTGCTACGAGGGAGAAGGATGACTAGAGATGACTGGGATTACATGGGCGTTATACAGGGTAGTAGCCCAGGAACGTGGGTGCACAGGGATCCCAGTGGGAATCGGCAAATGTGAATGAGCTGAAGAGTGCACATGAATGGAGGTGATGTTGGGCAGAGTGAGAGGGAATGAAAGTGAAGAGCAGAGGATGGGTGAACGTGGGTATTGTGAGGCAGAGAGTGGATGAAGGCTTCATGGCCTCGGGTGAGTAAAGCGAGGAAACATGGGGAGCCCGATGTGAGCAAAAGTAACGAATTTGAGGCACAGCGTGACAGAATGCGGGTACTGGGAGGCAGAATGGCAGCCATGAATCAGGAGCAGAATATGAGCAAGAAGAGGGTGATAGGGGTTACAGTGGGAATAGATTTAAAGGAATGAGGCAGTGAGAGGCAGAGTAAGAGTAAATGGAAACAATGAAGAGAAAACTGAGAAAGAACAGTGACTGGAGTGCAGTGGTGCGATCTTGGCTCACTTAGCGTAGGCTAAGTATATGTGGGTAACTTCAGCTAGTGTTTGGGAGTAATAGGGACAGAGCTCCAGGAAATGGGGGTGTTCCTGGGACAGCATCTGAGAGAATAGAGGTGAAGGAGGGGCAGAGGGGGAGTGAAGGGGGGAAATAATGAGGCCCCGGGTCAATGAAAGAAGCTGAAGGCTGGGCCACGTGCGAGTAAGCCAGAGTCATTTGATGCAGGGGCGGGAAATAGAGGCAAAGATAGGAAATGAGTCTGAGTGAGAGTGAGT
Organism: Homo sapiens; assembly: GCF_000001405.40. Lineage (NCBI taxonomy): Eukaryota > Metazoa > Chordata > Mammalia > Primates > Hominidae > Homo > Homo sapiens. Next base: position 48,130,148 of record NC_000023.11, read on the forward strand.
GGGGTGAAGAAGGAATATGACATGAAAGAATTTGGGTAATGCTAAGTAGACTGTGAGGAATTGCGATAATATGAGGCCCAGTATGGGTGAATATAAGTGGCTGAAAGGCAGTGTAAGTGAATGGAGGAACAAAAGGCAGAATGAGAATGAAGTTGAAAAAGCAGTCAAGCATAAGAATGTATATGTAATATGCCATTTGTAATATGAAATGTGGGGCACATTCCAGTAAATTAGGATGGAACAGCACTTTAAGTGCAGAGAGGTGAACAAGGTACCAAGGATGAGTGCTATGGTTTGAATGTGTGCCTTCCAAAATTCAGATGTCAGAAACTTAATCCCCAATGCAACAGTGTTGGGAGGTGGGGCCTTTAATCCCCAATGCAACAGTGTTGGGCGATGTTGAGGCTTCTGTGTTGCGCGTTCCAGAATCTACCACTTAGACCTTTGCTCATAGAGCCCAGAGTTCCAGAATGCCCCTAATTCCGAACACCACAGGGTGAGTCTGGAGCAAGTCACCTGGGAGGGCTTACAGGTGCCATAATGAAGGCCTGGGGCACTGTGGTAGTGACCTTGGCCACGCTGATGGTTGTCACTGTGGATGCCAAGATCTATGAACGCTGCGAGCTGGCGGCAAGACTGGAGAGAGCAGGGCTGAACGGCTACAAGGGCTACGGCGTTGGAGACTGTGAGAATCCAGTTGCCCCAAATCCCATCCAAACCCTGAGCCACCCGCCACATTCAGACCCAGGCCCCTTCTTGTCCTTTATCACCTCTCCAGGCCTGGGCATGATCCCTTGAGTCACTCCCTGACTGACTATGCTGAGTAGTTTAACTAACTCTAACACCACCACCATTATTGCCTTCACAACCATCACCTCCATCTCTGCCATCAACACCATCACTACAATCAATATCATCACCACTGTTACCATCATGAATACCATCGCTACCACCATCACTGATGTCTCACCAGAATCACCAACATCACCACCACTAAACCAAGATCACCACCCTCACAACTGAGATGACAACCATCCCTGTCCTCCCCCCATCCTATCCTTCCCTATTCCCAAGCTCTATACCTACTCCCTGCCTCCCTTCTCCCTGCCCCAGGGCTGTGCATGGCTCATTATGAGAGTGGCTTTGACACCGCCTTCGTGGACCACAATCCTGATGGCAGCAGTGAATATGGCATTTTCCAACTGAATTCTGCCTGGTGGTGTGACAATGGCATTACACCCACCAAGAACCTCTGCCACATGGATTGTCATGGTAAGTCAGCACTGGGGACCCACTGAAGCCCTGCTGGGCCCTACTCTCCCACACATGGAGGGCAAGGTTGTTTAAGCCATAATCTCCTGCAACAAGAGAAAAATGATGGGAAAAGGAGAAAAGTTGCCTGAGCTATTAAAGACACCATCCTCTACCCCTACCCAGACTATCCTGAGAGGTTGTTTAGGACAGAAGAGCTCAGAGCTCCCAATCCTCACCCAGAATGGACACTGCAGTTTTCTTAGACTCAGGAAACAGGAAACTTACCTCCATGTGGAACAGAGTTAGAAACTGTCCTGATTTGGGGTTGAGGTTACCCAGGCCCCGAGGAAAGAAGCAGAGTGTCTGGTTCTAGAAACAGAAACAGATAACCTCCATGCAGAAATGACAGAACTTTCCAGATAAGACTGGTGGTGTTGAGGACAAAATAGAATAGCCGTTAAAGTTGTTCAGTGTTGGCCAAAATGGTGGTTGAGGTTGTCCAAGACAGGAAAAAATGGAGACTGAGGTTATTTGGGGCCAGCCCAAATGGAGGTTGAGGTTGTCCAGGACCAGACAGTATGGAGGTTGGGGTTATTCATAACTAGCCAACATGACAATCTAGATCATCCAGGATCAGTCAACATGAGTTAAGGTTGTACAGAACCAGCTAACATGGTGATTAAGATCATTCATAACCAACTGACAAGAGAATCAAGGTCATCAAGAATCAGTCAACATAGTGGTTGAGGTTCTTCAGGCCCCAAGGAACCCAAAACCCTTGGGCCCTCCATTCACTGTTATCCTATCCCCAGTGCACCAGACCACCATGTCCCTCTCTTCCCCCTCAGACCTGCTCAATCGCCATATTCTGGATGACATCAGGTGTGCCAAGCAGATTGTGTCCTCACAGAATGGGCTTTCTGCCTGGTAAGTTCATGGGGATGGCCCAGGCCATGGGCAGCCAGGGATAGTGTCACTGCCACCCCATCAACCTGTCCACTTCATCCTCTCTCCTTTCCTTCATTTCCCAGGACTTCTTGGAGGCTACACTGTTCTGGCCATGATTTATCTGAATGGCTCAAGGGGTGTGATATGCATGTGAAAATTGATCCAAAAATTCATCCATGACTCAGATTCGAAGAGACAGATTTTATCTTCCTTTCATTTCTTTCTCTTGTGCATTTAATAAAGGATGGTATCTATAAACAATGCAAAAGATGCTCTGATGTCTGACTCTCTTCATTTATTCAATGCCTGGAGGTACCCTCATTCCGTCACTTCCTCCATGTATTCAAAGCTCTAATTAAGAAATACCAGATCACTCAGAGTGGGGAAGGAAGGGAGGATAGTGTTGTGAATCAAGAGCATGTTGTTCTCCTGGGTTCAGAAGCCATCTCTACCACCTACTAGCTGTGTTGCCTTGGAAGAGATACTTAAATTCTCTGAGCCTCAGTTTCCTCATCTGTTAAATAAGGATGATAATAGTAACTACTTGATGGGGTTATTGGGAGGATTAAATGAATTAATATTTGTAAAACGCATAAAGTGCTTGGTACATAAGACAGTTGTAGGTTTGGAGATAGAGGAGTGGGATGGGAGAGATGAAAATTGGCTTCCCTTAAAAAGAATCACTCTCGGTGGGGTGCAGTGGCTCATGCCTGTAATCCCAGCACTTTGGGAGGCCAAGCCAGGTGGATCATGAGGTCAGGAGTTCGAGACCAGCCTGGCCAATATGGTGAAACCCCATCTCTACTAAAAATACAAAAAAAAATTTAGCCGGGTGTGGTGACATGCACCTGTAGTCCCAGCTACTCAGGAGGCTGAGGCAGAAGAATCGCTTGAACCCAGGAGGCGGAGGTTGCAGTGAGCCGAGATCGCACCACTGCACTCCAGCCAGGGTAACAGAGCGAGACTCCGTCTCAAAAAAAAAAAGGGTCTTTATTTAAGGCAGATACAGTCTCTTCAGGGGAGAATGAATCTAATAGGATTGTGCTTACACAGGAAGCTCAGTGGGAATCAGGAGTTAAAGGTACGTTTCCCCACATCCTCCCACATAACACCATTCTTCCAGCCCCCAGCCCCTCTTTCATGATCAAAGTCTGAAGTTTAAAATGACAGAGCGGGAATGTAGGCAAAACATTCAATGGACACACGTGGTAATAATTTCTTCTTACAGAGTGCCTGAGTGTCACTTTGTGTCTTGAGCAGAGAATTTAGGAATTTCAATTTGCCATTCTTTGCAATGGCCAGCACCTTTGGAAGCAGCCACTCCCATAAGGAAGCAGTCCCTCATGTTCTTTGTACTCTTTGATTGGGGTGGATACTCAAGCACCTGAGACCTTGAAGTGTTCACTTCAACCAGGATAATCACAGATGAGCATGAAAACAGCTAGCTGCCACTGCATGCCAAGGAATGCCGGAGCCCCCTTCCTTAATGCCAACTGGATTTCCCCCGCCTTGCACCCCAACCAGCCTAGGTAATCAAATCTCACATCTCCCTGTGGGTCCATAAAGAGTGCCAACACTTTGGGTACTGATTTCTTGTTTTTTCTTATTTTCTTTCCTTCTTTCCTTTCTTTTTTCTTTTCTTTTTCTTTCTTTTTTTTTTTTTTTGAAATGGAGTCTCGCTCTGTTACCCAGGCTGGAGTGCGGTGGCTCACTGTAACCTCTGCCTCCCGGGTTTAAGCGATTCTCCTGCCTCAGCTTCCCGAGTAGCTGGGATTACAGGCGCCCACTACCACGCCTGGGTAATTTTTGTATTTTTAGTAAAGACGGGGTTTCACCATGTTGGGCAGGCTGGTCTTGAACTCCTGACCTCAGGTGATCCACCCGCCTCAGTCTCCCAAAGTGCTGGGATTACAGGCGTGAGCCACCACACCCGGCCTAAAGTATATTTTTAATTGTTGTTTTTTAATGGCTATCTTTAAATCTGTAACTTCCTATAATTTGATAAACCCTTTTGTTCTTGTATGGCACTTATTCTCCATTATGACAAAACAGCGATTTTTAATAATAGTAGATTTTATTAATTTTTCTATGAGAGTTTGGTATTAAATCTGGAGACATTTTTCCTGAGTATCATTTCCAAGGACTATGCTTATTTAATTAATTAAATTGGGTTTCCTTTAATACCTGCATCTAGATTTATGGTGAGGTTTGGCTTCCAACTGACAGCCCTCATACCTTCAAGGCCACAAAAGGTGCCTCTTTAGCTGGTCATCAGCTTGCCAGGCTTCTAGAAAGAATAATAATAATCCACACTCTAGCCTGTGAATACAGCTTTGTCAGAAGTAGGTCTCTGGTGGGACTGACTTTTCTTTCAAGCCTATATACCAGTCAGAAAGAAATTCCAAGTACATTTCTTTCCTACACCCTGAGCTTGAGAAAACAAACAAACAAACAAACAAACCCAAGTTGCTCTAATAGAAATTGGAATGGGAAAGTGATGATAAATATAAGTGAATTTGATTGTTTAAGAAAAATACTTTAAAAGTGGGGAGAGGCTGGGCACGGTGGCTCATGCCTCTAATCCAAGCACTTTGGGAGGCCGAGGTGGGCGGATCATGAGGTCAGGAGATCGAGACCATCCTGGCTAACATGCTGAAACCCCGTCTCTACTAAAAATACAAAAAACTAGCCGGGCGTGGTGGCGGGCACCTGTAGTCCCAGCTACTCGGGAGGCTGAGGCAGGAGAACGGCATGAACCCGGGAGGCGGAGCTTACAGTGAGCTGAGATCCCGCCACTGCACTCCAGCCTGGGGCGACAGAGTGAGGCTCTGTCTCAAAAAAAAAAAAAAAAGAAGATATTTCTGAGCTTTCAAAGATGTCCAGCCCTCACTGACCCACTGCAGTATCCTTCTCATCACTTCCCATCTGCTTGCTTGCTTGCTTTCTTTCTTTCTTTCTTTCTTTCTTTCTTTCTTTTCTTTCTTTCTTCCTTCCTTTCTTTCTTTCTGACAAGGTCTCACTCTGTCACCTAGGCTGGAGTGCAGAGGTGTGATCTCGGCTCACTGCAACCTCCGCCTCCCGGGTTCAAGCGATTCTTGTGCCTCACCCTCCCAAGAAGCTGGGACTACAGGCATGGCCACCATACCCAGCTAATGTTTGCATTTTTAGTAGAGAAGGGGTTTCACCATGTTGGCCTAGCTGGTCTCAAACTCCTGACCTCAAATGATTCACACGCCTTGGCTTTCCGAAGTGCTGGGATTACAGGCGTGAGCCACTGTGCCTGGCCTGCTCATTTCTTTCTTAGCTGTACAACTCAAACTTGGGACTTCTCTCTCTGTGATCCAAAGTCCTCCTTCCTCCAAAGAGGCAATCACATCTGGTTTGGTCACGGGATACCCTGTAACGGAAAATGATACAAGACTTGGGCACGTCTGTGTGGGCTTTGGGACCTCAAAAAGTTAGGAAGGCACATATTCATGAGGCTAAATTTCACATAGGAGATGAAAATAGAAACACCTTGTTCAGTCTAGGAGGGATTAAGCATCTTTAATCCCTAGAACCTGAGGTCAAAATATTGAAGCACTTCAGAGATGGAAAGTTATTCTACTGGATATACCATGAATTACTCAGAGAAGCCATCCTCACCCACAGAGACCAGATGGCTGTAGTTCTGTAGTATCACATCTTTATATCTCTCTATATTTCTCTAGCATCACACGGTCCTCTGAGGAGGATCCAGTCAATTCCACCACTCCTGGGTGAAATCCGCAAGACACATCGTCAAATGACACGATCCCTGTAACGGAATGCTTCTATTCAATTGGTTGGATAAAAATTAAAATGATAATACTTTTTAAAATAAAGAAAATATTCTTCAGAGAGAAGCTACTCTTTAACCATTTCAAAAAGGGCTTTTCTGAGATATTCGCAATACCTATATATAGCAAAGGACTTTTATACTACAGAAACTATAAAGAACTCCTACAAACAATAAGATAAATATAGATAGATAATCCAGTAGAAAAAAACAGAAAAAAAGATTTGAACAGGTAATTCACAAAAGAGGATATCCAAATGGCCAATAAATGTATGAAAAGGTGCTCACCATCATTAGTCATCAGAGAAAGGCAAACTTAAACCACAGTGAGATACCACTATATGCCAACAGAAAACTGAAATTAAGACCAACAACCTTCAGCTTTCCTGAAAGGCTCTTTGAATTCTTTTTTTTTTTTTTTTTTTTTGAGATGGAGTTTTGCTCCCATCACGCAGGTTGGAGTGCAGTGGCACGATCTCGGCTCACTGCAACCTCCGCCTTCCAGTTTCAAGAGATTCTCCTGCCTCAGCCTCCGAAGTAGCTGGGATTACAGGCGCCCGACACCACGCCCGGCTAATTTTTGTATTTTTAGTAGAGTCAGAGTTTCACCATGTTGGTCAGGCTGGTCTCAAACTCCTGACCTGGTGATCCACCCGCCTCGGCCTCCCAAAGTACTGGGATTACAGGCGTGAGCCACCCCACCAGGCCCAGCTATTTGCATTCTATTTGAGTCTTTCTCCCCCTAAATCCTGGATCTGCTACCCTTCCAATTTCCTTCCAAGTGTTGGCCGGATGTAGAGCAACTGAAGCTCTCATACATTGTTGGTGGAAGTAAAATGGTGTAGGCACTTAACAGATTGGTAGAATCTACTAAAGCTGAACATCTAAATTAACATCTAAGTTAGTTTATCTAACTTATCTCATCTGCAAGAGGTAGATGATACACCTAACCTAGGATCCAGCAACTCCACTCTTAGGTATATATCCAATGGAAATGCACACATATGTTCACCAACACATGCACAAGAATACTCACAGAAGCATTATTTGTAATAGCTAAAATGGAATATCCACCAGCAGGGGAATGGATTAACAACTGTGTTATATTTATACAAAAGGAATAGTGAATAGTATGGAAAAAGAACAAACTACTGACACATAAGGTAACAAGGATGGATCTCAAAAACATTATGGTAAGTAAAAGAAGCCAGACCCAAAAGAATAATAATGTATAATTCCATTTATATGACATTCAAGAACTGGCAAAAATAATCTATGGTGATAGAAATCAGAAAGTCGTTAGCTGTGAATCAAGAGATAGTGATTGGAAGTGGCATGATGAAGGCTTCTGGGTGGCTTGTCATTTCCTGCTTTTTGATACAGGTATGGGTTACAAAGGTGTTTTCACTTGGCAGAAGTTCATTAAACCATATACTTTATACACTTTTCTCTGTATGTTCTGCTTCAATAAAAGGTCTGACCCAAAACATTTTTAACTAAGTTAGTTTTCCATACAAGGTTTTAAAAAACAGTAAGAGGGCCGGGCACAGTGGCTCATGCCTGTAATCCCAGCACTTTGGGAGGCTGAGGCAGGTGGATCACATGAGGCCAGGAGTTCGAAACCAGCCTGGCCAACATGGTGAAACCCCGTCTCTACTAAAAATACAAAAATTAGCAGGGCATGATGGCACGTACCTATAATCCCAGCTACTCAGTAGTCTGAGGCAGGAGAATGGCTTGAACCCGGAGGCAAAGGTTGCAGTGAGCCAAGATTGCGCCACTGCACTCCAGCCTGGGTAACAGAGCGAGACTCTGTCTCAAAAAAAAAAAAAAAAGGAAAAAGGAAAAAGGCCAGGCGTGAGGCTCACGTTTATAATCTCAGCACTTTGGGAGGCCAAGGCAGGTGGATCACCTGAGGTCAGAAGTTCGAGACCAGCCTGGCCAACGTGGTGAAACCCCATCTCTATTAAAAATCCAGAAAATATTAGCTGGGTGTGGTGGAGCATGCCTGTAACCCCAGCTACTTCGTAGGCTGAGGCAGGAGAATCACTTGAACCTGGGAGGGGGAGGTTGTAGTGAGCTGAGATCGTGCCATTGCACTCCAGCCTGGGCAACAAGAGCTAAACTCCGTCTCAAAAAAAAAAAAAAAAAAAAAAAAAGTAAGAGAAAGATTTAAAAATCCCACAGGAAAAAGAGTAGCATTTGGGAAAGAATGATTCACAAAAGAAATATAAAAAGAAAAACGTATGAAAAGATACTCAATTTCATTGACAAACACAAAAGAAATGAGATATTTTCAACTATCAAATGGCAAGGATTAGCTCTCCCTCTCCCTCTCCATCTCCCTCTCCCTCATCCCTCTCCCTCATCCCTCTCCCTCTCCCTCTCCATCTCCCCCTCCCCCTCCCTCTCCCTCTCCCTCTCCCCTTTGCACGGTCTCCCTCTGGTGCAGAGCCGAGGCTGGACTGTACTGCCGCCATCTCGGCTCACTGCAACCTCCCTGCCTGATTCTCCTGCCTCAGCCTGCCGAGTGCCTGGGATTGCAGGCGCGCGCCGCCACGCCTGACTGGTTTTCGTATTTTTTGGTGGAGACGGGGTTTCGCCGTGTTGGCCGGGCTGGTCTCCAGCTCCTAACCGCGAGTGATCTGCCAGCCTCGGCCTCCCGAGGTGCCGGGATTGCAGACGGAGTCTCGCTCACTCAGTGCTCAATGTTGCCCAGGCTGGAGTGCAGTGGCGTGATCTCAGCTTGCTACAAACTCCACCTCCCAGCTGCCTGCCTTGGCCCCCCAAAGTGCCGAGATTCCAGCCTCTGCCTGGCTGCCACCCCGTCTAGGAAGTGAGGAGGGTCTCTGCCTGGCCGCCCATCGTCTGGGATGTGAGGAGCCCCTCTGCCTGGCCGCCCAGTCTGGGAAGTGAGGAGCGCCTCTTCCCGGCCGTCATCCCGTCTAGGAAGTGAGGAGCGTCTCTGCCCGGCCGCCCATCGTCTGGGATGTGGGGAGCGCCTCTGCCCCACCGCCCCGTCTGAGATGTGAAGAGCGCCTCTGCCCCGCCTCGACCCCGTATGAGAAGTGAGGAGCCCCTCCGCCCGGCAGCCGCCCCGTCTGGGAAGTGAGGAGCATCTCCGCCTGGCAGCCGCCCCATCCGGGAGGGAGGTGGGGGGGTCAGCCCCCGCCCGGCCAGCCGCCCTGTCTGGGAGGTGGGGGGCAGCCCCCGCCCGGCCAGCCGCCCCATCCGGGAAGTGGGGGGCAGCCCCCGCCCGGCCAGCAGCCCCATCAGGGAGGTGGGGGGCAGCCCCCACCAGGCCGCCGCCCCGTCTGGGAGGTGGGGGGCGCCTCTGCCCGGCCACCCCATCTGGGAAGTGAGGAGCCCCTCTGCCCAGCCGCCACCCCGTCTGGGAGGTGTACCCAAGAGCTCATTGAGAACGGGCCATGATGACGATGGCGGTTTTGTCGAATAGAAAAGGGGGAAATGTGGGGAAAAGAAAGAGAGATCAGATTGTTACTGTGTCTGTGTAGAAAGAAGTAGACATAGGAGACTCCATTTTGTTCTGTACTAAGAAAAATTCTTCTGCCTTGGGATGCTGTTAATCTATAACCTTACCCCCAGCCCCGTGCTCTCTGAAACATGTGCTATGTCCAGAAACGGTTAAATGGATTAAGGGCGGTGCAAGATGTGCTTTGTTAAACAGATGCTTGAAGGCAGCATACTCGTTAAGAGTCATCACCACTCCCCAATCTCAAGTACCCAGGGACACAAACACTGCGGAAGGTGGCAGGGCCCTCTGCCTAGGAAAACCAGAGACCTTTGTTCACATGTTTATCTGCTGACCTTCCCTCCACTATTGTCCTATGACCCTGCCAAATCCCCCTCTCCGAGAAACACCCAAGAATGATCAATAAATACTAAAAAAATTAAAAAAAAAATGGCAAGGATTAAAACCATGACAAGAAGATTAGAAAGGGTATTTTCATTCATTATTAGTGGGGGGTGTCAACTTGTACTAACTTTTCAAAAGGCAATTTGGCAATGTCTATGAAAGTTCAAAACGTGCCCACCTTTTGAACCAGACACTCTAGAAATGCTCACCACTGTGTACAAAGATAGATGACAAGATAAAAAAAAAAACCAGGTACTGCTGAGGTTGTAGAGAAAAGGGAATGCTTATACACTGTTGGTGGGAATGTAAATTAACTCAACCATTGTGAAAAGCAGCGTGGCAATTCCTCAAAGAGCTAAAGAGAGAATTACCATTCAACCCAGCAATCTCATCACTGGGTATACAGCCAAAGGAATATAAATTGTTCTACCACAAAGACGCATGCATGCATATGTTCACTGCAGCACTATTCACAATAGCAAAGACATGGAATCAGCCTAAATGCCCATCAATGGTAGTCTGGACAAAGAAAATGTGGTACATATACACCATGGAATACTATGCAGCCATCAAAAAGAATGAGATCAGGCCAGGTGCAGTGGCTCATGCCTGTAATCCCAGCACTTTGAGAGGCCAAGGTGGGAGGATCATGTGAGCCCAGGAGTTCAAGACCAGCCTGGACAACATAACAAGACCTCATCTGTAGACCTCGTCTCTACAAAAAAATAATAATAACAATTTTAAAAAGAACAAGATCATGTCCTTTGCAGCAACATGAATAGAGCTGGAGGCCAGCAACATGAATAGAGCTGGAGGCCATTATCCTTAACACACTAACACAGGAACAGAAAACTAAATACTGCATGTTCTCACTTATAAGTGGGAGCTAAATGATGAGAACTAATGGACACAAAGAGAGGAACAACAGACACTGGGGCCTACTTGAAGGTGGAGGGTGGGAGGAGGGAGACGATGAAAAAAAAAATAACCATTGGGTTTAGTACCTTGGTGATGAAATAATCTGTGCAACAAACCCCCGTGACATGAGTTTACCTATATAACCAACTTGCACATGTACCCCTGAACCTAAAATAAAAGTTAAAGAAAAAGACGACAAGAGAGATCACTGCCACACTGTAGCAGAAATTACACAGAAGTCCTTCAATATGGGGCTGATTAATAAATCGTAGTACATGCATACAAGAAAAAAAAGCATCTCTTAAAAATATCTCTATGTCCTGATACTGAAATACCTTCCATCAACAAGTGTTCATTAAGTAGGGGCTATTCCAGCTATGCCAGTGAGCAGCTGTGCAAGCCCATGCAATCTGCTTATCCACTCTGGTACTCAGCTTCCTTAGCTGTAAGAGGTAGATAAAAATGGTACCTACTTCCTAAGGTCATTGTGAGAATTAAAAGTGATCATGCATATATAATGCTTAGTATGGTGTCAGGTGCAGTGTGAGCTCACTACATGTCGGCTCTTGTTGTGTCACTTTTGTTATCGTTATCATTTGTATTATCATTATCATTACCACTATGACCATTATTAATACTATTCTGGAAAGGGCAAATGGAATGGCAAAACAGTTTTACATAATGAGCAGATTTTAGCAAAACGAAGACATTTACATACGTATATATTTATATGTGTATGTAAATATAAAGAGAAAGAACAAGGGGGAGAGAGAGGTGTATAGGTGGAAATTAACCAAATTCATCAGAAATTGGTTATTTGGAATGAGTGGTGATATGAGATTATAAGTGAATTTCCCCTTTCAGATTGTATATTCCTCAAGAGTTTGGATTTTTGGTGTGCTACTTCTAAATCACTTCTGTAGGAAGAGAAAAAAATGACAAAATAATATAGACTTTCTTAAAAAGGGCAGAAGGGAAAGTACTGAACACGCTTAGGGACATCATGAATTCTGAGCCTAAAAAGGAAAAGGGCAGACCTTTGGGTTGCTCAGGCTGTTCTGAAACCCCAGATGTGGAAAAACTACATATAGATCAGAAAAGAATTTGAAGGGCATGAGGTTTACTGATTCTTCCTGATGATCAAGGTCCATATATTGAGCCAGAACATAAGAGCTATTTGTGCAGACATGGCTTTGATTTCCTGAAGAGTCACATATTTTTAGTTCTGCTTTAGCAGGACACCTTTGGTTGACATGCAGACATATTTTAAGTCACAGCAGAGCAATCCTATCTCTGTATTTATCACAAGATTGCTGATAAGGGACTTGGCTGACGCATCAGAGAACTGTCTTATCAAAGAAATCTTTGCTTCTGAGGAAGTGGCTTACTTTCTCTGTATGGGTGAGATAAATAAAGCAAATGAGCTTTTTTCCCCCTCTATGTTGTGGCTTCTAGGAAGCTCAGAAAAATAACTGTAGCTCAACATAATTATGTAGAATCCTATGATCTACATATAGACATTTCAACCTGGCCTTGGTTTTGCTCTACTTCCCTATTCCTTTTTATGTGTTTATATGTATCCATTTTATGGTATTAATAATAATATAATAATAATATTAAACTCATATATAAGACTTACGTGTGTGCCAGGCATTGTTGTAAACACTTATATTGACTCAATTGATCTACACAACAACCATACAAGGCAGGTATTATTATTATTATCATTAACATCATCATCCCTATTTTACAGTTAGAGAAACTAAGGCACAAAGAGGTTAAATGACGACTCTGTCCGCAGACCACCAGCCCTCTCACTTCCGTTCGATGTAAACTCTCTGCCCTGCCTCATACCCTGCTCTGATGTTAAGATCCGAATGCTTATTCAGGCAAGGTCCCCTTGTGTTTCCAAAATCAGTCACAACTTCCTCTGACAGCCACCTTTTTCCGACCTTTATCCTGCATTAGGTACTGCCAGTCACTATACTTGCTCATGCGCAGTACCGTTCCCAAAGCCGTCGGCACTAGCAGCCAAAGTTTCTTTCTTATGATAATGGCATTAATCACTTCCTAACAGCCCCACCTCTCAATATTGTTACAATGGCAATTAAATTTCAACACGTGTTTTGGTGAGGACATTCAAACCATGGCAGTCATACTGCCTTCTTCTCTTCTGTCTGTGTCAGATCTCCCTGCCTCAATCTGATAAGGACACTCATTATTACATTTAGGGCCCACCCAGATAATCCAGGAGAATATCCCCTTCTCAGGATCTTTAACATAATTACTTTTTATTTTTTTTTTTGAGATGGAGTCTCACTCTGTCACGCAGGCTGCAGTGCAGTGGCATGATCTCGGCTCACTGCAACCTCTGCCTACCAGGTTCAAGCAATTCTCTGCCTCAGCCTCCTGAGTAGCTGGGATTACAGGTGTCCACCACCATGCCCAGCTAATTTTTGTATTTTTAGTAGAGACGGGGGTTTCACCATATTGGCCAGGCTGGTCTTGAACTCCTGACCTAGTGACCCACCCACCTCGGCCTCCCAAAGTGCTGGGATTATAGGCGTGAGCCACCATACCTGGCCAACATAATCACATTTTTTGTTGTAAGTTAACACTCACAGGTTCCAGGGGTTATATGTCGCTATCTTTTGGAGGGGCGTTGTTCAGTCTACCACAGCCTGCCCTCTGGCCCCCAAGTATTCACATCTCTCCCACATGCAAAATACATGCGCCCCATCCCCAAATCCTCAAATGTCTCAAACCGTGCAACGTTAGCTGAAGTCCAACATCTTATCCATATAAGATCAGCTCAAAAGTACCAAGTCTCCTCATCTAAAACAGATATGGATGAGACTCTGGTTGTGAAACATCCTGGGGCAAAATTCTCCTGCCATGAATTTGTGACACTAGAAAGCAAGCTATCTGTTCCAAAAATACTGTGGCGAGACAGGTGTAGGAAAATAGTTACGGATATTTCCATTTCAAATGGGAGAAACTGGAAGAAAGGAAGGAGTCACTGCTCCCAACCATTTTGAAATCTAGCAGGACAAATTCCATTTGGTTTCAAGGGTTCAGAATAATCCTCTGTAGCTTGAAGCTCTCCCCTCTGGTCCCATAGCCCTCCTCTCAGAATGTATGTCATAGTGATTCACACCCTTAGATCAGCAGGTCCTTTTGTATCTTTCCCAGATAATATCATTTCTATTAGCAGCTATGGCTGAGCATAGTGGAAGAGCTCCTTGAGTCACGTGCCTGATCTCTTCAGCACTAGCAAACATAGACACATTCTTGACATTGTCTCTAGAGCATACCTTCCTGACAGTGCCTCTCCTAATTTTAGTGTCTTTTGCAATCTTGATAGGCTGAGAATTTCCCTGGACCTTTTTTGCTTAACAGTCCTTTCCTCAGTTTATCCCTTTCCTCTAACATTTTACTAGTGCTTGGATTGGAGTCCAATATAAAAATGAAAAATATAGGACTAAGATGGGAGGTAAAAAAATGATGGACTTTCTAGGCAAGTTGTTGAGGTTTTCTGAAGGATGAGCCTTGGGAAGGGAGTCTTATATATGATCAGATTGGTGGGATTAAAAAGAAATTTTTTATCAGTTTTTCTAAAAATCCAACATTAGTGTCAAGTGTGCACTGAAGCAGGGCGAGTCTACTCCTCTAGGTTTGAAATAGGTTTTCTTAACATGTTGATCTGTTTTTCTTTATCTTTTAAATAACCTGTCTGAAAAAACAGGGATTTTGTGTTTTAAGATAGTTTCCTAACTGCATTTATTAGGTTTTTGTTTTTGTTTTTGTTTTTGTTTTCTGAGATGGAGTCTCACTCTGTTGCCCAGGCTGGAGTGCAGTGGTGCGATCCAGCCACTGTAGTAAGCAAGGTTGCTCACTGCAACCTCCACCTCTCAGGTTCAAGTGATTCTTGTGGCTCAGCCTCTCGAGTAGCTGGGATTACAGGTGCCCACCACCACACCCGGCTAATTTTTGTCTTTTTAGTAGAGATGGAGTTTCACCATGTTGGCCAGGCTGGTGTCCAACTCCTGACCTCAAGTGATCTGCCTGCCTTGGCATCCCAAAGTGCTGGGATTACAGGCATAAGCCACTGCACCCAGCTATAATTAGCAATAATATAATAAATTTAGTTTGTACAATGGTTTTGAACCAAGATCCCAAGCCTAGGGGCCACCAGCTAAACAAATCACAAGACTATGGGGCAATTGAATGAGACCTCTTGCAGTCTTTGAGTAGCATTTTAGGACTGGGTTGAATTAAAGTAGAGTGCCGACTCTATAAAAGGGACCACTAGGTGAAGGAAAGGATTTGGGGGTCAGGTTCTGTCAAGTGAAAAATGTAGACATTAAGGGGATAAGAGTCTTATTATGATATGAAGAGTAATTCTGACATCTTGGGAAAGCTGTCTACAGTGTGGAAACATCAATTTCTCATCCTGATTTGTTGTTCGAATGTCTCTGGTTATGGCATTGGACAGTTTGGTGAACTTTTCGTTTGGTCCATACATCAGGCACAAGACTTGTTCCTTAAAATTTATGCACTTTTATCTTATAGGACTTGTAAATCAAAAATAAAATCCTAAGCCCCCTGCCCCCAACCATCTGAATAGACTCCCTCCTAAGCCAGGGATCTTTTAAAATTTAACCTGAGAGACGGTTTCAGGCCATGACAGGAAGTGGGGGTCAGGCATGCCTCATTATACGTCTCTGGCATCAACATCAACACAGACTTGAAGTCTGATAAGAAACATGTTGTCCGGGCGCGGTGGCTCACGACTGTAATCCCAGCACTTTAGGGGGCTGAGGAGGGCGGATCACGAGGTCAGGAGATCCACACCATCCTGGCTAACACAGTGAAACCCCATCTCTACTAAAAATACAAAAAAATTAGCTGGGCATGGTGGCATGCACCTGTAGTCTCAGCTACTCGGGAGGCTCAGTCAGGAGAATCACTTGAACCCGGGAGCCGGAGGTTGCAATGAGCAGAGAAGGAGCCACTTCACTGTAGCCTGGCAACATAGTGAGACTCCATCTCAAAAAAAAAACCAAAAAACCAAAAAACAAAAAAAAAAACAGGTTACATGTTACAACCTATTCTCTCTGGAGCATAGTACCTGAAGGCTTCCTCCACAAATAAGAACTTAAAAACAATTAAGAATGACTCACTTCACATAATCAGCTTTCACAATGGTTAAAGCAGAGTCCTGCTTAGCAATGCACAAAAATTCTCCTTTGTGACCCATTCATTTTACTGCTGTTGACTTTCTTGCTTATGCTTTCAGACAGAGTCACTGTCCTTTGACCAGACTTGAGTCGGGCTCCTCTGAGTCCTGTTTCTGACTAGGTCCCAACCTCGGGCTCTGTCCTTCATCCAGGGACTCTGCCCATTTAGCCTGTTTCAGCAAAAGTCCTATCAAGTCTGTTTAGCCAGAATCCCCCTGCACCTGAGGTTTCCTCCAAGTAATTTCCCATCTTCTGACCCCCCGACCCTACTCCTTGACTACAAATCCCCACTTGTCCTTGGTGGAGTTGAAGTCGATCCCAATATCACTCTCCCACCGCAAGACCCCATTGCGGTGGTCCCTGTACCTATCACAGTAGTCCTGCCTCTGAGTAAAGTCATCCTTACGATCTTTTTTTTAATTTTCAGAGACAAAGTCTCACTCTGTCACTCAGGCTGGAGTGCAGTGACCCAATCCTAGCTCACTGCAGCCTCAAACTCCAGGGCCCAAGCAATCTTCCTGACCCAGCCTTCTGAGTAGCTGGGACTACAGGTATGCACCACTAAATGCAGCTATCTTTTTTTTTAATTCTCTACAGACCCAGGAACTTGATGTGCCCGGCAGATTTTTCTACTTTTTGTAGAGACAGGGTTTCCCCATGTTGCCCAGACTGGTCTTGAACTCCTGGGCTCAACCAATCCTCTTGCCTCAGGCTCCCAAAGTCCTGGGATTACAGGCATGAGCCACTGCAGCTGGCCCTTCCTTACAGTCTTTAATAAGTGCAATAAATACTTGTTTGCTTTAACATTTCCCTGTGTCTTCAGTCTCCTGAAGTGTTATATGCCTCACATTTCCTTACTCCACCCGATATAAAAATTCCTTTCTTTCATCGGGTGCAGTGGCTTACACCTGTTATTCCAGCACTTTGGGAGGCCAAGGTGGGCAGATAACCTGAGGTCAGGAGTTCAAGCCCAGCCTGGCCAACATGGGGAAACTACATCTCTACTAAAAGTACAAAAATTAGCCGGGTGTGGTGGTGTGCACCTGTAGCCCCAGCTACCCAGGAGGCTGAGGAGGAGATTTGCTTGAACCCAGGAGGCAGAGGTTGCAGTGAGCTGAGATCATGCCACTGCACTCCAGCCTGAGTAACAAAGTGAGACTCTGTCTCAAAAAAAAAAAAATCCTTCTTTCAACACTTTGGCGTTATTACACCATTGTTTCCTTGCCTCCAGTGTGGTGTTTGAGAGACCCGATGTCAGTTTAATTATTTTTCCTCTGTAAGTAACCTGTTATTTCTCTCTGATAGTTTTTAAAATATTTTTTCCTTGTCTTTCACAATTTTACATTTCACTGTTCCTGTGTGTGTACTATAATACTTTTAAATCTTAAATCATTTTTCTAAATCTGAGAAATTCTCATTCATTACTTATTTAAGTACACTCTCCTTTTTAGTGACTATATTCTCTTCTTATAAGGCTACTATTAGATGTGTTTTGACATTTATTCTTCTATCCTCCCTATTAATTAACTTTTCTTTCATTTACTTCTTCTCTATCCATTACCGATTACTTTCATGAATTCTTTAGACGCATTTCCTCAGCTCAGTAATTGCTTTTTCAACTATATCAGTTTTAACATCCAATCTATTCCGCTGAATTATTTATTTGAGTAGTTAATGTTTTCATATCCAATCTATCCAATAGGTTTTTCTTTTTATTTATTTATTTATTCATTTATTCATTTGAGACGGAGTCTTGCTCTGTCGCCCAGGCTGGAGTGCAGTGGCGCGATGTTGGCTCACTGAACCTCTGCCTCCCGAGTCCAAGCAATTCTCCTGCCTCAGCCTCTTGGGTAGCTGGAACCACAGGCATGCGACACTATGCCAGGCTAATTTTTGTATTTTTAGTATAGACGTGGTTTCACCTTGTTGGCCAGGCTGGTCTCAAATTCCTGACCTCAGGTGATCCGCCTGCCTCAGCCTCACAAAGTGCTGGGATTACAGGCGTGAGCCACAGTGCCTGTCCTTTTTTTCTTTTCATTTATTTTCTTTTTTAAGACAGAGTTTCACTCTTGTTTCCCAGGCTGGAGTGCAATGGTGTGATCTCACCTCAGTGCAACCTCCGCCTCCTAGGTTCGAGTGATTCTCCTGCCCCAGCCTCCTGAGTAGCTCGGGTTATAGGCATGCACCACCACATTCTATCATTCATTAGCATCTGTATCCCTTCCTTGAACACCAAAAGAACTTCTCTTTTCTTTCCTGTCCCTCCTCCCATCTTCCAAGTTTATAGTACCGGGAATTTTGGTTCAAGACTGTAATTTTTTAAATTTACAATCTAAAGTTTACACTTTTCAATACATTTTACTATTTTTCTCCTCACCATTGCTTACTGAAATCACCTCCTTCCTCCTAAATTTAGTTTTCCCTTCTCATAGAACTGTATACCAATAATTTTTTCTGGAGGGTATATGTGTGGTGAGTTTTCTGAAATATTTTTTCCCTTATTCTGGATTATCCTGGCTGTATATAGATATCTAGGTTCAGCATTTTTGTTTGCTTGTTTTTGTTCTCGTTTTGTTTTTTTTGAGACAGTGTCTGACTCTGTCACCCAGGCTGGAATGCACTGGCACCATCTCGGCTCACAGCAATCTCCACCTCCTGGACTCAAGCGATTCTCCTGCCTCAGCCTCCCAAGTAGCTGGGACTACAGGCACGTGGCACCACACCTGGCTAATTGTTGTATTTTTTGTAGAGATGGGTTTTGCCTTGTTGGCCAGGCTGGTCTCAAACTCCTGAGCTCAGGCAATCCTCCTCTCTCGGCCTCCCAAATGCTGGGACTACAGGCGTGAGCCAACGCACCTGGCCCAAAGTTATCTTTAATCAGCTCCTTGAAAAACTTCTTCATTGCATTTTCTCTTCTCCCTTTCTCTCTGGGACCTTTCAGGATTTTATCTTTATCCTAGAAATTTTACTCCTAGGGTGTGGGGGGGGGCAGAGGGGGGGTGCATGCATGTGTGTGTGTGCACATGTGTGTTAATCAAGCTGAGAACTAGGTGGCTCTTTTCAGGTCAAGATTCATGTCTTTGTTTAGTTGAGAAAATTCTAGAACATTATTTCTTCAAGTACTGCCTTCTCTCCAGTCTTTATGTGTGTGTGTATATATATATATATATATATATATATTTTTTTTTTTTTTTTTTTTTTTTTAGACGGAGTTTTGCTCTGTCACCCAGGCTGGAGTGCAGTGGCACAACTGCAGCTCACTGCAATCTCTGCCTCCTGGGTTCAAGTGATTCTCCTGCCTCAGCCCCCCAAGTAGCTGGGATTTCAGGAGCCCACCACCGCACTGGGCCAATTTTTGTATTTTTAGTAGAGACGGGGTTTCACCATGTTGGCCAGGCTGGTCTCTAATCCTCACCTCAGGTGATCTGCCTGCTTCGACCTCTCAAAGTGCTGGGATTACAGGCGTGAGCCACGGCGCCCAGTCCAGTCTTTTTGTTCTCTACCTTTGGAACTTCTATTGGATGAATGTTGAAACTTCTGGGATCTATTCTCCATTTCCTTTATTATTTTCATTTCATACTTTCTATTTTGTAATCCTTCTCCGCTATAAGGTGATGTAGTGCCGTGCCTGAACACGTTTTTTCATTGGGTTGTTCCAGTTTCTTTTACTGATATGCGAAAGCTTTGTTATATATTAGAGATGGTTACTTTTAATTTATTGCGGATCCTTCACCATTTTTCCCAAAATTTGCCTTTTAAAACAGTTGTTTATGGTGTCTTTTGACTTAGATGATACTTTAATTTCTACGTCTTTAACTATGTCAGATTCATTGTTCATAGCCTTGGAGTAATGTCAGGAAGTGCCTATGCCAACTCAAGATGTCTTACACTGTAATATTTTCCTAAATTTTCATCTAGTTCTTTATGACTTCACGTTTTCACATTTAAGTCGCTGAATTTATAGAATTTATTATTTTATGTGGTTTAAAGTAAGGATTTAATCTTTATTTTTTCAAATGGATAGACACTTGTCAAGCAATCATTTATTATACAACCCATCTTTTGCCCAGTGTTTGGAAATGCATGCTGAAGTCTGCACATAAATTAGTCTGTTTCTTGATTTTCTATTTTGTTTCACTAATAAATCTGTTTCTATGTGTATTCATTTTTTATTGTTGCTGCAACAAATTGGCAATAGCTAATACAATGCTGGGCCTGGGGGCTCATGCCTGTAATCCCAGCACTTTGGGTGGCCTAGGTGGGCGGATCCCTTGAGGTCAGGAGTTCAAGACCAGCCTGGCCAACACGGCAAAACCCCGTCTCTACTAAAAATACAAAAATCAGCCGGGTGTGGTGGCACCTGCCTGTAATCCCAGCTACTCGGGAGGCTGAGAAAGGAGAATCCCTTGAACATGGGAAGCAGAGATAGAACTGAGCCGAGATCACCCCACTGCACTCCAACTTGGGCCACTAAAGTGAGACTCCGTCTCAAAAAATATATATGTAGCTAAGACAAGTTTTGAAAAAGAAGAATAAGGTGGGAGGAATGGCTCTACCATATTTGAATACTTCTTATATAGCTACAGGAATCAAGACTGTAGTATTAGGAGAAGAATAGACACGTAGATCACTGGAACAAAATAGAGAACCTATATAAGAACGTAGAAATAGCCCCACACTGATTTTTTACAAAGAGACAAAAAGAAGGAAGGATCGTCTGCTTAACAAATGGTGCTGGAGCAGTTGCATATTCATAGGCCAAAAAAAAAAAAAAGACCTTTATACAAAAAAAAAAAAAAACCTCAAGTGAATCATAGATTTAAATGTAAAATATAAAACTAAAAAAAAACTTTCACAAGAAAACATAGGAGAAATGTCTGAGATCTAGGGCATAGCGAACGGTTCAAAAAACATAATCCATAAGGAAAATATAAATTAGATTTCATCCAATTTAAAACTTTTGCTCTGCAAGAAACCATGTTAAAAGGATGAAAAAACAGGGTATAAACTGGGAGAAAATGTTTGCAAACCATGTTTCCAACAGAGGGCTTACATCCAGAATATATAATGGATATGTATACTACTCTCAAAATTCAATGGTAGGCCGGGCGTGGTAGCTCACACTTGTAATCCCAGCACTTTGGAGGTGGAGGTGGATGGAGGGTAGATCCCTTGAGGCCAGGAGTTCGAGACCAGCCTGGGCAACAAAACCCATCTCTACTAAAAATACCAACATTAGACAGGCATGGTGGCTCGCTCCTGTAATCCCAGCTATGCGGGAGGCTGAGACACGAGAATCGCTTGAACCTGGGAAGCGGAGATTGGAGTGAGCCAAGATCATGCCACTGCATTCCAGCCTGGGTAACAGAGCAAGACTCTGTCTCAAAAACAAAACAGCGGGAAAAACAAACAAACAAATAATCCAATTAGAAAATTATGAAAAGATATGAACATACATTTCACTGAAGGGGAAATAAGCAAATAAGTACATGAAAAGATGTTCAACACTAATTTGCTTCACTAGATACAAATTAAGACCATGATGAGGTATCACAACACACTTATTACAACAGCTAAAATAAAAGGCATAGTGACAACACCAAATGTTGACAAGGATGTAGAGAAAATGGACATCTCATTAAGTGCTGCTGGGAAGGTAAAATCTTACAGCCACTCTGGAAAGCAGTTTGGTAGTTTCTTATAAAACTAAACATGCAGTGACCATACAATTCATCAATTACACTTCAGAGAAATTAAAATTTATGCTCATCCAGAAACTTGTACATAATTGTTCATAGCAGCTTTACTTGTAATAGCCAAAAGCTGGAAATAATCAATATGTCCTACAATAACTGAATGGTCAAGCTGTGATACATTCATCCCCTGGAATACTACTCAGTAATAAAAATGAAATATTGGCTGTGTGTGGTGGCTCACACCTGTAATCCCAGCACTTTGGGAGGTTGAGGCAGGTAGATCATGAGGTCAGGAGTTCGAGACCAGCATGGCCAATATGGTGAAACCCCATCCCCATCTCTACCAATAATACAAAAATTAGCTGGGCGTAGTGGCATGCACCTGTAGTCCCAGCTAATCGAGAGGCTGAGGCACCTGAATGGCTTGAATCCGGGAGGTGGAGTTTGCAATGAGCCAAGATCACACGACTGCACTCCAGCTTGGGCGACATAGTGAGATTCTGTCTCAACAACAACAAAAATATGAACTATTGTTACACAAATGTTAATATCTTGGATGAATCTCTAGGGAATTATGCTGGGTGAAACAAGCCTCTAAAATGTTATATACTATAAGATTTCATTTGTACGGCATTCTAGAAAAGACAAAATTATAGAAACGAAAAACAGATTAGTGGTTGCCAGGGGTTGGGGATGGTGGATGGGAAGAGACTGGGTATTACTAAAAGTGAGAGCATAAGGGATAGCATTGTGGTGATGGAAATGGTGTGTACTTTTTTTTTTTTTAATTCCAAGATGGTGTCTCACTTTGTCACCCAGGCTGGAGTGCAGTGGCAGGATCTCAGCTCACTGCAACCTCTGCCTCCCAGGTTTGAGCCTTTCTCCTGTCTCAGACTCCCATGTAGCTGGGACTACAGGCACGTGCCACCACGCCTGGCTAATTTTTGTATTTTTAGTGGAGACGGGGTTTCACCATGTTGGCCAGGCTTGTCTCGAACTCCTGACCTCAGGTGATCTGCCTACCTTGGCCTACCAATGTGCTGCGATTACAGGCATGAACCACTGCACCTGGCCATATTCTGCATCTTTTTTTTCTGAAATATAAGCTTTATTTTAAATTTAAAGAAATATTAAAAATAAACTTTTTTTTTTTTTACAAATTATAATCAAGCACTCAAAACAGTTTAGGAATTTTAAACACTAATTCTTAATTCAAAGTAATGACATCCATAGAATACATCTGGCATTGGCCAATATGAAGTTTACTTAATATTGGTATTTTACGGACACAGGAAGGGGAACATCACACACAAGGGACTGTTGTGGGGTGGGGGGAGGGGGGAGGGATAGCATTAGGAGTTATACCTAATGCTAAATGACGTGTTACTGGGTGCAGCACACCAACATGGCACATGTATACATATGTAACATACCTGCACATTGTGCACATGTACCCTAAAACTTAAAGTATAATAATAATAAAGTTAAAAAAAAATAAAAATTAAAAAATATATTGGTATTTTACATATGATTAACCATTCATCCTTCCTAAAAGTCAATGATAACAGTGATTTGACTTTACAAAATGAAGCCTTTTATGTAATACCACAGAGATAACTTTTTCAAATACAAAACCTTTATACCAGCAAGGAAATTATAAAAACATATATAAAGTATGCTGAAGGACGTGATTTAAAGGTTGTCTGTATATATAGATGTGTTTCACCTTAGAAAGTACAAATGCACATCAAAACACTTTCACTGAATATAGATGCCATTACATTCTCTTACTTACATTACGAAGCAAAAGGCACGTTCATAAACGTTTTATTACGTATTAACTGAAAAAAAGCATACATTCCACAAAAAGGTTTTGAAGACACGTGGGAGTGGAATGTGCCCACATTAAGAGTCGAGCTTCTACAGGACCACCTGTCTCCAGCAGAGACCACTGAAAACAGCTGCTACCCTCAGAAAGACAAGATGGTCTTGTTAATGATTTCAATGGACTCTCGAATCTCATCCTCCTTGATCACCAGTGGAGGCGCAAACCTGATGATGTCACCATGCGTTGGCTTGGCCAGAAGTTCATTATCTCGTGTCATCCTTGCGCAGGGGCCATGCTAATCTTCTCTGTATCGTTCCAGTTTTAGTATATGTGCTGCTGAAGCGGGCACTAGAAGTCCATTATCTTGAAGTCTTACACACACCTTCCAAGCATCACAATCTTTGGTTCCTTTAATAACAATAGCGTTTAATAATTCCTTTCCTCGCTGGGCTTGGTGGCTCACACCTGTAATCCCAGCACTTTGGGAAGCCTAGGCAGGTGGATCACCTGAGGTCAGGGGTTCGAGACCAGCCTGGCCAAAATGGTGAAACCCCATCTCTACTAAAAATACAAAAATTAGCCAGGCATAGTGGCCCGTGCTTGTAAACCCAGCTACTCAGGAGGCTGAGGCAGGAGAATTGCTTGAACCGAAGAGATGGAGGTTGCAGTGAGCCAAGATCGCGCCATTGCACTCCAGCCTGGGCAACCAGAATGAACCTCTGACTCAAAATAAATAAATAAACAAACAAATAAATAAATAATTCTTTTCCTCTTATGGTAGTCACAACATCGGAAGGTAGCTTCATGCGTTCATTTCTCAAGAGAATACCCATTTTTTTCTGCATTTTCAGCAAGGTTTTCTTCTTCTAAAACCTCAAGGGCTGCGATGGTCACTCAGCAGCCTAGTGGATTGCCACCGTATGTGGACCCACGTTCCCCTGGCTTAATGGTCAGCATTACGTCATCATCCCACAGCATCGCAGACAGAGTATCAGCCCCCAGAAAGGGCCTTTCCAAGGAGGACTATATCAGGTCTGACATTTTCATGATCAACAGCCAGCCATCTACTAGTTCTGGCCAATCTTATCTGTATTTCAGTGGCAATAAACAGAACCAGGCTGGGAGCATGAGATGGGATGAGGCTAAGTTAAAATTCCGCAAAGCTTACTGTTCTTACAGAGATTCAGCTGGTTTTTCTCTCTTTCTTTCTTTCTTTCTTGCTGACTTGCTTTCTTTTTCTTTCCTTCCTTCCTTCCTTTCTCTCTCTTTCTCTTTTCTTTCTTTCTTTCCTTCTCCTCTCTCTTTCTTTCCTTCTTCTCTCTCTTTCTTTCTTTGTTTCTTTCTTTCTTTCTCTTTTCTCTTCTTTCTTTCCTTTCTCTTTTTTTCTTTCCAGGCAGTCTTACTCTGTTGCCCAGGCTGGAGTGCAGTGGTGTAATCTCAGCTCAATGCAACCTCTGCTTCCCGGGTTCAAATCATTGAGTGAGCCCAGGAGGTAGAGACCAGCCTGGGAAACATAGCAAAAGGCAGGGTGGTGCAGGCCTATAGTCCCGAGGCTGAGGCAGGAGGATGACTTGAGCCCAGGAGGTCGAGACCAGCCTAGACAACATAGCGAAACTGTCTTTACTAGAAAAATTAAAATTTTAGTGGGGGCGGGTTGGTGTGAGCCTGTAGTCCCGAGGCCGAGGCGGGAGGATTGCTTGAGCCTAGGAGGTTAAGGCCAGCCTGGCCAACATAGCGAAACCTGGTTTTTACTAAAAAAAAAAAAAAAAAAAAAAAAAAAAAAAGAGCCTGGGCAGGGCGGTGCATGCCTGTATTCCCAAGGCCGAGGTGGGAGGATCGCCTGAGCACAGGAGGTCGAGACAAACCTGGTCAACACAGCAAAACTGTTTCTACTAATAAAACAAAAATAAAAATATTAGTGGGGGCTGGGTGGTGCATGGCTGTAGTCCAGAGACCGAGGCGGGAGGATTGGCCAAGGAGGATTTAACCAACACCACAATCACATCCCATAAGTAAATACCTTTTCCTCTCTCCAGGGCTACAGGTAAAGGATGGTAATTGTGCGCACCATGCTTAGATTCCCTTTCAAAAATGTAATCAGAGGTTGGAGGGCCTTGGACGGTATTTTTAGTTCCAAGAGATGTAGAAGCCAGTGAAGTATGAACTCCACGACTAAGTACAGCAAAGCTCCACAAATGTGCTAGTTTAGAAAACATTGTGTCCTTCAAGTAGAAAAACCACAGATCGACTATTTTTTTCTTCCCACGGTTCAGACTAGAATACAGATTTTTAACCCAAGATCCAGGGACGGTCTTGAGAGAGATCAAAATCTCCTGACGGTGCCCGAGGACCACCCACTTTGTCGCAATGGCAACAAAGTGTGGCTGGAGGAGGAGACAATGTTCTGCAATTTCACTGCCCAAGGATGATGGACTAATCAGGGCAGTTAGTGAACTCCATCTGGCCAATCAGAAGTCAGAAGAGTAGGCGGGAAAAGCGAAGCTGAAGTGGTGTCTATCAGTTCAGGCTCCAGGGACAGAACTTTCCCAAAGGAGGCGTGGGGGTGGGGAGCGGGGGCGGGCGCAGGGCGAAGACTTGATTTTCCCACCTAAAGCATCCCCTGGGATTGGCTACTTCAAGTTCAGAGTACGCATGCTCTGATATTCTCTTTGGATTCTTCCAAAATCAGAGTACGCATGTGCTGATTTTCTCTTTCCATTTTTTTCCTATCCCTCCCCACCCACCCCCCCACAGTGCATTTGTTATCCAGTTTTAATAAGTAGTGTATATGAGGCAGGTCGCCACCTCAAATCCTTCCTGTCAGTTTCTCACTTTTTCAGGTACGGGATTTTTACTAGCAACTCTGTAGTAACCTAAGAAAATTGGGCCAGGCGCGGTGGCTCACGCTTGTAATCCCTGCTCTTTTGGAGGCCACAGGTGGCGGATCGCTTGAACCCAGGAGACAGAGGTTGCAGTGAGCCAAGATCACACCACTGCACCCCAGCCTGGGCCACAGAGTGAGACCCTGTCTCAAAACAAAACAAAACAAAACAAAAAGCTCACTCAAATCATTCCTCCTGGGCTCAAGCGATCCTCTCGCTTCGGCCTCAGGACTACAGGCGCCGACCACCGGCCCCTGCTAATGTTTTTTTGTTGTTGTTTCTTTCTTTCTTTCTTTCTTTCTTTCTTTCTTTCTTTCTTTCTTTCTTTCTTTCTTTCTTTCTTTCTTTTTCTTTCTCTCTCTCTCGTTCTCTCTTTCTTTTCTTTTCTCTTTCTTTCTGTCTGTCTTTCTTTCTTTCTTTCTTCCTTTCTTTCTTTCTTTCAATAAAGACGGTTTCGCTATATTGACCAAGCTAGTTTCGACCTCCTGGGCTCAAGCGATCTGCCCACCTTGTCCTCCCAAAGTGCTGCAATGTCACAGGCCTGCGCCTACATCCCCAGCTAATTTTTTGTATTTTTGTTAGACACGGGGGTTTTGCTGTGTTTCCCATGCTCGTCTCGGGCTCAAGCAATCTGCCCCACTTGGCCTCCCAAAGTGCTGGGATTACAGGCGTGAGTCACTACACCTGGCTGATTGCTGCATCTTGAAATGCTCCACATTCTCTCTAAGTGATGGCGGGCTCTTGTAGTCTCAGAAATTCTAGCTCTCTTCGTTCTAATAATTTACAAATCACCCAGTAATAGCCTCTAAACCCATTTATATTAGCCATGCTCATTTCTCTTCAACAGAACAGAACCCCCCATCCCTCTGCCTGATCAGATCCATCACCAGAGAGACCATGTTATCTCTGGGACTCACTTCCCTTCCTTTATTTATTGAGTGGGGGTGTCAGAACGCCCCCACTCAATAAAATTACACAGTCACATCTCGGCCTCCCCAACAAGGGTCTGTACGTCTTTCAGGGTAAGCCTAGCTCCAGGGAAACTACTAACGACATTAGCCAACCCCCTCCCAAAGACTCAAGGCTGCTTTGCCCATAGGGAACCTATCATCCCCATTCGATACTTCTCCCAGAGACCCCTGGTTCCCTGTTTTCATCTGACTTCTCTCCATGTCCCTACTCACGGACAGATAAGCCCTGGATGGAGAAATGCAACACCTGATTCCAGGTGACTGAGTGTGGCCGGACTTCACTGATTTCTCCCTCCACAGGACCAAAGGTCCTGCAGCTGGAAAGACTCAGGCTGTTTCTCTTGCAGGTCAGATTGCTCCCAGTGCCACGAATGGAGACGACGCCTTTGCAAGGAGACCCAGGGTTGGTTCTCAAATACCAGAGAACATGCAAAAGGTGAGGAGACCTGGAGGGGGCAGAGCAGTGGCCCAGGGGACAGTGTGGGGTGATCAGATTTCTGAGGAGGGGAGGACAGAGGTACTGGGGACAAGGAGCAGGGTCTCGGGGGAGATCTGGACCCTTGGGAGCCTCCCACCCTCGCTCTGTCATCACCTAGCATCCCTGGAGACAAGTCTGTGACCTTGCTCTACATTTGGTAACTCTCACTCCATTCTGCAAGGTGAGAAGAGAGCCAGCCAGCAGCATTGAAGCCCTACTGTGTGGCAGGGGAGAAGCTAGGGAAGGTCCCCATGTTCTGTCAGTTAGCCATGGCATCAACCAGGACGGATTATCATCCCCAATTCCCAGATCCAGCACACAGGAAATGGCTCCAGCTAAATGGCAGACATGCCTAGCTGAGTCCCTGCCAGAATTCCTTTTTTTTTTCTAGGTCTTCGATGATATTGCCAAATATTTCTCTAAGAAAGAATGCGAAAAGACGAAAGCCTGGGAGAAAATCATCTAGGTGTATATGAAGATAAACTATGAGGTCATGACTAAACTAGGTAACAGAAAATTCTTGGTACAGAGAAGTCTGGGGACACATGAGCATCCCTTTTTCTGCTTTGGCTACTTCTTAGGCTGCTGAAAGCACCCCATATTTTCCTTTTGTGCAGGGAAAAATCTCAAGGCAGCTTCTGGGTGTTCTGCTCTTCTGTATCCTGCCAGGGCTGAGGGCAGGGACTAGCCACAGTGGAGCTCATACCTGGATCCTGCTCGTTTCCCTCCCTTAGATGTCTGTTCTGACGAGTCCAGCTCTCTCTGTGGCATCCCAGCACACCCCCACCAACCCTACCTTCCTTCTCTTGGCTTGTCTTTCTTTCTTTCTTTCTTTCTTTCTTTCTTTCTTTCTTTCTTTCTTTCTTTCTTTCTTTTTTTTTTGTGTGTGTGTCTGAGTCTCACTCTGTCACCTAGGCTAGAGTGCAGTAGTGCAATCATACCTCACTGCAGCCTCGAAGTCCTGGGTTCAAGCAATCCTCCTGCCCAGCCTCTGGAGTAGCTGAGGCTACAGGCAGGTGCCACCATGCCCAACTAATGTTATTTTATATTTTGTAAATACGGGGGTCTCTCTATGTTGCACAGGCTCCTCTTGAGCTCCTGGCCTCAAGTTTTCCTCCATCCTCAGCGTGCCAAAGTGCTGGTACTACAGAAATGAGCCAATGTGCCAGGCCTAAGCTTGCCTCTTAAGGAATAAACATTTTCTTTCTTTCTAGGTTTCAACGTCACCCTCTCACCTTTCATGCGTAATAAACGGGCTGCAGACTTCCAGGGGAATGATTCTGATAATGACCGTAACCATGGGAATCAGGGCAAGTAGATAGGAAGGGGCTGTAAAGAGTCTCCTCAAGCCCAACTGCTTTTCAGCTCAGCTCAGCTACCTGGGAAAGACCTTTTTTTTTTTTTTTTTTTAAGTTGCAGTTTTCCTCTCATCGCCCAGGCTGCTGTGCAATAGCTCAATCTCACCTCAATGCAACTTTCACCTCCCATGGTCAAGCGATTCTTCTGCCTCAGCCTCCCGAGTAGCTGGGATTACTGGCGCCTGCTCCCACTCCCAGCTAATTTTTGTATTTTTGGTAGAGATGGGGTTTCACCATGTTGGCCAGGCTGGTCTCAAACTTCCTGACCTGAGGTGATCCACCTGCCTCAGCCTCCCAAAGTGCTAGGATTACAGGCGTGAGCTCCCACTCCCTACCTGTTTGTAGTATTTCTAATATTCTGAATAAATAAATCAGGTCTAACATAGCTGTGGGGTAATGTTGAGATCTGACTGGAATCAATATTATTCCCTGTACTTTTCTGTGTGTTTGAAATATTTCTTTTTTAAAGGACATGTTGTTCTTGCTAAGCACTGTTAATGAATCAAAGGACAGTTAAAATGTTACAAGTGCAAAAAAAAAAAAAAGAAAATATTAAAAGTGCAGATCCGTAAAAAACTTCCTGAGTTTGTTTCATTAACAGCATGTAGGTATTGGATAAGTATCTTAAGAGAGAGGATGATGAACACATTATGTAAGGAGGATCGCTGTTTCTCTGTATTTTATCAAAACCAAATAGTCTTCTCATTTTCAAACAACCCTGATTCTCCGTGATGAGCTTGGAAGTGAGTTTGAAAGTGTGATCCCCCATCCAACACACAGAGAGCTTTCCCACTTCTCAGTGAGCAGAGATAACACAGGGTGAAAAAAAGACAGGTTCTTCGGTAGAGATCTTTGTACATTTCAGGGATATAAAGGGGACATATGTGTTTGCTGGTTCTTCTGCTCTGACAACACAATTATAAAACAAAGTCAGAGTGTCTAAACTGTCTTCAATAGACCTATTACTCCCCAACCAAACAGGCCAGATTCTACAATCTCCCACAGTCACTATAAGAGATCTGAAACTCCAGTGCTTGAGTATCTGCCAAGTTTTTGACGTTAAAGGAGTGTCTTCATACCGAAAAAATTTCAGAGCCACTGGACTAAATCATCGATGGTTCATCACACATTTAACAGCTTAATTCACATACCATAAGATCCACCCATTTGAAGTGTACAGTGATTTTTAGTTGTTCACATCTTGGGTGGATACAGTTCAGGTTCCCAACCAATCGATTTAATTTTTTGGGAAAAAGTAAAAGATACGTAATGGAATAAGATGAGACTGTGATGGGGTTTAGTCCCCATTTGGTAAACCATGAGATGGAAAATTCTGAATTGATGCCACAGATAAATGAACCAACCATGACTAAACATAATTCAGAAGCAAAACTGAAATAACTCCTCAACAATGAGTGGACTCATAACACTCTGCTGCAGAATACCCTCATGCAACAGAAGTATCTCTGGAGTTTGGAAATCTTTACCAACAAAGAAAAATTCTAATGTATTCTCTTTCAGTTGAACGTCCTCAGATGACTTTTGGCAGGCTCCAGGGAATCTTCAAATCTAAAGGATTCAAATCTCTCAAATCTAAAGGACCAGAGAACCTTTGTCCCTCCATGGATGCGAACACTGGTAAGAGTGGGAGAATATCAAAAATGCCCTCACTGCCTCCTTCTCCCCATGTCTATCACAACACCAGATGCAGCATCAACAGCTTGATAATACTAACAGTTGTGATCCTTAATACTTCTTTTGTTTTCACAGTGATGCCAGATATTCTAAGCAGTTTACATGGATTAATTTATTTAATCCTTAAGAAGACCTCTATGACATTGTTTCTATTATTATCTCCAAATAATAACGTGTCATACACTTCAGTTGTCATCCACACAAGAGCCATGTGACTTGGCACAAATCTTCTAAGGTCTCTGAGATCCAGATTCCTGGTCCATGAAATGGAAGTAAAGAATCATAGTTCATGTTTTAGATCATAGTTATCAGCAGCATAATAATAAAATGAGGCTATCGTGGTATAGAGGTGTTACAGAATTTTCCTGAGGCGCAGTGGCAGTGGTAGTCTAATCCAGAGCTCCAAGCCATTTAAAGCTCATTCACGTTTGCATGTATTTATGAAGTTCAGATGTTGCTCACTAGGGCTTCACCCCATAGGGCCTCCTGGTGCTTCCGTTGAGACACCCACTCTCCCAACAGGAAGGACCAGCTGGCCTCTGCTGTGTTACTGGGGCCACTTGCATGGCTTAAGAATCGCTTTGAATGTTGGCCCCTCCCTACTGTGAGGTCCTAGATGGACTTGTGTGCACCTGGGGCATCTGGGAAGCCCCAGTCCCAGCCCAGGGGATCCATTGGAGGCCCCTGAATGAGTGACCCCACAACTGCAGATTCAACTCTGGTTTAGAGGGTAAGGGGATCTGGGAGTTGGGTTGCCTGTGTGGAGACCAAATTCAAAGGATCATGAAAGGTATAAGTTCTTACTATTACTACATTTAAACAGTGTTTGCAAGCTCAGAGAGGACTTTCCCTTAGTCTATTTTACATGTATTGTTCACTATTTCATAGGTGAGGAAGCTGAATAAATGTAGCTTAAGACTGTTGGTCAGTGACACATCCGAATACAACAAGAATTGGTGTGGATACCACCTCACTTAATTCCATGTTCAATTTTGGTGCGTTGGTAGGGTGTTATGCCATATCTGGTACTGCTTTCTTTGCTGCCTAGATTAATCTCAGCAAACCATTTCATTCCCTCTCCCTTCCCTGTATTCATCTCCCCACACCATCTTTTCCAGCAGTGCTTTGTCCCCTCTTTATGTTTCCACCTTTACTCTCCTAGCAGCTGTCTACAAGTTTATATGGGATCCCTTGAATTTTATAGAAGCTCTTCCTTTTGTAGACCTTGTGAATTCTCAGAATGCTATTCTCCAAATCTTCTGTATACCACACTCTCAATTACATGGAGACTTTTGCTGTTTGCAAGAATGTCAGTCTTAAAAGAGTGTGAAGATAATCATTCTATCCCTGGAAACCCCATTCACTACCAAGTACCTCTTAGAAGATTAACAAGAGATCTGGTAAGAGGAAACAATTCGGGAACAACCCCTCTGGCTTCCCTGGTGATGTTCAGGTGTATGGACTGGGTGTGTGGCATGGATCCCAGACAAGCCTGGGCCCAGGCTGGGCTGAGGAGCTCACCCAGCTCCAGATGAGATGTTGGAGATGACTTCCAGAGACATAGACTGGAGTTGTCATCCATATAAAAAACCACGTGACTTGGGGGCAAGTCTTCCAAATTTTCTCAGCTCCAGATTCCTAGTCCATAAGATGGAAATAAAGAATCATAGTTCATAAATTGTTTGGAGGCATTAAATTAAATCCTGAAGGCCTGATGACATGAAAGGTGCTCAAGCAATTCTATCTGTGATTACCTGGGATCATATCTTACTCAGCTCAATGCCTGATACCCAATACAGGTGTACTTCAGTGATATTGCAGGTTCGGTTCCAGACCACTGCAATAAAGTGAGTCACACACATTGTTTTTCATTTGTTTTGCAGTGCATAAAAACTTTGTTTACACTATACTGTAGTCTATTAAGTGTGCAATAGCATTATGTCTAAAAATGTACACACCTTAATTTTAAAATAATGCAGTGATAAAAAATGCTAACAATCTGCTGAGCTTTCAGTAAGTCACACTCTTTTTACTGGTGGAGGGTCTTGCCTCAGTGTTGATGGCTGCTGGCTGATCAAGGTGGTGGTTGCTGAAGGGTGGAGTGGCTGTGGCAGTTCCTTAAAAGAACACAACAATGAAATTTGCCACATTGATTAGCTCTCCCTTTCATGAAAGATTTCTCTGTAGTATGTGACGCTATTGGATAGCATTTTACCCACAGTAGAACTTCTTTCAAAGTTGGAGTCAATACTCTCTAGCTATGAAAGTCTTAGATGGCATCTCCTTCCATTACAAGGCTAGTTTATCCATATTGAAAATCTGCTGCTTAGTGTAGCCACCTTCATCAGTGATCTTAGCTAAATCTTCCAAATAACTTGCAGCTTCTCCATCAGGGTTTGCTGCTTCACCTTGCACTTTTATTTTATGGAGATGGCTTCTTTCCTTAAACCTCACGAACCAACCTTTGCTAGCTTCACACGTTTCTCCTGCAGCTTCTTCACCTCTCCCAACTTTCATGGACTTGAAAAGAGTATGGGTCGTGCTCTGAATTAGACTTTGGCTTAAGGGAATGTTGTGGCTGGTTTCTTGTTTTATCCTGACCACTCCAACTGTCTCTATTTGAGCAGTAATTCTGTTTTGCTTTCTTATTGGTGTGTTCACTGGAGTATTAGTATTATTATTTCCTTCAAGAACTTTTCCTTTGCATTATATAGTATTATTTCCTTCAAGAACTTTTCCTTTGCATTCACAGCTTGGCTGTTTGGTGCAAGAGGCCGAGCTTTCAGCCTATCTTGGCTTTCAGCATGCTTCCTCACTAAGCTTAGCCATTTCTAGCTTCTGATTTAATGTGAGAGACATGTGACTGTTCGTTTCATTTGAACACTTAGCAGCCATTGTAGGGTCGTTCATTGTCCTAATTTCAGTGTTGCTGTGTGTCAGGAAATAGGGAGGCCCAAGAAAAGGAGGCGAAACAGGGAACAGCTCATCGGTGGAGCAGTCAGAACACACACAACATTAATCGATTACGTTCGTCATCTCCTGTGGGTGCAGTTCCTGCTACCTCCAAAACAATTACCCACAACAGGGTGATTATAGTCAATAATAACTTAATCGTACTTTAAAAAAACAGAAAGAGTGTAAATGGATTGTTTGTAACACAAGGATAAATGTTTGAGGGGGTGGATACCTTATTTTCCATGAAGTGATTACTACGCATTGCATGCCTGTATCAAAATATCTCATGTACCCCATAAGTATATACACCTGTGTACCCACAAAATCAAAATAAAAATTATTTTAAAAGATTAAAGAACAACAAAACAATTGCAATCATAATATCAAAGCTCACCGATCACAGATCAATACAACAGATATAATAATAATGGAAAAGTGTAAAATTGGTGAGAATTTCAAAAAAAAATTGCAGTATCTGTGAAGCAGTATAAAAATGAGGTGCCATAAAACAAGGTATGCCTTGTGCCCTTAACAAATACCTGCAGCACAAAAGGAGGTATGGGTGAATGTTCCCGTAAGTGAAGAGGTTGGGAATCTAAACCTCTCAACGGTAGGAGCCAGAAGCTCAAACTTTCATTGGCATTTGGCCTGTATTGGTATGGGTCAAAGTTGTCAGCCTCTGTAAGCCAGCAAATGTGAAAAACTGGATGAAGAAGGCCCACGGGCACTTGGGAGGGGGGAGGCATCTCCTTTTTGTGAGAAAACAGAGCCTAACACTCTCCAACCTACCCAACCCTCATCTTCCAACTTTTCCCCATCATAGGACCCAAAAGGGGGAAACATGCCTGGACCCAAAGACTGTGTGATAGAAAGCAGCTGGTGATTTATGAAGAGATCAGCGACCCTGAGGAAGATGACGAGTAACTCCATAAGTGAACCTTCGGCTCACCCCCCACATCCCTGCAGATGTACTATTCTGTTATGGTACTGGTATCCCATCTTGTCACTTGTTCCCCAAATCATTCCCTTCTCATAATTTTCTAGGGTACAGCAATCAGGCTGATGGAAGAGATTTCCCATGCTCTTTCTTTCTTTTTCTTTTGTTTTTCAAGGGAGTCTTGCTCTGTCACCTAGCCTGGGGTGTAGTGGCATGATCTCGGCTCACTGCAACCACCAGCTCCCGGGTTCAAGCAATTCTCCTGCCTCAGCCTCCTGAGTAGCTGGGATTACAGTTGCGTGCCACTATGCCCAGCTAATTTTTATATATTTGGTAGAGACGGGGTTTCACAATGTTAGTCAGTCTGTTCTTAAACTTATGACTTCGTGATCCGCACACCTTGGCCTCCCAAAGTGCTGGCTTTATAGGCATGAGTCACCACGCCCGGGCGATTTTCCATGCTCTTTCTACTCCCTGCCCTGTATATACAGGGATCCTCCCTACCCAGGATGCTGTGGGTTCCCAAACCCCAGGTCAGCCCTGATATGCAGGCCACACATAGGAATTGATAACCCAGGCGAGGAAGTCACTGATGCATGAGCAGATGGTTTACTTCGAGGAACCGTGAAAGGCGTGTGCAGGTCCTGAGGTAGGGCAGAATCGGAATGTGCAGGGTCTGCAGGTCAGGAGGAGTTGAGATTGAGTTGTCACGTGGTGGGAACTCACTGCCACTTACTTTCCTTCTCTCCTCTTGCCTCAGCCTCAGGGATATGACACATGCCCATGATGAGAAGCAGAATGTGGTGACCTTTCACGAACATGGGCATGGCTGCAGACCCTCGTCATCAGGTGTATAGCAAGTGAAAGCAAGTGTTCACAACAGTGAAAAGTTGAGCATCATTTTTCTTAGTGTGCCAAGAGTTCGATGTTAGCGTTTCCATTGTATTTTCTTACAGTGTGCCATTCTGTTAGATATTATCCTTTTCATTGATGAGCAAGACATACTTAATGCATTTTTGGTTTGTGTATCCATGCACCTACTTAGAAAAGAAGTATTGTCAGGTATTCTCTCCATAGAACAGCACTACCTTCCTCTCTCCCCAGATGTGACTACTGAGGGCAGATCTGAGTGTTTAATTTCAGATTTTCTCCTCTGCATTTACACACCACACACACACACACACACACACACACACCAAGTACCAGTATAAGCATCTCCCATCTGCTTTTCCCCATTGCCATGCATCCTGGTCAAGCCCCCCCTCAATTTGTTTCCTGTTCAGCATGTACTCCCCTCCTCTGATTCCCCATATCAGTCACTGACAGTTAATACACCTTTGCAAACGTTCCCCAGTTGTTTGCTCCTCTCATTAATGTGCGCACAGGTCTCTGCACGTGTGTGAATATTTCTTTAGGAAAGATTCTTAGAAGTTGAATTGCTGTGTCAAAGGAGTCATTTATTCAACAAAACACTAATGAGTGTGTTCTCGTGCTGAGCGCTGTTCTAGGTGCTGGAGAGACATCAGCGAACAAGGCAGGCTGATGTTCCTGACCACCATTCCGGAGGAGGGTGTTTCCAGTTGTTTGTTTGTTTGTTTGTTTGTTTGTTTCTTCTGGAGATAGGGTCTTGCTCTGTCCAGGCTGGAGTGCAGTGGCATGATCATAGCTCAATGTAGCCTTGAACTCCTGGGCTCAAGTGATCCTCCCACCTTGGCCTCCTAAATTGTTGGCATTACAGGCATGAGCCACCACACCTGGCCTTCAGTTTTTATTTTGATAGAGACTATACACTTCAGTCCTGGAGCAGGATTCTGCAGCAGGTGGTTGGGCAATTTGGCCTTCGCTCTCTGAACAATTTTCACTTTCTAGGGCTGGGACGGTCCATTTGGGAGTATGTGGGAGGAGACACAGATAAAATCGTCATCTGGGGAACATGGAGGGATGAGGAAGATGCGTGCACTGTAGACCCTGTGATGGCCAGGGAATGGAAGAGTTCACTTAGTCTCCATGCAGGGGATCAGTAGTGGGAAAGTCCTCTGGACAGAAGCATGAGACTGCCCATCAAGGGTCTCACCACCCAAGGGCCTGGGGGCTGGGGTGGGGACCATGATTTGGGAATGGGACAGTTCTTTCTCACAGGTACCACTGCACGGTGCAGAGGGAAAAGAGTTGTGGGGAAGGGAAGGGCAGAGGGGAGTCTATTTTAGAATAAAACATTTGTGTGTGAATGGAGACATTAAAGCTCCATTCACAAGCGATGGACTTGAAACACCAGCCCCAGGTGGAGGCAGGATTGGAGCTGTTTTGACCGTTCATGGCCCATCACCTTGGCCTCCTGGTTCTCCCCAGCCTTGGAAGGAGGACACTATCATCATTATGCCTATACGACAGATGAGAGACAGAATCCCAGAGAGATGGTAGGCATCTTATCACAGGTCCTACAGCTGGCAAGTGCAGGAGGAGCTGAGTTTGGAGTTCATTGACTCGAAACATTAAGGAGGACAGGAGTGTGGGGTGGAGGGAGGGAGACTTGAACAACCCCAGGGTTCTGTCCCCAGTCACAAGGTAGAGGCTGTCAGTTCGTTTTCCCAAGACAAGGATCACTTGGACAGAGAGAGTGCAGGGAGGGAGAGGCAATCGTGGCCATAGTGGGGACAGTGGGAGACAGAGATATACAGGGTGGGCAGAAGAGGTGGCAGGCAAAGAAGCAGGGGATACCCAAGGCCAAGTGTGGGCTGTCACAGCCACCAGAGGGAGAAGGTGCCAGGAAGGTGTCAGGAAGTCTCTCCAGGAGCAACAGAGGTTCCCCAGATCTGTGAGCATGCCCTACCTGGCACTTCAGGAAGGGGTGGCTGCCACCCAGGTCAGTGTGGACGTACCTCTACCTGTGTCTCAGAGGAAACAAATTCTATTTTATCCCAATATAGTTCTGTATTACACAAATGTAGCATTCAGCTACTAGATATCGAGTGCCTTATCCTCCATGTAAATACAGCAGAGGATACCCTAAAAGAGATACTGAAGGATTTGATTTTTCTTTCTCCCTGGGAAGATTGAGTCCATAAGTTGGGTCCCCCAGTCCACAAGACAGGTGCAAGAAAGGGTGGCTGGAAGATTGTGAGTCATGACAGGGAACATTTTTCCTTAGGTTCCTTGGGTATATAAGATTCCCAACTATCTGTCTATCATGGACAGATAAAGAGTGAACATGGTCCCCTCTCCACAAATGTGTTTCTCTCCTTGATTATTACTGTGAAGGGCTGGAGTTCCATCAAGTTCTGATACATTACTTTATTATTATTATCACTATTATTATTATTGTGAGACAGAATGACACTCTGTCGCCCAGGCTGGAGTCCAGTGGTGAGATCTCGGCTCACTGCAAACTCCGCCTACCAGGTTCAAGTGATTCTCCCACCTCAGCCTCTCAGGTAGCTGGAAATCCAGGCACATGCCACCAAGCCCAGCTAATTTTTTGTATTTTTAGTAGTGACGGGGTTTCGCTGTGTTAGTCAGGATGTTCTCAATCTCCTGACCTCGTGGTCCACTGGCCTAGGCCTCCCAAAGTGTTGGGAATACAGGCGTGAGCCACCACACCAAACAATACTTCCATTTTTTGTGTTTTTTTGAGACAGGATCACACTCTGTTGCCCATGCTGGAGTGCAGTGTTGCAATTACAGCTCACTGCAACCTCAATCACCCAGGCTCAAGGGATTCTCCCACTTCTGCTTCCGAACTAGCTGGGACTACAAGTACACACCACCACACACAGCTAATTTTTGTATGTTCTGTGGAGATGGGATCCCACTACATTGCCCAGGCTGGTCTCGACTTCCTGGCCTCAGGCAATCCTCCTGCCTCAGCCTCCCAAAGTGCTGGGATGACAGGTGTGAGCCACCTCGCCAGGCCTTCACTTTCTTTAACGAACAATTATCAGAGTTTCATCTTAGAGGCAAAAGTGGCTACTGCCGGCCAATCTGAGTGTGGTGTTGGAGGGGAATCTGGGTGATTCAGACGTTTTTAATGAACTTTTAAATTAGCCTACCTGATGACTATCCTAAGGCCCTTTCCAGCTCCGTGTATTTTCGTTCAGGGTTTGGAGTTTTTTTGGAGGCTTTGTTATAAAGAGCATCTCTTGCTCAGGCGCAGTGACTCACGCTGTAATCCCAGCACTTTGGGAGGCCGAAGCAGGCAGATCACTTGAGGTCAGGAGTTGGAGACCAGCCTGACCAACATGGCGAAACACCTGACTCTAGTAAAAACACAAAAATTTGCCGGCCTTGGTGGCAGGCGCCTGTGAATCCCAGGTACTGCAGGGGCTGAGGCAGGAGAATCACTTGAACACGGGAAACAGAGGGTGCGGTGAGCCGAGATCATGCCACTGCACTCCAGCCTGGGCGACAGAGTAAGTCTCTGTCTCAAACAGCATCTCTCGCCTACAGTGATTTGAGCTGTGGTCTTGTCTCCTTGGGTTTCTCTATCAGTCTGATCTCATCTACTCTGTCTCCCAGGAATGCCTCAGTATTCCTGGTGGACCACTTACACGCTTTCCTATTTTCCTCTACTGTTAAGAATTGACCCTTGAAAACATTTTCATCCCAGTTCAATGGAATGTGAGTGGGGCACGGGATCTATCTGCCATCTTGCTCCAATCATCTGGTTTTAGATATTTATGTACTTTTGTCACTATAGACGTGTCTTTTTTCTCAATTTGATTTTCTAAATGGTTATTACTGATATGTAGAAAACCTATCTATTACCGTATATAATATTTTGTTACCTGTCTGGGTGCATCTTCCCCTGCATTTTGGCACAGGACTCAATCTGTTTTATTCTCAAAAAAAAAAAAAAAAAAAAACTGATAGCCTGGGTGTGGTGGCTCATGCCTGTAATCCCAGAACTTTGGTAGGCCAAGGTGTGTAGATCACCTGAGGTCAGGAGTTCGAGACCAGCCTGGCCAAGATGGTGAAACCCTATCTCTAAAAAAATACAAAAAAAAAAAATAGCCGGGCCTGGTGGCGCAGTCCTATATTTCTAGCTACTCGGACAGCTGAGGCAGGAGGATCACTTGAACTCAGGAGGCGGACATTGTAGTGAGCCGAGGTGGCACCACTGCACTCCAGCCTGGGCGACAGAGATTCTATCTCTAAAGAAAAAGAAAAAGAAAAAAAGAAAATTCACTTCACAGGCAATAGATAGTTATAAAAGGATATTTTATGGAAGATTTCATAGGGGAGACTGATGGAAAGAAAGAAGTATATATTTTACAGAGCTGAGCAATTCACTGCAAAAATCACCAGAACTGCCTTTTTCTCCAAAATTATTACCCATAAGCTATTCTACTACTGGTTCTTCTAGTCCTTCTCTCTATTCCAAATCCTCAAATTGTCCATTTTCTTATTGCAATAATTTTCCTCTGTGCAGATCTAGGTCCTCCACAACACTTAGCACTCTCTTCGAGTGTTTGCATGCCCGTTGTTTTAGCTCAGGTTCCCAAGGAAACAGAATTTGGGCCATTCCGGACACCTCTAGACAGACTATACTGAGAAACCATGCCTGGAACGGTGCATGAGGAGAGGAGAGTAGAGGGAATTTACATACCTGGCTCTCACTCCTGGTTCCTTTTCTTAATGGTCAAAATTTATCCCACAGGCACGAGCTCCCCTACACTTCTAGATTGCATCATCTGCCCCCTTGGCAGCTGTCTGGGAAGCCAGATCCCACACTTTGAAGTGTAGTGTTTCATACACTCCAAAAGTGGTAGCAGAGGCCAGGCGTGGTGGCTCACGCCAGTAATTCCAGTACTTTGGGAGGTCGAGGAAGGTGGATCATGAGGTCACGAGTTCGAGACCAGCCTGGCTAGCATGGTGAAACTCTGTCTCTTCTAAAAATACAAATTTAGCTGGGCAGGGTGGCGTGCACCTGTAATCCCAGCTGCTCGGGAGACTGAGGTAGGAGAATCACTTGACCCCGAGAGGCAGAGGTTGCACTGAGCTGAGATTGCACCATTACACTCCAGCCTGGACGACAGAGCAAGACTCAATCTCAAAAACAAAACAAAACAAACAAACAAACACAAAAGTGGTAGCAGAAGTCAGAAAGTCCAGGTATGTAGCTAATTGTCCTGGTTGTACATCAGCAGCCAAGGGTGAAAACTAAATACTCCCAGGCAAGTCCTAAGTTCACCGAGTAACTGGAGTACCCATCTGTGTTAGTTAACTGCCTTTATCTGAAGGAAAAACAAATCTCATATCTCTATGACAACCAGGTGCTTACAGCTTGGAAGAAGTCACCTAGGCTAAACTCCCTTGGTGACAGGGAGACACGGACATCATCTTCCTCGATGTTCACATTTCAAAGAGATGGCACCAAGGCCCTGAAGAAAGACATTCCTAGGGGCCGGGCATGGTGGCTCATGCCTGTAATCCCAACACTTTTGGAGGCTGAGGCTGGAGGATCACTTGAGGCCTGGAGTTCAAGTTCAAGACATTCCTGGGTTCTAGGATGGCCAGAGGCTTACGTATCAAAGGAAGAATTTACAAACACAAATTTTCTCAAGGAAATGCTCTAAGGAAGGTGAAATGGAGAAAGGTTTCTTCTTCCCTTTTGGCAACAGGAAAAATTCATTTTTATGTTTAGTTACCCTTACAATTTCCCCCTTTTGTTATTGTTTTATAGGAACACTGCAATATTCTAATTATCTCCACTGCTGTTTCTATCTTTCTCTGTGTAGTTTACAGCCACCTAGATATCCAACAAGTCCATAGTAAGATGCAAAGCTAAGCAATTATCAAGATAATAATTGAATGATTTTTTTTTTCGAGACGGAGTTTCACTCTCATTGCCCGGGATAGAGTACAATGGTGTGATGTCGGCTCACTGCAACCTCTGTCTCCTAAGTTCAAGAGATTCTCCTGCCTCAGCCTCCTGAGTAGCTGGGATTACAGGCATGTACCACCACACCCAGCTAATTTTGTATTTTTTTTTTTACTGTTAATTTTTTAATACCTTTAGAATTATGTACCAGAATTCTATCAATTGATGACTCAGTTGGATCATCTTTCAATTTTGTTGAAAGCAAAATATTAGAAACCAGCTAAATCACAAAAAAAGTTTTTTAACTCAGTGTCATCTCTTTCTCACCAATATTTTTAAATGTCCCTTTACCAATTGTCTGGAGATTTTTTTCCAAAGTGCATTGGTAAGATTCAGAATGGATAAGAGATATATCTTTGTTTTGTCAAGTATGAAAAGAATAATTTTTGTTCTGTTTTGTTTGAGATAGAGTTTTGCTCTGTTGCCCAAACAGGGATTACAATGGCGCAATCTCAGCTCACGGCAACCTCTGCCTCCCGGGTTCAAGCGATTCTCCTGCCTCAGCCTCTGGAGTAGCTGGGATTACATGTGTGCACCACTACGCCTGGCTAATTTTTTGTATTTTTAGTAGAGATGGGGTTTCACCATGTTGGCCAGGCTGGTCTCAAACTCCTGACCTCAGGTGATCTGCCCTCCTCGGCCTCCCAAAGTGCGGGGATTACAAGCATGAGCCACCGCACCTGGCCAGAATAATTGTTTTTTTTTTTTTTCTTCCTGAAATATTATTCATTTACTTATCTTTGTGTCATCCTTCTATTTATAAAATTACTTTTTTTTTCTTTTTTTTTTCTATTATACTTTAAGTTTTAGGGTACATGTGCACATTGTGCAGGTTAGTTACATATGTATACATGTGCCATGCTGGTGTGCTGCACCCACTAACTCGTCATCTAGCATTAGGTATATCTCCCAATGCTATCCCTCCCCCCTCCCCCGACCCCACCACAGTCCCCAGAGTGTGATGTTCCCCTTCCTGTGTCCATGTGATCTCATTGTTCAATTCCCACCTATGAGTGAGAATATGCGGTGTTTGGTTTTTTGTTCTTGCGATAGTTTACTGAGAATGATGATTTCCAATTTCATCCATGTCCCTACAAAGGACATGAACTCATCATATTTTATGGCTGCATAGTATTCCATGGTTTATATGTGCCACATTTTCTTAATCCAGTCTATCATTGTTGGACATTTGGGTTGGTTCCAAGTCTTTGCTATTGTGAATAATGCCGCAGTAAACATACGTGTGCATGTGTCTTTATAGCAGCATGATTTATAGTCATTTGGGTATATACCCAGTAATGGGATGGCTGGGTCAAATGGTATTTCTAGTTCTAGATCCCTGAGGAATCGCCACACTGACTTCCACAATGGTTGAACTAGTTTACAGTCCCACCAACAGTGTAAAAGTGTTCCTATTTCTCCACATCCTCTCCAGCACCTGTTGTTTCCTGACTTTTTAATGATTGCCATTCTAACTGGTGTGAGATGGTATCTCATTATGGTTTTGATTTGCATTTCTCTGATGGCCGGTGATGATGAGCATTAGAGATGGGATTTCACCATTTTAGCCAGGCTGGTCTTGAACTCCTTACCACAGGTGATCCCCCCACCTCAGCTTCCCAAAGTGGTAGGATTACAAACGTGAGCCACCGTGCCCTGCCTAGAAAGAATTCTTAAATTCAGTATAATACTCACCTTGTCAGGGCTGGGGGACCTTTAAACACATCATAGTGGTTAATTGTGTCAAAGTCAAAATAAATTGCAGAGAGAAATCCCTAAATCAAATGCTGTATTTGGGAACCACAAAATTGCAATTCAGGACATACACACAGACTGGAGTGGTCTTCAGTA
This sequence comes from Homo sapiens, assembly GCF_000001405.40. Lineage (NCBI taxonomy): Eukaryota > Metazoa > Chordata > Mammalia > Primates > Hominidae > Homo > Homo sapiens. Next base: position 48,173,730 of record NC_000023.11, read on the forward strand.
TGTCCAACGAACAAACAGAAGTTGGAAGTTTTATTAGAAATAAAAATGTTACGTATTGTTTTGAAATGAGGCTCATTGGCACTGGAGAAGCTGGTTTGTTTGCACAATCAGCTTTCACATTCCCTCTTTTGATGAAGATCTTTCTTTGAAAACCTCACTGATCAGCCGTCTTAAAGTGAGGCTTCATTGTCACTCCATGCCAGGATGGACCCGTGCCGGTTGTCTTTGTCCCATGTCATGGGAAAGGTAAGGGAGTCTATATCAGGAACATGGGCCACATTTGAGCAAAAAAGAGGTCAGAAGGAAAAAAAAAATCAGGCATGTTTGTCTGGAGTTCAGCATCAAATTCCATCTTATTAGTCCCATCTATATTAGCAATCATCTTGAAGCACTAGGCCAACATTATCCTGTTGGGAGAACTGGCTGAACAAATATTACACAGGCAACAAGAACGGAGCTCAAAGATTATAATACAAAAATAATTAGCAATCGTTTTATTTTATTTTATTTTATTGCGATGCAGTCTTGCTCTGTTGCCCAGGCCAGAGTGCAGGGGCGTGATTCCGGCTCACTACAACCTCCATCTCCTGGGTTCAAGTGAATCTCCTTTCTCAGCCTCTCGAGTAGCTTGGATTACAAGTGCTCATCACCATGCCCGGCTAATTTTTGTCTTTTCAGTAGAGAGGAGGTTTCAACATGTTGGCCAGGCTGGTCTCGAACTCCTGACCTCAAGTCATCCGCCCTCCTTGGCATCCCAAAGTGCTGGGATTACAGGCGGGAGCCACCGCACCCAGCTATAATTAGCAATAATATAATAAATTTAGTTTGTACAATGATTTTGAACTAAGATCCCAAGCCTAAGGGCCACCAGCTAAACAAATCAAAAGACTATGGGGGAATTGAATGAGACAACCAGTTTGGTGAACTCTTTGTGTGGTCCATACATCAGACACAAGACTTGTTCCTTAAAATTTATGCAGTTTGGCTGGGTGCAGTGGTTCACACCTGTAATCCTAGCACTTTGGGAGGCCAAGGTGGGCAGATCACGAGGTCAGGAGATCGAGACCATCCTGGGTAACTCGGTGAAACCCCGCCTCTACTAAAAATACAAAAAATCAGCCGGGGATGGTGTCATGTGCCTGTAGTCCCAGCTACTCAGGAGGTTAGGCAGGAGAATCGTTTGAACCCGGGAAGCGGAGGTTGCAGTGAGCCGAGATCTCACCACTGCACTCCAGCCTTGGCGACAGTGTGAGACTCCGTCTCAAAAAACAAAACAAAACAAAAAAAAACAAAAATCTATGCATCTATGCAGTTTTAGCTTATAGGATTTGTAAACCAAAAATAGCATCCTAAGCACCCCTGCCCTTAACCATCTGAATGGACGTCCCCCTCAGCCAGGGCGCTTTTAAAATTAACCTGGGAGACTGTTTTAGGCCATGACAGGACGTGTGGGTCAGACATGCCTCATTATACCTCTCTGGCATCAACATCAACACAGACTTAAATCTCATAAGAAACATGTTACAACCTAGTCTCTCTGAAGCCTAGTACCTGAAGGCTTCCTCTGCAAATAAGAACTTAGGTTACCACAATCCTTTATCTTAACCCAGGCATTCCTTTCTGTTGATTCTAGGCATTTTTGTTTGTTTTTGTTTTGAGACAGAGTCTAGATCTGTTGCCCAGGCTGGAGAGCAATGGTGCGTTCTCGGCTCACTGTAACCTCTGCCACCCGGATTCAAGGAATTTTCCTGTCTCAGCCTACCCAGTAGTTGGGATTACAGGCACCTGCTATCACATCCAGCTAATTTTTTTGTATTTTTAGTAGAGACGGGGTTTCACCATGTTGGCCAGGCTCGTCTCCAACTCCTGACCTCAGGTGATTCATCTGCCTCAGCCTCCCAAAGTGCTGGGATTATAGGCATGAGCCACTGCACCCAGCTGATCCTACGTTTTTAGAAAAACCCAACCAATTGTCAGCCAGAAAATTTTTAAATCTACCTATAAGCTGGAAGCTCCTGCTGCGAGTTGTCCTGCCTTTCTGGACCAAACCAATGTATTTCTTAAAAGTATGTGACTGAGTCTCCATAAAATCTATAAAACCAAGCTGCACCCCAACCTCCTTGGGCAACTCAGGACCTCCTGAGGCTGTGTCATGGGTCATGGTCACTCCTATTTGGCTCAGAATAAATCTCTTCAAATGTTTTCCAGAGTTTCACTTTTTTCATCAGGAGACTTCAGGAACAGAGCAGTTTCTGTTTTTAGTAATTTTATGGGAAAAAGTTGAATCTAGTCTAGTCTATATATAGATAACAAGAACTGTGCTGGGCGCAGTGGCTCATGTCCATTAAACCACCACTTTGGGAGGCTGAGACGGGCAGATCACGAGGTCAAGAGATGGAGACCATCTTGGCCAACACGGTGAAACACCGTCTCTACTAAAAATACAAAAATTAGCTGGGTGTGGTGGCGTGTGCCTGTAGTCCCAGCTACTCGGACAGCTGAGGCAGGAGAATCACTTGAACACAGGAGGTGGAGGTTGCAGTGAGCCGAGATCCCGCCACCACACTCCCTCCTGGTGACAGAGCGAGACTCTGTCTCAAAAACAACAATAACAACAACAAACACACACACACACACACACAATAAATAAATAAGAAAAAAGCACAAGAACTCGAAGCAATGCAGAAAGCTACAATCTAATAACTGGTCTGTTAGAGCTTTTCTTTAGCAACACATAATTTTTCTCTATACATTGATCACTTAGGAATCTCAGATTTAAAAACCTTTTAAGGATAGAAAGTGAAACCAAGGCTGACTTTAGATTTCACCTACATTCTTAAGGTTCCTGGGCCTGCCAGAAAGTGACCATTTTTATTTACCCACTGTAAAGCTAAACACACTTGAAGTCAAGTGTTCCATGCATTTTGATGAAAGCCTTGGTAATATAACCATTTTTTTTTCTTTTTGAGACAGGGTCTTACTCTGTCACCTAGGTTGGTATGCAGTGGTGAGATCTCAGCTCACTGCAGCCCCCACCTCCTGGGTTCAAGAATTCTCCTGCCTCAGCCTCCTGAGTAGCTAGGATTACACATGTGCGCCACCACGCCCTGCTACTTTTTTTTTTTAAATTTTTAGTAGAGATGTGGTTTCACCATGTTGGCCAGGCTGGTCTCAAACTCCTGACCACAGGTGATCCACCCGCCTCAGCCTCCCAAAGTGCTAGGATTACAGGTGCGAGCCACCGTGCCCGGCCCTATAAACAATGTTTTAAATTGTATCCGTCTGTAAAGAGAGAGCAGATTTTTTTGTGTGTGTTTAAAAAAAAAGTGTGTCAGGTGCAATGGCTCACACCTAAAATCCCAGAGCTTTGGGGGGCCACTTGAGCCCAGAAGTTCAAGATCAACCTGGGCAACATAACTAGCCCCCATTTCTAAAAAAGAAAGAAAGAAAGAAGGAAGGAAGGAAGGAAGGAAGGAAGGAAGGAAGGAAAAAAGAAAAGAAAGAAAGGGAAAGAAAGAAAGAAAAAAGAAAAGAAAGAAGGAAAGAAAGAAAGGAAAGAAGAAAGAAAGAGAGAAAGGAAAGAAGAAAGAAAGAAAGAAAGAAAGAAAAGAAAAAAGCAAGCAAGCGAGAAAGAAAGAAAGGAAAGAGAAGAAAGAGAAGTGAAAGAAGTATGGTTTTATAACTACCTGCAGGTAGGGCCTGCACGAGAAGGTGGGTGTAGTTGAGAGAAGAAAAGAGGAAAGGAGAGGAGAGGGAGAGGAGGGGAGGGGACAGGAGAGGAGGGGAGGGGGAGGGGGAGAAGGGAGAGGGGAGGGGGTGAAGGGGGAGGGGTGGAAGAGCACCGGGGACGGAATGGTTTTATTACTACCTGCAGATAGGGCCTGCGTGAGGTGGTGGGTGTGCTGGGCTCAGGGGACCTGTGGGCTGTGAGGAGATGGTGATGGCGGGGCTGGAAGGAAACAGGGTGGCTTGGCAACCAGGCCCAAGGGATCCTCACATCTGCTTCTTGGAATGGGCAGCCTTTGAAAAAGAGTCATGGTAAGCCACAGTCACACCATCCATCAGATGCAGAAATTCTTGGAAATCTAGCTGCCCATCACTGGTGAGGTCCAGTTTCTTCATCATGTGGTCAAGGACACTGGGGCCTTCTGGTTCTTCGTGAAGGCATCCAGTTCTCTATTCATGAAGCTTGGGAACTCCGTCTTGGAGTGAATGCTATTGTAACCATCCTTTCCAGTCTATTTCTGGAAAACAGCAATCAGGGACTCTCTGTAGGGCTGGAGATTTTTGCCATGTTGGAGTTGAATGAGGCACCAAGAGCAGGTTTTTACTGGACCTGTGTAAATAACCATATTGGCATAAGAATATTTCCAAATAGTTTCAAATTCTGGAGGAATCGAGTAGAAAGAAAAAGCAAACATTTCCATCTTAGTTAACAAAAGTATACTTCACAAAATTGTTATAAACTATAGACAGTTTAACAGAGAAAATTTTCTCTTTGTTTTCATTTTTTTGAGAAAGGATTGTGCCCCGTCACCCAGGCTGGAGTGCAGTGGTGCAAACACGGCTCCCTGCAACCTCTGCCTCCCAACTCAAGTGTTCCTCCCACCTCAGCCTTGCAAGTAGCTGGGACCACAGGCGCGTGCCACCATGCCCAGCTAATGTTTTTGTTTTTGTAGAGACAGGGTTTTTGCCATGTTGCCCAATCTGGTCTTGAACTCCTGGGCTCAAGTGATCTTCCTGCCTTGGCTTCCAAAGTGAGCAACCACATCCCACCAGAAAATTTTCTTAAAGGTGGAAAACAAAACATTTAGGTAAAAAACAAATGAAGTTTGTATTTTCTTAATTTCTTTCAGAAACCAGGTCTCCTATATTTTTCAGGTTGGTCTTGAACTCCTGCACTCAAGGGATCCTCCTGTTCTGGCCTCCAAAAGTGCTGGGATCAGAGGTGTGAGCCACTGCACCCAGTCCAAGAATAAATAAAGTTTTAAATAAAGTTCATAAAAACATTATTGGTTATTTAGCCTCATATAATTGATGTTTGTTCTGCTTGATCTTGATAATCAGTTGCATGAACCCATCAATTTTCATTAGAGTTTTCAAAAATAATTTATTTAGTTCATTGATCTGAAAGTTATTACAAATCTATATTCAACAGTACTTGTTAAAATATTTTTTATGAATCTGATTCTGGATGCCTTTAGAGAAGAATCAGTACTGTAGATGATAAAGCTTAGAATAGTAACGATTAAAATCTGACGAAAGTTCAATAATTGACAAGAAAATTCAGTTATTTCTATTATAGAGAGCATTTTAAGATAACAACCAGAATCATGACTAATAGCATCACACCAGGACCATCAGACCTCTGTAAATTTTACATGATCTTCTGAACATTAAAGTCCATAACATATCTATATAAATGTAAATAGTGATTAGTATTTTTTATTATTTGACATTGCTTTTCATATAATCTAACATATCAAATAAGCCTAATGAGAGACACATTCTTTAAGGCTCTCCAGGGGCCTCACTGGTAAATCTCAAAGTCAATTTTAGGTTAAAAAGACTTAAATTAGAATTTGATTAGTTTGTTCAACAGCAATGGATAAATTAAAAAAGAATTGCATTTTGGGGAAGTTTGTCAAAGATGTTAAAAGGCTCAAAACACTTGTGCAAAACAGGATCACGGGTCACTGTGAAATAATAGTCACTCATTTAGCAGGAGTCATAGTCAACAGACTTCAAAAGCAATACAGAAAGTTACATGGACTTAAAAACTTACCCTTTCAAAGCTCAGTTTTCCTAAGCAATCATAAACATAATTAGTAGGCCAGGCATGTTGGCTCATGCCTGGAATCCCAGCACTTTGGGAGGCCGAGGCAGACAGATTACTTGAGGCCAGGAGTTCAAGACCAGGCTGAGCGACATGGCAAAACCCCTTTTCTACTGAAAGGACAAAATATTAGCTGGGCGTGGTGGCCCACGCCTGTGGTCCCAACTACTGGAGGCAAAAGAATTGCTTGAACCCAGGAGACAAAGGTTGCAGTGAGCCAAGATCTCGCCCATTGCACTCCAGCCTGGGCTACAGAGAGAGACTCTGTCTCAAAACAAAACCATAGGATCAACAGAAAGGAATGTTGGGTTAAGATAAAGGATTGTGGAAACCCAAGTTATTACTTGCAGAGGAAGCCTTCAGGTACTAGCCTTCAGAGATAATAGGTTGTAACATGTTTGTTATTAGACTGAAAGTCTGTGTTGATGTTGATGCCAGAGAGGTATAATAAGGCATGTCTGACCCATGCTTCCTGTCATGGCCTGAAACCGTCTCTCAGGTTAAATTTTAAAAGTGCCCTGGCTGAGGAAGAAGTCCATTCAGATGGTTGCGGGGTGGCGGGGGTTAGGATTTTATTTTTGATTTACAAGTCCTATAGGACAAAAGTGCATACATCTTAAGGAACAAGTCTTGTGCTTGATGTATGGACCACACAAAAAGTTCACCAAACTGTCCAATGCCATAACCAGAGACATTTGAACGAAAAATCAAGATGAGAAGTTGACGTTTCCACGCTATAGACAGCTTTTCCCAAGATGTCAGAATAAGTCTTCATATCATAATGAGACTCTTACCCCCTTAATGTCTATATTTTTCACTTGACAGAACCTGACCCACAAATTCTTTCCTTCACCTAGTGGTCCCTTTTATAGAGTTGGCACTCTGCTTTAATTCAACCCAGTCCTAAAATGCTACTCAGACTACAAGAGGTCTCATTTCCCCCATAGTTTTTTATTTGTTTAGCTGGTGTTTACCTTAGTCTTGGGATCTTGGTTCAAAACCATTGTACAAACTAAATTTATTATACTATTGCTAATTATAGCTGGGTGCGGTGGCTCACGCCTGTAATCCCAGCACTTTGGGATGCCAAGGAGGGCGGATCACTTGAGGTCAGGAGTTCAAGAGCAGCCTGGCCAACATGGTGAAACCCCGTCTCTACTGAAAAGACAAAAATAAGCCAGTCATGCTGGTGGGCACCTGTAATCCCAGCTACTCAAGAAGGTGAGGCAGGAGAATCGCTTGAACCCGGGAGATGGAGTGAGCCAGGATCATGCTGCTGCACTTCGGCCTGGGCAACAGAGCAAAAGTCCATTGCAATAAAATAAAATAAAACAATTGCTGCTCATTTTGGTATTATGATCTTTGAGCTCTGTTCTTGTTGCCTGTGTAATATTTGTTCAGCCAGTTCTCCCAACAGGATGTTAGCCCAGTGCGTCCAGATGATTGCTAATGTAGATGGAACTAACAAGATGGAACTTGATGCTGAACTCCAGACAAACATGCCTGATTTTTTTTTCCTTCTGGCCTCTTTGTGGCTCAAATGTTGCCCATGTCTCTGATATAGACTCCCTTACCTTTCTCTTGACATGGGACAAAGACAGCCGGCACAGGTCCATCCTGGCATGGAGTGACAATGAAGCCTCACTTTAAGATGGCTGATCAGTGAGGTTTTCAAAGAAAGATCTTCATCAAAAGAGGGAATGTGAAAGCTGATTGTGCAAACGAACCAGCTTCTCCAGTGCCAATGAGCCTCATTTCAAAACAATACGTAACATTTTTATTTCTAATAAAACTTCCAACTTCTCTTTGTTCGTTGGACATACTGAAGACCACCCCAGTCCGTGTGTATGCCCTGAACTGCAATTTTGTGGTTCCCAAATAGAGCATTTGATTTAGGGATTTGTCTCTATAACTCATTTTGACTTTGACACAATTAACCAGTATGATGTGTTGAAAGGTCAACTCGCCCCCCAACAAGGTGAGTATTATACTGAATTTAAAAATTCATTCTAGGCAGGGCTCAAGTCTGTAATCCTAATAATTGCTTTGCTTTGCTTTGCATCTTACTATGGACTTGTTGGATATCTAGGTGGCTGTAAACTATGCAGAGAAAAATAGAAACAGCAGTGGAGATAATCAGAAAATTGTAGTGTTCCTATAAAACAATAACAAAAGGGGGAAATTGTAAGGGTAACTAAACATAAAATTGAATTTTTCCCATTGCCAAAAGGGAAAAAGGAAAAAGAGCCCTTTCCCCTTTTCATCATGCCTGGCTCATCGTTGTATTTTTGGTAGAGACAGGGTTTCCCCATGCTGGCCAGGCTGGTTTCAAGCTCCTGACCTCATGATCCGCCTGCCACAGCCTCCAAAGTGCTGGGATTACAGGCGTGAGCCACCACACCTGGCGTCTGCCTCCACTTTTGGATTTGGATTGTATGAAACACTACACTTTGGATTATATGAAACACTACACTTCAAAGTGTGGGATCTGGCTTCCCAGAGAGCTGTGAAAGGGGCAGATGATGCAATCTAGAAGTGTGGGGGTGTTCGTGCCTGTGGGGTAAATTTTGACCAATAAGAAAAGGAACCAGGAGTGAGAGTCAGGAACGTAATTCCCTCTCCTCTCCTCTCCCCATGCACCATTCCAGGAGGCATTGTTTCTCAGTATAGTCTGTCTAAAGGTGTCCTGTATGGCCCAAAGCCTGTTTCCTTGGGAACCTGAGCTAAAGCAATGGGCATTCAAACACCCGAAGACAGTGTTAAGTGTTGTGGAGGACCCAGATCTGGGCAGAGGAAAATTATCCCAATAAGAAAATGGACAATTTGAGGATTTGGAATAGAGGGAAGGACTAGAAGAACTAATAGTAGTATAGCTGAGGGGTAATATTTTTGGAGAAAAAGGCAGTTCTGGTGATTGTTGCAGTGAACTGCTCAGCTCTGTAAAATATATACTTCCTTTCTTTCCATCAGTCTCCCCTATGAAATCGTCCATAAAATATCCTTTTATAACTATCTATTGCCTGTGAAGTGAATTTTCTTTTTTCCTTTTTCTTTTTTTATTTAGAGATAGAATCTCTGTCGCCCAGGCTGGAGTGCAGTGGGGCGATCTCGACTCACTGCAATCTCCGCCTCCCGAGTTCAAGTGATCCTCCCGCCTCAGCTGCCCTAGTAGCTGGGAATACAGGTGCACACCACCAATGCCCAGCTAATTTTTTATTTGTATTTTTAGTAGAGAAGGTGGTTCACCATCTTGGTCAGACTGGTCTCAAACTCCTGACCTCACGTGATCCACCTGCCTCCGTCTCCCAAAGTGCTGGGATTATAGGTGTGAGCCACCACACCCAGCCTGTCACTTTTCTTTTGGAGAATAAAACAAATTGAGTCTTGTGCCAAAATGCAGGGGAAGATGCACCCAGACAGGTAACAAAATATTATATACGGTAATAGATAGGTTTTCTACATATCAATAATAACCATTTAGAAAATCAAATTGAGAAAAAAGACACGTCTATAGTGACAAAAGTACATAAATATCTAAAACCAGATGATTGGAGCAAGATGGCAGATAGATCCCATGCCCCACTCAACATTCCATTGAACTGGGATGAAAATGTTTTCAAGGGTCAATTCTTAACAGTAGAGGAAAATAGGAAAGCGTGTCAGTGGTCCACCAGGAATACTGAGGCATACCTGGGAGACAGAGTAGATGGGATCAGACTGATAGAGAAACCCAAGGAGACAAGACCACAGCTCAAATCACTATAGGCGAGAGATGCTGTCTGAGACAGAGACTTACTCTGTCGCCCAGGCTGGAGTGCAGTGGCATGATCTCGGCTCACTGCACCCTCCGTCTCCCAGGTTCAAGGGATTCTCCCGCCTCACTCCCTGCAGTAACTGGAATTCACAGGCCAGCCACCACTACCGGCTAATTTTTGTATTTTTAGTAGAGACGGGGGTTTCACCCTGTTGGCCAGGCTGGTCTCAAACTCTTGATCTCAAGTGATCTGCCTGCCTCGGCCTCCCGAAGTGCTGATATTACAGTGTGGGTCACCGCGACCGCCCAGGAGACGCTCTTTGTAACAAAGCCTCTGAAAATCTCCAAACCCTGAATCAAAGAAAACACGGAGCTGGAAAGGGCCTTAGGAAAATCATCATGTAAGTTAATTTAAAAGTTCATCAGAAACGTCTGAATCAGCCAGATTCCCCTCCAACACCACAGACAGATTGGCTGGCAGTAGCCACTTTTGCCTCTAAGATGAAACTCTGATAATTATTCATTAAAGAAACTGAAGGCCTGGCGAGGTGGCTCACACTTGTCATCCCAGCACTTTGGGAGGCTGAGGCAGGAAGATTGCCTGAGGCCAGGGGATCCAGAACACCCTGGGCAACATAGTGGATGCCGTCTCTACAAAAAAATACAAAAACCAGCTGAGTGTGGTGGTGTGTGCCTGTAGTCCCAGCTAGATCGGAAGCTGAAGTGGGTGAATCCCTTGAGCCTGGGAGATCGAGGCTGCAGTGAGCAGCCTCGATCACTGCATCACTGCACTCCAGCCTGGGCGACAGACTGCGATACTGTCTCAAAAAAAAAAAACACGAAAAAGAAATGTATCAGGACTTGGTGTAACTTCAGCCCTTCACAGTAATAATGAAGTAGAGAAACACATTTGTGGAGAGGGGACCATGTTCACTCTTTATCCATGATAGACAGATAGTCGGGAGCTTTATATACCCAAGGAACCTAAGGAAAAATGTTCCCTGTCATGACTCACAATCTTCCAGCCACCCTTCCTTGCACCTGTCTTGTGGGCTGGGGGACCCAACTTATGGATCCCATCATCCCAGGGAGAAAGAAAAGTCAAATCCTTCAGTATCTCTTTTAGGGTATTCTCTCCTCTTTGCATGGAGGATAAGGCACTCAATATCTAGTATCGGAATGTTACATTTGTGTAATACAGAACTATATTGGGATAAAATAGAATTTGTTTCTTCTGAGACACAGGTAGAGGCACGTCCACACTGACCTGGGTGGAAGCCATCTCTTCCTGAAGTGCCAGGCAGGGCATGCTCACAGATCTGGGGAACCTCTGTTGCTCCTGGAGCCCCACAACCTCCTTCCTGGCACCCTCTCCCTCTGGTGGCTGTGACAGCCCACACTTGGCCTTGGGTATCCCCTGCTTCTTTGCCTGCCCCTCTTCTGCCCACCCTGCATATCTCTGTCTCCCACTGTCCCTGCTGTGACCATGACCGCCTCTCCCTCCCCGCACTCTCTCTCTCCTAGGGCTCCTTGTCTTGGGAAAATGAACCCACAGCCTCTACCTTGCAACTGGGGACAGAACCCGGAGTTTGTTCAATTCTCCCTCCCTCCACCACACACACCTGTCCTCCTTAATGTTTCTGAAGTCAGTGAGCTCCAAACTCAGCTCCTCCTGCACCTGCCAGCTGTAGGACCTGTGACAAGACACCTACCATCTGTCTGGGACTCTATCTCTCATCTATCATATAGGCATAATGATCATAGTGTTCTCCTTCCAAGGCTGGGGAGAACCAGGAGGCCAAGGTGATGGGGTATGAATGGTCAAAACAGCTCCAATCCTGCCTCCACCTGGGGCTGCTGTTTCAAGTCCGTTGTGTTTCAAGCATTAATGTCTCCATTCACACACAATGGTTTGTTCTAAAACAGACTCCCCTCTGCCCTTCCCTTCCCCACAACTGTTTCACCTCTGCACCGTGCAGTGGTACCTGTGAGAAAGAACTGTCCCATTCCCAAATCATCGTCTCCACCCCAGCCCCCAGGCCCTTGGGTGGTGAGACCCTTGATGGGCAGTCTCATGCTTCTGTCCAGGGGACTTTCCCACCGTTGCTCCCCCGCATGGAGACTAAGTGAACTCTTCTATTCCCTGGCCATCACAGGGTCTACAGTGCACGCATCTTCCCCATCCCTCTGCATTCCCCAGATGATGATTTCATCTGTGTCTCCTACCACATACTCCCAAATGGACCGTCCCAGCCCTAGAACCCGAAAATCGTTCAGAGAGCAAAGGCCAAGATTCCCAACCACCTGCTGCAGAATACTGCTCCAGGACTGAAGTGTATAGTCTCTATCAAAATAAAAACTGGAGGCCAGTTGCGGTGGCTCATGCCTGTAATCCCAACATTTTAGGAGGCCAAGATGGGAGGATCGCTTTGGCCCAGGAGTTCGAGACCAGCCTGGGTAATATAGGGAGACTTTCTTGACAAAACCTGAAAAAATTAGTGGGTCATGATGGTGTGTGCCTGTAGTCACAGCTTCGCTGGAGGCTGAGGTGGGAGAATCGCTTGAGCCCAGGAGATCAAGGCTGCATTGAGCTATGATCATGCCACTGCACTCCAGCTTGGACAGAGTAAGACCCTGTCTCTAGAAAAAAGCAAAAAAAACCCAACAACTGGAAACATCCTCCTCTAGAATGGTGGTCAGGAACATCTGTCTGCCCTGTTCCCTGATGTCTCTTCAGCACCTATAACAGCGCTCAGCACGAGGACGCACTCATTAGGGTTTTGTTGAATAAATGACTCCTTTGACACAGCAATTCCACTTCTAAGAATCTTTCCTAAAGAAATATTCACACAAGTGCACAGAGCTGTGTGCACAATAATGAGAGGAGCAAACAACTGGGGAACGTTTGCAAAGGTTTATTAACTGGCAGTGACTGATAGAGGGGAATCGGATGAGGGGAGTACATGCTGAACAGGAAACAGAGTGAGGGGGGCTTGACCAGGACACATGGGGAAAAGCAGTTGGGAGATGCCTATACTGGTACTTGGTGTGTGTGTGTGTGTGTGTGTGTGTGTGTGTGTGTGTGCGCGCGCGCGCGCATGTGTGTCTGTGTGGCATGTGTGTGTGTTTGTGTAAATGCAGAGGAAAAAATCTGAAATTAAACACTCAGAACTGCCCTCAGTGGTCACATCTGGGAAGAGAGGAGGGTAGTGTTGTTCTATGCAGAGAATACCTGACGATACTTGTTTTCTGAGGTAGGTGCATGGATACACAAACTGAAATATGCATTAAGTATGTCTTGCTCATCAGTGAAAACGCTAATATCTAACAGAATGGCACACTGTAACAAAATACAACAGAAACACTAACATCGAACTCTTGGCACACTAAGAAAAATGACGCTCAACTTTTCACTGTTGTGAACACTTGCTTTCACTTGCTATACACCTGATGACGAGGGATCCGCAGCCATGCCCATGTTCGTGAAAGGTCACCACGTTCTGCTTCTCATCATGGGCATGTGTCATATCCCCGAGGCTGAGGCAAGAAGCGAGAAGGAAAGTAAGTGGCAGTGAGTTCCCACCACATGACAACTCAATCTCAACTCCTCCTGACCTGCAGACCCTGCCCACTCCGATTCTGCCCTACCTCAGGACCTGTACACGCCTTCCATGGTTCCTTGAAGTGAACCATCTGCTCATACCACAGTGACTTCCTCGCCTGGGTTATCAATTCCTAGGCTAGAGGAAGGTGTGGCCCGCATATCAGTGCTGACCTGGGGTTTGGGAACCCACAGCATCCTGGGTAGGGAGGATCCCTGGATATAGAGGGCAGGGAGTAGAAAGAGCATGGTTAGGCAGGCGCAGAGGCTCACGCCTGTAGTCACAACACTTTGGGAGGCGGAGGCAGATGGATCACGAGGTCAGGAGATTGAGACCATTCTGGCTGACATGGCGAAACCCTGTCTCTACTAAAAATACAAGAAAAAAAATTACCCGGTCGTGGTGGCGGGTGCTTGTAGCCCCAGCTACTGGGGAGGCTGAGGCAGGAGAATGGCGTGAACACGGGAGGCGGAGCTTGCAGTGAGCCGAGATCATGCCACTGCACTCCAGCCTGGGGGAACAAAAGGAGACTCCCCCACCCACAAAAAAAAACATGGGAAATTTCATCATTCAGCCTCAATGCTGTACCCTAGAAAATTATGAGAAGGGAATGATTTGGGGAACAACTGATAAGATGGGATACCAGTACCATAACAGAATAGCACATCTGCAAGGATGTGGGAGATGAGCCAAAGGTTCACTTACGGAGTTACTCGTCATCTTCCTGAGGGTCGCTGATCTCTTCATAAATCACCAGTTGCTTTCTCTCACGCACTCTGTGGGTCCAGGCATGTTTCCCCCTTTTGGGTCCTATGATGGAGAAGAGTTGGAAGATGAGGGTTGGGTAGATTGGAGAGGGTTGGGTTGATTGGAGAGTGTTAGGCTCTGTTTTCTCCAAAAAAGGAGATGCCTCCCCACCACCAAGTGCCCATGGGTCTTCTTTATCCAGTTTTTCACATTCTCTGGCTTAGAGAGGCTGAGACCTTAGACCCACACCAATACAGGCCAAATGCAAATTAAAGTTTTAGCTTCTGGCTCCTTCCGTTGTCAGGTTTAGATTCCCAACCTCTTCACTTACGGGAACATTCACCCTTACCTCCTTTCATTCAGCACGTATTTATTAAGGCCACACAGGCGTACCTTGTTTTATTGCACCTCATTTTCATACTGCTTCACAGATGTTGCAATTTTTTTTTTGGAAATTCTCACCAATTTTACACTTTTCCATTATTATTATATCTGTTATGGTGATTTGTGATCAGTGAGCTTTGATATTATTACTGCAATTGTTTTTATTGTTTTTTAGTCTTTTAAAATAATTTCTGTTTTTTATTTTTGTGGGTACACAGTAGGTGTATATACTTATGGGATACATGAGACGTTTTGATACAGGCATGCAAATGCGTAAAAATCACATCATGGAAAATAAGGGATCTATCCCCTCAAACATTTATCCTTGGTTACAATCAATCCATTTACACTCTTTTAGTTTTCATACTGCACAATTAAGTTATTATTGACTATAATCACCCTGTTGTATGTAATTATTCTGGGGGTAACAGGAACTGCACTCATAGAAGTTGACAAACTTAATCGACAAATATTGTGTGTGTTCTGACTGCTCCACCGATGAGCTCTTCCCTGCCTCTCTTCCTTTTCTTGGGCATCTGTATTTCCTGAGACATATCAACACCGAAATTAGGAAGATTAACAACCCTACAATGGCCGCTAAGTGTTGAAATGAAAGGAAGAGTCGCATGTCTCTCACTTTAAATCAGAAGCTAGAAATGGCTAAGCTTAGTGAGGAAGCATGCTGAAAGCCAAGACAGGCTGAAAGCTAAGCCTCTTGCACCAAACAGCCAAGCTGTGAATGCAAAGGAAAAGTTCTTGAAGGAAGTAATAGTATATAATGCAAAGGAAAAGTTCTTGAAGAAAATAATAATACTAATACTCCAGTGAACACAAGAATAAGAAAGCAAAACTGCCTTACTGCTTAAATGAGAAAGTGGTCAGGATAGAAGACGAAACCAGCCACAACATTCCCTTAAGCCAAAGTCTAATTCAGGGCAAGACCCAAACTCTCTTCAAGTCCATGAATTCTGAGAGAGGTGAAGAAGCTGCAGGAGAAACGTGTGAAGCTAGCAGAGGTTGGTTCATGAGGTTTAAGGAAAGAAGCCGTCTCCATAACATAAAAGTGCAAGGTGAAGCAGCAAACCCTGATGGAGAAGCTGCAGCAAGTTATCCGGAAGATCTAGCTAAGATCACTGATGAAGGTGGCTACACTAAACAACAGATTTTCAATGTAGATAAAATAGCCTTCTATTGGAAGGAGATGCCATCTAGGACTTTCATAGCTAGAGAGCATTGACTTCAACTTTGAAAGAAGTTCTACTGTGGGTAAAATGCTATCCAAAAGCATCACATACTACAGAGAAAGCATTCATGAACGGAAGAGCTAATCGATGTGGCAAATTTCATTGTTGTCTTCTTTTATGAAACTGCCACAGCCACTCCACCCTTCAGCAACCACCACCTTGATCAGCCAGCAGCCATCAACACCCAGGCAGGATCCTCCACCAGCAAAAAGAGTGTGACTCACTGAAGTCGCAGAAGATTATTAGCATTTTATACAATGAATTATTTTAAAATTAAGATATATACATTTTGAGACACAATGCTAGTGCAAACTTAGTAGACTTCAGTATATTGTAAACATAATGTTTTTATGCACTGCCAAACCAAGAAAAAAATGTGTGTGACTCACTTTATCGCAGTGGTCTGGAACTGAACATGCAATATCTCTGAAGTACACCTATATCGGGTAACAGGCATTGAGCTGAGTAAGATATGATCCCAGGTAATCACAGATGGAATTGCTTCAGCACCTTTCATGTCATCAGGCCTTCTAGACTTAATTTAATGCCTCCAAACAATTTATGAACTGAGATTCTTTATTTCCAACTTATAAACTAGGAAACTGGAGCTAAGAAAATTTGGAAGACTTGCCCCAAGTCACGTGGTTTTTTTATATGAATGACAACTCCAGTCTGTGTCTCTGGAAGTCATGTGTAACATCTCATCTGGAGCTGGGCGAGCTCCTCAGCCCAGCCTGGACCCAGGCTTGTCTGGGGTCCATGCCACACACCCAGTCCACACACCTGAACTTAGCGAGAAAAGCCAGAGTGGTTGTTCCCAAATTCTTTTCTCTTACCAGATGTCTTGTTAACCTTCTCAGAGGTATTTAGTTTTCCTGAGGGGCGCAGCTGTTTCCCATTGTTCTGTGGGCCAGATGCTTCTGGCACTCCCTTCGAATCATTTCCTTCCTCTGCTGGCTTCTCGGGCGTGATCTTTATAATGTGAAGGTCACAGATAAACAGTATCAGTGACATTTCTTTAGTGCTTTAGAGCTTACAAAGAATCTTCACATGCATTACCTTAATCAATGTTCTCAACAATGCTAGGAGAGTTACACTTGCCTAAATTAGGAGAAACCTGGGAGGGGAGGTTAGATGGGAAAGGAATGGCCTAACTGAATATGGTTTCCAGGGATAGAATTCTTCTTATCTTCACACTGTTTTAAGACTGACATTCTTGCAAACAGCAAATATCTCCATGTAATTGAGAGTTTGGTATACAGAAGATTTGGAGCATAGCATTCTAAGAATTCACAAGGTCTACAAAGGGAAGAGTTTCCGTAAAATACAAGGGATCCCATATAAGCTCGTAGACAGCTGCTGGGAGAGTAAATGTAAAGACATACAGAGGGGACAAAACACTGCTGAACAAGATGGTGTGGGGAGATGTATACAGGGAAGGGAGAGGGAAAGAAATGGTTTGCTGAAATTAATCCAGGCAGCAAAGAAAGCAGTACCAGATCTGGCATACCAGCCTACCGAGGCACCAACATTGAATGTGGAATTCAGTGAGGTGGTACCCATAACAATTCTGGTTGCATTGGGATGTATCACTGACCAACACTCTTAAGCTACTTTTTTTTTTTTTTGGATGGAGTCTCGTTCTTTTGCCAGGCTGGAGTGCAGTGGCAGGATCTCGGCTCACTGCAACATCCAACTCCCATGTTTAAGCGATTCTCCTTCCTTAGCCTCCAGAGTATCTGGGACTACAGGCAGGCACTACCACGCCCCGCTAAGTTTTGTATTTTTAGTAGAGACGAGGTTTCACCATGGTGGGCAGGATGATCTCGATCGCTTGACCTCATGATCTGCCCGCCTCAGCCTCCCAAAGTGCTGGGATTACAGTCGTGAGCCACCACGCCCAGTCCTTAGGCTACTTTTTATTCAGCTTCCTCACTTATGAAATAGTGAACAATACATGTAAAATAGGCTAAGGGAAGGCCTCTCTGAGCTTGTAAACACTGTTTAAATGTAGTAATAATAACAATTAATACCTTTCATGATCCTTCTTTGAATTCGGTCTCCACACTGGCAACCCAACTCCCAGATCCCTTTACCCTCTAAACCAGAGTTGAATCTGCACTTGTAGGGTCACTAATTCAGGGGCCTCCGAGGGATCCCCTGGGCTGGGACTGGGACTTCCCGGATGCCCCAGGTGCAGACAAGGCCCTCAAGGAGCTCACAGTAGGGAGGGGCCAACAGTCAAAGCGATTCCTAAGCCATGCAAGTGGCCCCAGTAACAGATCAGAGACCAGATGGTCCTTCCTGTTGTGAGAGTGGGTCTCTCAATGGAAGCACCAGGAGGCCCTACGGGGGTGAAGCCCTAGTGAGCAACATCTGAACTTCATAACAAATGCAAATGTGAATGAGCTTTAAATGGCTTGGAGCTCTGGATTAGACTACCACTGCCACTGCGCCTCAGGAAAATTCTTTAACATCTCTATACCCGGATAGCCTCATTTTATTATTATGCTGCTGATAACTATGATCTAAAACATGAACTATGATTCTTTACTTCCATTTCATGAACCAGGAATCCGGAGCTCAGAGGACTTAGAAGATTTGTGCCAAGTCGCCTGCCTTTTATATGGGTGACAACTGAAGTGTGTGACTCATTATTATTTGGAGATAATAGAAACAATGTCTTCTTAAGGATTAAATAAATTCATCCATGTGAACTGCTTAAAATAGTATTTGGCATCACTATGAAAACAAAAGAAGTATTAAGGATCACAACTGTTAGTATTAGCAAGCCGTCGGTGCTACATCAGGTGTTGTGATAGACATAGGGAGAAGAAGGCAGTGAGGGCATTGTTGATATTCTCCCACTCTTACAGGGTTCACATTCGTGAAGGGACAAAGGTTCTCTGGTCCTTTAGATTTGAGAGACACTCACCTTCGGGAAGATTCCCTGGAGCCTGCCGAAAGTCATCTGAGGATGTTCAACTGAAAGAGAATACATCAGAATTTTTCTTTGTTGGTAAAGATTTCCAAACTCTAGAGAGACTTCAGTTGCATGAGGGCATTCTGCAGCAGAGGTTATGAGTCCACTGATTGTTGAGGAGTTATTTGAGATTTGCTTCTGAATTATGTTTAGTCATGGTTGGTGCATTTATCTGTGGCATCAATTCAGAATTTTCCATCTCATGGTTTATCACATGGGGACTAAACCCCATCACAGTCTCATCTTTTTCCATTACATATCTTTTACTTATTCTCAAATAATTAAATTGATTGGTTGGGAATCTGAACTGTATCCACTCAAGATGTACAACAACTGAAAATCATTTTACACTTCAAATGGGTGAATCTTATGGTATGTGAATTAAGCTGTTAAATGTGTGATGAACCATGGATGATTTAGTCCAGTGGCTCTGAAATATTTTCAGTACAAAGACAGTCCTTTAACGTCAAAAACTTGGCAGATACTCAAGCACTGGCTTTTCAGATCTCTTATAGTGATTGTGGGAGATTGTAGAGTCTGGCCTGTTTAGTTGGCGAGTAATAGGTCTATTGGAGACAGTTTGGACTTTCTGACCTTGTCTTATAATTGTGTTGTCAGAGCAGAAGAGCAAGTAAACACATATGTCCCCTTTATATCCCTGAAATGTACAAAGATCTCTACCGAAGAACCTGTCTTTTTTTCACCCCATGTTATCTCTCCTCACTGACAAGTGGGAAAGCTCTCTGTGTGTTGGATGAGGGATCACTCTTTCAAACTCACTCCCGAGCTCATCACAGAGAATCAGGGTTCTTTGGGAATTAGAGGACTATTTGGTTTTGATAAAATACAGGGAAACAGCAGTGCTTATTACATAATGTGTTCATCACCTTCACTCCTAAGATAGTTATTCAAACCCACATGCTGTTAATGAAACAAACTCTGGAAGTTTTTGGCGGATCTACAGTTGTAACATTTTCTTTTTTTTTTTTCACTTGTAACATTTTCTTAACTGTCCTTTGATTCATTAACAGTGCTTAGGAAGAACAACATGTCGTTTAAAAAAGAAATATTTCAAACACACAGAAAAGTATGGGGAATAATATTGAGTCCAGTCGGATCTCAACATTACCCCACAGCTATTTTAGATCTGATTTATTTATTCAGAATATTAGAAATACTACAAACAGGCTGGGCGTGGTAACTCACAGTTGTAATCCCAGCACTTTGGGAGGCTGCGGCGGGTGGATCACCTGAGGTCAGGAAGTTTGAGACCAGCCTGGCCAACATGGTGAAACCCCATCTCTACCAAAAATTAAAAAATTAGCTGGGCGTTTGGGTGGGCGCCTGTAACCCCAGCTACTCTGGAGGCTGAGACAGGAGAATCACTTGAACCCAGGAGGTGAAAGTTGGAGTGAGCTGAGATTGCCTTACTGCACTCCACCCTGGCCGAGAAGAGTGAAACTCCATCTCAAAAACAAAAACACACAAAACACACTATCAACAAGTCACAGCTGAAGCTGTCTGTGCCGCACTCAGCAATCCCTGCCCGCCCTCCCTCCCTCCTCCACTTACAGCCAGTCACCTTAATTTGATGGCTTTTTATTCACATTCATGTTTGTATACATTTACCACTTACTTATTATCTATAAAAATACATATTCTTGTTTTGCATGTTTTAAAATTTTATATGAATGGCCTCTGTAGTTAACTTTCTGCATGCAATTTTTTTTTTTTCACTCAGCCCTGATGTGTATGAGGGAACAAATGCCTGAGGATCTTTCCCAGGTAGCTGAGCTGAAAAGCAGTTGCGCTTGAGGAGACCCTTTCCAGCCCCTTCCCATCTACTCACCCTGATTCCCACGGTTAGGGTCATTATCAAAATCATTCCCCTGGAAGTCTGCGACCCGTTTATTACGCATGAAAGGTGGGAGGGTGGCCTTGAAACCTAGAAAGAAGCAAAATGTTTATTCCTTAAGAGACAAGCTTAGGCCTGGTATGGTGGCTCATGTCTGTAGTAGCAGCTCTTTGGGAGGCTGAAGCTGGAGGATTGCTTGAGGCCAGGAGTTTGAGGCTGCAGTGAGCTATGATTGCACTACTGCACTCTAGCCTAGGTGACAGACTGAGACTCTAAGTCAAAAAAAAAAAAGAAAGAGACAAGCCGAGAGAAGGAAGGTAGGGACGATGGGGGGGTGCCAGATGCCACAGAGACAGTTGGGCTCATCAGAACAGACTCCTAAGGGAGAGAAACGTGCAGGATCCAGGTATGAGCTCCACTGTGGCCAGTCCCTGCCCTCAGCCCTGACAAGATACAGAAGAGCAGAGCACCCAGAAGCTGCCTTGCCATTTTTCCCTGCACAAAAGGAAAACGTGGGGTACTTTCTGCAGCCTAAGAAATAGCCAAAGCTGGAAAAGGGATGCTCATGTATCCCCAGACTGTCTGTACCTAGAACTTTCTGTTACCTAGTTTAGTCATGGCCTCATACTTTCTCTTCATATACACATAGATGATTTTCTCCGAGGCTTTCATCTTTTCCCACTCTTTCTCAGAGAAGTATTTGGCAATATCATCGAAGGCCTAGAAAAAAAAAAAGGATTTCTGATAGTGACTCAGCTAGGCATGTCTGCCATTCAGCTGGAGCCGCTTCCTGTGTGCTGGATCTGGGAAGTAGGGATGATAATCCGTCCTGGTTGATGCCATGGCTAACTGACAGAACATGGGGCACCTACCCTAGCTTCTCCCCTGCCACACAGTAGAGCTTTAATGCTGCTGGCTGGCTCTCTTCCCACCTTCCAGAACGGACTGAGATTCACCAAATGTATTCCACGGTCACAGACTTGTCTCCAGGGATGCTAGGTGATGACAGAGCGAGAGTGAGAGGCTCCCAAGGTTCCAGATGTCCCCGGAGACCCTGGTCCTTGTCCCCAGTACCTCTGTCCTCCCCTCCTCAGAAAACTGATCACCCCACACTGTCCCCTGGGCCACTACTATGCCCCCTGCAGGTCACCTCACCTTTTGCATCTTCTCTGGTATTTGAGAACCAACCCTAGGTCTCCGTACAAAGGCATCGTCTCCGTTCATGGCACCGGGAGCACTCTGTCCTACAAGAGAAACAGTCTGAGTCTTTCCAGCTGCAGGACCTTTGGTCCCATGGAGGGAGAAATCAGTGAAGTCTGGCCACACTCAGTCACCTGGAATCAGGAGTTGCATTTCTCCATCCGTGGCTTATCTGTCCCTGAGTAAGGCCATGGGGAGAAGTCAGATGAAAACAGGGAGCCAGGGGTCTCTGGGAGAAGTATTGATTGGGGATGACATGTTTCCTATGGGCAAAGCAGCCTTGAGTCTTTGGAGGGGGTTGGCTAATGTTGTTAGTAGTTTCCCTGAGGCCAGGCTTACCCTGAAAGATGTACAGACCCTTGTTGGGAAGGCAGAGATGTGACTGTGTAATTTTATTCAGTGGGGGCGTTCTGACACCCTCACTCAATGAATAAAGGAAGGGAAGTGAGTCCCAGAGATAACATGGTCTCTCTGGTGATGGATCTGATCAGGCAGAGGGATGGGGGTTCTGTTCTGTTGAAGAGAAATGAGCATCGCTACTATGAACGGATTTAGAAGCTATTACTGGGTGATTTGTAAATTATTAGAAGGAAGAGAGCTAGAATTTCTGAGACTACAAGAGCCCGGGAACACTTAGAGAGAATGTGGGGTGTTTCAACATGCACAATCAGCCAGGCTCGGTGGCTCACTCCTGTAATCCCAGCACATTGGGAGGCCAAGGCGTGCAGATCGCTTGAGCCCAGGAGGTCAAGACCAGGCTGGGAAAAATAGCAAAACTCTCGTGTCTACAAAAAATACAAAAAGTTAGCTGGGGGTGGTGTAGCAGGCCTGTACCATCCCAGCACTTTGGGAGGCCAAGGTGGGCGGATCACTTGAGCCCAGGAGCTTGAGACCAGCCTGGTCAACATAGCGAAACAATTTCTACTAAAACAAAACAAAATAAAAACACCTTAGCCCTTAGCAGAAGTGGGATGGTGTGCACCTGTAGTCCCAAGGCCTAGGCAACAGGATCACTTGAGCCCAGGAGGAAAGATTTGAGTGAGTTTTTTTTTTTTTTTTTGGTCAGACAAGGTCTTGCTCTGTTGCCCAGGCTGGGGTGCACTGGCGTGATCATGGTCACTGCAACCTCCGCCTCATAGGTTCAAGTGATCCACCAGCTGTGGCCTCCAAAACTGCTGGGATTACAAGTGTGAGCCACCGCGCCCCGCCCAAATTTCTTAAGTTACTGCAGAGTTCCCAGGAAAAATCCCATACTTGAAAAAGTTAGAAACTGACAGGAAAGATTTGAGATGGCGACCTGCCTCATATACACTCCTTATTAAAACTAGATAACAAATGCACCACGGAGGAGGGGAGGGGTAGGAAGAATGGAAAAAGAAAATCAGCAAATGCTTACTCTGATTTTGGAAGAATCGAAACAATCAGAGCGTGCGTACTCTGTGGAAAAATCGAGAGAGAGAGAAAGTCAGAGCATGCGTACTCTGAACTTAAAGTAGCCAATCCCAGGGTATGCTTTAGGCGGGAAAATTAGAGTCTCCACCCCCACTTTGAGAAGGTGCTGTCCCTGGAGGTTGGACTGACAGACGCCACATCAGCTTCGCTTGTTCCGCCTACTGTTCTGACTTCTGATTGGCCAGATGGAGTTCACTAACTGCTCTGATTGGTCCATCTCCTTGGGCAGTGACATTGCACAATATTGTCTCCTCCTCCAGCCACACTTTGTTGCCACTGCAACACCCAAAAAGTGGGTGGTCCTCAGGCGCCGTCAGGAGATGTTGAACTCTCTGAAGACTGTCCCTGGATCTTGGGTTAAACATCTGTATTCTAGTCTGAACAGCGAGAAGAAAAAAATAGTTGATCTGTGATTTTTCCACTTGAAAGACACAATGTTTTCCAAACTAGCACATTTGCAGAGCTTTGCTGTACTTAGTCGTGGCTTTCATTCTTCAGTGGCTTCTATATCTGTTGCAACTGAATAAACAGTCCAAGGCCCTCCAACCTCTGATTACAGTTTTGAAAGGGAATCTAAGTGTGGTGTGCACAATTACCATCCTTTACCTGTAGCCCTGGAGAGACGAAAATGTATTTACTTATGGGATGTGATTGTGGTATTGGTTACATCCACCTTAGCCAATCCTTCCGCCTCAGTCTCGGGACTACAGGCAGGAACCACCCCACCCCCACTCATATTTTTTGTTTTTTGATTTTTTAATAGAGACGGTTTTGCTGTATTGGCCAGGCTGGTCTCATCATCCTGGGCTCAAGCGATCCTCCCGCCGCAGCCCTGGGACTACAGGCATGCACCACCCTGCCGACGCTTTTTTAAATTTTTTTTTATTTTTATTTTTTAGTGGAAACCAGGTTTTGTTATGTTGGCCAGGCCGGCGTCAAGCTGCTGGGCTGAAGGGATCCTCCCACCTCGGCCTCGGGACTACAGGCATGCACCACCCTGCCCACACTATTTTTTTTCCTTTTTTTTTTTTTAGTAGGAACCAGGTGTCGATATGTTGCCCAGGCTGGCTTCAATCTCCTGGACTCAAGTGATGCTTTCACCTCGGCCTCAGGACTACAGGCATGTGCCTTTCTGCCCGGCTCATTTTTATTTTATTTATTTATTTATTTTTATTTTTGTTTATTTATTTTTTTAGGAGAGACAGGCTTTCGCTATGTTGGCCAGGCTGGTATCGACCTCCTGGGCTCAAACAATCCTCCCACCTTGGCCTCGGAACTACAGGGGTGAGCCACTCTGCCCGTGCTATTTTTTTGTTGTTCTGTGTTGTTAGTAGAAATGGGTTTTCGCTATGTTGGCCAGGCTGGCTTCGACCACCTGGGCTCAAACAATCCTCCCGCCTCGGCCTCGGGACTACAGGATCACACCACCCAGCCCCCACTAATATTTTTAATTTTTCTAGTAGAAACAGTTCTGCTATGTTGTCCAGGTTGGTCTCTACCTCCTGGGCTCAAGCGATTCTCCTGCCTTGGCCTTGGGACTACAGGCATGCACCACCCTGCCTTTTGCTATGTTTTCCAGGCTGGTCTTGACATCCTGGGCTCGCTCAATTATTTGAACCTGGGAAGCAGAGGTTGCATTGAGCTGAGATCACACCACTGCACTCCAGCTTGGGCGACAGAGCAAGACTGTCAAATAGATAAATACATCCATACATGAAAGAAAGAAGAAAGAAAAGAAAGAAAGAAAAAGAAAGAAGGAAGGAAGGAAGGAAGGAAAGAAAGAAAGAAAGAAAGAAAGAAAGAAAGAAAGAAAGAAAGAAAGAAAGAAAGAAAGAAAGAAACCAGCTGAATCTCCGTAAAAACAGTAAGCTTTGTGGTATATTAACTTACCCTCATCCCATCTCGTGCTCCCAGCTTGGTTCTGTTCATTGCTGATGAAATACACATAGGATTGGCCAGAACTGGTAGATGGCTGGCTGTTGATCATGAAAATGTCAGACCTGATATAGTCCTCCTTGGAAAGGCCCTTTCTGGGGGCTGACACTCTGTGTCGGTGGCGCTGTGGGACGATGACATAATGCTGACCATTAAGCCAGGCGACCATGGGTCCACATACGGTGGCAATCCACTAGGCTGCTGAGTGGCCATCGCAGCCCTTGAGGTTTTAGAAGAAAATCTTGCTGAAAATACAGAACAAAATGGGTATTCTCTTGAGAAATGAACCCATGAAGCTACCTTCTGATGCTGTAACTGCTGTAAGAGGAAGAGAATTATTGTGTGTATGTGTGTATGTATGTATGTATTTAGAGTCAGAGGTTCACTCTGGTTGCCCAGGATGCAATGGTGCGATCTTGGCTCACTGCAACCTCTGCCTGCTGGGTTCTAGCGATTCTCCTGCCTCAGCCTCCTGAGTAGCTGGGATTACAGGCACGTGCCACTATGCCCAGCTAATTTTCATATTTTTAGTAGAGACTGGGTTTCACCATGTTGGCTACGCTGGTCTTGAACTCCTGACCTCAGGTGATGCACCCACCTCGGCCTCCCAAAATGTTGGGATTACAGACGTGAGCCACTGTGCCCGGGAGGAAAATAATTATTAAATGCTATTGTTATTAAAGAAACCAAAGATTGTGATGTTTGGAAGGTGTGTCTACGACTTCGAGATTATTGAACATGGCCGGGTACAGCAGTTCACACTTGTAATCCCAGCACTTTGGGAGGGCGAGGTGGACAGATCACTTGAGGTCAGGAGTCCATTGTTGCTATTGCTGTTGCTGAGACAGAGTCTCACTCTGTCGCCCAGGCTAGAGTGCAGTGTCTCGGCTTACAGCAACCTCCGTCTCCCGGGTTCAAGCGATTTTCCAGCCTCAGCCTCCCGAGTAGCTGTGACTACACGTGCGCACCGCTACGCCCAGGTAATTTTTGTATTAGTAGTAGAGATGGGGTTTCAACATATTGGCAAGGCTGGTCTTGAACTCCTGACGTCATGATCCGCCCACCTCAACCTCCCAAAGTGCTGGGATAACAGGATGAGCCACTGTGCCTGGCCAATAGTTCATTTTTATTACTGAGTAGTATTCCATGGTATGGATGTACCACAGTTTGACCATTCACTTATTGTAGGATATATTGATTATTTCCAGCTATTGACTATTACAAGTAAAGCTGCTATGAACAATTATGTACAAGTTTCTGGATGGGCATACATTTTAATTTCTCTGAAGTGTAATTGTTGAATTGTATGGTCATTGCATGTTTAGTTTTATAAGAAACTACCAAACTGCTTTCCAGAGTGGCTGTAAGATTTTACCTTCCCAGCAGCACTTAATGAGGTGTCCATTTTCTCTGCATCCTTGTCACCATTTGGTGTTGTCACTATGTCTTTTATTTTAGCTATTGTAATAAGTGTGTAGTGATACCTCATCGTGGTGTTATTCTGCATCTAGTGAAGCAAATGAGGGCTGAACATCTTTTCATGTGCTTATTTGCTTATTTCCTCTTCAGTGAAATGTATGCTCATATCTTTTCATGATTTTCTAATTGGATTATTTGTTTGTATTTTTTACCATTGAGGTTTCTTTTATTATTATTATTTTTCTTGAGACAGAGTCTCTCTCTGTTACCCAGGCTGGAGTGCAGTGGCACGATCTTGGCTCACTCCAACCTCCGCCTCCCAGGTTCTAGCAATTCTCGTGTCTCAGCCTCCCGAGTAGCTGGGATTACAGGGTCGCAACATCGTGCCTGTCTAATTTTTGTAGTTTAGTAGAAATGGGTTTTTGCTATGTTTCCCAGGCTGGTCTCGAACTCCTGACCTCAAGGGATCTGCCCTCCGTCCACCTTGACCTTTCAAAGTGCTGGGATTACAAGTGTGAGCCACCATGCTCAGCCAACCATTGAGTTTTGAGAGTAGTATATATATCCATTATATATTCTGGATGTGAGTCCTTTCTTGGATATGTGGTTTGCAAACATTTTCTCCCAGGTCATACCCTGTTTTTTCATCCTTTTAACAAGATTTCTTGCAGAGCAAAAGTTTTAAATTGGATGAAATCTAATTTATTTTTTTCCTTATGGATTATGCTTTTTGAACCATTGACTATGCCCTAGATCTCAGACGTTTCTCTTATATTTTCTTGTAAAAGTTTTCTTTTAGTTTTATATTTTAGATTTAAATCTATGATCGACTTCAGTTACTTTTTTGTATAAAGGTTTGAAGATTAGGGCTTTTTTTTTTTTTTGGCCTGTGGCTCTGCAACTGCTCCAGCACCATTTGTTAAGCAGACTATCCTTCCTTCTTTTTGTCTCTTGGTAAAAAATCAGTGTGGGGCTATTTCTAGGTTCTCTATTTTGTTCCAGTGATCTATGTGTCTATTCTTCTCCCAGTACTACACAGTCTTGATTCCTGTAGCCATATAAGAAGTATTGAAATATGGTAGAGCCATTCCTCCCACCTTATTCTTCTTTTTCAAAAATTGTCTTAGCTATATAAATATTTTTTGAGATGGAGTCTTACTTGTGTCACCCAAGCTGGAGCTCAGTGGGGTGATCTCGGCTCACTGCAACCTCTGCCTCCCAGGTTCAAGTGATTCTCCTGCCTCAGCTTCCCGAGTAGCTGGGATTTCAGGCACGCACCGCCACACCTGGCTAATTTTGCTATTTTTAGTAGGGACGGGATTTTGCCATGTTGGCCAGGCCGGTCTCAAACTCCTGACCTGAAGCGATCCGCCCATCTCCGCCTTCCAAAGTGCTGGGATTACAGGCGTGAGCCACCACTCCCAGCGTTGTCTTAGCTATTGACAATTTGTTACAGCAACAATCAAAAATGAATATACATAGAAACAGATCAGTGAAACAAAATAGAAAGTCAAGAAACAGACTAATTTATATACCAACTTCAGCATGCATTTCCAAACAGTGGGCAAAAGATGGGGTGTATAATAAAGGATTGTATAATAAAGGATTGTTGTCTATCCATTTGGAAAAATAAACATTAAATCCTTACTTTCAACCACATAAAATAATAAATTCTAAAAATTCAGAGACTTAAATATGAAAAAGTGAAGTCATAAAGAACTAGATGACAATTTAGGAAAATATTACAGTGTAAGACATCTTGAGTTGGCATAGGCACTTCCTGACATTACACCAAGGCTATAAACAATTAATCTGACATAGGATGTAAAAATTAAAGTATCATGTAAGTCAAAAGACACCATAAACAACTATTTAAAAAGGCAAATTTTAGGCCAGGCGCGGGGGCTCACGCCTGTAATCCCAGCACTTTAGGGGGCTAAGGAGGGCAGATCACAAAGTCAGGAGATCAACACCATCCTGGCTACCACCGCGAAACCCTGTCTCTACTAAAAATACAAAAAATTAGCCGGGCATGCTGGCACACACCTGTAGTCTCAGCTACTTGGAAAGCTGAAGTAGGAGAATTGCTTGAACACAGGAGGCAGAGGTTGTAAATTTAAGAGGAAGGAGGTGATTTCAATAAGCAATGGTGAGGAGAAAAATAGTACAATTTATTGAAAAGTATAAAGTTTAGATTGTAAATTTAAAAAATTATAGTCTTGAACTAAAATTGCAGATGGGAGGAGGGACAGGAAAGAAAAGAGAAGTTCTTTTGTTGTTCAAGGAATGGATACAGATTCTAATGAATGATAGAATGGTAGAATGATTAAAAACACTAGCATTTCATTTTGTTTTATTTTAGAGACGGCCTCACTCTGTTGCCCAGGCTAGAGTTCCATAGCACAATCGTGGCTCACTGTAGCCCCAGCCTCCTCAGCTCAAGTGATCCTCCTGCCTCAGCCTCCCATGTAGCTGGGACTACAGGCGTGCACCACCACCCCTGGTTAATTAAATTTTTTTATTTTTTAGTAGAGACAGGGTCTTGCTATGTTGCCCAGGCTGATCTTGAACTATTGTCCTCAAGCAATCCTCCCACTTCTGCTTCTCAAAGTGGTGGGATTACAGCCATGACCCACTGTGCCCAGTTAACACTAGCATTTTATAGTACAAACTCTGGAGCCAGACAGCTTGGGTTCAGTTTCTGGCTTCTCAACTTTTTAAGCTGTGTGACCTTGTGTAAGTCATATAACCTTTCTGTGTCTCAGGCTACTCAAAAGTAAACTGGGGATAACCACACTAGCTCATTTGATTGCTGTGATTAAATGGGCAAATACATGTAAAGCACTTAGAATAGTGCCTGTCATGTGGTTAAGTGGTATATATCTTTTAGCTGTTTATATATATATATATAGATATAGTTTAGTTTAGTTGTTAGTAATGACTTCAAATTACTTTTAAAATGTAAAGGCATAAAGGCATATCTGGTTCCAGAAGAAGATGGTGAACCAGCAATAGCTGCTGGCTTCCTTCCCAAACCCAACCCTGCAGATGCCACAGAAGAGGTGGGAAGTGGTTGGAGTTCAGAACAGTTCCTGTAACAAAACCCTTGATGGTTTAGCCCCACTGGGGGAAAAGGTCAGAGGCCACAGATGGAGGATCAGCCCAGGTGGAGCTTTCTAAGTTGCATTCTTGTTTTCTCCTTGTTTTCTGGAAGCCTTATTACCTGTTGTGTAAACATATAGAGCAGACACTTGGCAGGGCTGGCCTAGTGCTAGCCCAAAGTGGCCTGATAACATTAAGGAATAGGGGGCTTGGAAAGCTCCTAGAAAAAGTGCAGTCTCATCAAAGCTGGCCAGTAACTGAGCATTCCTTTTCTACCTCTCCCTCTGCCCTCTGAGCTAGGCAATTACAACCAATATCACCCACCCGTAGACTCCCTCCACGCTGTAAGGCAGAAATCCCGTAAGCGTCTCTGGGGGCTCATAGGCTAGGGACTGGAAAGAAGAATTGGCTCAGCTCAGCTCTAGAGGCTCCGTATCCTACAACCTATCAATCCAGAAACCTTGAAACTCGTGTGGGGTGTTTGGGCTGACACACCTTCCCAGGAACAAAGAGTTATGTAGAAAAACTATCGGTTAGGCCAGGCGGGGTGGCTCACGCCTGTAATCCCAGCACTTTGGAAGGCAGAGGCGGGAGGATCCCCTGAGGTCCGCAGTCTAAGAGCAGCCTGGCCAACATGGCGAAACCCCATCTCTACTAAAAATACAAAATGAGTCGGGTGTGGTGGTGTGCACAGGTAGCCCCAGCTACTCGGGAGACTGAGGCAGGAGAATCGCTTGAACCCAAGAGGTGGAGGTTGCAGTGAGCTGAGATTATGCCACTGCACTCCAGCCTGAGTAACAAAGCAAGACTCTGTCTCAAAAAAAAAAAAAAAAAATTCCTTGCTTTCAGCACTTTGGAGTTATTACACCATTGTATCCTTGCCTCCAGTGTGGTGTTTGAGAGATCTGATGTCAGTTCAATTATTTTTCCTCTGTAAGTAACCTGCTATTTCTCTCTGATCATTTTAAAAATATTTTTTCTTTCTTTCACAATTTTACATTTCACTGTTCCTGTGTGTGTGTACTATAATACCTTTAAATCTTAAGTCATTTTTTTTAATCTGAGAAATTCTCTTTCATTATTTATTTGGGGTACACTCTCCTTTTTAATGACTATATTCTCTTCTTATAAGGCTACTATTAGATGTGTTTTGACATTTATTCTATCCTTCCTATTAATTAACTTTTCTTTCATTTACTTTATCTCTATCCATTACCGATTACTTTTATGAATTCTTTAGACACATTTTCTCAGTTCAGTAATTGCTTTTTCAACTATATCCGTTTTAATATCCAACCTATTCCACTGAATTATTTATTTGAGCATTTAATGTTTTCATATCCAATCTATCCAATAGGTTATTTATTTATTTATTTATGATGGAGTCTTGCTCTGTCACCCAGGCTGGAGTGCAGTGGCGCGATCTTGGCTCACTGCACCTCGCCTCCTGAGTCCAAGCAATTCTCCTGCCTCAGTAGAGAATTAAAAAAAAAAATAGCTGCATTTCGTGGTGCGTACCTGTAGTCCCAGCCACTCGGGAGGCTGGGGCAGGAGGATTGCTTTGGCCCTGGAGTTTGAGGCTGCAGTGAGCTAGGATTGGGTCACTGCACTCTAGCCTAAGTGACAGAGTGAGACAAAGTCTCTGTCTCTGAAAAATAAGAAAAAAGATTGTAGGGACGATTTTACTCAGAGTGGGGAGTACTATGATATGTACACGGGCCACTGCAACGGGGTTTTGGGTTAGGAGAGTGATATCGGGATCAACTTCAACTCCACCAAGGGCAAGTGGGGATTTATAGTCAAGGAGTAGGGTCAGGGGGTCAGAAGATGGGAAATTACTTGGAGGAGACATCAGGTGCAGGCAGATTCTGGCTAAACAGACTTGACAGGAATTTTGCTGAAACAGGCTAAATGGGCAGAGTCCCTGGATGGAGAGGCATGAGCCACCTCATCCGGCCAACTAGCTTTGTTTAATATGTCAGTTTTCATAAGTAATCTAGGTATAATTGTTAAAAATGAATAAAAGAGGTAAATGTGAGATACATGTTTATAAATGAACTTTTCATGTAATTTGAAATCTTTTTTCTCTTGCTCTTATCATAGGAAGATGAAATATTAAAGTTATGTTATGTTAGATTTAGTAATAGGTACTCGTTAAATGTCGGGATCACTTCCATCTAAGAAAATAACTGATACAAATCGCTAAACATAAATACAAGTTTGTTCTTGGCCCTTAAGTTTTATAAAAGAGAAAAGATATTTGGATCTGTTAATAAAATGCCCTGTTCTACATTGAAAATGTAGAAAATTGTTCTGGCCGGGGGAGGTGGCTCACGCCTGTAATCCTAGCACTTTGGGAGGCTGAGGTGGGTGGATCACGAGGTCAAGAGATCAAGACCATCCTGGCCAACATGATGAACCCCCGTCTCTACTAAAAATACAAAAATTAGCTGGGTGTGGTGGTGGGCACCTGTAGTCCCAACTACTTGGGAGGCTGAGGCAGGAGAATCGCTTGAACCCAGGAGCAGAAGTTTCTGTGAGCCTAGATTGAGCCACTGCACTCCTGCCTGGTGACAGAGCGAGACTCCGTCTCAAAAAAAAAAAAAAAAAAAAAAAAAAAAAAAAAAATTTTTAAAGATTATAAAATATATATTCATGATATGTTAATATATAACAATTCCAAACTACTTTCTAGATTTTTACTAAAAATTAAGGTTATGGCCGGGCGTGGTGGCTCATGCCTGTAATCTCAGCACTTTGGGAGGCTGAGGCAGGTGGATCACGAGGTCAGGAGTTCGTGAGCCAACATGGCGAAACCCCGTCTCTACTAAAAGTAAAAAAGTTAGCCAGATGTGTTGGCCCATGCCTGTAATCCCAGCTACTCAGGAGCCTGAGGCAGGAGAATCACTGGAACCCGGGAGGTGGAGGTTGCAGTGAGCTGAGATTGCGACACTGCCCTCCAACCTGGGTGACAGAGCAAGACTCTGTCTCAAAAAAAAAAAAAAAAGAAAAATAGTCTATGGCCATACCACCTGAATGCACCAAATATTGCATGATCTCAGAAGTTAAACAGGGTCAGACTTGGTTGGTACTTGGATTGCAGTCCAATATAAAAATGAAAAATTGTAGGACTAAGACTGGGGGTAAAAAAATGATGGAATGTCTACGCAAGTTGCTGAGGGTTTATGAAGGATGAGCCTTGGGAAGGGAGTCTTATATATCATCTGGTTGGTTGGGATTGAAAAGAAATTGTTTATCAGTTTTTCTAAAAATTGAACATTAGTATCAAGGGTGCACTGAAGCAGGGTGAGTCTGCTCCTCTAGGTTTGAAACAGGTTTTCTTAACATGTTGATCTGTTTTTCTTTATCTTTTAAATAATCAGTCTAAAAAAACAGGGATTTTGTTTTAAGATAGTTTCTTAACTGCATTTATTAGGTTTTTGTTTTTGTTTTGTTTTCTGAGATGGAGTCTCGCTCTGTCACCCAGGCTGGAGTGCAGTGGTGTGATCCAGCCACTGTAGTAAGCAAGGTTGCTCACTGCAACCTCCATCTCCCAGGTTCAAGTGATTCTACTGCTTCAGCCTCCCGAGTAGCTTGGATTACAGGTGCCCACCACCACGGCCGGCTAATTTTTGTCTTTTTAGTAGAGATGGGGTTTCACCATGTTGGCCAGGCTGGTCTCCAACTCCCGACCTCAAGTGATCTGCCTGCCTTGGCATCCCAAAGTGCTGAGATTACAGGTGTAAGCCCCCACACCCAGCTATAATTAGCAATAATATAATAAATTTAGTTTGTACAATGGTTTTGAATGAAGATCCCAAGCCTAGGGGCCACCAGCTAAACAAATCAGAAGACTACGGGGCAATTGAGTGAGACCTCTTATAGTCTTTGAGTAGTATTTTGGGACTGGGTTGAATTAAAGCAGAGTGCCGACTCTATAAAAGGGACCACTAGGTGAAGGAAAAGATTTGGGGTCAGGTTCTGTCAAGTGAAAAATGTAGACATTCAGGGGGTAAGATTCTCATTATGATATGAAGACTTATTCTGGCATCTTGAGAAAAGCTGTCTACAGTGTGGAAACATCAACTTCTCATCCTGACTTGTCGAGCAAATGTCTCTGGTTATGGCATTGGACAGTTTGGTGAACTTTTTATGTGGTCCATACATCAGGCATGAGACTTGTTCTTTAAAATTTGTGCAGTTTCACCTTGTAGGACTTGTAAATCAAAAATAAAATCCTAAGCCCCCTGCCCCCAACCATCTGAAAAGACTTCCTCCTAAGCCAGGGCTCTTTTAAAATTTAACCTGAGAGACGGTTTCAGGCCATGACAGGAAGTGGGGGTCAGACATGCCTCATTATACTTCTCTGGCATCAACATCAACACAGACTTGAAGTCTGATAAGAAACATGTTGGCCGGGCGCGGTGGCTCACGCCTGTAATCCCAGCACTTTAGGGGGCTGAGGAGGGCGGATCATGAGGTCAGGAGATCAACACCATCCTAGCTAACATAGTGAAATCCGGTATCTACTAAAAATACAAAAAATTAGCCGGGCGTGGTGGCACATGCCTGTAGTCTCAGCTACTCAGGAGGCTCAGGCAAGAGAATCGCTCGAACCCGAGAGCCAGAGGCTGCAGTGAGCAGAGAAGGAGCCACTGCACTCTAGCCTGGCGATATAGTGAGACTCTGTCTCAAAAAGAAAAAAAAAAATGTTACAACCTATTCTCTCTGAAGCATAGTACCTGAAGGCTTCCTCTGCAAATAAGAACTCAAAAAAAACTAAGAGCGACTCACTTCACGTAATCAACTTTCACAATGGTTAAAGCAGAGTCCTGCTTAGCAATGCACAAAAATTCTCCTTTGTGACCCATTCATTTTACTGCTGTTGACTTTCTTGCTTATCCTTTCAGACAGAGACACTCTTCTTTGACCAAACTTGAGTGGGGCTCCTCTGAGTCCTGTTTCTGACTAGGCCCCAACCTCGGGCTCTGTCCTTCATCCAGGGACTCTGCCCATTTAGCCTGTTTCAGCAAAAATCCTGTCAAGTCAGTTTAGCCAGAATCCCCCTGCACCTGAGGTTTCCTCCAAGTAATTTCCCATCTTCTGACCCCCCGACCCTACTCCTTGACTACAAATCCCCACTTGTCCTTGGTGGAGATGAAGTCGATCCCAATATCACTCTCCCACTGCAAGACCCCATTGCAGTGGTCCCTGTGCCTATCACAGGAGTCCCCCCTCTGAGTAAAATCATCCTTACGATCTTTTTGTTATTTTCAGAGACAAAGTCTCACTCTGTCACTCAGGCTGGAGTGCAGTGACCCAATCCTAGCTCACTGCAGCCTCAAACTCCAGGGCCCAAGCAATCTTCCTGCCCCAGCCTCCTGAGTAGCTGGGACTACAGATACGCACTACCAAATCCAGCTATTTTTTTTTTAATTCTGTATGAACCCAGGAACTTGATATGCCCATCTAATTCTTGTGGTTTTTTTTGTTTTTGTTTTTGTTTTTGTTTTTGTTTTTGTTTTTTGTAGAGATGGGGTTTCACCATGTTGCCCAGGCTGGTCTTGAATTCCTGGGCTCAACCAATCCTCTTGCCTCAGGCTCCCAAAGTGCTGGGATTACAGGCATGAGCCACTGCAGCTGGCCCTTCCTTACAGTCTTTAATAAGTGCAATAAATACTTGTTTGCTTTAACATTTCCCTGTGTCTTCAATCTCCTCAAGTGTTATATGCCTGACATTGCCATACTCCACCAAAAATATAAAAATTCCTTTCTTTCACGGGCGCAGTGGCTTACCCCTATAATCCCAGCATATTGGGAGGCCAAGGCGGACAGATAACCTCAGGTCAGGAGTTGGAGATCAGCCTGGCCAACATGGCGAAACCCCATCTCTACTAATTTTGTACTAAAAGTACAAAAATTAGCTGGGTGTGATAGTGTGCACCTGTAGCCCCAGCTACTCAGGAGGCTGAGGAGGAGAATCACTTGAAACTGGGAGGTAGAGGTTGCAGTGAGCTGAGATCATGCCACTGCACTCCAGCCTGGGTGACAAAGCGAGACTCTGTCTCCAAAAAAAGAAAAAAAAATTCCTTTCGTTCAACACTTTGGAGTTATTACACCATTGTATCCTTGCCTCCAGTGTGGTGTTTGAGAGATCTGATGAAGGCTGAAATATTTTTCCTTTGTAAGTAACCTGCTATTTTCCTCTGATCATTTAAAAAAAATTTTTGTCTTTCATAATTTTTCATTTCACTGTTCCTGTGTGTGTATGTGTGTGTGTACGATGATCCCTTTAAATCTTAAGATATTCCTCTAAATCTGAGAAATTCTCACTCATTACTTGTTTAAGTACACTCTCCTTTTTAATGACTATGTTCTCTTCTTATAAGGCTACTATTAGATGTGTTTTGACATTTATTCTTCTATGCTCCCTATTAATTAACTTTTCTTTCGTTTACTTCATCTCTATCCATTACCGATTACTTTTATGAATTCTTTAGACTAATTTCCTCAGGTCAGTAATTGCTTTTTCAACTATATCCGTCTTAATATCCAATCTATCCCAATGAATTATGTATTTGAGCAGTTAATGTCTTCATATCCAATCTATCCAATAGGTTTTATTTTTATTTATTTATTTGAGACAGAGTCTTGCTCTTTCGCCTAGGCTGGAGTGCAGTGACTCGATCTTGGCTCACTGCACCTCTGCCTCCTCCTGAGTCCAAGCAATTTTCCTGCCTCAGTCCCTTGAGTAGCTGGGACCACAGGCATGTGACACTATGCCTGACTAATTTTTGTATTTTTGTAGAGACGGGGCTTCACCATGTTGGCCAGGCTGGTCTCGAACTCCTGACCACAGGCGAGCCGTCTGCCTCAGTCTGTCAAAGTGCTGGGATTACAGGCATGAGCCACCGCGCCTGGCCTATCTCTGGAACTTCTATTGGATGAACGTTGAAACTTCTGGGATCTATTCTCCATTTCCTTTATTATTTTCCTTTCATATTTTCTATTTCATGATCCTTTTCTGCTATACGGTGAAGTAGTGCCATGCCTGAACACATTTTTTCATTGGGTTGTTCCAGTTTCTCTTATTGATATGCAAAAGCTTCGTTGTATATTAGAGATGGTTGCTGTTAATTTATTGTGGATGCTTCACCAATTTCCCCAACATTTGCCTTTTTAAACAGTTGTTTATGGTGTCTTTTGAATTAGATGATACTTTAATTTTTACATCTTTAAATTTGTCAGATTCATTGCTCATAGCCTTGGTGTAATGTCAGGAAATGCCTATGCCAACTCAAGATGTCTTACACTGTAATATTTTCCTAAATTGTCATCTAGTTCTTTATGACTTCACGTTTTCACATTTAAGTCACTGATTTTTTAGAATTTGTTATTTTATGTGGTTTAAATGGATAGACACTTGTCAAGCAATCATTTATTATGCAACCCATCATCTTTTGCCCACTGTTTGGAAATGCATGCTGATGTTTTCATATAGATTAGTCTGTTTCTTGACTTCTATTTTGTTTCACTAATAAATGTTTCTATGCGTATTCATTTTTTATTGCTGCTGTAACAAATTTTGAATAGCTTAGACACTGCTAGGCGCGGTGGCTCACGCCTGTAATTCCAGCACTTTGGGAGGCCGAGACAAGTGGATCGCTCAAGGAGTTCAAGACCAGCCTGGCCAACAAGGTGAAACCCCATCTCTACTAGGGGTTGGTGATGGGCGCCTGAAATCGCAGCTATTTGGGAGTTCAGAACAGTTCCCACTAACATTATTCCCTCATACACACCAGGGCTGAGTGAAAAAACAAATTGCACACAAAAAGTTAACTACAGAGGCCATTCATATAAAATGCTAAAACATGCAAAACAAGAGTATATATTTTTATGGATAATAAGTAAATGGTAAAGTATAAAAACATGAATGAGAATAAAAAACCATCAAATTGAGAAGAATGGCTGTAAGTGGAGAAGGAGGGAGGGCAGGGATTGCACAGAAAGCTTCAAGGTGACTTGTTGATAGTGGTTTTCTTTGTTTGTTTGTTTGTTTGTTTGTTTGTTTGTTTGTTTTTGATGGAGTTTCGCTCTTGTCGCCCAGGCTGGAGTGCAATAGCATAATATCAGCTCACTGCAACCTTCAACTCCCGGGTTCAAATCATTCTGCTGCCCACGCCTCCCGAGTAGCTGGAATTACAGGCGCCCGACCCACACCCAGCTATTTTTTTTATTTTTGGTAGCAACAAGGTTTCACCATGTTTGCCAGGCAGGTCTCAAACTTCCTCATCTCAGATGATCCACCTGCCTCAGCCTCCCAAAGTGCTCAGATTACAGGCATGAGCTACCACACCCAGCGCGTTTATAGTATTTCTAATACTCTGAATAAATAAATCAGATCTAACATAGCTGTGGGGTAATGTTGAGATCCGACTGGACTCAATAGTATTCCACATACTTTTCCACGTGTTTGAAATATTTCATTTTTAAAGGACATGTTGTTCTTGCTAAGCACTGTTAATGAATCAAAGGACAGTTAAGAAAATGTTACAAGTGAAAATATAAAAAAAGAAAATATTAAAAGCAAAGATCTGCAAAAAAAATCCAGAGTTTCTATAATTAACAGCATGTAAGTATTGGATAAGTATCTTATGAGAGAGGATAATGAACACATTATGTAATAAAGATGGATGTTTCTCTGTATTTTATCAAAACCAAATAGTCTTCTCATTCCCAAATAACCCCAATTCTCCGTGATGAGCTTGGAAGGGATTTTGAAAGAGTGATCCCTGATCCAAAACACAGAGAGCTTTCCCACTTGTCAGTGAGCAGAGATAACATAGAGTGAAAAAAAGACAAGTTCTTGCGAAGAGATTTTTGGGCATTTCAGGACTATTAATGGGACATATGTATTTACTTGCTCTTCTGCTCTGACAACACAATTATAAGACAAGGTCAGAAAGTCCAAACTGTCTCCAATAGACCTATTACTCGCCAACTAAACAGGCCAGATTCTACAATCTCCCACAATCACTATAAGGGACCTGAAAAGCCAGTGCTTGAGTATCTGCCAAGTTTTTGACGTTAAAGGACTGTTTTTATACTGAAAATATTTCAGAGCCACTGGACCAAATCATCCATGGTTCATCACACATTTAACAGCTTAATTCACATACCATAAGATTCACCCATTTGAAGTGTACAATGATTTTCAGTTGTTGCACATCTTGAGTGGATACAGTTCAGATTCCCAACCAATCAATTTAATTATTTGGGAAAAAGTAAAAGATATGTAATGGAATAAGATGAGACTGTGATGGGGTTTAGTCCCCATGTGATAAACCATGAGATGGAAAATTCTGAATTGAAGCCACAGATAAATGAACCAACCATGACTAAACATAATTTAGAAGCAAATCTCAAATAACTCCTCAACAATCAGTGGACTCATAACCTCTGCTGCAGAATGCCCTCATGCAACAGAAGTCTCTCTAGAGTTTGGAAATCTTCACCAACAAAGAAAAATTCTGATGTATTCTCTTTCAGTTGAACATCCTCAGATGACTTTCGGCAGGCTCCATAGAATCTTCCCGAAGGTGAGTGTCTCTCAAATCTAAAGGACCAGAGAACCTTTGTCCCTCCACGGATATGAACACTGGTAAGAGTGGAAGAATATCAAAAATACCCTCACTGCCTCCTCCCCATGTCTATCACAACACCTGATGTAGCATCAATGGCTTGATAATGCTAACAGTTGTGATCCTTAATATTTCTTTTGTTTTCATAGAGATGCCATATATTCTAAACAGTTTACATGGATTAATTTATTTAATCCTTAAGAATACCTCTACGACGACGTTTCTATTACTATCTCCAAATAATAATGAGTCACACACTTCAGTTATCATCCATATAAAAGCCATGTGAGTTGGCGCAAATCTTCTAAGTTCTCTGAGATCCAGACTTCTGGTCAATGAAATGGCAGTAAAGAATAATAGTTCATGTTATAGATCATAGTTATCAGTAAAATAATAATGAAATGAGGCTCTCCTTGTACAGAGATGTTAAAGAATTTTCCTGAGGCGCAGTGGCAGTGGTAGTCTAATCCAGAGCTCCAAGCCATTTGAAGCTCATTCACGTTTGCATTTGTTTATGAAGTTCAGATGTTGCTCACTAAGGCTTTACCCCATAGGGCCTGCTGGTGCTTCCATTGAGACACCCACTCTCACAACAGGAAGGACCAGCTGGCCTCTGCTCTGTTACCAGGGCCACTCGCATGGCTTAGGAATCGGTTTGACTCTTCACGGTCCCTCCCTACTGTGAGCTCCTTGAGGGCCTTGTCTACAAGTGGGGCATCCGGGAAGCCCCCGTCCCAGCCCAGGGGATCCCTCGGATTCCCCTGAATGAGTGATCCCAAAAGTGCAGATTCAACTCTGGTTTAGAGGGTAAAGGGATCTTGGAGTTGGGTTGCCATTGTGGAGACCAAATTCAAAGAAGGATCATGAAAAGTATTGTTTTTTATTATTACTACATTTAAACAGTGTTTGCAAGCTCAGAGAGGACATTCCTTTAGCCCATTTTACATGTATTTTTCACTATTTCATAAGTGAAAAAGCTGTATAAATGTAGTTTAACAATGTTGGTCAGTGACACATCCCAATGCAACCAGAATTGGTATGGGTACCACCTCACTGAATTCCACATTCAATGTTGGTGCCTCGGTAGGCTGGTATGCCAGATCTGGTACTGCTTTCTTTGCTGCCTAGATTAATTTCAGCAAACCATTTCTTTCCCTCTCCCTTCCCTGTATTCATCTCTCCACACCATCTTTCCCAGCAGTGTTTTGTCCCCTCTCTATGTTTTTATATTTACTCTCCGAGCAGCTGTCTACAAGCTTATATGGGATCCCTTGTATTTTATAGAAGCTCTTCCTTTTGTAGACCTTGTGAATTCTTAGAATGCTATGCTCCAAATCTTCTGTATACCAAACTCTCAATTACATGGAGATTTTTGCTGTTTGCAAGAATGTCAGTCTTAAAACAGTTTGAAGATAAACATTCTAACCCTGGAAACCCCAGTCATTTAGGCCATTCCTTTCCCTTCTAACCTCCCAGGTTTCTCCTAATTTAGGCCTGTGTAACAATCCCAGCATTGTTGAGAACATTGATTAAGGTAATGCATGTGAAGATTCTTTGTAAGCTCTAAAGCACTGTAGAAATGTCACTGATACAGTTTATCTGTCATCTTCACATTATACAGATCATGCCTGAGAAGCCAGCAGAGGAAGGAAATGATTCAAAGGAAGTGCTAGAAGCATCTGGCCCACAGAACGATGGGAAACAGCTGTGCCCCCCGGGAAAAGCAAGTAGCTCTGAGAAGATTCACGAGAGATCTGGTAAGAGGAAACGATTTGGGAACAACCCCTCTGGCTTCCCTGGCTATGTTCAGGTGTGTGGACTGGGTGTGTGGCATGGATCCCAGACAAGCCTGGGTCCAGACTGGCCTGAGGAGCTCACCCAGCTTCAGATGAGATGTTAGGCATGACTACCAGAGACACACATTTGAGTTGTCATCCATATAAATGTGCTCAAGCAATTCTATCTGTGATAACCTGGGATCATATCATACTCAGCTCAATGCCTGATACCCAATACAGGTGTACTTCAGAGATATTGCAGGTTCAGTTCCAGACCACTACAATAAAGTGAGTCACACACATTGTGTTTCGTTTGTTTCGCAGTGCATAAAAACATTATGTTTACACTATGCTATAATCTACTAAGTTTGCAATAGCATTATGTCTAAAAATGTACATACCCTAATTTTAAAATAATTCATTGTATAAAAATGCTAACAATCTTCGGAGCCTTCAGTGAGTCACACTCCTTTTGCTGGTGGAGGATCTTGCCTCGGTGTTGATGGCTGCTGGCTGATCTAGGTGGTGGTTCCTGAAGGGTGGAGTGGCTGTGGCAGTTTCTTAAAAGAACACAACAATGAAATTTGCCAAATCAGTTAGCTCTTCCTTTCATGAAAGATTTCTCTGTAGTATGTGATGCTATCGGATAGCATTTTATCCATAGTAGAGTTTCTTTCAAAGTTGGAGTCAATCCTCTCTTGCTATGAAAGTCCTAGATGGCATCTTCTTCAATATAGAAGGCTATTTTATCCGTATTGAAAATCTGTTCTTTAGTGTAGCCACCTTCATCAGTGACCTTAGCTAGATCTTCTGGATAACTTGCTGCAGCTTCTCCATCAGGGTTTGCTGCTTCACCTTGAACTTTTATGTTATGGAGACAGCTTCTTTCCTTAAACCTCATGAACCAACCTCTGCTAGCTTCACACGTTTCTCCTGCAGCTTCTTCACCTCTCTCAGCTTTCATGGACTTGAAGAGAGTTCGGGTCTTGCTCTGAATTAGACTTTGGCTTAAGTCAATGTTGTGGCTGGTTTCATCTTCTGTCCAGACCACTCAAACTTTCTCTATTTGAGCAGTAAGTCTGTTTTGCTTTCTTATTTGTGTGTTCACTGGAATATTAGTATTATTATTTCCTTCAAGAACTTTTCCTTTGCATTATATACTATTATTTCCTTCAAGAACTTTTCCTTTGCATTCACAGCTTGGCTGGTGCAAGAGGCCGAGCTTTCAGCCTGTCTTGGCTTTCAGCATGCTTCCTCACTAAGCTTAGGCATTTCTAGCTTCTGATTTAAAGTGAGAGACATGCGACTCTTCCTTTCATTTGAACACTTAGCGGCCATTGTAGAGTTGTTCATTGTCCTAATTTCAGTGTTGCTGTGTCTCAGGAAATAGGGAGGCCCAAGAAAAGGAGGAGAGATGGGGAAGAGCTCATCGATGGAGCAGTCAGAACACACACAACATTGATCGATTAAGTTTGTCATCTTCTGTGGGTGCAGTTCCTGTTACCCCCAAAATAATTACCCACAACAGGGTGATTACAGTCAATAATAACTTAACTGTACATTTTAAAAAACTAAAAGAGTGTAAATGGATTATTTGTAATGCAAGGATAAATGGTTGAGGGGATGGATACCCTATTTTCCAT
Source organism: Homo sapiens (assembly GCF_000001405.40). Classification (NCBI taxonomy): domain Eukaryota; kingdom Metazoa; phylum Chordata; class Mammalia; order Primates; family Hominidae; genus Homo; species Homo sapiens. Next base: position 48,216,305 of record NC_000023.11, read on the forward strand.
GATGTGATTATTACACATTGCATGCATGTATCAAAACATCTCATGTACCCCATAAGTAGATACACCTATTGTGTATACAAACAAAAAACAGAAAGTATTTTAAAAGACTAAAAAACAACTACAATAATAACATCGAAACTCACTGATCACAGATCACTATAAGAGATATAATCGTTAATGGGTGCAGCACACCAACATGGCACATGCCTCCATATGTAACAAACCTGCACGTTGTGCACATGTACCCTAAAACTTAAAATATAATAATAATAAAATTAAAAACAAATAAATATATTTGAACCTAATTATATACATTCAGAACTTCATACAAATTTGGACTGGAGTTATATACAAATTTATTAAAATAGTAAAATTAAAAATAATAATAATAATGGGTTAAGGTCTCAGCCTCTCTAAGCCAGAGAATGTGAAAAACTGGATAAAGAAGGCCCATGGGCACTTGGGATGGGGAGGCATCTCCTTTTTTTAAGAAAACAGAGCCTAACACTCTCCAACCTACCCAACTCTTATCTTCCAACTCTTCTCCATCATAGGAACCAAAAGAGGGAAACATGCCTGGATCCACAGACTGCGTGAGAGAAAGCAACTGGTGATTTATGAAGAGATCAGCGACCCTGAGGAAGACGACAAGTAACTCCATAAGTGAACATTCGGCTCACCCTCCACATCCCTGCAGATGTGCTAGCTATTCTGTTATGGTACTGGTATCCAATCTTGTCACTTATTCCCCAAATCATTCCCTTCTCATAATTTTCTAGGGTACAGCATTGAGGTTGAATGACGAGATTTTCCATGCTCTTTCTACTCCCTGCCCTATATATCCAGGGATCCTCCCTACCCCGGATGCTGTGGGTTCCCAAACCCCAGGTCAGCACTGATATGCGGGCCACACCTTCCTCTAGCCTAGGAATAGATAACCCAGGCAAGGAAGTCACTGTGGCATGAGCAGATGGTTCACTTCGAGGAACCGTGGAAGCCATGTGCAGGTCCTGGGGTAGGACAGAATCAGAGTGTGCAGGGTCTGCAGGACAGGAGGAGTTGAGATTGAGTTGTCACGTGGTGGGAACTCACTGCCACTTATTTCCTTCTCTCTTCTTGCCTCAGCCTCGGGGATATGACACATGCCCATGATGAGAAGCAGAATGTGGTGACCTTTCACGAACATGGGCATGGCTGCGGACCCCTCATCATCAGGTGCATAGCAAGTGAAAGCAAGTGTTCACAACAGTGAAAAGTTGAGCGTCATTTTTCTTAGTGTGCCAAGAGTTCGATGTTAGCATTTCCGCTGTATTTTCTTGCAGTGTGCCATTCTGCTAGCTATTAGTGTTTTCATTGATGAGCAAGACGTAATGCATATTTCGGTCTGTGTATCCATGCACCTATCTCAGAAAAGAAGTATTGTCAGGTATTCTCTCCATAGAACAGCACTACCCTCCTCTCTCCCCAGATGTGACTACTGAGGGGAGGTCTGAGTGTTTAATTTCAGATTTTTTCCTCTGCATTTACACACCACACACACACACACACACACACCAAGTACCAGTATAAGGATCTCCCATCTGCTTTTCTCCATTGCCATGCATCCTGGTCAAGCCCCCCTCACTCTGTTTCCTGTTCAGCATGTACTCCCCTCATCCGATTCCCCTCTATCAGTCACTGCCAGTTAATAAACCTTTGCAAACGTTCCCCAGTTGTTTGCTCCTCTCATTGTTGTGCACACAGCTCTGAGCATGTGTGTGAATACTTCTTTAGGAAAGATTCTTAGAAGTGGAATTGCTGTGTCAAAGGAGTCATTTATTCAACAAAACCCTAATGAGTGTGTCCTCGTGCTGAGCGCTGTTCTAGGTGCTGGAGAGACCTTGGGGAACAAGGCAGACAGATGTTCCTGACCACCATTCTAGAGGAGGATGTCTCCAGTTGTTTGTTTGTTTGTTTCTAGAGACAGGGTCTTGCTCTGTCCAGGCTGAAGTGCAGGGGGATGATCATAGCTCAATGCAACCTTGAACTCCTGGGATCAAGTGATCCTCCCACCTTGGCCTCCTAAAGTGCTGTGATTACAGGCATGAGCCACTGCACCTGGCCTCCAGTTTTTATTTTGATAGAGACGATACACTTCAGTCCTGGAGCAGGATTCTGCAGCAGGTGGTTGGGAATCTTGGCCTTCTCTCTCTGAACGATTTTTGCATTCTAGGGCTGGGACAGTCCATTTGGGAGTATGTGGGAGGAGACACAGATGAAATCGTCATCTGGGGAACGTGGAGGAATGAGGAATATGCATGCACTGTAGACCCTGTGATGGCCAGGGAATAGAAGAGTCCACTTAGTCTCCCTGCAAAGGAGCAACGGTGGGAAAGTCCCCTTGACAGAAGCATGAGACTGCCCATCAAGAGTCTCACCACCCAAGGGCCTGGGGGCTGGGGTGGGGACGATGATTTGGGAATGGGACAGTTCTTCCTGACATGTACCATTGCATGGTGCAGAGGTGAAACAGTTGTGGGGAAGGAAGAGCAGAGGGGAGTCCATTTTAGAACAAACCAGTGTGTGTGAATGAAGACATTAAAGCTCCATTCACACACAACAGACTTGAAACACCAGCCCCAGGTGGAGGCAGGATTGGAGCTGTTTTGACCATTCATACCCCATCACCTTGGCCTCCTGGTTCTCCCCAGCCTTGGAAGGAGGACACTATCATCATTATGCCTATATGATAGATGAGAGACAGAGTCCAGACAGATGGTAGGCATCTTGTCACAGGTCCTACAGCTGGCAGGTGCAGGAGGAGCTGAGTTTGGATCTCACTGACTTCAGAAACATTAAGGAGGACAGGTGTGTGTGGTGGAGGGAGGAGGAATTGAACAAGCCCCGGGCTCTGTCCCCAATCACAATGTAAAGGCTGTGGGTTCCTTTACCCAAGACAAGGAGCCCTAGGAGAGAGAGAGAGCAGGGAGGGAGAGGCAATCGTGGTCATAGTGGGGACAGTGGGAGACAGAGATATGCAGCGTGGGCAGAAGAGAGGCAGGCAAAGAAGCAGGGGATACCCAAGGCCACGTGTGGGCTGTCACAGCCACCAGAGGGAGAGGGTGCCAGGAAGGAAGTTGTGGGGCTCCAGGAGCAACAGAGGTTCCCCAGATCTGTGAGCATGCCCTACCTGGCACTTCAGGAAGAGGTGGCTTCCACCCAGGTCAGTGTGGATGTACCTCTACCTGTGTCTCAGAGGAAACAAATTCTATTTTATCCCAATGTAGTTCTATATGACACAAATGTAGCATTCAGCTACTAGATATCGAGTGCCTTATCCTCCATGTAAATACAGCAGAGGATACCCTAAAAGAGATACTGAAGGTTTTGATTTTTCTTTCTCCCTGGGAAGATGGGATCCATAAGTTGGGTCCCCCAGCCCACAAGACAGGTGCCAGGAAGGGTAGCTGGAAGATTGTGAGTTATGACAGGGAACATTTTTCCTTAGGTTCCATGGGTATATAAAGCTCCAGACTATCTGTCTGTCATGGATAGATGAAGAGTGAACATGGTCCCCTCTCCACAAATGTGTTTCTCTCCTTCATTACTACTGTAAAGGGCTGAAGTTACACCAAGTTTTGATACATTACTTTTTGGGAGCAAGCCCCCCAAAATCTGGCCATAAACTGGCCCCAAAACTGGCCATATAGAAAATCTCTGCATCACTGTAACATGTTCATAATGGCCCTAACGCCCAAGCTGGAAGGTTGTGGATTTACTGGAATGAGAGCAAGGAACACCTGGCCTGCCCAGGACGGAAAAACGCTTAAAGGCGTTCTTAAGCCACAAACAATAGCATGAGTGATCTGTGCCTTAAGGACATGCTCCTGCTGCAGTTAACTAGCCAAATCTATTCCTTTCATTCGGCCCATCCCTTCATTTCCCATAAGTGATATTTTTAGTTAATCGTATATCTATAGAAACAATGCTAATGAGTGCTTTGCTGTTAATAAATAGGTGGGTAAATCTCTGTTCCAGGCTCTCAGCTCTTAAAGCTGTAAGATCCCTGATTTCCCACTTCACACCTCTATATTTCTGTGTGTGTGTCTTTAATTCCTCTAGCGCTGCTGGGTTAGTTATGGTCTCCCCAACCGAGCTGTTCTCGGCAATTAATTTTTTGGGTTTTTGTGAGACAAGATAGTGCTCTGTTGCCCAGGCCGGAATGCAGTGGTGCAATTACAGCTCACTGCAGCCTGGATCTCCAAAGCTCAAGGGATTCTCCCACTTCTGCTTCCTAACTAGCTGGGATTACAGGCACAGGCCACCACACCCAGCTAATTTTTGTATTTTTTGTGGAGATGGGATCCCACTATGTTGCCCAGGCTTGTCTCGATCTCCTGGCCTCAGCAATCCTCCTGCCTCAGCCTCCCAAAGTGCTGGGATGACAAGTGTGAGCCACCTCGCCAGGCCTTCACTTTCTTTAATGAACAATTATCAGAGTTTCATCTTAGAGGCAAAAGTGGCTACTGCCAGCCAATCTGAGTGTGGTGTTGGAGTGGAATCTCGCTGATTCAGATGTTTCTAATGAACTTTTAAATACCTGATGATTATCCTAAGGCCCTTTCCAGCTCCGTGTTTTATTGATTCAGAGTTTGGAGTTTTTCAGAGGCTTTGTTACAAAGAGCATCTCCTGACTGGGCGCAGTGACCCATGTTGTAATCCCAGCACTTTGGGAGGCCAAGGCAGGCAGATCACTTGAGGTCAGGAGTTCGAGAACAGCCTGGCCTACATGGCAAAACCCCCGTCTCTACTAAAAATATAAAAATTAGCCGGCCGTAGTGGCGGGCGCCTGTGAATCCCAGTTACTGTGAGGACTGAGGCAAGAGAATCACTTGAACCTGGGAGACAGACCCTGCAGTGAGCTGAGATCAAGCCACTGCACTCCAGCCTGAGCAACAGAGTAAGTCTCTGTCTCAAAAAGCAAACAGCATCTCTTTATTACAGTGATTTGAGCTGTGGTCTTGTCTCCTTGGGTTTCTCTATCAGTCTGATCCCAACTACTCTATCTCCCAGGAATGCCTCAATATTTCTGGTGGACACGTTTTCCTATTTCCCTCTACTGTTAAGAATTGACGGCCAGGCGCAGTGGCTCATATCTGTAATTCCTGCACTTTGGGAGGCTGAGGTGGGCGGATCACAAGGTCAGGAGATCGAGATCATCCTGGCTAACACAGTGAAACCCTGTCTCTACTAAAAAATACAAAAAAAAATTAGCCGGGTGTGGTGGCGGGCACCTGTAATCCTAGCTACTGAGGAGGCTGAGGCAGGACAATGGCATGAACCCAGGAGGCGGAGCTTGCAGTGAGCCGGGATTGCACCACTGCTCTCCAGCCTGGATGACAGAGCAAGACTCTGTCTCAAAAAAAAAAAAAAAAAAAAAAAGAGCTCTCCCTCTCCCTCTCCCTCTCCCTCCCCCTCCCCTCCCCCCCCTCCCCCTCTCCCTCTCCCCACGGTCTCCCTCTCCCTCTCTTTCCATGGTCTCCCTCTGATGCCGAGCCGAAGCTGGACTGTACTGCTGCCATCTCGGCTCACTGCAACCTCCCTGCCTGATTCTCCTGCCTCAGCCTGCCGAGTGCCTGTGATTGCAGGCTCGCGCCGCCACGCCTGACTGGTTTTCGTATTTTTTTGGTGGAGACGGGGTTTCGCTGTGTTGGCCGGGCTGGTCTCCAGCTCCTAGCCTCAAGTGATCCGCCAGCCTCGGCCTCCCGAGGTGCCGGGATTGCAGATGGAGTCTCGTTCACTCAGTGCTCAATGTTGCCCAGGCTGGAGTGCAGTGGCGTGATCTCGGCTCGCTACAACCTCCACCTCCCAGCCGCCTGCCTTGGCCCCCCAAAGTGCCGAGATTCCAGCCTCTGCCCGGCCGCCACCCCATCTGGGAAGTGGGGAGCGTCTCTGCCTGGCCGCTCATCGTCTGGGATGTGAGGAGCCCCTCTGCCTGGCTGCCCAGTCTGGAAAGTGAGGAGCGTCTCTGCCCGGCCTCCATCCCATCTAGGAAGTGAGGAGCGCCTCTGCCCGGCCACCCATCGTCTGAGATGTGGGGAGCGCCTCTGCCCCGCCGCCCCGTCTGGGATGTGAGGAGACCCTCTGCCTGGCAACTGCCCCGTCTGAGAAGTGAGGAGCCCCTCCGCCTGGCAGCCACCCTGTCTGAGAAGTGAGGAGCCCCTCCGCCCGGCAGCCACCCCATCTGGGAAGTGAGGAGCGTCTCCGCCCGGCAGCCGCCCCGTCCGGGAGGGAGGTGGGGGGGTCAGCCCCCCGCCCGGCCAGCCGCCCCGTCCGGGAGGTGTGGGGCACCTCTGCCCGGCCGCCCCTACTGGGAAGTGAGGAGCCCCTCTGCCCGGCCACCACCCCGTCTGGGAGGTGTACCCAGCAGCTCATTGAGAACGGGCCATGATGACAATGGCGGTTTTGTGGAATAGAAAGGGGGGGAAGGTGGGGAAAAGATTGAGAAATCAGATGGTTGCCGTGTCTGTGTAGAAGGAAGTAGACATGGGAGACTTTTCATTTTGTTCTGTACTAAGAAAAATTCTTCTGCCTTGGGATCCTGTTGACCTGTGACCTTACCCCCAACCCTGTGCTCTCTGAAACATGTGCTGTGTCCACTCAGGGTTAAATGGATTAAGGGCGGTGCAAGATGTGCTTTGTTAAACAGATGCTTGAAGGCAGCACGCTCGTTAAGAGTCATCGCCACTCCCTAATCTCAAGTACCCAGGGACACAAACACTGCGGAAGGCTGCAGGGTCCTCTGCCTAGGAAAACCAGAGACCTTTGTTCACTTGTTTATCTGCTGACCTTCCCTCCACTATTGTCCTATGACCCTGCCAAATCCCCCTCTGCGAGAAACACCCAAGAATGATCAATAAAAAAAAAAAAGAAATAAGAAAAAGAAAAAAAAAAAAAAAAAAAGAATTGACCCTTGAAAACATTTTCTCCCCAGTTCAATGGAATGTTGAGTGGGGCACGGGATCTATCTGCCATCTTGCTCCATTCATCTTGTTTTAGATATTTTATGTATATTTGTCACTATATAAGTGTAGTTTTTCTCAATTTGGTTTTGTAATTGGTTATTACAGGTATGTAGAAAACCTATCTATGATTGTATATAATATTTGTCTACGGCCATACCACCCTGAACATGCCCGATCTCGTCTGATTGTATATAATATTTTGTTACCTGTTTGGGTGCAGCTTCCCCTGCATTTTGGCACAAGACTCAATCTGTTTTATTCTGCAAAAGAAAACTGACAGCAGTGGCTTATGCCTGTAATCCCAGCACTTTGGTAGGCCAAGGCGGGTGGATCCCCTTAGGACAGGAGTTCAAGACCAGCCTGGCCAAGATGGTGAAACCCCATCTGTACTAAAAATACAAAAAAAAAATTAGCCAGGCGTTGGTGGTGCATGCCTGTATTCTCAGCTACTAGGGCAGCTGAGGTGGGAGGATCACTTGAACTCGGGAGGTGGAGATTGAAGCGAGCCGAGATCGCCCCAGTGCACTCCAGCCCGGGAGACAGGGATTCTATCTCTAAATAAAAAAAGAAAAAGAAAAAAAGAAAATTCACTTCACAGGCAATAGACAGTTATAAAAGGATACTTTGTGGATGATTTCATAGGGGAGACTGATGGAAATAAAGGAAGTATATATTTTACAGAGCTGAGCAGTTCACTGCAAAAATCAACAGAGCTGCCTTTTTCTCCAAAAATTTTACCCCTAAGCTATTCTACTACTGGTTCTTCTAGTCCTTCCCTCTATTCCAAATCCTCAAATTGTCCATTTCCTTATTGGGATAATTTTCCTCTGCCCAGATCTGGGTCCTCCACATGTAACACTGTCTTCGGTGTTTGAATGTCCATTGTTTTAGGTCAGGTTCCCAAGGAAACAGAATTTGGGCCATTCCGGACACCTCTAGACAGACTATACTGAGAAACCATGCCTGGAATGGTGCAGGGGGAGAGGAGAGGAGAGGGAATTTACATACCTGGCTCTCACTCCTGGTTCCTTTTCTTATTGGTCAAAATTTACCCCACAGTCAGGCACTCTCCTACACTTCTAGATTGCATCATCTGCCCCTTTCACAGCTGTCTGGAAAGCCAGATCCCACACTTTGAAGTGTAGTGTTTCATACAATACAAAAATGGTAGCAGAGACCAGGTGCAGTGGCTCACGCCTATAGTCCCAGCACTTTGGGAGGCCGAGGCAGGCAGATCATGAAGTCAGGAGTTCGAGACCATCCTGGCCAGCATGGTGAAAGCCCATCTCTACTAAAAATACAAAAATTAGCCGGGCATGGTGGTGCACACCTGTAATCCCAGCTACTCTGCAGGCTGAGGTAGGAGAATCGCTTGACCCTGGGGGGCTGAGTTTGCAGTGAGCTGAGATCCCACTGCTGCCCTTCAGCCCGGGTGACAGAGCAAGACTCTGTCTCAAAAACAAACAAACAAACAAAAGTGGTAGCAGAAGTCAGAAAGTCCAGGTATGTAGCTAATTGGCCTGCTAGTACAGCAGCAGCTAAGGGTGAAAACTGAATACTCCCAGTCAAATCCTAAGTTCACCGAGTAATTGGAGTACCCATCTGTGTTAATTAATTGCTTTTATCTGAAAGAAAAATAAAACTCATTTATCTATGACAAGCAGGTGCTTACAGCTTGGAGCAAGGCACCTAGGCTAAACTCGCCTGCTGACAAGGAGACAAGGACATCATGTTCCTCAAAGTTCACATTTCAAAGAGATGGCTCCAAGGCCCTGAAGAAAGACATTCCTAGGGAATGGGCGTGGTGGCTCATGCCTGTAATCCCAACACTTTGGGAGGCTGAGGCTGGAGGATCACTTGAGGCCTGGAGTTCAAGTTCAAGACATTCCTGGGTTCTAGGATGGCCAGAGGCTTACAGATCAAAGGAATAATTTACAAATACAAATTTTCTCAAGAAAATGCTCTAAGGAAAGTGAAATGGGGAAAGGTCTCTTCTTGCCCTTTTGGCAACAGGAAAAACTCAATTTATGTTTAGTTACCCTTAAAATTTCCCACTTTTGTTATTCTTTTATAGTAACACTACAATTTTCTAATTATCTCCACTGCTGTTTCTATCTTTCTCTGGGTAGTTTATGGCCACCTAGATATCCAACAAATCCATAATAAGATGCAAAGCAAAGCAATTATCAGGATTATAATAGAATGTTTTTTTTTTTTTCAGGACAGAGTTTCACTCTTGTTGCCCAGGCTGGAGTGCAATGGTGCGATGTCAGCTCACTGCAACCTCCATCTCCTGAGTTCAAGCTATTCTCCTGCCTCAGCCTCCCGAGTAGCTGAGATTACAGGCATGTGCCACCACGCCCAGCTAATTTTGTATTTTTTGTGGAGATGGGGTTTCACCATGTCAGCCAGGTTGGTCTTGAACTCCTCACCCCAGGTGATCAGCCCACCTTGGTCTCCCAAGGTGTTGGGATTACAGACATGAGCCACCACTCCCAGCCTAGAAAGAGTTTTTAAATTCAGTATAATACTCACCTTCTCGGGGCGGGGGACCTTTAAACACATCATACTGGTTAAATGCATCAAAGTCAAAATAAATTATAGAGACAAATCCCTAAATCAAATGCTGTATTTGGGAATCACAAAGTTGCAATTCAGGGCATACACACGGACTGCGGTGGTCTTCAGTATGTCCAATGAACAAACAGAAGTTGGAAGCTTTATCAGAATGAAAAATGTTACATATTGTTTTGAAATGAGACTCATTGGCATGAGGCTTATTGGCACTGGAGAAGCTGGTTCGTTCGCACAATCAGCTTTCACATTCCCTCTTTTGATCAAGATCTTTCTTTGAAAACCTCACTGATCAGCCATCTTAAAGTGAGGCTTCATTGTCACTGCATGCCAGGATGGACCTGTGCCAGTTGTCTTTGTCCCATGTCAAGGGAAAGGTAAGGGAGTCTATATCAGGGACATGGGCCACATTTGAGCAAAAAAGAGGTCAGAAGGAAAAAAAAATTCAGGCAGATTTGTCTGGAGTTCAGCAACAAGTTCCATTTTATTAGTACCATCTGCATTAGCAATCATCTTGAAGCACTAGGCCAACATTATCCTGTTGGGAGAACTGGCTTAACAAATATTACACAGACAAAATAATGGAGCTCGGAGATCATAATACAAAACTACTTAGCAATTGTTGTATTGTATTGTGTTGTGTTGTATTGTATTGTGTTGTATTGTATTGTATTGTATTGTATTGTATTGTATTGTATTGTATTGTATTGTATTGTATTGCATTGCATTGTATTGTATTGAGATAGAATCTTGCTCTGTCACCCAGGCTGGAGGTGGCACAATCCCGGCTCACAGAAACCTCCACCTCCTGGGTTTAAGCGATTCTCCTGCCTCAGCCTCCCGAGTAGCTGGGATTACAGGTGCCCCCCACCACTCCAGGCTAATTTTTGTGTTTTCAGTAGAGACAGGATTTTACCACGTTGGCACTCACTGCAACCTTTGTCTCCTGGGTTCAAGCAATTCTCGTGTCTCAGCCACCTGAGTAGCTGGGATTACAGGCACCCGCCACCACACCTGGCTAATTTTTTTGTTAATTTTCATAGACACCAGGTTTCACCATGTTGGCGAGGCTTGTCTTGAACTCCTGACCTCAGGTGATCTACCTGCCTTGGCCTCCCAAAGTGCTGGGATTACAGGTGTGAGCCACCAGCCCGGCTCAACCTAGGTTTTTAGATAAACCCAACCAATTGCCAACCAGAAAATTTTTAAATCTACCCATAAGCTGGAAGCCCCTGCTTCGAGTTGTCCTGCCTTTCTGGACCAAACCAATGTACTTCTTAAATGTATTTGACTGAGTCTCCATAAAATCTATAAAACCAAGCTGCACCCCAACCTCCTTGGGGAACTCAGGACCTCCTGAGGCTGTGTCATGGGCCATGGTCACTCCTATTTGGCTCAGATTAAGTCTCTTCAAGTGTTTTCCAGAGTTTGACTCTTTTCATCAGCAGACTTCAGGAACAGAGCAGAATCTGTTTTTAGTAATTTTATGGGAAAAAGTTGGAACTAGTCTATTCTATATGTAGATAACAAGAACTCGGCCGGGCGCAGTGGCTCACACCTGTAATTGCAGTACTTTGGGAGGCTGAGGTGAGTGGACCACGAGGTCAAGAGATCAAGACCATCCTGGCTAACATGGTGAAACCCCATTTCTACTAAAAATACAAAAATTAGCTGGGCATGGTGGCATGCACCTGTAGTCTCAGCTATTCGGGAGGCTGAGGCAGGAGAATCACTTGAACAGGCGAGGCGCAGGTTGCAGTGAGCCAAGATCGTGCCACTGCACTCCAGCCTGGTGACAGAGTGAGATTCCGTCTCAAATAAAAACAAACAAAACACCAAGACCTCGAAACAATGCACAGAGCTACAATCTAATAACTGATCTATTAGAACTTTTCTTTAGCAACATAATTTTTCTCTATATATTGATCGCTTAGGAATCTCAGATTTAAAAACCTCTTGAGGATAGAAAGTCAAACCAAGGCAGACCTTAGATTTCACCTACCTTTTTAAGGTTCCTGGGGCTGACAGAAAGTGACCGTTTTTATTCACCCACTCTAAAGCTAAAAACACTTGAAGTCAGGCATTCCATGCATTTTGATGAAAGCCTTGGTAATATAGCCAATGTTTTATTTTTTTTTTTTCTTTTTGAGACAGGGTCTTGCTCTGTCACCCAGGCTGGTGTGCAGTGATGAGATCTCAGCTCACTGCAGCCTGCACCTCCTGGGCTCAACCAGTTCTCCTGCCTCAGCCTCCTGAGTAGCTGGGATTACAGGCGTGTGACACCATGCCTGGCTAAATATTTTTGTATTTTTAGTAGATATGTGATTTCACCATGTTGGCCAGGTTGATCTCAAACTCCTGACCTCGGGTGATCCACCTGCCTCAGCCTCCCACAATGCTGGGATTATAGGCGCAAGCTACTGTGCCCTGCCCTATAACCAATGTTTTTAATTGTATCCCTCTATAAAAAAAAGAGAGCAGAGATTTTTTTGTTTGGGTTTTTGTTTGTTTGTTTGTGCTGAAAAAAAAAAGTGGGCTAGGTTCAATGCCTCACACCTGTATTCCCAGAACTTTTGGAGGCCACTTTAGCCCAGGAGTTCAAGACCAACTTGGCCAACATAATGAGACAAAAAAAAAAGGAAAAGAGAAAAGAAGAGAAGTATGGTTTTATTACTACCTGCAGGCAGGGCCTGCATGAGGTGGTAGGTGTGCTGGGCTCAGGGGACGTGTGGGCTGTAAGGAGATGGTGATGGTGAGGCTGGAAGGAAAGGGGGTGGCTTGGAAACCAGGCCCAAGGGATCCTCAGATCCGCTTCTTGGAATGGGAAGCCTTTAAAAAAGAGTCATGGTAAGCCACAGTCATGCCATCCATCAGATGCAGACATTCTTGGAAATCTAACTGCCCATCACTAGTGAGGTCCAGTTTCTTCATCATATGGTCAAAGACACTGGGGCCCTCTGGTTCTTCGTGAAGGCATCCAGTTCTCTATTCATGAAGCCTGGGAACTCCATCTTGGAGTGAATGCTATTGTAACCATCCTTTCCAGTCTATTTCTGGAAAACAGCAATCAGGGACTCTCTGTAGGGCTGGAGATTTTTGCCATGTTGGAGTTGAATGAGGCACCAAGAGCAGGTTTTTACTGGACCTGTGTAAATAACCATATTGGCATAAGAATATTTCCAAATAGTTTTCAAATTCTGGAGGAATCGAGTAGAAAGAAAAAGCAAACATTTCCATCTTAGTTTACAAAAGTATACTTTACAAAATTGTTATAAACTATAGATAATTTAACAGAGAACATTTTCTCTTTTTTTTCTTCATTTTTTTGAGAAAGGGTTGCACTCTGTTGCACAGGCTGAGTGCAGTGGTGCAAACACAGCTCCCTGCAACCTCTGCCTTTTGGATCAAGTGTTCCTCCCACCTCGGCCTCCCAAATAGCTGGGACCACCATGCCACCATGCCCAGCTAATTTTTTTGCATTTTTTTGTAGAGACAGGGTTTTGCCATGTTGCCCAGACTCGTCTTGAACTCCGGGGCTCAAGCGATCTTCCCACCTTGGCCTTCCAAAGTGAGCCACCACACCCCACCAGAAAATTTTCTTATATGTGGAAAACAAAACATTTAGGTAAAAAACAAAGTTTTTATTTTCTTAATTTTTTTTAAGAATCCAGGTCTCCTATGTTTCCCAGGTTGGTTTTGAACTCCTGCACTCAAGGGATCCTCCTGTCTTGGCCTCCCAAATTGCTGGGATTACAGGTGTGAGCCACCGCACCCAGCCCAAGAACAAATAAAGTTTTAAATAAAGGTCAAAAATACATTAACTTTATCAGTTATTTAGCCTCATGTAATTAATTTTTGTTCTGCTTGATCTTGATGATCAGTTGCATGAACCCATCAGTTTCTGTTAGAGTTTTGAAAAAAAAATTATTCAGTTCATTAATCTGAAAGTTATTAGAAATCTATATTCAACAGTACTTGTTAGAATCTTTTTTATGAATCTGATTCTAGCTGCCTTTAGAGAAGAATCAGCACTGCAGGTGAAAAAACTTAGAATAGTGATGATTAAAATCTGATGAAAGTTCAATATCTGACAAGAAAGTTCAGCTATTTCTATTATATAGAGCATTTTAAGATAACAACCAGAATCATGACTGATAGCATCACACCAGGACCATCAGACCACTGTAAATTTTGTATGATCTTCAGATCTATAAACATTAACATCAATAACATATCTACGTAAGTGTAAACATATAATATTAACATCAATATCATATCTATATAAATGTAAACAGCAATTAGTATTATTTTATTATTTGACATTGCTTTTCATATAATCTAACATATCAAATAAGCCTAATGAGAGACACATTCTTTGAGGCTCTACAGGGGCCTCACTGGTAAAGCTCAAAGTCAATTTCAGGTTAAAAAGATTTAAGGGCCGGGCATGGTGGCTCACACCTGTAATCCCAGCACTTTGGGAGGCCGAGGCAGGTGGATCACGAGTTCAGGAGATCGAGACCATCTTGGCCAACATGGTGAAAACCCATTTCTACTAAAAATACAAAAAAAAAATTAGCCAGGCATGGTGGCAGGCACCTGTAGTCCCAGCTACTCGGGAGGCTGAGGCAGGAGAATGGTGTGAACCCGGGAGGTGGAGCTTACAGTGAGTGGAGCTCATGCCACTGCACTCCAGCCAGGGTGACAGAGCGAGACTCTGTCTCAAAAAAAAAAATACCTAAATTAGAATTTGATTAGTTTGTTCAACAGCAACGGATGAAACATAATTGGATATTGGGGAAGTTTGTCAAAGAGTTTAAAAAGCTCAAAACATTTGCTCAAAACAGGATCACGGGTCACTGTGAAATAATAGTCACTCATTTAGGGGCGCATGTTCTCAGGACCTCCTGAGGGCTGTGTCACAGGCCAAAAATAAATTCTAAAAAAAAAAGAAAAGAAAAAGGGAAAAAAGAAAATAGTCACTCATTTAACCAGATTGATAGTCAACAGACTTCAACAGCAATACAGGAAGTTACTTAAAAACATAACCCTTCCAAAGCTCAGTTTTCCTAAGCAATCAGAAACCTAATTAATAGGCTGGGCATGTCAGCTCACATCTGGAATCCCAGCACTTTGTGAGGCCGAGGCAGGTGGATAACTTGAGGCCAGGAGCTCAAGACCAGCCTGAGCAACATGGTAAAACCCCATCTCTATTAAAAGGACAAAAAATTATCTGTGTGCCATGGCCTGCACCTGTGGTCCCAGCTACTCCGAGGCAGGAGAATTGCTTGAACCCGGGAGATGGAGATCACAGTGAGCCGAGATCACACCATTGCACTCCAGCCTGGGTGACAAAGAGAGACTCTGTCTCAAAACAAAAAGAAAACAAAACCCTAGGATCAACAGAAAGGAATGCCAGGGTTAAGAAAAAGGATGGTAGAGACCCAAGTTGTTATTTCCAGAGGAAGCCTTCAGGTACTAGGCTACAGAAAGAATAGGTTGTAACATGTTTCTTTTTTTTTTTCTTCTTCACCTGGAGTCTCACTTTGTTGCCCAGGCCAGAGTGCAGTGGTGCCACCTCAGCTCACTGCAACCTCTGCCTCCCGGGTTCAAGTGATTCTCCTGTCTCAGCCTCCTAAGTAGCTGGAATTACAAGCGCCTGCCACCATGCCTGGCTAATTTTTGTATTTTCAGTAGGGATGGGGTGTCACCATATTGGTCAGGCTGGTCTCAAACTCCTGACCTCAGGTGATCCACCTGCCTCAGACTCCCAAAGTGCTAGGATTACAGTTGTGAGCCACCACGCCCGGCCATAACATGTTTCTTATCAGACTTCAAGTCTGTGTTAATGTTGATGCCAGAGAGGTATAATGAGGCATGTCTGACCCCCACTTCCTGTCATGGCCTGAAACTGTCTCTAAGGTTAAATTTTAAAAGAGCCCTGGCTGAGGAGGACGTTCATTCAGATGGTTGGGGGCAGGGGGCTTAGGATTTTATTTTTGATTTACAAATCCTGTAAGGTGAAACTGCATAAATTTTAAAGAACAAGTCTCATGCCCGATGTATGGACCACACAAAAGGTTCACCAAACTGTCCCATGCCATAACCAGAGACATTCGAACAACAAATTAGGATGAGAAGTTCATGTTTCCACACTGTAAACAGCTTTTCCCAAGATGTCAGAATGTCTTCATATCATAATGAGACTCTTACCCACTTAGTGTCTACATTTTTCACTTGACAGAACCTGACCCCCAAATGCTTTCCTTCACCTAGTGGTCCCTTTTATAGAGTTGGCACTCTGCTTTAATTCAACCCAGTTGCAGGAAGTCAGGGACCCTGAATGGAGGGACTGGCTGAAGCCATGGCAGAAGAACATAAATTGTGAAGATTTCTTTTTTTTTTTTTTCATCTTTTTTTTTTTTTTATTTTTTTTTTTTATTTTATTTTTTTTATTATACTCTAAGTTTTAGGGTACATGTGCACCATGTGCAGGTTAGTTACATATGTATACATGTGACATGCTGGTGTGCTGCACCCACTAATGTGTCATCTAGCATTAGGTATATCTCCCAATGCTATCCCTCCCCCCTCCCCCGACCCCACCACAGTCCCCAGAGTGTGATATTCCCCTTCCTGTGTCCATGTGATCTCATTGTTCAATTCCCACCTATGAGTGAGAATATGCGGTGTTTGGTTTTTTGTTCTTGCGATAGTTTACTGAGAATGATGGTTTCCAATTTCATCCATGTCCCTACAAAGGACATGAGCTCATCATTTTTTATGGCTGCATAGTATTCCATGGTGTATATGTGCCACATTTTCTTAATCCAGTCTATCATTGTTGGACATTTGGGTTGGTTCCAAGTCTTTGCTATTGTGAATAGTGCCGCAATAAACATACGTGTGCATGTGTCTTTATAGCAGCATGATTTATAGTCCTTTGGGTATATACCCAGTAATGGGATGGCTGGGTCAAATGGTATTTCTAGTTCTAGATCCCTGAGGAATCGCCACACTGACTTCCACAATGGTTGAACTAGTTTACAGTCCCACCAACAGTGTAAAAGTGTTCCTATTTCTCCACATCCTCTCCAGCACCTGTTGTTTCCTGACTTTTTAATGATTGCCATTCTAACTGGTGTGAGATGATATCTCATAGTGGTTTTGATTTGCATTTCTCTGATGGCCAGTGATGATGAGCATTTCTTCATGTGTTTTTTGGCTGCATAAATGTCTTCTTTTGAGAAGTGTCTGTTCATGTCCTTCGCCCACTTTTTGATGGGGTTGTTTGTTTTTTTCTTGTAAATTTGTTTGAAAGCTGAAACTGGATCCCTTCCTTACACCTTATACAAAAATCAATTCAAGATGGATTAAAGATTTAAACGTTAGACCTAAAACCATAAAAACCCTAGAAGAAAACCTAGGCATTACCATTCAGGACATAGGCGTGGGCAAGGACTTCATGTCCAAAACACCAAAAGCAATGGCAACAAAAGCCAAAATTGACAAATGGGATCTAATTAAACTAAAGAGCTTCTGCACAGCAAAAGAAACTACCATCAGAGTGAACAGGCAACCTACAACATGGGAGAAAATTTTCGCAACCTACTCATCTGACAAAGGGCTAATATCCAGAATCTACAATGAACTCAAACAAATTTACAAATTGTGAAGATTTCATGGACATTTATTAGTTCCCCAAATTAATACTTTTATAATTTTTTATGCCTGTCTTTACTGCAATCTCTGAACTTAAATTGTGAAGATTTCATGGACATTCATCACTTCCCCAATCAATACTTTTGTGATTTCCTATGCCTGTCTTTACTTTCATCTCTTAATCCCATCATCTTCATAAGCTGAGGATGTACGTCACCTCAGGACCCTGTGATGATTGCACATTGTTTAAACAATATGAAATCTGGGCACCTTGAAAAAAGAACAGGATAACAGCGATGTTCAGTGAACAAGGGAGATAACCATTAGGTCTGGCTACCTGAGAGTCGGGTGGAACAGAGCCATATTTCTCTTCTTTCAAAAGCAAATAGGAGAAATATCGCTGAATTCTTTTTCTCAGCAAGGAACAGCCCTGAGAAAGAGAATGCGTTCCTAGGGGCAGGTCTCTGAAATGGCTGCTCTGGGAACATCTGTCTTTTACAGTTGTAGATAAGGGATGAAATAAGCCCTGGTCTCCCACAGCACTCCCAGGCCTATTAGGAAGAGGAAATTCCCACCTAATAAATTTTGGTCAGACCGGTTGCCTGCTCTTAAACCCTGTCTGCTGATAAGATGTTACCAACGACAATGTGTGCCCGAAACTTCATTAGCAATTTTAATTTCACCCCAGTCTTGTGATCTCGCCCTGCCTCTATTTGCCTTGTAGTATTTTATTAACTTGTGAAGCATGTGATCTCTGTGAACCACACCCTATTTGTACACTCCCTCCCCTTTTGAAAATCACTAATAAAAACTTGCTGGTTTTGTGGCTTGCAGGGGCATCACGGAACCTGCTGACATGTGATGTCTCCCCCAGACACCCAGCTTTAAAATTTCTCTCTTTTGTACTCTTTCCCTTTATTTCTCAGACTGGCCGACACTTAGGGAAAATAGAAAAGGACCCACAAAGAACTATTGGGGGTGGGTTCCCCCAATACAACCCAGTCCTAAAATGCTACTCAAAGACTACAAGAGGTCTCATTCACTTCCCCCATAGTCTTTTGATTTGTTTGGCTGGTGGCCCCTAGGCTTGGGATCTTGGTTCAAAACCATTGTACAAACTAAATTTATTATACTATTGCTAATTATAGCTGGGTGCAGTGGCTCACGCCTGTAATCCCAGCACTTTGGGATGCCAAGGAGGGTGGATCACTTGAGGTCAGGAGTTCAAGACCAGCCTGGCCAACATGGTGAAACCCTGTCTCTACTAAAAAGACAAAAATTAGCAGGGCGTGGTGGTGGGTCCCTGTAATCCCAGCTACTGGGGAGGCTGAGACAGGAGAATCACTTGAACCCGGGAGGTGGAGGTTGCATCAAGCAACCTTGCTCACTGCACTGGCTGGATCACACCACTGCACTCCAGCCTGGGTGACAGAGCGAGACTCCGTCTCAGAAAACAAAAACAAAAACAAAAACTTAATAAATACAGTTAAGAAACTTTCTTAAAATGCAAAATCTCCATTTTTATAGACTGATTACTTAAAAGGTAAAGAAAAACAGATCAACATATTAAGAAAACCTATTTCAAACTTAGAGAAGCAGACTCGCTCTGCTTCAGTGCACCCTTGACACTAATGTTCAATTTTTAGAAAAACTGATAAACAATTTCTTTTCAATCCCAACCTATCTGATGATATATAAGACTCCCTCCCCAAGGTTCATCCTTCATAAACCCTCAGCAGCTTGCCTAGACACTCCATCATTTTTTTACCCCCAGTCTTAGCTGTATAAATTTTTATTTTTATATTGGATTCCATTCCAAGTACTAACCAAGCCCAACCCTGTTTAACTCCTGTTTAACTTCTGAGATTAGACAAGATTTGGCGCATTCTGGGTGGTATGGCCATAGACTATTTTTTATATTAAAACAACCAATCATTTTATTTTAGGATAAAAATGTATTGTCACTCAGACCACACAAAATTTTGTCATATAAAAATTATTTTTTGTACATTTTGTATATAGAATTACATATACAAAGAACTTTTAATTTTTAGTAACCTTAATTTTTAGTAAAAACCTAGGAAGAAGTTTGGAATTGTTATATATTAACATCTCATGAATATATATTTTATAATCTTTAAAAATATTTTTATAGAACAATTCTCATTGTGGAACAGGGCATTTTATTAACAGATTCGAATACTTTTTGTCTTTTATAAAACGTAAGGGGCAAGAACAAACTTGTATTTATGTTCAGCAATTTGTATCCCGTGTTTTCTTAGTTGGAAATGATCCCAGCATTTAGTGAGTACCTATTACCTAATCTAACATAACATAACTTTAATATTTCATCTTCATATGGTAAGAGCAAGAGAAAAAAATATTTCAAATTACATGAAAAGTTCACTTATAAACATGTATCTCACATTTACCTCATTTATTCATTTTAACAATTATACCTAGATTACATATGAAAACTGACATATTAAACAAAGCCAGTTGGCCAGGCGCAGTGGCTCACACCTGTAATCCCAGCACTTTGGGAGGCCGAGGTGGGCAGATCACTTGAGCTCAGGAGTTCAAGACCAGCCTGGCTAACAGGATGAACCCCATGTCTACTAAAAACTACAAAAATTATCCAGGCGTAGTGGCGCACGCCTGTAATCCCAGTTACTTGGGAGGACGATGCATGAGAATCAGTTGAGCCTGGGAGGTGAAGGTTGCAGTGAGCCCAGGTCACACCACTGCACTGCAGCCTGGGTGACAGAGCGAAACACTGTCTCAAAAAAAGAAGAAAAAAGACAAGATAAAAAAGACAAGACAAGAAAAGAAAGGAAAAGAAAAGAAAAGAGGAGGTTTCATAACCAGGAGAGAGAGAAAGACCCTTCCTAACAAATTCCCAAATAAAACTGAACTCAACTCCCCAGCAAATGGCAGTTTGATCCAAGACAGATTCACCAGGGGGAAAACTGGCAACCAGAAAAACAAAAGGCTCAAGGGGGCCAAGTGTGCAGACCTCACACCATAGTTCCAGAGGTCATTGATATCTCCAAGGTGAGTCAGCTTCGGACCCCATTTCTGACACCACAAATATCAAAGTCAAAGACTATGGAGACGAGTCACTTTTTTAACTACAATATTAAGGATGTTATATTATGTTTGTTTTTGTTTTAAGACAGGGTATTGCTCTGTCGCCTACCCCGGAGTGCAGTGGCACAATCTCGCCTCACTGCAACCTCTACCTCCCCGACTCAGCCTCTGGAATAGCTGGGATTACAGGCATGCACCACATCCAGCTAACTTTTTGTATTTTTTGTAGAGACAGGGTTTCACCACATTTTCCAGACTGGTCACGAACCCCTGGGCTGAAGCGATCCGCCGGCCTTAGCCTCCCAAACGGCTGGGATTACAGGTGTGAGCCACCATGCTTGGCCATGAATCTCTAAACATTTTATTTGAGAATCATAGAATTGTAATCTGAGGCATACACCCAAACTGGCTGGTCTTTGATTTGTCCAAAGAACAAGGAGAAAGTTGAGAGTTTTATTAGAAACAGAAATGTTACCTATATTTTTCAAAGCAAGTCCATTGGCACCAGAGAAGCTTTCAGGAGCTGGAAGCTCTGATTGGTGAGTGCAGACAATAGGTAAAATAAGCCTTAGAGTCATTGCAGGTTGTTTCAGCAGTTACTAGGTAAAAGTGGTCTTAGGGTGGCAGCAGGCCATTTCAGCCACCAGCCTTGTGGAAAATTCAATTATTGGGGCAGGTGCAATGTGCCCTGAGTGCTTTTTCTCCTGGCCACTCAACTCTGACATAGTTGCGGATGTCGAAAATGACTCAATTTGGGTGGGTTGTGGTGGAGCACACCTGTAATCCCAGCACTTTGGGAGGCCAAAGCAGACAGTTGGCTTGAGGTCAGGAGTTCGAGACCAGCCTGGTCAACATGGCAAAACCCTTACTCTAGTAAAAATACAAAATTAGTCGGGTGTGGTGGCACATGGCTGTAGTCCCACCTACTCGGGAGGCTGAGGCAGGAGAATAGTTTCAATCCAGGAAGCTGAGGTTTCAGTGAGCTGAGATCATGCACTGCACTCCAGCCTAGGTGACACAGGGAAAAAAAAAAAAGAAAAAAAGAATGACTCAAGTCACATAATCAGCTTTCACAATGGTTAAAGCAGAGTCCTGCTTAGCAATGCACAAAAATTCTCCTTTGTGACCCATTCATTTTACTGCTGTTGACTTTCTTGCTTATGCTTTCAGACAGAGTCACTCTCCTTTGACCAAACTTGAGTCGGGCTCCTCTGAGTCCTGTTTCTGACTAGGTCCCAACCTCGGGCTCTGTCTTTCATCCAGGAACTCTGCCCATTTAGCCTGTTTCAGCAAAAATCCTGTCAAGTCAGTTTATCCAGAATCCCCCTGCACCTGAGTTTTCCTCTAAGTAATTTCCCATCTTCTGACCCCTGGCTCCTACTCCCTGACTACAAATCCCCACTTGTCCTTGGTGGAGTTGAAGTCGATCCCAATATCACTCTCCCACTGCAAGACCCCATTGCGGTGGTCCCTATACCTATCACAGAAGTCCCCGCTCTGAGTAAAATCGTCTTTACGATCTTTTTTTTTATTTTCAGAGACAAAGTCTCACTCTGTAACTCAGGCTAGAGTGCAGTGACCCAATCCTAGCTCACTGTAGCCTCAAACTCCAAGGCCCAAGTAATCTTCCTGCCCCAGCCTCCCGAGTAGCTGGGACTAGAGGTACGCACCACCAAATCCAGCTATCTTTTTTTTAATTCTCTGCAGACCCAGGAACTTGATATGCCCGTCTAATTTTTGTATTTTTTGTAGAGACGGTGTTTCGCCATGTTGCCCAGGCTGGTCTTGAATTCCTGGGCTCAACCAATCCTCTTGCCTCTGTCTCCCAAAGTGCTGGGATTACAGGCCTGAGCCACTGCAGCTGGCCCTTCCTTACAGTCTCTAATAAGTGCAATAAATACTTGTTTGCTTTAACATTTCCCTGTGTCTTCAGTCTCCTGAAGTGTTATATGCCTGACATTTCCTTACTCCACCTGATATAAAAAAATCCTTTCTTTTGCTGGGTGCAGTGGCTTACCCTTACAATCCCAGCACATTGGGAGGCCAAAGCAGGCAGATCACTTCAGGTCAGGAGTTCCAGATCTGCCCGGCCAACATGGCAAAACCCCATCTCTACTAGAAGTACAAAAATTAGCCGGGTGTGGTACCGTGTGCCTGAAGCCCCAGCTACTCAGGTGGCTGAGGAGGAGAATCACTTGAAACTGGGTGGCAGAAGTTGCAGTGAGCCGAGATCATGCCATTGCACTCCAGCCTGAGTAACAAAGCGAGACTCTGTCTCAAAAAAAAAGAAAAAAAATTCCTTTCGTTCAACACTTTGGAGTTATTACACCATTGTATCCTTGCCTCCAGTGTGGTGTTTGAGAGATCCGATAAAGGTTTAAATATTTTTCCTTTTCATGTAACCTGCTATTTCTCTCTGATCATTTTAAAAATATTTTTTCTTTGTCTTTCACAATTTTTCATTTCACTGCTCCCGTTTGTGTGTATGTGTGTGTGTATGATGATCCCTTTAAATCTTAAGGCATTCATCTAAATCTGAGAAATTCTCATTCGTTACTTTTTTACGTACACTTTCCTTTTTAATGACTATATTCTCTTCTTATAAGGCTACTATTAGATGTGTTTTCACATGTATTCTACTATCCTCCCTATTAATTAACTTTTTTTCATTTACTTTATCTCTATCCATTACCAATTACTTTTATGAATTCTATACGCTCATTTCCTCAGCTCAGTAATTGCTTTTTCAACTATATCTGTTTTAATACCCAACCTATTCCACTGAATTATTTATTTGAGCAGTTAATGTCTTCATATCCTATCTATCCAATAGGTTTTCTTTTTATTTATTTATTTGAGACAGAGTCCTGCTCTTTCGCCCAGGCTGGAGTGCAGTGACTCGATCTTGGCTCACTGCAGCTCTGCCTCCTAAGTCCAATCAATTCTACTGCCTCAGCCCCTTGAGTAGCTGGGACCACAGGCATGTGACACTTTGCCAGGCCAATTTTTGTATTTTTAGTAGAGACGGGGTTTCACCATGTTGGCCAGGCTGGTCTTGAACTCCTGACCTCATGTGAGCTGCCCGCCTCAGCCTCTCAAAGTGCTGGGATTACAGGTTTGAGCCACAGTGCCCAGCCATTTTTTTTAAAGCCAGTTTCACTATTGTTGCCCAGGGTGAAGTAGAATAGTGTGATCTCACCTCACTGCAACCTCTGCCTCCCAGGTTCAAGTGATTCTCCTGCCCCAGCCTCCTGAGTAGCTGGGGTTACAGGCGTGCACCACCACACTGGGCTAATTTTTGTATTTTTAGTAGAGATGGGGTTTCACCATGTTGGCCAGGCTGGTCTCAAACTCCTCACCTCGGGTGATCTGCCTGCCTTGGCCTCCCAAAGTGCTGGGATTAAAGGCATGAGCCATGGCACCAGGCCCATTCTTTCTATTCTCTACCTCTGGAACTTCCTTTTTTAATTAATTAATTAATTTATTTATTTTTTTGAGATGGAGTCTCGCTCTGTTGCCCAGGATGGAGTGCAGTGGTACGATCTCGGCTCACTGCAACCTCTGCCTCCCAGGTCCTAGTGATCCTCCTGCCTCAGCACCACTAGTAGCTAGGATTACAGACATGCACAATCCTGCCCGGCTAATTTTTGTATTTTTAGTAGAGACGGGGTTTCACCACATTGGCCTGGCTGGTCTCAGACTCGTGACCTCAGGTGATCTGCCCACCTCGGCCTCTCAAAGTGCTGGGATTACAGGCGTGAGCCACTGCGCCTGGCCTATCTTTGGAACTTCTATTGGATGAACGTTGAAACTTCTGGGATCTATTCTCCATTTCCTTTATTATTTTCGTTTCATACTTTCTATTTTGTAATCCTTGTCTGCTATACGGTGAAGTAGTGCCATGCCTGAACACATTTTTTCAATGGGTTGTTCCAGTTTCTCTTACTGATATGCAAAAGCTTTGTTGTATATTAGAGATGGTTACTGTTAACTTATTGCGGATGCTTCACCATTTTCCCCAAAATTTGCCTTTTTAAACAGCTGTTTATGGTGTCTTTTGACTTAGATGATACTTTAATTTCTACGTCTTTAACTATGTCAGATTCATTGTTCATAGCCTTGGTGTAATGTCAGGAAGTGCCTATGCCAACTCAAGATGTCTTACACTGTAATATTTTCCTAAATTGTCATCTAGTTCTTTATGACTTCATGTTTTCACATTTAAGTCACCGAATTTTTAGAATTTATTATTTTAAGTGGTTTAAAGTAAGGATTTAATCTTTATTTTTTGAAATGGATACACACTTATCAAGCAATCATTTATTATACAACTCATCTGTTGCCCACTGTTTGGAAATGCATGCTGAAGTTTACATATAGATTAGTCTGTTTCTTGACTTTCTATTTTGTTTCACTAATAAATGTTTCTGTGTCTATTCATTTTTGATTGCTGCTGTAACAAATTTTCAATAGCTTAGACAACACTGGGTGCGGTTGCTCACTCCTGTAATCCCAGCACTTTCAGAGGCTGAGACAGGCAGATCACTTGAGGACAGGAGTTGAGACCAGCCTGGCCAACATGACGAAACCCCATCTCTACTTAAAATACAAAAATTAGCCAGGTGTGGTGGCACACAGCTGAAATCCCAGCTATTCAGGAGGCTGAGGCAGGAGAATCACTTGAACCCGGGAGAAGGAGGTTGCAGTGAGCCGAGATCACCCCACCGCACTCCAGCCTGGGCAACACAAGTCAGACTGCATCTCAAAATATATATATGTAGCTCAGACAATTTTTGGAATATAAGAATAAGGTGGGAGGAATGGCTCTACCATATTTCAATACTTCTTATATAGCTACAGGAATCAAGACTGTGTAGTACTGGGAGAAAAATAAACACACAGATCACTGGAACAAAATAGAGAACCTAGAAATAGCCCCACACTGATTTTTTACCAAGAGACAAAAAGAAGGAAGGATTATCTGTTTAACAAATGGTGCTGGAGCAGTTGCAGAGCCATAGGCCAGTAAAAACATGACCTAATCTTCATACCTTTATACAAAAAAACAACTCAAGTGGATAATAGATTTCAATCTAAAATATAAAACTAAGAAAAAGCTTTTACAAGAAAGCATAGGAGAAACATCTGGGATCTAGGGCATAGTGAACGGTTCAAAAAGCATAATCAATAAGGAAAACAAATAAATTAGATTTCACCCAATTTAAAACTTGTGCTCTGCAAGAATCCCTGTTAAAAGGATGAAAAAACAGGATCTTGACTAGGAGAAAATATTTGCAAACCACATATCCAAGAAAGGACTCACATCCAGAATATATAATGGATATGTATAGTACTCTCAAAACTCAATGGTAGGCTGAGCATGGTGGCTCATGCTTGTAACCCAAGCACTTTGAAAGGTTGAGGTGGACGGAAGGCAGATCCCTTGAGGCCAGGAGTTCAAGAACAGCCTGGGAAATGTGACAAAAACCCATCTCTACTAAAAATACAAAAATTAGACAGGCATGATGATGCATGCCCGTAATCCCAGCTACTCAGGGGGCTGAGGCATGAGAATTGCTTGAACCTGGGAGGCGGAGGTTGGAGTGAGCCAAGATCGTGCCACTGCACTCCAGCCTGGGTAACAGAGCGAGACTCTGTCTCAAAAAAAATAATTAAAAAAACCTCAATGGTAAAAAATACAAATAATCCAATTAGAAAATCATGAAAAGATATGAACATACATTTCACTGAAGAGCAAATAAGCAAATAAGCACATGAAAAGATGTTCGACACTAATTTGCTTCACTAGATGCAAATTAAGACCACGAAGAGGTATCACTATACACTTATTACAATAGCTAAAATAAAAGACATAGTGACAACACCAAATGGTGACAAGGATACAGAGAAACTGGACACCTCATTAAGTGCTGCTGGGAAGGTAAAATCTTAAAGCCACTCTGGAAAGCAGTTTGGTAGTTTCTTATAAAGCTAAACATGCAATTACCATACAATTCAACAATTACACTTCAGAGAAATCAAAATGTATGCCCATCCAGAAACTTGTACATAATTGTTCATAGCAGCTTTACTTGTAATAGCCAAAAGCTGGAAATAATCAATATGTCCTACAATAAGTGAATGGTCGAACTGAGGTACATCCATACCATGGAATACTACTCAGTAATAAAAATGAACTATTGACTGGGCCCAGTGGCTCATGCATGTAATCCCAACACTTTGGGAGGTCAAGGAGGGCGGATCACAACGTCAGGAGTTCGAGACCAGCCTTGCCAATATGTTGAAACCCCATCTCTACTACTAATACAAAAATTACCTGGGAGTGGTGATGCGTGCCTGTAGTCACAGCTACTTGGGAGGCTGAGGTAGGAAAATCACTTGAACCCGAGAGGCAGAGGTTGCAGTGAGCCGAGATCTGCCACCGCACTCCAGCCTGGGCGACAGAGCGAGACGCTGTCACAACAACAACAACAGCAACAATGAACTATTGATCCACAAATATTAATATCTTGGGTAAATCTCCAGGGAATTATGCTGAGTGAAATAAGCCCTTAAAATGTTATATACTATAAGATTTCATTTGTACAGCATTCTAGAAAAGACAAAATTGTGGAAATGAAAAACAGATTAGTGGTTGCCAGGGGTTAGGGATGGTGGATGGGAGGAGAGTATTACTAAAAATGACTAGCACAAGGGATAGCATTGTGGTGATGGAAAGGTTCTGTACCTTTTTTTTTTCCCAAGAGGAATTCTCAGTCTGTCATCTAGGCTGGAATGCAGTGACACGATCTCGGCTCACTGCAACCTCTGCCTCCCAGGTTCAAGTGATTCTCCTGTCTCAGCCTCCCATGTAGCTAGGACTACAGGCACCCACCACCTCACCTAGCTAATTTTTGTATTTTAGTACAGACAGAGTTTCTCCTCACCTCACCTTTTGTATCTTCTCTGGTATTTGAGCATCATCCCCAGCTCTCTTTGCACAGTTGTTGTCTCCGTTCATGGCACCGGGAGTAGTCTGACCTGCAAGTGAAACAGATTGAGACTTTCCAGCCGCAGGACCTTTGGTCTTGTGGAGGGAGAAATCAGTGAAGGCCGGCTACACTCAGTCACCTGGAATCAGGTGCTGCATTTCTCCATCCGGGGCTTATCTGTCCCTGAGTAAAGATATGGGGAGAAATCAGATGAAAACAGGGAACCAGGGATCTCTGGGAGAAGTATTGATAGGGGATAACAGGTTTCCTATGGGCAAAGCAGCCTTGAGTCTTTGGGAGGGGGTTGGCTACTCTTGTTAGTAGTTTCCCTGGAGCTAGGCTTACCCTGAAAGATGTACAGACCCTTGTTGGGGAGGCAGGGACATGACTATGTAATTGTATTGAGTGAGGGCATTCTGACACCCTCACTCAATAAAAAAAGGAAGGGAAGTGAGTCCCAGAGATAACATGGTCTCTCCGGTGATGGATCTGATCAGGCAGAGGGTTGGGGGATTCTGCTCTGTTGAAGAGAAATGTGCATGGCTACTGTGAACGGATTTAGAGGCTATTACTGGATGATTTGTAAATCATTAGAAGGAAGTGAGCTAGAATTTCTGAGACTACAAGAGTCCATCAACACTTAGAGAGAATATGGGGCGTTTCAAGATGCAGCAATCAGCCAGGAGCGGTGGTTCACGCCTGTAATCCCAGCACATTGGCCAATCCTCCTGCCTCAATCTTGGGACTACAGTACAGGCGTGCACCACCCAGCCCCCACTAATATTTTTATTTTTGTTTTTTTAGTAGAGACGGTTTTGCTATGTTGACCAAGTTGGTCTTGACCTCTTGGGCTCAAGCGATACTCCCGCCTCAGCTTCGGGACTACAGGCAGGCACCACCCTGCCTTTTGCTATTTTTCCCAGGCTGGTCTTGACCTCCTGGGCTCACTCAATGATTTGAACCCGGGAAGCAGAGGTTGCATTGAGCTGACATCACACCACTGCACTCCAGCTTGGTAGACAGAGCAAGATTGTCAAATAAATAGATAAATAAAAAGAAAGAAAGAAAGTAAGAAAGAAAGAAAGAAAGAAAAGAAAGAAAGAAAGAAAGAAAGAAAGAAAGAAAGAAAGAAAGAAAGAAAGAAAGAGAAAGGAAGGAAGAAAGAGAGAGAAAGACCAGCTGACTCTCCATAAGAACAGTAAGCTTTTTGGTATTTTAACTTACCCTCGTCCCATCTCATGCTCCCAGCTTGGTTCTGTTCATTGCTGATGAAATACACATAGGATTGGCCAGAACTGGTAGAGGGCTGGCTGTTGATCATGAAAATGTCAGTCCTGATATAGTCCTCCTTGGAAAGGCCCTTTCTGGGGGCTGATACTCTGTCTGCGATGCTGTGGGACGATGACATAATGCTGACCATTAAGCCAGGGGAACGTGGGTCCACATACGGTGGCAATCCACTAGGCTGCTGAGTGACCATCACAGCCCTTGAGGTTTTAGAAGAAGAAAACCTTGCTGAAAATGCAGAAAAAAAATGGGTATTATCTTGAGAAATGAACCCATGAAGCTACCTTCTGATGTTGTAACTGCCGTAAGAGGAAAATGATTGTTTTATTTATTCATTTAGTTATTTTTTTGAGTCAGAGGTTCACTCTGGTTACCCAGGCTGGAGTACAATGCCACGATCTTGGCTCACTGCAACCTCTGCCTCCTGGGTTAAAAGGATTCTCCTGCCTCAGCCTCCTGAGTAGCTGGGATTACAGGCATGTGCCCCTATGCCCAGCTAATTTATGTATTTTTAGTAGAGATGGGGTTTTGCCATGTTGGCCAAGCTGGTATTGATCTCCTGACCTCAGGTGATGCTCCTGCCTCGGCCTCCCAAAATATTCGGGTTACAGGCGTGAGCCACTCTGCCCAGGAGGAAAAGAATTATTAAATGCTATTGTTATTCAAGACAACAAAGATTGTGATGCTTGGAAGGTGTGTCTGCGACTTCGAGATTATGGATTTCTGGCCGAGCCAATCCATGGTGACATCATCAGTTTTTGCCTCTGCTGGTGGTCAAGGAGGATGAGATTAGAGAGCCCAGTGAAATCAATAACAAGACCATCTTGTTGTTCTGAGGGTAGCAGCCGTTTTCAGTGGTCCCTGGGAGCCGACTAGAGACAGGTGGTCCTGTAAAAGCTCTGCTCTTAATGCGGGCACATTCCACTCCCATGTGTCTTCAAAACCTTTTTCTGGAATATATTTTTTTTTCAGTTGATACATAATAGAATAGTGTTTATGAAGCTGCCTTTTGCTTTGTAACATAAATAAGAGAATGTAATGGCATCTATATTCAGTGAAAGTGTTTTGATGTGCAGAACATGGCGAGGTGCAGTGGTTCATGCGTGTAATCCCAGCATTTTGGGAGGGCGAGGTGGGCAGATCACTTGAGGTCAGGAGTTTGAGACCAGCCTGGCCAAAACAGAGAAACCCCGTCTCTACTAAAAATACAAAAATTAGCTAGGTGAGGTGGTGGGTGCCTGTAGTCCTAGCTACATGGGAGGCTGAGACAGGAGAATCCCTTGAACCCGAGAGGCAGATGTTGCAGTGAGCCGAGATCGTGCCACTGCACTCAAGCCTAGGTCACAGAGTGAGAATCCCTTTGGAAAACAGACAAAAAAAAGGTACAGAACATTTCCATCACCACAATGCTATTCCTTGTGCTACTCATTTTTAGTAATACTCACTCTCCTCCCACCCACCACTCCTAACCCCTGGCAACCACTAATCTGTTTTCCACTTCTACAATTTTGTCTTTTCTAGAATGCTGTACAAATGAAATCTTATAGTATATCACGTTTTAAGGGCTTATTCCACTCAGCATAATTCCCTGGAGATTCATCCAAGATAGTAATATCTGTGTATCAATAGTTCATTGTTGCTGTTGTTGTTGAGACAGAGTCTCACTCTGTCACTCAGGCTGGAGTGCAGTGGCATGATCTCGGCTCACTGCAACCTCCGCCTCCCTGGTTCAAGTGATTTTCCTACCTCAACCTCCTGAGTAGCTGTGACTATAGGTGTGTGCCACCACACCCTGGTAATTTTTGTATTAGTCATAGAGACGGGGTTTCAACGTATTGGCAAGGCTGGTCTTGAACTCTTGACGTCATGATCTGCCCGCCGCAACCTCCCAAAGTGCTGGGATAACAAGGTAAGTCACTGTGCCTGGCCAATAGTTCATTTTTATTACTGAGTAGTATTCCATGGTATGGATGTACCTCAGTTCAACCATTCGCTTATTGTAGAACATATTGATTATTTCCAGCTTTTGGCTATTACAAGTAAAGCTGCTATGAACAATTATGTACAAGTTTCTGGATGGGCATACATTTTAACTTCTCTGAAGTGTAATTGTTGAAATGTATGGCAATTGCATGTTTAGTTTTATAAGAAACTACCAAACTGCTTTCCAGAGTGGCTGTAAGATTTTACCTTCCCAGCAGCACTTAATGAGGTGTCCAGTTTCTCTGCATCCTTGTCACCATTTGGTGTTGTCACTATGTCTTTTATTTCATCTATTGTAATAAGTGTGTAGTGATACCTCATCATGGCCTTAACTTGCATCTAGTGAAGGAAATGAGGGCTGAACATCTTTTCATGTGCTTATTTGCTTATTTCCTCTTCAGTGAAATATATATTCACATCTTTTCATGATTTTCTAATTGGATTATTTATTTGTATTTTTTACCATTGAGGTTTATTATTATTATTATTATTATTATTATTATTATTATTATTATTCTTGAGACAGAGTCTCGCTCTGTCACCCAGGCTGGAGTGCAGTGGCACGATCTTGGCTCACTCCAACCTCCGCCTCCCAGGTTCTAGCGATTCTCATGTCTCAGCCTCCTGAGTAGCTGGGATTACGGGCACGCATCATCATGCCTGTCTAATTTTTGTATTTTTAGTAGAGGTGGGTTTTTGCCAGTTGCCCAGACTGGTCTCAAACTCCAGGCCTCAAGGGATTTGCCCTCCATCCACCTCGACCTTTCAAAGTGCTGGGATTACAAGCGTGAGCCACCATGCTCAGCCTACCATTGAGTTTTGAGAGTACTATACATATCCATTATATATTCTGGATGTGAGTCCTTTCTTGGATATGTGGTTTGCAAATATTTTCTCCTAGTCAAGATCCTGTTTTTTCATCCTTTTAACAGGGTCTCTTGCAGAGCACAAGTTTTAAATTGGATGAAATCTGATTTATTTGTTTTCCTTATGGATTATGCTTTTTGAACCCTTCACTATGCCCTAGATCTCAGACGTTTGTCCTATGCTTTCTTCTAAAAGATTTTTTTAGTTTTATATTTTAGATTTAAATCTATGATCCACTTGAGTTATTTTTTGTATAAAAATATGAAGATTAGGTCTTTTTTTTTTTTTTAGCCTATGGCTCTGCAACTGCTCCAGCACCATTTGTTAAGCAGACGATCCTTCCTTCTTTTTGTCTCGGTAAAAAATCAGTGTGGGGCTATTTCTAGGTTCTCTATTTTGTTCCCGTGATCTATGTGTCTATCCTTCTCCCAATACTACACAGTCTTGATTCCTGTAGCTATATAAGAAGTATTGAAATATGGTAGAGCCATTCCTCCCACCTTATTCTTCTTTTCCAAAAATTGTCTGAGCTACATATATATATTTTGAGATGCAGTCTGACTCGTGTTGCCCAAGCTGGAGTGCGGTGGGGTGATCTCGGCTCACTGCAACCTCCTTCTCCCGGGTTCAAGTGATTCTCCTGTCTCACCTTCCCGAGTAGCTGGGATTACAGGCATGCGCCACCACACACAGCTAATTTTTTAGTAGATAGGGGGTTTCGCCATGTTGACCAGGCTGGTCTTGAACTCCTGACCTCAAGTGATCTGCCTGTCTCGGCCTCCCAAAGTGCTGTGATTACAGGCCTGAGCCACTGCGCCCAGGGTTGTTTAAGCTATTGAAAATTTGTTACAGCAGCAGTCAAAAATGAAAACACATGGAAACATTTATTAGTGAAACAAAATAGAAAGTCAAGAAACAGACTAATCTATATGTAAACTTCAGCATGCATTTCCAAACAGTGGGCAACAGACGATGGGTTGTAAAATAAATGATTGCTTGACAAGTGTCTATCCATTTCAAAAACTAAAGATTAAATCCTTACTTTGAAGCACATAAAATAATAAATTCTAAAAATTCAGTGACTTAAATGTGAAAACCTGAAATCATAAAGAACTAGATGACAATTTAGGAAAATATTACAGCGTAAGACATCTTGAGTTGGCATAGGCACTTCGTGACATTACTCCAAGGCTATACACAATGAATCTGACATAAAGATGTAAAAATTAAAGTATCATCTAATTCAAAAGACACCATAAACAACTGTTTAAAAAGGCAAATGTTGGGGAAATTGGTGAAGCATCCCCAATAAACTAACAGTAACTATCTCTAACATACAACAAAGCTTTTGCATATCAATAAGAGAAACTGGAACAACTCAATGAAAAAATGTGTTCAGGCATGGCACTACTTCACTGTATAGCAGAAAAGGATTATGAAATAGAAAGTATGGAAGAAAAATAATAAAGAAAATGGAGAATAGATCCCAGAAGTTTCAACATTCATCCAATAGAAGTTCCAAAGATAGGCCAGGTGTAGTGGCTCACGCCTGTAATCCCAACACTTTGGGAGGCCGAGGTGGGCGGATCACCTGAGGTCGCAAGTTTGAGACCAGCCTGGCCAACATGGAGAAACTCCATCTCTACTAAAAATACAAAAATTAGCCGGGCATGGTGGCACATGCCTGTAATCCTAGCTGCTAGCAGTGCTGAGGCAGGAGGATCACTTGGACCTGGGAGGCAGAGGTTGCAGTGAGCTGAGATCGTGCCACTGCACTCCAACCTGGGCAACAGAGCAAGACTCCGTCTAAAAAAACAAACAAACAAACAAAAAAGTTCCAGAGGTAGAGAATAGAAAGACTGGGCCAGGCGCCATGGCTCATGCCTGTAATCCCAGCATTTTGGGAGGCCGAGGCAGGCAAATCACCTGAGCTCAGGAGTTTGAGACCAGCCTGATTAACAAGGTGAAACCCCATCTCTACTAGGGTTTGGTGGTGGGTGCCTGAAATCCCAGCTATTTGGGAGTTCAGAACAGTTCCCAGTAACAAAACCCTTGATGGTTTGGCCCCACTGGGGAATGAGATGTCTTCGAATGGGAAAAGGTCAGAGGCCACAGATGGAGCATCAGCCCAGGTGGAGCTTTCTAAGTTGCATTCTTGTTTTCTCCTTGTTTTCTGGATGGCTTATTACCTGTTCTGTAAACATATAGAGCAGACACTTGGCAGGGCTGGCCCAGTGGCAGCCAAAAGTGGCGTGATAACATTAAGGAATAGGGGGCTTGGAAATCTAGAAAAAGTGCAGACTCATCAAAGCTGCCCAGTAACTGAGCATTCCTTTCCTACCTCTTCCTCTGCCCTCTGAGCTAGGCAATTACAACCAATATCACCCACCCATAGACTCCCTCCACTCTGTAAGGCAGAAATCCTGTAAGCGTCTCTGGGGGCTAATAGGCTAGGAACTGAAAAGAATTGGCTCAGCTCAGCTCCAGAGGCTCTGTATCCTATGACCTATCAATCCAGAAACCCTGAAACTCATATGGAGTGTCTGGGCTGACACATCTTCCCAGGAACAAAGAGTTATATAGAAAAACTATCAGATAGGCCTGGTGCGGTGGCTCACGCCTGTAATCCCAGTACTTTGGAAGGCCGAGGTGGGACGATCACCTGAGGTCAGGAGTTTGAGACCAGCCTGGCCAACATGGCGAAACCCCATCTCTACTAAAAATACAAAATTAGCTGTGCGTGGTGGTGCACACCTGTAAGCCCAGCTACTCAGGAGGTTGGGGCAGGAGAATCACTTGAACCTGGGAAGCAGAGGTTGCAGTGAGGTGAGACCACACCATTGCACTTCAGCCTGGGCAACAATAGTGAAACTGTCTTAACAGCAACAACAGCAAAAGGCCGGGCATGGTGGCTCACGCCTGTAATTCCAGCACCTTGGGAGGCTGAGGCAGGCGGCTCACCTGAGGTCAGGAGTTCGAGACCAGCCTGGCCAACATGGTGAAGCCCCGTCTCTACTAAAAAGACAAAAATTAGCCGGGCGTGGTGGTGGGCACCTGTAATCCCAGCTACTCAGGAGGCTGAAGCACAAGAATCACTTGAACCTGGGAGGTGGAGGTTGCAGTAAGCAACCTTGCTTACTACGGTGGCTGGATCCCACCACTGCACTCCAGCCTGGGCGACAGAGGAAGACTCCATCTCAGAAAACAAAAACAAAAACCAAAACCTAATAAATGCAGTTAGGAAACTATCTTAAAACACAAAATCCCCTTTTTTTAGACTGATTGTTTAAAAGATAAAGAAAAAACAGATCAACATGTTAAGAAAACCTAATTCAAAACGAGAGGAGTAGACTCGCCCTGCTTCATTGCACCCTTGACACTAATGGTCGATTTTTAGATAAACGGATGAACAATTTCTTTTCAATCACAACCAATCTGATCATATATAAGACTCCATTCCCAAGGCTCATCCTTCATAAACCCTCAGCAACTTGCCTAGAGATTCCATCATTTTTTATCCCCAGTCTTAGTCCCATAATTTTTCATTTTTATATTGGACTCCAATTCAAGTTCTAGTAAAATGTTAGAGGAAAAGGATAAACTGAGGAAAGGACTGTTAAACAAAAAGGATCCAGGGAAATTCTAAGCCTATCAAGATTGCAAAAGACACTAAAATTAGGAGAGGCACTGTCAGGAAGGTATCCTCTAGAGAGAAAGTCAAGAATGTGGCCATGTTTGCTAGTGCTGAAGAGATTAGGCACGTGACTCAAGGAGCTCTTCCACTATGCTCAGCCATAGCCAGTCTAGAAATGATATTATCTGGGAAGATACACATAGGACCTGCTGGTCTAAAGGTGTGAATCACTATGACATACATTCTGAGAGGAGGGCGATGGGAGAGGGGAGAGCTTCAAGCTACAGAGGATTATTCTGAGTCCTTGAAACCAAATGGAATTTGTCCTGCTAGATTTCAAAATGGTTGGAAGTGGCAACTCCTTCCTTCCATTTTCTCCCATTTGAAATAGAAATATCTGTAACTATTATCCTACATCTGTCTCGCCACTTTATTTTTGGAATAAATAACTTGCTTTCTAGTGTCACAAATTCACGGCAGGAGAATTTTGCCCCAGGATGTTTCATAACCAGAGTCTCATCCATATCTGTTTTAGATGAGGAGATTTGGTACTTTTGAGCTGATCTTATATGGATAAGATGTTGGACTTCAGCTAATGTTGCACGGTTTGAGACATTTGAGGATTTGGGGATGGGGTGCATGTATTTTGCATGTGGGAGAGATGTGAATACTTGGGGGCCAGAGGGCAGGCTGTGGTAGACTGAACAACGCCCCTCCAAAAGATAGCAACATAGTAACACCTGGAACCTGTGAGTGTTAGCTTACAACAAAAAAAGTAATTATGTTGGCCAGGTGTGGTGGCTCACGCCTATAATCCCAGCACTTTGGGAGGCCGAGGCGGGTGGGTCACGAGGTCAGGAGTTCAAGACCAGCCTGGCCAAGATGGTGAAACCCCGTCTCTGCTAAAAAAAATATAAAAATTAGCTGGGTATGGTGGCGGGCACCTGTAATCCCAGCTATGCAGGAGCCTGAGGCAAAGAATTGCTTGAACCCGGGAGGCAGAAGTTGCAGTGAGCCAAGATCATGCCACTGTACTCTCGCCTGGTCAACAGAGTGAGACTCCGTCTCGAAAAAAAAAAAGTAATTATGTTAAAGCTCTTGAGATGGGGAGATTCTCCTGGATTGTCTGGATTATCTGGGTGGGCCCTAAATGTAATAATGAGTGTCCTTATCAGATTAAGGCAGGGAGATCTGACACAGACAGAAGAGAAGAAGGCAGTAAGCCTGCCATGGTTTGAACGTCCCCACCAAAACTTGTGTTGAAATTTAATTGCCATTGTTAACAATATTAAGAGGTGGGGCTGTTAGGAAGTGATTAATGCCATTATCATAAGAGTGGATTAGTTATCACGAGATTGGGTTTGTTATAAAAGGGAGCTTAGTCACATTTTCTCTGTCTGTCTCCTGCACTTGCTTTTGCCTTTCATCCTTCCATCATGACACAACCCTCACCAGATGCCAGCGCCATGTTCTTGGACTCCTAGCCTCTAGAACTGTATACCAAATGAACTTCTATCCTTTATAAATTACCCAGTTTGTGGTATTCCATTATAGTAACAGAAAACAAACGAAGGCAATGACCATGGAGGTAGAGATTAGAGTGATGCAGCCATATATTAGTCCCTTCTCACACTGCTATAAAGAGCTGCCCGAGACTGGGTAATTTATAAAAGAAAGAGATTTAACTGACTCACAGTTCTGCATGGCTGGGGAGGCCTCAGGAAACAATCATGGCCAAAGGTGAAGAGGAAGCAAAGACTTTCTTCGCATGGTAGCAGGAGACAGAAATGCAAGCAGGGGAAATGCCAGACGCTTGTAAAACCATCAGACCTCATGAGAACTCACTGTCACAAAAACAGCATGGGGAAAACCACCCCCGTGGGGATTTGTAATCTGTGGGGATTACAATTCGAGATGAGATTTGGGTGGGGACACAGAGCCAATCCATATCAAGCCACAAGCCAAGAAATGCTGGCAATCACGGGAAGCTGGAAGAGGCAAGGAACAGGTTCTCTCCTAGAGCCTCTGGAGGACTACAGCCCTGCTGACAACTTGATTTCAACTCAGTGAAACTGATTTCAGATTTCTGGGCTCCAGAATTGTGAGAGAATAAATTGATGTTGTTTATGCCACAAAGTTTGCGGTAATTTGTTACAGCAGTCAGAGGGAATATGGGGTGATTGTAAGGAGTTATGTAAATTATGTTAAAGAACCTTTGCAGTTGTAAGATGCATTCATTCATTCAACAAGTAGTCGAGGCAATATAGAAGAGTAATTAAAAGCACCGACTTTGAGGCCGGGCGTGGGATGGTTCACTCCTGTAATCCCAGTGCTTTGGGAAGCCAAGGCAGGAGGATTGCTTGAGGCCAGCAGTTCCTTCCAGATCAGCAGGGACAACATAGCAAGACCCCATCTCTAAAAAAAAATTATTTTAATTAAAAATAAATAAATACATAAATAAAAGCACAGACTTTGGACTCAATTCTATCTTGGGGGTGAATCCCAGCTCTGTCACCCACTGACTATGTGACTTTGAGCAGACTGCTTAATTCTCTTGAGCCTCAGTCTCAACATCTGCATACTGGGGATGATAATAGTATTTAACTCCAGAGAAGGTTGTGAAAATTAATGGGAAGATGCACATAAAAGGCTTTGTGCTGGGCTCAAGGGCCATTGCTCTGTTCCTGCCCTAAGAGAGCTTGCTGTAATCCTGGGAGGATCTTAGAGAGATCAGGGCTGTAGGTGGAAAGCCCAGAGAGGAATGGGGACTTGTTGGAGGTACTAGGGATGGGGGTAGGGGAAACTTCTTAGACAAATTGACTTATGAGCTCCCTGATGAACACAGTGGGCCCTAATTACATACTCTTTTTAATACTATTATTATAAATATTATTAATATCAATGGGTAAAATATATTTCTGCTTCTTTGGTCTTTTAGAAAAAAACATATATGGAAGTGTAGAAGTGTTTTTTTTTGTTTAAATTTCTTTTTTAAAAATTTTTTATAGAGATGGGGGTCTCACTATGTATCCCAGATTGTTCTGGAACTCCTGGCCTCAAGTGATCCTTCCACCTCCTGCCTCAGCCTCTCAAAGTGTTGGGATTACAGGCATGAGCCACTGGGACTGGCTCATTGAAATTTTTCTTTCTTTCTCTTTCTCTCTCTCTCTCTTTTTAAAGACAAGATCTCGCTCTGTGGCCCAGGTAGGCAGGAGTAGCCAGATCATGGCTCACTGCAACCTCGTACTCCTGGGCTCAAGCTATCCTCCTACCTCAGCCTCCTGAGTAACGGACTACAGGCACACCACCCCACCTCGCTAATTTTATTTATTTTTTTTGTAGAGAAAAGAGACAGGGTATTGCTCTGTTGCCCAGGGTGGGGTGCAGTGGCATGATCATGGCTCACTGCAACCTCTGCCTCCCAGGTTCAAGTGATCCTCCAGCTGTGGCCTCCCTAAGTGCTGGGATTACAACCGTGAGCCGCCGCACCGGCCCAAATTTCTTACGTCACTACAGAGTTCCTAGGAAAAAATCCCATACCTGAAAAAGATAGAAACTGACAGGAAGGATTTGAGATGATGACCTGCTTCATATACACTCCTTATTAAAACTGGATAACAATGCACCACCGAGGAGGTGGGGAGGGATAGGAAAAATGAAAAGAGAAAATCAGCGCATGCGTACTCTGATTTGGGAAGACTCCAAAGAGAAAATCAGAGCATGCGTACTCTGAACTTGGAGTAGCCAATCCCAGGGGATGCTTTAGGCGGGAAAGTCAGAGTTTCTGCCTCCATTTTGAGAAGGTTCTGTCCCTAGAGCCTAGACTGATAGACCCCACATCAGCTTGGCTTGTCCCGCCTACTGTTCTGACTTCTGATTGGCCAGATGGAGTTCACTAACTGCCCTGATTGGTCCATCATCCTGGAGCAATGACATTGCAGAATATTTTCTCCTCCTCCAGCCACACTTTGTCACCAACTGCTGCCAACTCGCCACCACTGCTGCCGACCTCGCAACCACTGCTTTGTCTCTGAAGTAGGTTCTCTTTAAGGGACACCCTAGATGGGCTAATCGGGGCAGATAGAAAAGGAGGAAGCCTCTGTAGGGCCGTCAAGTGCTTGGGGTTCCGAAAATCTTGAGGACTGAAAGACAACTAATGCCTTTCAGGACGATCATCATGGAGGATCCTCCCGCCTCGGCCTTGGGTCTACAGGCCTGTATTATCCCACCCCTGTTTTTTTTTTTTTTTTTTTAGTAGAGACGGGGATTTGTTATGTTGACCAGGCTGGCCTCAACCGCCTGGGCTCAAGCAATCCTCCCGCCTTGGCCTCGGGACTACAGGCACGAACCACCCCACCCTCACTAATTTTTTTTATTTTTTATTTTTTTAGTACAGACGGTTTTGCTATGTTGGCCAGGCTGGCCTCTGCCGCCTGGGCTTAAGCAATCCTTCCGCCTCGGCCCTGGGACTACAGAAGTGCACCATCCTGCCCATGCTTTTTTTTTTTTTTTTTTTAGTAGAAACCAGGTTTCACTATGTTGGCCAGGCTGGCCTCAACCTCCTGGGCTCAAGCGATCCTCACACCTTGGCCTCAGGACTACAGATGTGTGCCATTCCGCCCCTGCTAGTTTTGTTGTTGTTGTTCTTTTTAGTAGAGACAGGGTTTCCTTATGTTGGCCGAACTGGGCTTGACCTCCTCGGCTCAAGTGATCCTCCCACCTCGGCCTCGGAACTACAGGCAAGAACCACCTCGCTGATGTTATTATTTTTGTTGTTATTATTAGTAGTAGAAATGGGGTTTTGCTATGTTGGCCAGGCTGGCCTCAACCTCCTGGGCTCAAGAGATCCTCTTGCCTCGGCCTCGGAACTACAGGCGAGCACCACCCCGCCCCCACTAATACTTTTTATTTTATTTTATTTTTTTTAGTAGAGGGTTTTTCTAGGTTGGCTAGGCTGGTATCAACCTCGTGGGCTCAAGCGATCCGCCCCCCCTTGGCCAAAGAGCTGAGATGTTATAGGCCTGTGCCACCGCCCCCAGCTAATTTTTTGTGTGGTTGTTTTTTTTTTTTTTTTTTTTTTTTTGTAGAGATGAGGGGTTTGCTATGTTTCCCAGGCTGGTCTCAACCTCCTGGGCTCAAGAGATCTGCACGCCTCGGCCTCCCAAAATGCTGGGATTACAGGCATGAGCCACTGCGCCTGGCCGATTGCTGCAAATTGAAACACCCCACATTTTCTCTAAGTGATGGCAGGCTCTTGTAATCTCAGAGATTCTAGCTCTCTTCCTTCTAATAATTTACAAATAACCCAGTAATAGCTTCTAAATCTGTTCATATTAGTGAAGGTCATTTCTCTTCAACAGAACAGAACCCCCCCATCCCTCTGCCTGATCAGATCCATCACCAGAAAGACCACGTTATGTCTGGGACTCACTTCCCTCCCTTTATTTATTGAGTGGGGGTGTCAGAACGCCCCCATTCAATAAAATTACACAGTCACGTCCCTGCCTCCCCAGCAAGGGTCTGTACATCTTTCAGGGTAAGCCTAGCCCCAGGGAAACTACTAACAACACTAGCCAACCCCCTCCCAAAGACTCAAGGCTGCTAGGAAACCTGTCATCCCCAAGCAATACTTCTCCCAGAGACTCCAGGCTCCCTGTTTTCATCTGACTTCTCTCCATGTCCTTACCCATGGACAGGTAAGCCCCGAATGGAGAAATGCAACCCCTAATTCCAGGTGACTGAGTGTGGCCGGGCTTCACTGATTTCTCCCTCCATAGGACCAAGGGTCCTGTAGCTAGAAAGTCTCAGGCTGTTTCTCTTGCAGGTGAGACTGCTCCTGGTGCCATGAACGGAGACGACACCTTTGCAAAGAGACCCAGGGATGATGCTAAAGCATCAGAGAAGAGAAGCAAGGTGACGTGACCTGGAGGGGGCAGAGCAGTGGTCCAGGGGACAGAGTAGGGTGACCAGGTTTCTGAGGAGGGGAGGACAGAGGTACTGGGGACAAGGAGCAGGGTCTCGGGGGAGATCTGGACCCTTGGGAGCCTCCCACCTGTGTTCTGTCATCACCTAGCATCCCTGGAGACAAGTCTCTGACCTTGCTCTACATTTGGTAACTCTCAGTCCATTCTGGAAGGTGGGAAGAGAGCCAGACAGCAGCATTAAAGCCCTAATGTGTGCCACGGGAGAAGCTAGGGTAGGTCCCCCATGGTCTCTCAGTTAGCCATGGCATCAACCAGGACGGATTATCATCCTCACTTCCCAGATCCAGCACACAGGAAGCGGCTCCAGCTGAATGGCAGACATACCTAGCTGAGTCACTGACAAATTTTATTTTATTTTTTTTAGGCCTTTGATGATATTGCCACATACTTCTCTAAGAAAGAGTGGAAAAAGATGAAATACTCGGAGAAAATCAGCTATGTGTATATGAAGAGAAACTATAAGGCCATGACTAAACTAGGTAACAGAAAGTTCTAGGAACAGACAAGTCTGGGGATACATGAGCATCCCTTTTCCTGCTTTGGCTACTTCTTAGGCTGCAGAAAGTACCCCACATTTTCCTTTTGTGCAGGGAAAAATCGCAAGGCAGCTTCTGGGGGTTCTGCTCTTCTGTATCCTGTCAGAGCTGAGGGCAGGGACTGGCCATAGTGGAGCTTGTACCTGGACCTTGCACTTTTCTCTCCCTTAGGCGTCTGTTCTGATCAGCCCAGCTGTCTCTGTGGCATTGCAGCACACCTCCCACCCTACCTTCCTCCTCTCAGCTTGTCTCTTTCTCTCTCTCTCCCTTTTTTTTTTTTTTTTTTTTTTTTGAGTCAGAGTCTCACTCTGTCACCTAGGCTAGAGTGTAGTAGTGCAATCATAGCTCAATGCAGCCTCGAACTCCTGGGCTCAAGCAATCCTTCTGCCCAGCCGATGGAGTAGCTGAGGATATGAGCACATGCCTCCATGCCCAACTAATTTTATTTTATAATTTGTAGATATGGGGGTCTCTCTATGTTACACAGGCTCATCTTGAAATCCTGGCCTCAAACAATCCTCCTGCCTCAGCCTCCCAAAGTGCCGGTACTACAGACATGAGCCACCATGCCAGGCCTAAGTTTGTCCCTTAAGGAATAAACATTTTGCTTCTTTCTAGGTTTCAAAGTCACCCTCCCACCTTTCATGTGTAATAAACAGGCCACAGACTTCCAGGGGAATGATTTTGATAATGACCATAACCGCAGGATTCAGGGTGAGTAGATGGGAAGTGGCTGGAAAGGTCTCCTGAAGCCCAATTGCTTTTCAGCTCAGCTACCTGGGAAAGATCCTCTGGCATTTGTTCCCTCATACACATCAGGGTTGAGTGAAAAAAAAAATTGCATACAGAAAGTTAACTACAGAGGCCATTCATAAAATTCTAAAACATGCAAAAGTAATATGTACTTTCATGGATAATAAGTAAATGGTAAATGCATAAAAACATAAATGCGAATAAAAAGGCATCAGATTGAGGAGACTGGCTGTAAATGGAGAAGGGGCGGGGGCAGGGATTGGTGAGTGCTGCACAGACAGCTTCAGTCATGACTTGTTGATAGTGTGTTTTGTTTTGTTTCGTTTTGTTTTGTTTTTGTTTTGAACTGGAGATTTGCTCTTGTCGCCCAGGCTGGAGTACAATGGCACAGTCTCAGCCCACTACAACCTCTGCCTCCCGGGTTCAAACGATTCTCCTGCCTCAGCCTCCTGAGTAGCTGGGATTACAGGCGCCCGCCACCATGCCCACCTAATTTTTGTATTTTTAGTAGAGATGGGGTTTCACCATGTTGACCAGGCTGGTCTCAAACTCCTGACCTCAGGTGATCCACCCACCTCAGCCTCCCAAAGTGCTGGGATTACAGGCGTGAGCCACTGCACCCAGGCCGTTTCTAGTGTTTCTAACATTCTAAATAAATAAATCAGATCTAACATAGTCATGGGGTAATGTTGAGATGCGACTGAACTCAATATTATTCCCCATACTATTCTGTGTGTTTGAAACATTTCTTTTTTAAAAGACATGTTGTTCTTGCTAAACACTGTTTTTTTTTATTATACTTTAAGTTTTAGGGTACATGTGCACAATGTGCAGGTTAGTTACATGTGTATACATGTGCCATGCTGGTGCGCTGCACCCATTAACTCATCATCTAGCATTAGGTATATCTCCCAACGCCATCCCTTCCCCCTCTCCCCACCCCACAACAGTCCCCAGAGTGTGATGTTCCCCTTCCCGTGTCCTTGTGTTCTCATTGTTCAATTCCCACCTATGAGTGAGAATATGCGGTGTTTGGTTTTTTGTTCTTGCAATAGTTTACTGAGAATGATGATTTCCAATTTCATCCATGTCCCTGCAAAGGACATGAACTCATCATTTTTTATGGCTGCATAGTATTCCATGGTGTATATGTGCCACATTTTCTTAATCCAGTCTATCATTGTTGGACATTTGGGTTGGTTCCAAGTCTTTGCTATTGTGAATAGTGCCACAATAAACATATGTGTGCATGTGTCTTTATAGCAGCATGATTTATAGTCCTTTGGGTATATACCCAGTAATGGGATGGCTGGGTCAAATGGTATTTCTAGTTCTAGATTCCTGAGGAATCTCCACACTGACTTCCACAATGGTTGAACTAGTTTACAGTCCCACCAACAGTGTAAAAGTGTTCCTATTTCTCCACATCCTCTCCAGCACCTGTTGTTTCCTGACTTTTTAATGATTGCCATTCTAACTGGTGTGAGATGGTATCTCATTGTGGTTTTGATTTGCATTTCTCTGATGGCCAGTGATGGTGAGCATTTTTTCATGTGTTTTTTAGCTGCATAAATGTCTTCTTTTGAGAAGTGTCTGTTCATGCCCTTTGCCCACTTTTTGATGGGGTTGTTTGTTTTTTTCTTGTAAATTTGTTTGAGTTCATTGTAGATTCTGGATATTAGCCCTTTGTCAGATGAGTAGGTTGCAAAAATTTCCTCCCATTCTGTAGGTTGCCTGTTCACTCTGGTGGTAGTTTCTTTTGCTGTGCAGAAGCTCTTTAGTTTAATTAGATCCCATTTGTCAATTTTGGCTTTTGTTGCCATTGCTTTTGGTGTTTTAGACATGAAGTTAGGCAGGAGAAGGAAATAAAGGGTATTCAATTAGGAAAAGAGGAAGTCAAATTGTCCCTGTTTGCAGACGACATGATCGTATACCTAGAAAACCCCATTGTCTCAGCCCAAAATCTCCTTAAGCTGATAAGCAACTTCAGCAAAATCTCAGGATACAAAATCAATGTACAAAAATCACAAGCATTCTTATACACCAACAACAGACAAACAGATAGCTAAACACTGTTAATGAATCAAAGGACAGTTAAGACAATTTTAAAAGTGAAAAAAAAAGAAACTATTAAAAGTATAGATCCACCAAAAACTTCCAGACATTGTTTCATTAACAGCATGTAGATATTGGATAAATATCTTAAGAGAGAGGGTGATGAACACATGTAATAAAGATTGCTGTTTCTCCATACTTTATTGAAACCAAATAGTCTTCACATTCCCAAACAACCCCAATTCTCCATGATGAGCTTGGAAGTGAGTTTGAAAGAGTGACCCCTCATCCAACACACAGAGAGCTTTCCCAATTGTCAGTGAGCGGAGATAACATAGGATGAAAAAAAGACAGGTTCTTGGGT
Organism: Homo sapiens; assembly: GCF_000001405.40. Classification (NCBI taxonomy): domain Eukaryota; kingdom Metazoa; phylum Chordata; class Mammalia; order Primates; family Hominidae; genus Homo; species Homo sapiens. The sequence continues at coordinate 48,261,090 of NC_000023.11, forward strand.
AGAGATCTTTGTGCATTTCAGGAATAGAAAGGGGACATATTTGTTTACTTGCTCTTCTGCTCTGACAATACAATCATAAGACAAGGTCAGAGTGTCTAAACTGTCTTCAATATCTCTATTACTCCCCAGCTAAACAGGCCAGAATCAACCATCTCCCACAATCACTATAAGAGATCTGAAACTCCAGTGCTTGAGTATCTGCCAAGTTTTGACATTAAAGGAGTGTCTTTATACTGAAAATATTTCAGAGCCACTGGACTAAATCATCCATGGTTCATCACACATTTAACAGCTTAATTCACATACCATAAGATCCACCCATTTGAAGTGTACAGTGATTTTTAGTTGTTGCACATCTTGAGTGATTACAGTTTACATTCCCAACCAATCAATTTAATTATTTGGGAAAAAGTAAAAGATATGTAATGGAATAAGATGAGACTGTGATGGGATTTAACCCCCATTTGAGAAACCATGTGATGTAAAATTCTGAATTGATGCCACAGATAAATGAACCAACCATGACTAAACATAATTCAGAAGCAAATCTCAAATAACTCCTCAACAATGAGTGGACTCATAACCTCTGCTGCAGAATGCCCTCATGCAACGGAAGTCTCTCCAGAGTTTGGAAATCTTTACCAACAAAGAAAAATTCTGATGTGTTCTCTTTCAGTTGAACATCCTCAGATGACTTTCGGCAGGCTCCACAGAATCATCCCGAAGGTGAGTATCTCTCAAATCTAAAGGACCAGAGAACCTTTTTCCTTTCATGGATGTGAACACTGATAAGACAGGGAGAATATCAAAAACGCCCTCATTGCCTCTTTCTCCCCATGTCTATCACAACAACTTATGTAGCACCGACGGCTTGATAATACTAACAGTTGTGATCCTTAATACTTCTTTTGTTTTCATAGTGATGCCAGATACTATTTTAAGCAGTTCACATGGATTAATTAATTTAATCCATAAGAAGACCTCTATGACATTGTTTCTTTTATTATCTCCAAATAGTAATGAGTCACACACTTCGGTTGTCATCCATATAAAAGCCATGTGACTTGGCACAAATCTTCTAAGTTATCGGAGCTCCAGATTCCTAGTCCATGAAATGGAAGTAAAGAATAATAGTTCATGTTATAGACCATAGTTATCAGCAACATAATAATAAAATGAGGCTATCGGGGTACAGAGATGTTAAAGAATTTTCCTGGGGCACAGTGTCAGTGGTAGTCTAATCCAGAGCTCCAAGCCATTTAAAGCTCATTCACGTTTGTATTTGTTTATGAAGTTCAGATGTTGCTCACTAGGGCTTTACCCCATAGGGCCTACTGGTGCTTCCATTGAGACACCCACTCTCGCAACAGGAAGGACCAGCTGGCCTCTGCTCTGTTACCGGGGCCACTCCCATGGCTTAGGAATCGCTTTGACTGTTGGCCCCTCCTTGAGCTCCTTGAGGGCTTTGTCTGCACCTGGGGCATCCGAGAAGCCCCAGTCCCAGCCCAGGGGATCCCTCAGAGGCCCCTGAATGAGTGATTCTGGAAGTGCAGATTCAGCTCTGGTTTAGAAGGTAAAGGGATCTGGGAGTTGGGTTGCCAGTATGGAGAACGAATTCAAAGAAGGATCCAGAAAGGTATTCAATGTTATTATTATTACATTTGAACAATGTTTACAAGCTCAGAGAGGATTTTCCCTTAGCTTATTTTACATGTATTATTCACTATTTCATAAGTGAGGAAGCTGAGTAAAAAGTAGCTTAAGGGCCGGGCGCGGGGGCTCACGACTGTAATCCCAGCAATTTAGGAGGTTGAGGCGGGCAGATTACGAGGTCAAGAGATCGAGACCGTCCTGGCCAACATGGTGAAACCTCATCTCTACTAAAAATACAAAACTTAGCAGGGCGTGGTAGCGCCTGCCTGTAATCCTAGCTACTCAGGAGGCTGAGACAGGGGAATCGCTTGAACCGGGGAGGAGGAGATTGCAGTGAGCCAAGATCGCACCACTGCACTCTAGCCTGGTGACAGAGCGAGACTTTGTCAAAAAAAAAAAAAGAGTAGCTTAATATTGTTGGTCAGTGACACATCCCAGTGTAACCAGAATTGGTATGGGTACCACCTCACTGAATTCCACATTCAATGTTGGTGCCTCGGTAGGGTGGTATGCCAGATCTGGTACTGCTTTCTTTGCTGCCTAGATTAATTTCAGCAAACCATTTCTTTACCTCTCCCTTCCCTGTATTCATCTCCCCACACCATCTTTCCCAGCAGTGTTTTGTCCCCTCCCTATGTTTTTACATTTACTCTCCCAGCAGCTGTCTACGAGCTTATATGGGATCCCTTGTATTTTATAGAAGCTCTTCCTTTTGTAGACCTTGTGAATTCTTAGAATGCTATTTTTCTCCAAATATTCTGTGTACTACACTCTCAACTACATGGAGATTTCTGCTGTTTCCACGAATGTCAGTCTTAAAAGAGTGTGAAGATAAGCATTCTAGCCCTGGAAACTGCATTCATTTAGGCCATTCCTTTTGCTTCTAATCTCCCAGGTTTGTCTCATTTAGGCAAGTGTAACTCTCCCCGCGTTGTTGAGAACATTCATTAAGGTAATGCATGTGAAGACGCTTTGTAAGCTCTAAAGCACTATAGAAATGTCACTGATACTGTTTATCTGTAACCTTCACATTATAAAGATCATGCCCAAGAAGCCAGCAGAGGACGAAAATGATTCGAAGGGAGTGTCAGAAGCATCTGGCCCACAAAACGATGGGAAACAACTGCACCCCCCAGGAAAAGCAAATATTTCTGAGAAGATTAATAAGAGATCTGGTAAGAGGAAATGATTTGGGAACAACTTCTCTGGCTTTTCTGGCTATGTTCAGGTGTGTGGACTGGGTGTGTGGCATGGATCCCAGACAAGCCTGGGTCCAGGCTGGGCTGAAGAGCTCGCCCAGCTCCAGATGAGATGTTAGACATGACTTCCAGAGATGCAGACTGGAGTTGTCATCCATATAAAAAACCACGTGACTTGGGACAAGTCTTCCAAATTTTCTCAGCTCCAGATTCCTAGTCCATAAGATGGAAATAAAGAATCATAGTTCGTAAATTGTTTGGAGGCATTAAATTAAATCCTGAAGGCCTGATGACATGAAAGGTGCTCAAGCGATTCTATCTGTGATAACCTGGGATCATATCTTACTCAGCTCAATGCCTGATACCCAATACAGGTGTACTTCAGAGATATTGCAGGTTGGGTTCCAGAGCACTGCAATAAAGTGAGTCACACACATTGTTTTTCGTTTGTTTCGCAGTGCATAAAAACATTATGTTTACACTATAGTGTACTCTACTAAGTGTGCAATAGCATTATGTCTAAAAATGTACATACCTTAATTTTAAAATAATTTATTGTTAAAAAATGCTAACAATCTTCTGAGCCTTCAGTGAGTTACACTCTTCTTGTTGGTGGAGGGTCTTGCCTCGGTGTTGATGGCTGCTGGCTGATCAAGGTGGTGGTTGCTGAAGGGTGGAGTGGCTGTGGCAGTTTCTTAAAAGAACACAACAATGAAATTTGCCACATCGATTAGCTCTCCCTTTCATGAAAGATTTCTCTGTAGTATGTGATGCTATTCGATAGCATTTAGCCACTTTAGAACTTCTTTCAAAGTTGGAGTCAATCATCTCTAGCTATGAAAGTTTTAGATGGCATCTACTTCCGATAAAAGGCTGTTTAATCTATATTGAAAATCTGTTGTTTAGTGTAGCCACGTTCATCAGTGATCTTAGCTAGATCTTCTGGATAACTTGCTGCAGCTTCTCCATCAGTGTTTGCTGCTACACCTTGCACTTTTATGTTATGGGGACAGCTTCTTTCCTTAAACCTCACAAACCAACCTCTGCTAGTTTCACACGTTTCTTCACCTCTCTCAGCTTTCATGGGCTTGAAGAGAGTTCAGGTCTTGCTCTGAATTAGACTTTGGCTTAAGGGAATGTTGTGGCTGGTTTCATGTTCTATCCTGATCACTCAAACTTTCTCTATTGCAGCAGTAAGGCTGTTTTGCTTTCTTATTCTTGTGTTCACTGGGTATTAGTATTATTATTTCCTTCAAGAACTTTTCCTTTGCATTATATACTATTCTTTCTTTCAAGAACTTCTCCTTTGCATGCACAGCTTGGCTATTTGGTGCAAGAGGCCTAGCTTTCATCCTGTCTCGGCTTTCAGCATGCCTTCCTCACTAAGCTTAGCCATTTCTAGATTCTGATTTAATGTGAGAGAATGCGACTCTTCCTTTCATTTGAACAGTTAGTGGCCATTTTAGGATTGTTAACTGTCCTAATTTCAGTATCGCTGTATCTCAGGGAATAGGTAGGCCCAAGAAAAGGAAAAGAGATGGGGAAGAGCTCATTGGTGGAGCAGTCAGAATACACACAACATTGATCAATTACGTTCGTTATCTTCTCTAGGTGGAGTTCCTGTTACCCCCAGAACATTGACACACAACAGGGTGACTATAGTCAATAATAACTTAATCGTACATTTAAAAATAACGAAAAGAGTGTAATTGGATTGTTTGTAACACAAGGATAAATGCTTGATGGGATGGATACCCTATTTTCCATGATGTGATTATTACGCATTGCATACGTGTATCAAAATATCTCACGTACCCTATAAGTATATACACCTACTGTGTATCCACAAAAATAAATTATTTTAAAAGACTAAAAAACAACAAAAACAATTGCAATAATAACATCAAAGCTCACTGATCACAGATCACCATAACAGATATAATAATAATGGAAAAGTGTAAAATTGGTGAGAATTCCCCCCAAAAAATTACAGTGTCTGCATAGCACTATAAAAATGAGGTGCCATAAAACAAGGTATGCCTGTGTGCCCTTAACAAATACGTGCTGAATGAAAGGAGGTATCGGTGAATGTTCCCGTAAGTGAAGAGGTTGGTAATCTAAACGTCACAACAGAAGGAGCCAGAAGCTAAAACATTAATTGGTATTTGTCGTGTATTGGTGTGGGTCTAAGGCCTCAGCCTCTCTAAGCCAGAGAATGTGAAAAACTGGATAAAGAAGGCCCATGGGCACTTGGGAGGGAGGAGGCATCTCCTTTTTTTGAGAAAACAGAGCCTAACACTCTTCAACGTACCCAACCCTCATCTTCCAACTCTTCTCCATCATAGGACCCAAAAGGGGGAAACATGCCTGGACCCACAGACTGCGTGAGAGAAAGCAGCTGGTGATTTATGAAGAGATCAGTGACCCTGAGGAAGATGACGAGTAACTCCGTAAGTGAACCTTCGGCTCACCCTCCACATCCCTGCAGATGTGCTATTCTGTTATGGTACTGGTATCCCATCTTGTCATTTGTTTCCCAAATCATTCCTTTCTCATAATTTTCTACTGTACAGCATTGAGGCTGAATGATGAGATTTCCCATGCTCTTTCTACTCCCTACCCTGTATATCCAGGGATCCTCACCACCCAGGATGCTGTGGGTTCCCAAACCCCAGGTCAGCCCTGATATGTGGCCACACCTTCTTCTAGCCTAGGAATGCATAAACCAGGCGAGGAAGTCACTGTGGCATGAGCAGATGGTTCACTTCGAGGAACCATGGAAGGCGTGTCCAGGTCCTGGGGTAGGGCAGAATCAGAGTGTGCAGGGTCTGCAGGTCAGGAGGAGTTGAGGTTGAGTTATTGGGCAGTGGGAACTCGCTGTCACTTACTTTCCTTCCCTCTTCTCGCCTCAGCCTGGGGGATACGACACATGCCCTTGATGAGAAGCAGAACGTGGTGACCTTTCACGAACATGGGCATGGCTGCGGCTCCCTCGTCATCAGGTGCATAGCAAGTGAAAGCAAGTGTTCACAACGGTGAAACTTGAGCGTCATTTTTCTTAGTGTGCCAAGAGTTCGATGTTAGTGTTTCCATTGTATTTTCTTACAGTGTGCCATTCTGTTAGATACTATCCTTATAATTGATGAGCAAGACATACTGAATGCATATTTCGGTTTGTGTATCCATGCACCTACGTCAGAAAACAAGTATTGTCAGGTATTCTCTCCATAGAACAGCACTATCCTCATCTCTCCCCAGATGTGACTACTGAGGGCAGTTCTGAGTGTTTAATTTCAGACTTTTTCCTCTGCATTTACACACACACACACACACACACGCACACACACACACCAAGTACCAGTATAAGCATCTCCCATCTGCTTTTCCCATTGCCATGCGTCCTGGTCAAGCCCCCCTCACTCTGTTTCCTGTTCAGCATGTACTCCCCTCATCCGATTCCCCTGTATCAGTCACTGACAGTTAATAAACCTTTGCAAACGTTCCCCAGTTGTTTGTTCCTCTCATTATTGTGCACACAGCTTTGTGCACATGTGTGAATATTTCTTTAGAAAGATTCTTAGAAGTGGAATTGCCATGTCAAAGGAGTCATTTATTCAACAAAACCCTAATGAGTGTGTCCTCGTGCTGAGCGCTGTTCTAGGTGCTGGAGAGACATCAGGGAACAAGACGGGGAGATGTTCCTGACCACCATTCTAGAGGAGGATGTTTCCAGTTGTTGGCTTTCTTTGTTTCTTTGTTTGTTTGTTTCTTCTGGAGATGGGGTCTTGCTCTGTCCAGGCTGGAGTGCAGTGGCACGATCATAGCTCAATGCAGCCTTGAACTGCTGGGCTCAAGCGATCCTCCCACCTTGGCCTCCTAAAGTACTAGGATTACAGGCATGAGCCACCGCGCCTGGCCTCCAGTTTTTATTTTGATAGGGACTATACACTTCAGTCCTGGAGCAGGATTCTGCAGCAGGTGGTTGGGCAATTTGGCCTTCGCTCTCTGAACAATTTTCGGGTTCTAGGGCTGGGATGGTCCATTTGGGAGTATGTGGGAAGAGACACAGATGAAATCGTCATCTGGGGAACATGGAGGAATGAGGAAGATGCGTGCACTGTAGACCCTGTGATGGCCAGGGAATAGAAGAGTCCACTTAGTCTCCATGCAGGGGAGCAACGGTGGGAAGGTCCCCTGGACAGAAGCATGAGACTGCCCATCAAGGGTCTCACCACCCAAGGGCCTGGGGGCTGGGGTGGGGACGATGATTTGGGAATGGGACAGTTCTTTCTCACAGGTACCAATGCACGGTGCAGAGGGGAAACAGTTGTGGGGAAGGGAAGGGCAGAGGGGAGTCTATTTTAGCACAAAGCATTGTGTGTGAATGGAGACATCAAAGCTCCATTCACACACCATGGACTTGAAACACCAGCCCCAGGTGGAGGCAGGATTGGAGCTGTTTTGACCGTCCATAGCCCATCACCTTGGCCTCCTGGTTCTCCCAGCCTTAGAAGGAGCACACTATGATCATTATGCCTATATGACAGATGAGAGACGGAGTCCCAGAGAGATGGTAGGCGTCTTGTCACAGGTCCTACAGCTGGCAGGTGCAGGAGGAGCTGAGTTTGGAGCTCACTGACTTCAGAAACATTAAGGAGGACAGGTGTGTGTGGTGGAGGAAGGGAGAACTGAACAAGTCCCGGGTTCTGTCCCGTCACAAGGTAGAGGCTGTGGGTTCATTTTCCAAGACAAGGAACCCTTAGAGATGGAGAGTGCAGGGAGGAAGAGGCAATCGTGGACATAGTGGGACAGTGGGAGACAGAGATGTGCAGCGTAGGGAGAAGAGGGGCAGGCAAAGAAGCAGGGGATACCCAAGACCAAGTGTGGGCTGTCACAGCCACCAGAGGGAGAGGGTGCCAGGAAGGAGGTTGTGGGGCTCCAGGAGCAACAGAGGTTCCCCAGATCTGTGAGCACGCCCTGCCTGGCACTGCAGGAAGAGGTGGCTGCCCCCCAGGTCAGTGTGGACGTGCCTCTACCTGTGTCTCAGAGGAAACAAATTCTATTTTATCCCAATATAGTTCTGTATTACACAAATGTAACATTCGGCTACTAGATATCAGGTGCCTTATCCTCCATGCAAACAGAGGAGAGGATACCCAAAAAGAGATACTGAAGGATTTGGTTTTTCTTTCTCCCTGGGATGATGGGATCCATAAGTTGGGTCCCCCAGCCCACAAGACAGGTGCCAGGAAGGGTGACTGGAAGAGTGTGAGTCATGACAGGGAACATTTTTCCTTAGGTTTCTTGGGTATATAAAGCTCCCGACTGTCTATCATGGATAGATAAAGAGTGAACATGGTCCCCTCTCCACAAATGTGTTTCTTTCCTTCATTATTACTGTGAAGTGCCGAAGATACACCAAGTCCTGATACATTACTTTTTTTTTTTTTTGAGACAGAGTCTCGCTCTGTTGTCCAGGCTGGAATGCAGTGGTGAGATGTCGGCTCCCTGCAACCTCTGCCTACCAGGTTCAAGCGATTCTCCTGCCTCAATCTCCAGAGTCGCTGGGAACACAGGCGCGTGCCACCATTCCCAACTAATTTTTTATATTTTTAGTAGAAACGGGGTTTCACTGTGTCAGCCAGGTTGATCTTCTGGCCTCGTGATCTGATGGCCTCAGCGTCCCAAAGTGCTGGGATTACATGCGTGAGCTAGTGCGCCCAGTGATGCATTACTTTTTTATGTCTGTGTTTTTTTATATTTTATTTTTTATTTTTTTATTTTTTTTGAGACAGGATCGCACTCTGTCTCCCAGGTTGGAGTGCAGTTCTGCAATTTCAGCTCACTGCAGCTTCGATCTCCCAGGCTCAAGGGATTCTCCTACTTCAGCTTACGAACTACCTGGGACTACAGGCACTTGCCACCACACCCAGCTAATTTTTGTATTTTCTGTAGAGACAGGATCCCACTATATTGCCCAGGCTGGTCTCTATCTACTGGCTTCAGGCAATCCTCCTGCCTCAGCCTCCCAAAGTGTTAAGATGACAAGTGTGAGCCACCTCGCCAGGCCTTCGCTTTCTTTAATGAACAATTATCAGAGTTTCATCTTAGAGGCAAAAGTGGCTACTGCCAGCCAATCTGAGTGTTGTGTCGGAGGGGAATCTGGCTGGTTCAGACGTTTCAAATGAACTTTTAAATTAACCTACCTGATGATTACCCTAAGGCCCTTTCTCGCTCCATGTTTTTTTGATTATGGGTTTGGAGTTTTTCAGAAGCTTTCCTACAAAGAACATCTCCTGACTGGGCGCAGTGACTCACGCTGTATTCCCAGCACTTTGGGAGGCCGAGGCAGGCAGATCACTTGAGGTGAGGAGTTCGAGACCAACCTGGCCTACATTGCAAAAACCCTGCCTCTACCACAAATACAAAAATTAGCCGGCCATGGTGGTGGGCACCGGTGAATTCCAGTTACTGCGGGGGCTGAGGCATGAGAATCACTTGAACCCGGGAGATACACCGTGCAGTGAGCCGAGATCACGCCACTGTACTCCAGCCTGGGCGACAGAGTAAGTCCCTGTCTCAAAAAACAAACAGCATCTCTCGCCTACAGTGATTTGAGCTGTGGTCTTGTCTCCTCGGGTTTCTCTGTCAGTCTGATCCCATCTACTCTATCTCCCAGGAATGCCTCAATATATCTGGTGGACCACTGACACGTTTTCCTATTTTCCTCTACTGTTAAGGATTGACCCTTGAAAACATTTTCTTCCTAGTTTGATGGAACGTTGAGTGGGGCACGGGATCTAGCTGCCATCTTGCTCCAATCATCTGTTATTAGATATTTCATGTATTTTTTGTCACAATATAAGTGTAATTTTTCTCAATTTGGTTTTCTAAATGGCTATTATTGGCATGTAGAAACCCTATCTATTATTGTTAATAATATTTTGTTACCTGTCTGGGTACAGCTTCCCCTGTATTTTGGCACAAGACTCAATCTATTTTATTCTTCAAAACAAAACTGACAGGCTGAGTGTGGTGGCTCACACCTGTAATCCCAGCACTTAGGGAGGCCGAGGTGTGTGGATCAACTGAGGTCAGGATTTCGAGACCAGCCTGGCCAAGATGGTAAAACCCCATCTCTACTAAAAATACAAAAAAAAAAAAAAAATTAGCCGGGCATTGGTGGTGCACGCCTGTAGTCCCAGCTACTAGGGCAGCTGAGGCGGGAGGATCATTTGAACTCGGGAGGCGGAGATCGCAGTGAGCCAAGGTGGCACCACTGCACTCCAGCCTCGTGGACAGAAACTCTATCTCTAAATAAAAAGAAAAAGAAAAAAAGAAAATTCACTTCACCGGCAATAGATAGTTATAAAAGGATAATTTATGGAAGATTTCATAGGGGAGACTGATGGAAAGAAAGGAAGTATACATTTTACAGAGCTGAGCAGTTCACTGCAAAAATCACCAGAACTGCCTTTTTCTCCAAAAATGCTACCCATAAGCTATTCTACTACTGGTTCTTCTAGTCCTTTTCTCTATTCCAAATCCTCAAATTGTCCATTTCCTTATTGGGGTAATTTTCCTCTGCCCAGATCTGGGTCCTCCACCACACTTAACACTGTCTGCGAGTGTGTGAATTCCCATTATTTTAGCTCAGGTTCCCAAGGAAACAGGCTTTGGGCCATACAGGACACCTCTAGACAGACTATACTGAGAAGCCATGCTTGGAACGGTGCATGGGGAGAGGAGAGGGAATTTACGTACCTGGCTCTCACTCATGGTTTTTTTTTTTTTAATTGGTCAAAATTTACCCCATAGGCATGAACTCCCCCACACTTCTAGATTGCATCATCTGCCCCTTTCACAGCTGTCTTGGAAGCCAGATCCCACACTTTGAAGTGTAGTGTTTCATAGAAACCAAAAGTGGTCCTAGAGGCCAGGTGTGGTGGCTCACGCCTGTAATCCCATCACTTTGGGATGCCAAGGCAGGAAGTTCATGAGGTCAGGAGTTTGAGTCTAGCCTGGCGAGCATGGTGAAACCCAGTCTCTACTAAAAATACAAAAATTAGCCCGGCATGGTGGCACACACCTGTAATCTCAGCTACTCGGGAGGCTGAGGCAGGAGAATCGCTTGACCCTGGGAAGCAGAGGTTGCAGTGAGCTGAGATCGCACCACGGCACTTCAGCCTGGGCGACAGAGCAAGACTCCATCTGAAAAACAAAACAAAACAAACAAACAAACAATCAAAAAAGTGGTAGCAGAAACCAGAAAGTCCATGTATGTAGCTAATTGGCCTGGTTGTATAGCAGCAGCCAAGGGTGAAAACTAAATACTCCCAGACAAGTTCTAAGTTCACCAAGGAATTGGAGTACCCATCTGTGCTAGTTAATTGCCTTTATCTGAAGGAAAAATAAAACTCATATCTCTATGACAAGCAGGTGCTTAGAGCTTGGAGAAAGGCACCTAGGCAAACTCCCCTGGTGACAGGGAGACTGGGACGTCATCTTCCTCAATGTTCACGTTTCAAAGAGATGGCTCAAGGCCCTGAAGAAAGACCTTTCTAGGGACTGGTCATGGTGGCTCACACCTGTAATTCCAACACTTTGGGAGGCTGAGGCTGGAGTATCACTTGAGGCCTGGAGTTCAAGTCGAAGACATTCCTGGGATATATGGGGCCAGAGGCTTACATATCAAAGGAAGAATTTACCAATACAAATTTTCTGAAGGAAATGCTCTAGGGAAAGGGAAATGGGAAAAGGTCTCTTCTTCCCTTTTGGCAACAGGAAAATCTCAATTTTATGTGTAGTTAACCTTACAATTTCCCCCTTTTGTTATTCTTTTATAGTAACATTACAATTTTCTAATTATCTCCACTGCTGTTTCTATCTTTCTCTGGGTAGTGTACAGCCACATAGATATCCAACAAGTCCATAGTAAGATGCAAAGCAAAGCAATTATCAGGATTATAATAGAATGACTTTTTTTTTTCGGGACAGAGTTTCACTCTCATTGCCCAGGCTGGAATGCAATGGTGCGATCTCAGCTCGCTGCAACCTCTGTCTCCTGAGTTCAAGCGATTTTCCTTCCTCAGCCTCCCAAGTAGCTGGGATTACAGGCATGCACCATGAAGCCCAGCTAACTTTGTATTTTTTGTAGAGATGGGGTTTCACCATGTTAGCCAGGATGGACATGAACTCCTCACCCCAGGTGATCCGCCCACCTCGGCCTCCCAAAGTGTGAGGATTACAGACGTGAGCCACCATGCCCGGTCTAGAATGAATTTTTAAATTCAGTGTAATACTCACCTCGTCAGGGGGCGGGGCGACCATTCAACACATCATAGTGGTTAATTGTGTCAAAGACAAAATAAATTATAGAGACAAATTCCTAAATCAAATGCTGTATTTGGGAATCACAAAATTGCAATTCAGGGCATATACACGGACTGGGGTGGTCTTCAGTATGTCCAACGAACAAACAGAAGTTGGAAGCTTTATCGGAAAGAAAAATGTTACATATTGTTTTGAAATGAGGCTCACTGGCCCTGGAGAAGCTGGTTCATTTGCACAATCAGTTTTAAAATTCCCTCTTTTGATGAAGATCTTTCTTTCAAAACCTCACTGATCAGCCATCTTAAAGTGAGGCTTCATTGTCACTCCATGCCAGGATGGACCTGTGCCGGTTGTCTTTGTCCCATGTCAAGGGAAAGGTAAGGGAGTCTATATCAGGAACATGGGCCACATTTGAGCCACAAAGAGGCCAGAAGGAAAAAAAAATCAGGCATGTTTGTTTGGAGTTCAGCATCTTATTAGTTCCATCTATATTAGCATTCATCTTGAAGCACTAGGCCAACATTATCCTGTTGGGAGAACTGGCTGAACAAATATTAGACAGGCAACAAGAACAGAGCTCAAAGATCATAATACAAAAATAATTAGCAATCTTTTTTTTTGTTTGTTTTATTTTATTGCAATGGAGTCTTGCTCTGTCGCCCAGGATGAAGTGCAGTGGCATGATCCCGGCTCACCGCAACCTCCACCTCCTGGGTTCAAGCAATTCTCCTGTGTCAGCCTCCTGAGTAGCCAGGATTAAAGATGTGTGCCACGAAGCCCTGCTACATATTTTTGTATTTTTAGTAGAGATGTGGTTTCACCGTGTTGGCCAGGCTGGTCTCAAACTCCTGATCTCAAGTGATCTGCCCACCTCAGCCTCCCAAAGTGCTGGGATAACAGGTGTGAGCCATCGTGCCTGGCCCTATAACCAATGTTTTTAATTGTATCCGTCTATAAAGAGAGAGCAGATTTTTTTGTGTGTGTTAAAAAAAAAGTGGGCCAGGTGCAATGGCTCACACCTATAATCCCAGAACTTTGGGAGAGTACTTGAGCCCAGGAGTTCAAGATCAGCCTGGGAAACATAACTAGACCCCCATCTCTGAAAAAAAAAAAAAAAGAAAAAGAAAATAAAGAGAAAAGAAAAGTAAAGTATGGTTTTATTACTACCTGCATGAGGTGGTAGGTGTGCTTGAGAGAAGGGAAGAGAGGAAAGGAGGGGAGGAGAAGACAGGGCAGAGGAGGGGAGGGGGAGGAGGAGAAGGGGGGAGAGGGAGTGGGAAGCTGCAGGCAGGAAGGAATGGTTTTATTACTGAGTGGGAAGCTGCAGGCAGGAAGGAATGGTTTTATTACTACCTGCAGGCAGGGCCTGCATGAGGTGGTGGGTGTGCTGGGCCCAGGGTATGTGTGGGCTGTGAGCAGATGGTGATGGTGAGGCTGGAAGGAAAGGGGGTGGCTTGGAAACCAGGCCCAGGGGATCCTCAGATCTGCTTCTTGGAATGGGCAGCCTTGAGAAAAGAGTCATGGTAAGCCACAGTCATGCCATCCATCAGATGCAGACATTCTTGGAAATCTAACTGCCCATCACTAGTGAGGTCCAGTTTCTTCATCATGTGGTCAAAGACACTGGGGCCTCTGGTTCTTCGTGAAGGCATCTAGTTCTCTATTCATGAAGCTTGGGAACTCTGTCTTGGAGTGAATGCTATTGTAACCATCCTTTCCAGCCTATTTCTGGAAAACAGCAATCGGACTCTCTGTAGGGCTGGAGATTTTTGCCATGTTGGAGTTGAATGAGACACCAAGAGCAGGTTTTTACTGGACCTGTGTAAATAACCATACTGCCGTAAGAATATTTCCAAATAGTTTCAAATTCTGGAGGAATCGAGCAGAAAGAAAAAGCAAATCTTTCCATCTTAGTTTACAAAAGTACACTTTACCAAATTGTTATAAACTATAGACAGTTTAACAGAGGAAATTTTCTCTTTTTTTTTTCATTTTTTGAGAAAGGTTTGTGCCCTGTTGCACAGGCTGGAGTGCAGTGGTGCAAACATGGCTCCCTGCAACCTCTGCATCCTGACTCAAGTGATCCTCCCACCTCGGCCTCCCAAGTAGCTGGGACCACAGGTGCATGCCACCATGCCCAGCTAATTTTTTTTTTTTGAGACAGGGTTTTGCCATGTTGTCCAGACTTGTCTTGAACTCCTGGGCTCAAGAAATCCTCCTGCCTTGGCTTCCAAAGTGAGCCACCACACCCCACCAGAAAATTTTATTAAATGTGCAAAACCAAACATTTAAGTAAAAAACAAAGCTTTTTTTCTTAATTTCTTTTAGAAACCAGGTCTCCTATGTTGCCCAGGTTTGTCTTGAAGTCCTGCACTCAAGGGATCCTTCTGTCTTGGCCTCTGAGAATGCTAGGATTACAGGTGTGAGCCACTGTGCCTAGCTGAAGAATAAATAAAGTTTTAAATAAAGGTCATAAAAACATCAGTTATTTAGCCTCATGTAATTTTGTTCTGCTTGATCTTGATGATCAGGTGCATGAACCCATCAGTTTTCATTAGAGTTTTCAAGAATTATTTAGTTCATTTATCTGAAAGTTATTACAAATCTATATTCAATAGTACTTGTTAAAATCTTTTTTATGAATCTGATTCTGGATACATTTAGAGAAGAATCAACACTGTAGATGATACAGCTTAGAATAGCAATGATTAAGATCTGATCAAAGGTCCATAATTGAGAAAAAATTCAATTATTTCTATTATGTAGAACATTTTAAGATAAGAACCAGAATCATGACTGATAGCATCATACCAGGACCATCAGAGCTCTGTAAAATTTATATGATCTTCAGAACATTAACATCAATAACATATTTATATAAATGTAAACAGCAATTAGTGTATTTTATTATTTGAAATTGCTTTTCATATCATCTAACATATCAAATAAGCCTAATGAGAGACACATTCTTTGAGGCTCTCCGGGGGCCTCACTGGTAAATCTCACTCAATTTTAGGTTAAAAAGACTTAAATTAGAATTTGATTAGTTTGTTCGACAGCAATAGATAAATAAAAAAGAATTGGATTTTGGGGAAGTTTGTCAAAGATGTTAAAAGGCTCAAAACACTTGTTCAAAACAGGATCACGGGTCACTGTGAAATAATAGTCACTCATTTAACCAGAGTTATAGTCAACAGACTTCAAAAGCAATACAGAAAGTTACACAGACTTAAAAACTTAACCCTTTCAAAGCTCAGTTTTCCTAAGCAAGAAGAAACCTAATTAGTGTAGTTAACTTTCTGTATGCAACTTTTTTTTCACTCAGCCCTGATGTGTATGAGGGAACAAACGCCTGAGGATCTTTCCCAGGTAGCTGAGCTGAAAAGCAGTTGGGCTTGATGAGACCCTATCCAGCCCCTTCCCATCTACTCACCCTGATGCCCATGGTTATAGTCATTATCAAAATCATTCCCCTGGAAGTCTGCGGTCCGTTTATTACACATGAAAGGTGGGAGGGTTGCCTTGAAACCTAGAAAGAAGCAAAATGTTTATTCCTTAAGAGACAAGCTTGGGCCTGGTATGGTGGCTCATGTCTGTAATACTTTCTGCAGCCTAAGAAGTAGCCAGAGCTGGAAAAGGGATGCTCATGTGTCCCCAGACTTGTCTGTTCCTAGAACTTTCTGTTACCTAGTTTAGTCATGGCCTCATACTTTCTCTTCATATACACATAGAGGATTTTCTCTGAGGCTTTCATCTTTTCCCACTCTTCCTTAGAGAAGTATTTGGCAATATCATCGAAGGCCTACAAAAAAAAAAGGAATTATGGCAGGGACTCAGCTAGGCATGTCTGCCATTCAGCTGGAGCCACTTCCTGTGTGCTGGATCTGGGAATTGGGGATGATAATCCGTCCTGGTTGATGCCATGGCTAACTGACAGAACATGGGGGGCCTACCCTAGCTTCTCCCCTGCCACACAGTAGAGCTTTAATGCTGCTGTCTGGCTCTCTTCCCACCATCCAGAATGGACTGAGAGTCACCAAATGTAGTGCAAGGTCAGAGACTTGTCTCCAGGGATGCTAGATGATGACAGAGCGAGGGTGGGAGGCTCCCAAGGGTCCAGATCTCCCCTGAGACCCTGCTCCTTGTCCCCAGTACCTCTGTCCTCCCCTCCTCAGAAACCGGGTCACCCCACACTGTCCCTGGGCCACTACTGTATCTCCTCCAGGTCACCTCACCTTTTGTATCTTCTCTGGTATTTGAGCATCAACCCTGGGTCTCCTTGCAAAGGCGTCGTCTCCATTCATGGCACCGGGAGCAGTCTGACCTGCAAGAGAAACTGCCTGAGACTTTCCAGGCTCAAGACCTTTGGTCCTGTGGAGGGAGAAATCAGTGAAGTCCGGCCACACTCAGTCACCTCGAATCAGGTGCTGCATTTCTCCATCCGGGGCTTATCTGTCCCTGAGTAAGGACATGGGGAGAAATCAGATGAAAACAGGGAACCAGGGGTCTCTGGGAGAAGTATTGATCGGGGATGACAGGTTTCCTATGGGCAAAGCAGCCTTGAGTCTTTGGGAGGGGGTTGGCTAATGTTGTTAGTAGTTTCCCTGGGGCCAGGCTTACCCTGAAAGATGTACAGACCCTTGTTTGGGAAGGCAGGGACCTGACTGTGCAATTTTATTGAGTGGGGGCGTTCTGACACCCCCACTCAATAAATAGAGGAAGGGATGTGAGTCCCAGACATAACGTGGTCTCTCTGGTGATGGATCTGATCAGGCAGAAGGATGGGGGTTTCTGTTCTTTTGAAGAGAAATGAGCATTGCTACTATGAATGAATTTAGAGGCTATTACTGGGTGATTTTTAAATTATTAGAAGGAAGAGAGCTAGAATTTCTGAGCCTACAAGAGCCCACCAACACTTAGAGAGAATGTGGGGGCGTTTCAAGATGTAGCATTCAGCCAGGCGCAGTGACTCTCACCTGTAATCCCAGCACTTTGGGAGGCCGAGGCGTGCAGATCGCTTGAGCCCAGGAGGTCGAGATCAGGCTGGGAAACAGAGCAAAACTCCCGTGTCTACAAAAAATTAGCTGGGGGTGGTGGCGCAGGCCTGTACCATCCCAGCACTTTGGGAGGCCAAGGTGGGCAGATAGCTTGAGCCCAGGAGCTTGAGACCAGCCTGGCCAACATAGCGAAACCATCTCTACTAAAAAAAAAACAAAAAAAAGAAAGAAAAAAAAGAAGAAACACCTTAGCAGAAGCGGGGTGGCGTGTGCCTGTAGTCTCAAGGCCTAGGTGAGAGGATCACTTGAGCCCAGGAGGAAAGATTTGAGTGAGCTTTTTTTTTTTCTGATACATAGTCTTGCTCTGTTGCCCAGGCTGGGGTGCAATGGCATGATCTTGGCTCACTGCAACCTTTGCCTCGTGGGTTCAAGCAATCCACCAGCTGTGGCCTCCAAAAGTGCAGGGATTACAAGCGTGAGCCACTGTGCCCAGCCCAAATTTCTTAAGTTACTACAGAGTTCCCAGGAAAAATCCCATACCTGAAAAAGTTAGAAACTGACAAGAAGGATTTGAGATGGCGACCTGCCTCACATACACTCCTTATTAAAACTAGATAACAAATGCACCGCAGAGGAGAGGAGGGGTAGGAAGAATGGAAAAAGAAAACCAGTGTATGCTTACTCTGATTTTGGAAGAATCAAAAGAGAAAATCAGAGCGTGTGTACTCTGCAGAAGAATGGAAAGAGAGAGAAAGGCAGAGCATGCGTACTCTGCACTTAAAGTAGCCAATCCCTGGGGATGCTTTAGGCGGGAAAATCAGAGTCTCCGCCCCCAGTTTGAGAAGGTTCTGTCCCTGGAGGCGGGACTGATAGACGCCACATCAGCTTCGTTCCTCCCGCCTACTGTTCTGACTTCTGATTGGCCAGATGAAGTTCACTAACTGCCCTGATTGGTCCATCATCCTTGAGCAGTGACATTGCACAATATTGTCTCCTCCTCCAGCCACACTTTGTTGCCATTGCGACAGAGTCAGGAGATTTTGATCTCTCCAAAGACCTCCCCTGGATCTTGTGTTAAACATCTGGATTCTAGTCTGAACAGCGAGAAGAAAAAAATAGTCGGATCTGTGATTTTTCTACTTGAAAGACACAATGTTTTCCAAACTAGCACATTTGCAGAGCTTTGCTGTACTTAGTCGTGGCTTTCATTCTTCAGTGGCTTCTATATCTGTTGCAACTGAAAAAACAGTCCAAGGCCCTCCAACCTCTGCTTACATTTTTGAAAGGGAATCTAAGTGTGGTGTGCACAATTACCATCCTTTACCTGTAGCCCTGGAGAGACAAAAATGTATTTACTTATGGGATATGATTGTGGTATTGGTTACATCCACCTTGGCCAATCCTCCCGCCTCGGTCTCACAACTACAGGCACGAACCACCCCACCCCCACTCATATTTTTTGGTTTTTGATTTTTTAATAGAGACGGTTTCACTATGTTGGTCAGGCTGGTCTCGACGTCCTGGGCTCAAGGGATCCTCCCGCTGCAGCCTTGGGACTACAGGCGTGCACCAACCTGCCCATGATTTTTTTTTTTTTAATAGAAACCATGTTTCGCTATGTTAACCAGGCTGGCCTCAACGTCCTGGGTTCAAGGGCTCCTTCTGCCACTGCCTCAGGACTACTGGTATGTGCCACCTGGCCCATGCTTTATTTGTTTGTTTGTTTGTTTGTTTGTTTCATTTTTAGTAGAAACCGGATTTTGCTATGTTGCCCAGGCTGGTCTCAATCTCCTGGACTCAAGTGATGTTTTTACCTCGGCCTCAGGACTACAGGCGTGTGCCATTCTGCCTTGCTCATTTTTATTTTATTTATTTATTTTTTTATTTTCATTTTTTTTTCGGAGAGGCAGGCTTTCGCTATGTTGGTCAGGCTGGTATCGACCTCCTGGGCTCAAGCAATCCTCCCACTTTGGCCTGGGACCTGCAGGGGTGAGCCACCCCGCCCACGCTATTTTTTTGTTGTTCTTGTTATTAGAAATGGGGTTTCGCTATGTTGCCCAGGCTGGCCTCGACCTCCTGGACTCAAGCAATCCTCCCCCATCGGCCTTGGGACTACAGGCTCACACCACCTAGCCCCCACTAATATTTTTAATTTTTCTAGTAGAGACAGTTTTGCTATGTTGTCCAGGCTGTTCTCTACCTCCTGGGCTCAAGCGATCCTCCGGCCTCGGCCTTGGGTCTACAGGCATGCACCACCCTGCCTTTTGCTGTTTTTCCCAGGCTGGTCCTGACCTCCTGGGCTCACTCAATGATTTGAACCCAGGAATCGGAGGTTGCATTGAGCTGAGATCACACCACTGCACTCCAGCTTGGGCGACAGAGCAAGACTGTCAAATAAATAAATACACGAAAGAAAGGAAAGGAAAAAGGAAAGGAGGAGGAAAGGAAAAAGGAAAGGAAAGGAAAAAGGGAAGGGAAGGGAGGGGAGGGGAGGGGAGGGGAGGGGAGGGGAGGGGAGGGGAGGGGAGGGGAGGGGAGGGGAAGGGAAGGGAAGGGAAGGGAAGGGAAGGGAAGGGAAGGGAAGGGAAGGGAAGGGAAGGGAAGGGAAGGGAAGGGAAGGGAAGGGAAGGGAAGGGAAGGGCGACCAGCTGACTCTCCATAAGAACAGTAAGCTTTGTGGTATTTTAAGTTATCCTGGTCCCGTCTCGTGCTCCTAGCTTGGTTCTGTTCATTGCTGATGAAATACAGATAGGATTGGCCAGAACTGGTAGATGGCTGGCTGTTGATCATGAAAATGTCAGACCTGATATAGACCTGCTTGGAAAGGCCCTTTCTGGGGGCTGACACTCTTGTGTCTGCAGTGCTGTGGGATGATGACATAATGCTGACCATTAAGCCAGGGGAACGTGGGTCCACATACGGTGGCAATCCACTAGGCTGCTGAGTGACCATCGCAGCCCTTGAGGTTTTAGAAGAAGAAAACCTTGCTGAAAATGCAAGGTTTTTATCTCAAGGGTATTATCTTGAGAAATGAACCCATGAAGCTACCTTCTGATGCTGTGACTGCGGTAAGAGGAAAATGATTATTTTATGTATTCATTTATTTATTTTTTTGAGTCAGAGGTTCACTCTGGTTGCCCAGGCTGCAGTGCAATGCCACGATCTTGGCTCACTGCAACCTCCGCCTCCTGGGTTCAAGCCATTCTCCTGCCTCAGCCTCCTGAGTAGCTGGGATTACAGGCACGTGCCCCTATTCCCAGCTAATTTTTGAATTTTTAGTAGAGATGGGGTTTCACCATGTTGGTCAGGCTGATCTCGAACTCCAGAACTCAGGTGATGCACCCGCCTCGGCCTCCCAAAATGTTGGGATTACAGGCGTGATCCACTCTACCCAGGAGGAAAATAATTATTAATTTCTATTGTTATTAAAGAAACCAAAGATTGTGATGCTTGGAAGGTATGTCTACAACTTCCAGATTATGGGCTTCTGGCCAAGCCAACCCATGGTGACATCATCAGGTTTCGCCTCTGCTGGTGGTCAAGGAGGATGAGATTCGAGAGTCCAGTGAAATCAATAACAAGACCATCTTGTCATTCTGAGGGTAGCAGCTGTTTTCACTGGTCCCTGGGAGCCGGCTGGAGACAGGTGGTCCTGTAAAAGCTCTGCTCTTAATGCGGGCACATTCCACTCCCATGTGTCTTCAAAACCTTTTTCTGGAATATATGTGTTTTTCAGTTGATACAAAAATCTATGTTTTTCTCAGTTGATATATAATAGAACAACATTTTTGAACCTGCCTTTTGCTTTGTAACATAAGTAAGAGAATGTAAAGGCATCTCTATTCAGTGAAAGTATTTTGATGTGCAGAACATGGCTGGGTGCAGTGGTTCATGCTTGTAATCCCAGCATTTTGGGAGGGCGAGGTGGGCAGATCACTTGAGGTCAGGAGTTTGAGACCAGCCTGGCCAACATGGAGAAACCCAGTCTCTACTAAAAATACAAAAATTAGCTAGGCGAGTTGGTGGGTGCCTGTAGTCCTAGCTACATGGGAGGCCGAGACAGGAGAATCACTTGAACCTGGGAGGCAGATGTTGCAGTGAGCTGAGATTGTGCCACTTCACTCCACCCTAGGTGACAGACTGAGAATCCCCTTAGGAGGAAAAAAAAAAAAAGGAAAACGAGGTACAGAACATTTCCATCACCACAATGCTATCCCTTGTGCTACTCATTTTTAGTAATACTCACTCTTCTCCCATCTACCACCCCTAACCCCTGGCAACCTCTAATCTGTTTTTCATTTCCACAATTTTGTCTTTTCTAGAATGTTGTACAAATGAAATCTTGTAGTATATAACGTTTTAGGGGCTTATTTCACTCAGCATAATTCCATGGAGATTCCTCCAAGATATTAATATTTGTGTATCAATAGTTCATTGTTGTTGTTGTTGAAACAGAGTCTCGCTCTGTCGCCCAGGCTGGAGTCCAGTGGCATGATCTCGGCTCACTGCAACCTCTGCCTCCTGGGTTCAAGTGATTTTCCTGCCTCAGCCTCCCAAGTAGCTGTGACTACAGGCGTGCGCCACCACACCCTGGTAATTTTTGTATTAGTCGTAGAAACGCGGTTTCAACATATTGGCAAGTCTGGTTTTGAACTCCCGATGTCGTGATCCACCCGCCTCGGCCTCCCAAAGTGCTGGGATTACCTATGGGAGACACTGGGGCCAGTAAATAGTTCATTTTTATTACTGAGTAGTATTCCATGGTATGGATGTACCACAGTTCTACCATTCGCTTATTGCAGGACATATTGATTATTTCCAGCTTTTGGCTATTACAAGTAAAGCTGCTATGAACAATTATGTACAGGTTTCTGGATGGACATACATTTTAATTTCTCTGAAGTGTAATTGTTGAATTGTATGGTAATTGCATGTTTAGTCTTATAAGAAACTACCAAACTGCTTTCCAGAGTGGCTGTAAGATTTTACCTTCCCAGCAGCACTAAATGAACTGTCCAGTTTCTCTGCATCCTTGTCACCATTTGGTGACTATGTTGTCACTATGTCTTTTATTTTAGCTATTGTAATAAGTGTGTAGTGATACCTCATTGTGGTCTTAATTTGCATCCAATGAAGCAAATGAGTGTTGAACATCTTTTCATGTGCTTATTTGCTTATTCCTTCTTCAGTGAAATGTTCACATCTTTTCATGATTTTCTAATTGGATTATTTGTTTATATTTTTTACCATTGAGGTTTATTCTTCTTATTATTATTATTATTTTTCTTGAGAAAGAGTCTCACTCTGTTACCCAGGCTGGGGTGCAGGGAATGATCTTGGCTCACTCCAACCTCCACCTCCCAGGTTCAAGTGATTCTCATGCCTCAGCCTCCCGAGTAGCTGGGATTACAGGCAGGCATCATCATGCCTGTCTAATTTTTTATTTTCAGTAGAGATGGTATTTTGCCATGTTGCCCAGGCTGGTCTCGAACTCCTGGCCTCAAGGGATCTGCCCTCCGTCGACCTCGACCTTTCAATGTGCTGGGATTACAAGCCTGAGCCACCATGCTCAGCCTACCGGTGAGTTTTGAGAGTACTATACATATCCATTATATATTCTGGATGTGAGTCCTTTCTTAGATATGTGGTTTGCAAACATTTCCCCCAGGTCATACCCTTTTTTTCATCATTTTAACAAGATTTCTTGTAGAGCAAAACTTTTAAATGGGATGCAATCCAATTTATTTGTTTTCCTTATGGATTATGCTTTTTGAACTGTTCACTATGCCCTAGATCTCAGATGTTTCTCCTATGCTTTCTTGTAAAAGTCTTTTTTTAGTTTTATATTTTAGATTTAAGTCTATGATCCACTTGAGTTTTTTTTTTTTTTTTTTTTGTATAAAGGTAAGAAGATTAGGCCTTTTTTTTTTTTTTTTTTTTTTTGGCCTGTGGATATGAAACTGCTCTAGCACCATATGTTAAGCAGACAATACTTCCTTATTTTGTCTCTTCGTAAAAAAAATCAGTGTGGGGCTATTTCTAGGTTCTCTATTTTGTTCCCGTGATCTATGTGTCTATCCTTCTCTCAATACTACACAGTCTTGATTCCTGTAGCTATATAAGAAGTATTGAAATATGGTAGAGCCATTCCTCCCACCTTATTCTTCTTTTCCAAAAATTGTCTTAGCTACATATATATATTGTGAGATGCAGTCTCACTTGTGTTGCCCAAGCTGGAGCGCAGTGGGGTGATCTCGGCTCACTACAACCTCTGGTTCAAGTGATTCTCCTGTCTCAGCCTCCCAAGTAGCTGGGATTTCAGCTGTGTGCCACCACGCCTGGCTAATTTTTGTATTTTTAGTAGAGGGGGGGTTTCGCCATGTTGGCCAGGCTGGTCTTTAACTCCTGACCTCAAGCAATCCACCCGTATCGGCTTCCCAAAGTGCTGGGATTACAGGCGTGAGCAACCATGCTCGGCATTGTCTAAGCTATTGAAAATTTGTTACAGCAGCAATCAAGAATGAATACACACAGAAACATTTAATAGCGAAACAAAATAGAAGGTCAAGAAACAGACTAATCTGTATGCAAACTTCAGCATGCATTTCCAAACAGTGGGCAAAAGATGATGGGTTGTATAATATATGACTGCTTGACAAGCGTCTATCCATTTGAAAAAATAAAGATTAAGTCCTTACTTTGAAGCACATAAAATAATAAATTCTAAAAATTCAGTGACTTAAATGTGAAAACCTGAAATCATAAAGAACTAGATGAAAATTTAGGAAAATATTACAGTGTAAGACACCTTGAGTTGGCATAGGAACTTCCTGACATTACACCAAGGCTATGAACAATGAATCTGACATAAAGATGTAAAAATTAAAGTATCATCTAATTCAAAAGACACCATAAACAACTGTTTAAAAAGGCAAATGTTGGGGAAATTGGTGAAGCATCCCCAATAAATTAAGAGTAACCATCTCTAATATACAACAAAGCTTTTGCCTATCTATAAGAGAAACTGGAACAACCCAATGAGAAAATGTGTTCAGGCATGGCACTACTTCACCGTATAGCAGAAAAGGATTACGAAATAGAAAGTACGAAAGAAAAATAATAAAGGAAATGGAGAATAGAACCCAAAAGTTTCAACATTCGTCCAATAGAAGCTCCAGAGATAGGCCAGGCGCAGTGGCTCACGCCTGTAATCCCAGCACTTTGGGAGGCCGAGGTGGGCGGATCACCTGAGGTCACGAGCTTGAGGCCATCCTGGCCAATGTGGTGAAACCCCATCTCCACTAAAAATACAAAAATTAGCCAGGCATGGTGGCACATGCCTGTAATCCTAGCTACTAGCGGTGCTGAGGCAGGAGAATCACTTGGACTTGGGAGGCGGAGGTTGCAGTGAGCCGAGATCGTGCCACTGTACTCCAACCTGGGCAACAGCGCTAGACTCTGACTCAAAAAAAAAAAAAAGAAAAGAAAGAAAAAAGAAAGGAAAAGAAAAGAAAAAAAAAGAAGTTCCAGAGATAGAAAATAGAAAGACCGGGTCGGGCGCCATGGCTCACACCTGTAATCCCAGCACTTTGGGAGGCCAAGGCAGGCAGATCACCTGAGGTCAGGAGTTAGAGACCAGCCTGGCCAACATGGTGAAACCTCATCTCAACTGCAAATACAAAAATTAGCCCGGTGTGGTTGTGCACACCTGTAACCCCAGCTACTCAGCAGGTTGGGGCAGGAGAATCACTTGAACCTGGGAGGCGGAGGTTGCAGTGAGGTGAGATCACACCATTGCACTTCAGCCTGGGCAACAACAGTGAAACTGTCTAAAAATAAATAAATAAATAAATAAAAATAAAAGGCCGGGCATGGTGGCTCACACCTGTAATCCCAGCACCTTGGGAGGCTGATGCAGGCAGCTCACCTGTGATCAGGAGTTGGAGACCAGCCTGGCCAACATGGTGAAGCCTCGTCTCTACAAAAATACAAAAATTAGTCAGGCATAGTGTCACACGCCTGTGGTCCCAGCTACTCAAGGGACTGAGGCAGGAAAATTGCTTGGACTCAGGAGGAGGCAGAGGTGCAGTGAGTCAAGATCGAGTCACTGCACTCCAGCCTGGGCGAAAGAGCAAGACTCCGTCTCCATATAAAAAAAAAAAAGAATGAAGTCGAAACACATCTAATAGTAGCCTTATAAGAGAAGAATATAGTCATTAAAAAGGAGAGTGTACTTAAACAAGTAATGAGTGAGAATTTCTCAGATTTAGACAAATGTCTTAAGATTTAAAGGGATCTTCGTACACACACACATACACACACACAGGAACAGTGAAATGAAAAATTGTGAAAGACAAAGAAAAAATATTTTTTAAATGATCTGAGAGAAACAGCAGGTTACTTACAAAGGAAAAATATTTAAACCTTCATCAGGCCTCTCAAACACCACACTGGAGGCAAGGATACAATAGTGTAATAACTCCAAACTGTTGAACGAAAGGAATTTGTTTTCTTTTTTTTTTGAGACAGAGTCTAGCTTTGTCACCCAGGCTCAAGTGCAGTGGCATGATCTCGGCTCACTGTAACCTCTGCCTCCCAGTTTCAAGCGATTCTCCTCAGCCTC
This sequence comes from Homo sapiens, assembly GCF_000001405.40. Lineage (NCBI taxonomy): Eukaryota > Metazoa > Chordata > Mammalia > Primates > Hominidae > Homo > Homo sapiens. Next base: position 48,286,895 of record NC_000023.11, read on the forward strand.
CTGAGTAGCTGGGGCTACAGGCACACACCACCACACCTGGCTAATTTTTGTACTTTTAGTGCAAAGTTAGTAGAGATGGGGTTTCGCCATGTTGGCCAGGCTGATCTCGAACTCCTGACCTGAGGTGATCTGCCTGCCTTGGCCTCCCAATGTGCTGGGATTATAGGGGTAAGCCACTGCACCCAGCGAAAGAAAGGAATTTTTATATTTGGTGGAGTAAGGCAATGTCAGGCATATAACACTTCAGGAGATCGAAGACACAGGGAAATGTTAAAGCAAACAAGTATTTATTGCAATTGTTAAAGACGGTAAGGAAGGGCCATCTGCAGTGGCTCATGCCTGTAATCCCAGCACTTTGGGAATCCAAGGCAAGAGGGTTCGTTGAGCCCAGGAATTCAAGACCAGCCTGGGCAACATGGCGAAACCCCGTCTCTACAAAAAAATACAAAAATTAGACAGGCACATCAAGTTCCTGGGTCTGTAGAGAATTTTTTTTAAAAATAGCTGGATTTGGTAGTGTGTACCTATAGTCCCAGCTACTTGGGAGGCTGGGACAGGAAGATTGCTTGAGCCCTGGAGTTTGAGGCTGCAGTGAGCTAGGATTGTGTCACTGCACTCCAGCCTGAGAGACAGAGTGAGACTTTGTCTCTGAAAATAAAAAAAAAAGATCGTAAGGACGACTTTACTCAGAGCGGGAACTACTGTGATAGGCACAGGGACAACTGCAATGGGGTCTTGCGGTGGGAGAGTGATATTGGGATCGACTTCAACTCCACCAAGGACAAGTGGGGATTTGTAGTCAGGGAGTAGGAGCCGGGGGTCAGAAGATGGGAAATTACTTGGAGGAAATCTCAGGTGTGCAGGGGGATTCTGGATAAACTGATTTGACAGGATTTTGGTGAAACAGGCTAAATGGGCAGAGTCCCTGGATGAAGGACAGAGCCCGAGGTTGGGACCTAGTCAGAAACAGGACTCAGAGGAGCCTGACTCAAGTTTGGTCAAAGGAGAGTGTCTCTGTGTGAAAGCATAAGCAAGAAAGTCAACAGAAGTAAAATGAATGGATCACAAAGGAGAATTTTTGTGCATTGCTAAGCAGGACTCTGCTTTAACCATTGTGAAAGTTTATTATGTGAAGTGAGTCATTCTTAGTTGTTTTTTAAGTTCTTATTTGCAGAGGAAGCCTTCAGGTACTATGCTTCAGAGAGAACAGGTTGTAACTTTTTGTTTGTTTGGTGTTTTTTGAGACAGAGTCACTATGTTGCCAGGCTAGAGTGCAGTGGCTCCTTCTCCGCTCACTGCAGCCTCCGGCTCCCGGGTTCAAGCAATTCTCCTGACTGAGCCTCCCGAGTAGCTGAGACTACAGGCCCATGCCACCATGCCGGGCTACTTTTTTGCATTTTTAGTAGAGACCGGATTTCACTGTGTTAGCCAGGATGGTGTGGATCTCCTGACCTCGTGATCCGCAAGTCCTGGTGATCCAACAAGTCTGTGTTGATGTTGATGCCAGAGAGATATAATGAGGCATTCCTGACCTACACTTCCTGTCATGGCCTGAAACCGTCTCTCAGGTTAAATTTTAAAAGAGCCCTGGCTTAGGAGGACATCCATTCAGATGGTGGGGGGCAGGGGGCTTAGGATTTTATTTTTGATTTATAAGTCTTATAAGATAAAAGTGCATAAATTTTAAGGAACAAGTCTCGTGCCTGATGTATGGACCACACAAAAAGTTCACCAAACTATCCAATGCCATAACCAGAGACATTCCAAAGACAAATCAGGGTGAGGAGATGATATTTCCACACTGTAGACAGATTTTCCGAAGACATCAGAATAAGTCTTCATATCATAATGAGACTCTTATCCCCTTAATGTCTACATTTTTCCCTTGACAGAACCTAACCCCCAAATCCTTTCCTTCACCTAGTGGTCCCTTTTATAGAGTTGGCACTCTGCTTTAATTCAACCCAGTCCTAAAATGCTACTCAAAGACTACAAGAGGTCTCATTCACTTCCCCCATAGTCTTTTAATTTGTTTAGCTGGTGTTTACCTCAGTCTTGGGATCTTGGTTCAAAACCATTGTACAAACTAAATTTATTATACTATTGCTAATTATAGCTGGGTGCGGTGGCTCACGCCTGTAATCCCAGCACTTTGGGATGCCAAGGAGGGCGGATCACTTGAGATCAGGAGTGCGAGACCAGCCTGGCCAACATGGTGAAACCCTGTCTCTACTGAAAATACAAAAATTAGCCAGGCATGGTTGTAAGCAAATGTAATCCCAGCTACTCGGGAGGCTGAGGCAGGAGAATCTCTTGAACTCAGGAGATGGAGGTTGCATTGAGCCGGGATCACGCCACTGCACTTCAGCCTGGGAGACAAAGCAAGAATCCATCAAAATAAAATAAAATAAAACAATTGCTACTTATTTTGATATTATGATCTTTGAGCTCCATTCTTGTTGCCTGTCTAATATTTGTTAAGCCAGTTCTCCTAACAGGATAATGTTAGCCCAGTGAGTCAAGATGATTGCTAATACAGATGGGACTAATAACATGGAACTTGATGCTGAACTCCAGGCAAACCTGGCATGGAGTGACAATGAAGCCTCACTTTAAGATGGTTGATCAGTGAGGTTTTGAAAGAAAGGTGTTGTTGAAAAGAGGGAATGTGAAAGCTGATTGTGCAAATGAACCAGCTTCTCCAGTGCCAATGCGACTCATTTCAAAACAATATGTAACACTTTTCTTTCTAATAAAACTTCCAGCTTCTCTGTGTTCGTTGGACATACTGAAGACCACCCCAGTCCTTGTATATGCCCTGGATTGCAATTTTGTGATTCCCAAATACAGCATTTGATTTAGGATTTGTCTCTATAATTTATTTTGACTTTAACACAATTAACCAGTATGATGTGTTTAAAGGTCGCCCCGTCCCCTGACAAGGTGAGTATTATACTGAATTTAAAAATTCATTCTAGAACAGGCATGGTGGCTCATGTCTGTAATCCTAACACTTTGGGAGGCCGAGGTGGGTGGATCACCTGGGGTGAGGAGTTCAAAACCAGCCTGGCTAAAATGGTGAAACCCCATATCTACAAAAAATACAAAATTAGCTGGGCCTGGTGGCGCATGCCTGTAATCCCAGCTACTTGGGAGGCTGAGACAGGAGAATCGCTTGAACTCAGGAGACAGAGGTTGCAGTGAGCCGACATCGCACCGTTGCACTCCAGCCTGGGCAACAAGAGAGAAACTCTGTCCCGAAAAAAAAAAAGCATTCTATTATAATCTTGATAATTGCTTTGCTGTGCATTTTACTATGGACTTGTTGGATATTTAGGTGGCTGTAAACTATGCAGAGAAAGTTAGAAACAGCAGTGGAGATAATTAGAAAATTGTAGTGTTACTATAAAAGAATAAGAAAAGGGGGAAATTGTAAGGGTAACGAAACATAAAATTGAATTTTTCCTGTTGCCTAAAGGGAAGAAGAAACCTTTCTCCATTTCACCTTCCTTAGAGCATTTCCTTGAGAAAATTTGTATTTGTAAATTCTTCCTTTGATCTGTAAGCCTCTGTCCACCCTATAACCCAGGAATGTCTTGAACTTGAACTCCAGGCCTCAAGTGATCCTCCAGCCTCAGCCTCCCAAAGTGTTGGGATTACAGGCATGAGCCACCACGCCCAGTCCCTAGAAATGTCTTTCTTCAAGGCCTTGGAGCCATCTCTTTGAAATGTGAACATCGAGGAAGATGATTTCCTTGTTTCCCTGTCACCAGGGGAGTTTAGCCTAGGTGACTTGCTCCAAACTGTAAGCACCTGCTTGTCATAGAGATATGAGTTTTATTTTTCCTTCAGATAAGGGCAGTTAACTAGCACAGATGGGTACTCCAAATACTTGGTGAACTTAGGACTTGCCTGGGAATATTTAGTTTTCATCCTTGGCTGTTGCTGTACAACCAGGCCAGTTAGCCACACACCTGAAATTTCTGGTTTCTGCTACGACTTTTTATTGTTTGTTTGGCTTTTTCTTGTTTGTTTGTTTTTGAGAGGGAGTCTCCCTCTGTTGCCCAGGCTGGAGTGCATTGGTGCAATCCCAGCTCATTGCAACCTCTGCCCCCCAGGGTCCAGCGATTCTCCTTCCTCAGCCTCCCGAGTAGCTGGGATTACATGTATGTACCATCATGCCCAACTAATTTCTGTATTTTTAGTAGAGACGGGGTTTCACCATGCTGGCCAGGATGGTCTCGAACTCCTGACCTCATAATCCGCCTGTCTTGGCCTCCCACAGTGCTGGGATTACAGGTGTGAGCCACCACGCCTGGCCTCTGCTAACACTTTTGGATTGTATGAAACACTACACTTCCAAGTGTGGGATCTGGCTTCCTAGACAGCTGTCAAAGGGGCAGTTGATGCAATCTAGAAGTGTAGGGGAGTTCGCACCTGTGGGGTAAATTTTGACCAATAAGAAAAGGAACCAGGAGTGAGAGTCAGGAACGTAATTCCCTCTCCTCTCCTCTCCCCATGCACCATTCCAGGAGGCATTGTTTCTCAGTATAGTCTGTCTAGAGGTGTCCTGTATGGCCCAAATTCTGTTTCCTTGGGAACCTGAGCTAAAACAATGGGCATGCAAACACTCGAAGAGAGTGCTAAGTGTTGTGGAGGACCCAGATCTGGGCAGAGGAAAATTATCCCAATAAGAAAATGGACAATTTGAGGATGTGGAATAGAGGGAAGGACTAGAAGAACCAGTAGTAGTATAGCTTAGGGGTACTATTTTTGGAGAAAAAGGCAGTTCTGGTGATTGTTCCAGTGAATTGCTCAGCTCTGTTATATATATATATATATATATATATATATATATATATATATCCTTTCTTTCCATCATTTTCCCCTATGAAATCATCCATAAAGTATCCTTTTATAACTATCTGTTGCCTGTGAAGTGAATTTTCTTTTTTTCTTTATCTTTTTTATTTAGAGATAGAGTCTCTGTCGCCCGGGCTGGAGTGCAGTGGTGCGATCTCGACTCACTGCAATCTCCGCCTCCCGAGTTCAAATGATCCTCCCGCCTCAGCTGCCCTAGTAGCTGGGACTACAGGCGCGCACCACCAATGCCCAGCTAATTTTTTAATTTTATTGTATCTTTAGTACAGAAGGGGGTTCACCATCTCGCCCAGGCTGGTCTCGAACTCAGTTGATCCACCCGCCTCAGTCTCCCAAAGTGCTGGGATTACAGGCGTGAGCCACCGCACCCAGCCTGTCACTTTCCTTTTGGAGAATAAAACATATTGAGTCTTCTGCCAAAATGCAGGGGAAGCTGCACCCAGACAGGTAACAAAACATTATATATATATAGATAGGTTTTCTACATACCAATATTAACCATTTAGAAAACCAAATTGAGAAAAAATACACTTATATAGTGACAAATATACATAAAATATCTAAAACCAGATGATTGGAGCAAGATGGCAGATAGATCCCATGCCCCACTCAACATTCCATTGAACTGGGATGAAAATGTTTTCAAGGGTCAATCCTTAACAGTAGAGGAAAATAGGAAAACGTGCCAGTGGTCCACCAGAAATATTGAGGCATTCCTGGGAGATAGAGTAGATGGGATCAGACTGATAGAGAAACCCAAGGAGACAAGACCACAGCTCAAATCACTGTAGGCGAGAGATGCTGTTTGAGACAGAGACTTACTCTGTCGCCCAGGCTGGAGTGCAGTGGCGTGATCTCGGCTCACTGCACACTCTATCTCCCAGGTTCAAGGGATTCTCCTGCTTCACTCCCCACTGTATCTGGAATTCACAGGAGCCTGCCACCACCGCCAGCTGATTTTTGTATTTTTAGTAGAGATGGGGGTTTCACCCTGTTGGCCAGGCTGGTCTCCAACTCCTGACCTCAAGTGATCTGCCTGCCTCGGCCTCCCAAAGGGCTGATATTACAGAGTGGGTCACCGCGCCTGCCCAGGAGACGCTCTTTGTAACAAAGCCTCTGAAAATCCCCAAACCCTAAATCAAAAAAACACGGAGCTGGAAAGGGCCTTAGGATAATCATCAGGTAGGTTAATTTAAAAGTTCGTTAGAAACGTCTGAATCAGCCAGATTCCGCTCCAACACCACACTCAGATTGGCTGGCAGTAGCCACTTTTGTCTCTAAGATGAAACTCTGATAATTGTTCATTAAAGAAAGTGAAGGCCTGGCGAGGTGGCTCACACTTGTCATCCCAGCACTTTGGGAGGCTGAGGCAGGAGGATTGCCTGAGGCCAGTGTATCCAGACCAGCCTGGGCAACATAGTGGATGCCGTCTCTATAAAAAAATACAAAAACTAGCTGGGTGTGGTGGCGTGTGCCTGTAGTCCCAGCTAGATCAGAAGCTGAAGTGGGAGAATCCCTTGAGCCTGGGAGATCCGGGCTGCAGTGAGCTGTGCTTGCATCACTGCGTTCCAGCCTCGGCGACAGACTGCGATTCTGTCTCAAAAAAAAAAGTAATGTATCAGGACTTGGTGTAACTTCAGCCCTTTACAGTAATAAACAAGGAGGGAAACACATTTGTGGAGAGGGGACCATGTTCACTCTTTATCCATGATAGACAGATAGTCCGGAGCTTTATATACCCATGGAACCTAAGGAAAAATGTTCCCTTTCATGACTCACAATCTTCCAGCCACCCTTCCTTGTATCTGTCTTGTGGGCTCCGGGAACCACCTTATGGATCCCATCATCCCAGGGAGAAAGAAAAATCAAATCCTTCATTATCTCTTTTGGGGTATGCGCTCCTCTAGTTGCATGGAGTTTAAGGCACTCAATATCTAATAGCTGAATGTTACATTTGTGTAATACAGAACTATATTGGGATAAAACAGAATTTGTTTCCTCTGAGACACAGGTAGAGGCAGGTCCACACTGACCTGGGTGGCAGCCACCTCTTCCTGAAGTGCCAGGCAGGGCATGCTCACAGATCTGGGGAACCTCTTGCTCCTGGAGCCCCACAACCTCCTTCCTGGCACCCTCTCCCTCTGGTGGCTGTGACAGCCCACACTTGGCCTTGGGTATCCCCTGCTTCTTTGCCTGCCCTTCTTCTGCCCAGGCTGCACATCTCTGTCTCCCACTGTCCCCACTATGTCCACGATTGCCTCTTCCTCCCTGCACTCTCCATCTCTAAGGGCTCCTTGTCTTGGAAAATGAACCCACAGCCTCTACCTTGTGACTGGGGACAGAACCCGGAGTTTGTTCAATTCTCCCTCCCTCCACCACACACACCTGTCCTCCTTAATGTTTCTGAAGTCAGTGAGCTCCAAACTCAGCTCCTCCTGCACCTGCCAGCTGTAGGACCTGTGACAAGACGCCTGCCATCTCTCTGGGACTCCGTCTCTCATCTGTCTTATAGGCATAATGATCATAGTGTCCTCCTTCTAAGGCTGGGTAGAACCAGGAGGCCAAGGTGATGGGCCACCAACCGGCAAAACAGCTCCAATCCTGCCTCCATCTGGGGCTGGTGTTTCAAGTCCATGGTGTGTGAATGGAGCTTTGATGTCTCCATTCACACACAATGCTTTGTGCTAAAATAGACTCCCCTCTGCCCTTCCCTTCCCCACAACTGTTTCACCTCTGCACCATGCAATGGTACATGTGAGAAAGAACTGTCCCATTCCCAAATCATCGTCCCCACCCCAGCCCCCAGGCCCTTGGGTGGTGAGACCCTTGATGGGCGCTCTCATGCTTCTGTCCAGGAGACTTTCCCACCAGTTGCTCCCCTGCATGGAGACTAAGTGGACTCCTCTATTTCCTGTCCATCACAGGGTCTACAGTGCACGCATCTGCCTGATTCCTCCACTTTCCTCAGATGACAATTTCATCTGTGTCTCCTCCCACATCCACCCAAATGGACCCTTCCAGACCTTGAAACCTAAAATTTTTCAGAGAGAAAAGGCCAAGATGCCCAACCACCTGCTGCAGAATCCTGCTCCAGGACTGAAGTGTATAGTCTGTATCAAAATAAAAACTGGAGGCCAGGTGCTGCGGCTCAGGCCTGTAATCCCAACACTTTAGGAGACCAAGGTGGGAGGATCGCTTTGGCACAGGAGGTTAACACCAGCCTGGGTAACATAGAGAGATTTTCTTGACAAAACCTTAAAAAAATTAGTGGGTCATGATGGTGCATTCCTGTAGTCACAGCTTCTCTGGAGGCTGAGGTGGGAGGATCACTTGAGCCCACGAGTTCAAGGCTGCATTGAGCTATGATCATGCCACTGCACTCTAGCCTGGGAAGTGCAAGATCGCTTCTCTAGCAAAAATAAACAAACAAAGAAACCCAACAACTGGAAACATCCTCCTCTGGAATGGGGGTCAGGAACATCTGTCTGCCTTGTTCCTTGATGTCTCTCCAGCACCTAGAACAACGTCCAGCATGAGAACACACTCATTAGTGTTTTGTTGAATAAATGACTCCTTTGACACAGCAATTCAACTTCTAAGAATCTTTCCTAAAGAAATATTCACACACGTGCAGAGACCTGTGCGCACATTAATGAGAGGAGCAAACAACTGGGGAACGTTTGCAAAGGTGTATTAACTGTCAGTGACTGATACGGGGAATCAGAGGAGGGGAGTACATGCTGAACAGGAAACAGAGTGAGGGGGGCTTGACCAGGACGCATGGCAATGGGGAAAAGCAGATGGGAGATGCTTATACTGGTACTTGGTGTGTGTGTGTGTCTCTGTGTGTGTGTGTGTGTGTGTGTGTAAATGCAGAGGAGAAAATCGGAAATTAAACACTCAGAACTGCCCTCAGTAGTCACATGTGGGGAGAGAGGAAGGTAGTGCTGTTCTATGGAGAGAATACCTGACTATACTTGTTTTCTGAGGTAGGTGCATGGATACACAAACCGAAATACACATTAAGCATGTCTTGCTCATCAATGAAAACATTAATATCTAACAGAATTGCACACTATAAGAAAATACAACGGAAACACTAACATCGAACTCTTGGCACACTAAAAAATGAAGCTCAACTTTTCACTGTTGTGAACACTTGCTTTCACTTGCTATGCACCTGATGACGAGGGGTCCGCAGCCATGCCCACGTTCGTGAAAGGTCACCACATTCTGCTTCTCATCATGGGCATGTGTCGTATCCCCGAGGCTGAGGCAAGAAGAGAGAAGGAAAGTAAGTGGCAGTGAGTTCCCACCACGTGACAACTCAATCTCAACTCCTCCTGACCTGCAGACCTTGCACACTCTGATTCTGTCCTACCTCAGGACCTGTACACGCCTTCCACGGTTCCTCGAAGTGAACCATCTGCTCATGCCACAGTGACTTCTTCGCCTGGGTTATCCATTCCTAGGCTAGAGGAAGGTGTGGCCCACATACAGGGCTGACCTGGAGTTTGGAAACACACAGCATCCTGGGTAGGGAGCATCCCTGGATATACAGGGCAGGGAGTAAAAAGAGCTTGCGAAGACCAGGCGCGGTGGCTCACGCCTGTAATCCCAGAACTTTGGGAGGCCGAGGCGGGTGGATCACAAGGTCAGGAGACCGAGACCATCCTGGCTAACACGGTGAAACCCCGTCTCTACCAAAAACACAAAAAAAATTACCCGGGCGTGGTGGCGGGCGCTTGTAGTCCCAGCTACTGGAGAGGCTGAGGCAGGAGAATGGCATGAACCCGTGAGGCGGAGCTTGCAGTAAGCGGAGATCATGCTGCTGTACTGCAGCCTGGGCCACAAAGGGAGAATCCGTCAAAAAAAAAAAAAAAAAACGTGGGAAATCTCTCATCATTCGGCCTCAATGCTGTACCCTAGAAAATTATGAGAAGGGAATGATTTGGGGAACAAGTGACAGATGGGATACCAGTACCATAACAGAATACCACATCTGCAGGGATGTGGGGGATGAGCCGAAGGTTCACTTACGGAGTTACTCGTCGTCTTCTTCAGGGTCGCTGATCTCTTCATAAATCACCAGCTGCTTTCTCTCACGCAGTCTGTGGGTCCAGGCATGTTTCCCCCTTTTGGGTCCTGTGATGGAGAATAGTTGGAAAGTGAGGGTTGGGTAGGTTGGAGAGTGTTAGGCTCTGTTTTCTCAAAAAAAGGAGATGCCTCCCCCCTCCCAAGTGCCCATGGGCCTTCTTTATCCAGTTTTTCACATTCTCTGGCTTAGAGAGGCTGAGACCTTAGACCCACACCAATACAGGCCAAATGCCAATTAAAGTTTTAGCTTCTGGCTGCTTCTGTTGTGGGGTTTAGATTCCCAACCTCTTCACTTACGGGAACATCCACCCTTACCTCCTTTCATTCAGCACGTGTTTTTATTGAGGGCACCGAGGCATACTTTTTTTTATCGCACAACATTTTCATAGTGCTTCACAGATGCTGCAATGTTTTTTTTGGAAACTCTCATCAATTTTACACTTTTCCATTATTATTATATCTGTTATAGTGATCTGTGATCAGTGAGCTTTGATATTATTACTGCAATTGTTTTTGTTGTTTTTCAGGCTTTTAAAATAATTTTAAGTTTTAAATTTTTAATTTTTATTTTATTTTATTTTATTTGAGACGAAGTCTCGCTCTGTCACCCAGACTGGAGTGCAGTGGAGCAATCTCAGCTCACTGCAACCTCTGCCTCTCCAGTTCAAGCAATTCTCCTGCCTCAGCCTCCCAAGTAGCTGGGACTACAGGAGCATGTCACCACGCCTGGCTAATATTTTCTATTTTTAGTAGAGACAGGGTTTCACTGTATTAGCCAGGATGGTCTCGATCTCCCAACTTCACGATCGGCCTGCTTCAGCCTCCCAAAGTGCTGGGATTACAGGCGTGAGCCACATTGCCCGTCCGTGTGTTTTATTTTTGTGCGTACACAGTAGGTGTATGTGCTTATGGGGTACGTGAGATGTTTTGATACACGCATGCTATGCGTAATAATCACATCATGGAAAATAGGGTATCCATCCCCTCAACCATTTATCCTTGTGTTACAAACAATCCAATTACACTCTTCTAGTTTTTTAAAAATGTACAATTATTATTGACAATAATCACCCTGTTCTGTGTAATTGTTTGGGGGGTGGGTACCATGAACTGCACCCATAGAAGTTGACAAACTTAATCGACCAATGTTGTGTGTGTCCTGACTGCTCCACCGATGAGCTGTTCCACGTCTCTCCTCCTTTTCTTGGGCCTCCCTATTTCCTGAGACACAGCAACACTGAAATGAGGATTATTAACAACCTTACAATGGCCGTTAAGTGTTCAAATGAAAGGAAGAGTCGCATGCCTCTCACTCTAAATCACAAGCTAGAAATGGCTAAGCTTAGTGAGGAAGCATGCTGAAAGCCAAGACAGGCTGAAAGCTCGGCCTCTTGCACCAAACAGCCAAGCTGTGAATGCAAAGGAAAAGTTCTTGAAGGAAATAATAGTATATAATGCAAAGGGAAAGTCCTTGAAGGAAATAATAATATTAACACTCCAGTGAACACACGAATAAGAAAGCAAAACTGCCTTACTGCTCAAATAGAGAAAGTTTGAGCGGTCAGGATATTTGACGAAACCAGCCACAACATTCCCTTAAGCCAAAGTCTAATTCACAGAGAGACCCGAACTCTCTTCCAGTCCATGAAAGCTGAGAGAGGTGAAGAAGCTGCAGGAGAAACGTGTGAAGCTAGCAGAGGTTGGTTCATGAGGTTTAAGGAAAGAAGCCATCTCCATAACTTAAAAGTGCAAGGCGAAGCAGGAAACCCCGATGGAGAAGCTGCAGCAAGTTATCCAGAAGATCTAGCTAAGATCACTGTTGAAGGTGGCTACACCAAGCAACAGATTTTCAATGTAGATAAAATAGCCTTCTATCGGAAGGAGATGCCTTCTAGGACTTTCATAGCTAGAGAGAATTGACTCGAACTTTGAAAGAATTCTACTGTGGGTAAAATGCTATCCAATAGCATCACACACTACAGAGAAATCCTTCATGAAATGGAGAGCTAATCGATGTGGCAAATTTCACTGTTGTGTTCTTTTAAGAAACTGCCACAGCCACTCCAACCTTCAGCAACCACCACCTTGATCAGCCAACAGCCATCAACACCGAGGCAAGACCCTCCACCAGCAAAAAGAGTGAGTCACTGAAGACTCAGAAGATTATTAGCATTTTTAACAATGAATTATTTTAAAATAAAGGTATGTACATTTTTAGACATAACGCTACTGCACTCCTAGTAGACTGCAGTATAGTGTAAACATAATGTTTTTATGCACTGCCAAACCAAAAAAACAATGTGTGTGACTCACATTATTGCAGTGGTCTGGGACTGAATCTGCAATATCTCTGAAGTACACCTGTACTGGGTATCAGGCATTGAGCTAAGTAAGATATGATCCCAGGTTATCAAAGATAGAATCGCTTGAGCACCTTTCATATCATCAGGCCTTCTAGATTAAATATAATACTTCCAAACAATTTATGAACTATGATTCTTTATTTCCATCTTATGGACTAGGAATCTGGAACTGAGAAAATTTGGAAGACTTGCCCCAAGTCACGTGTTTTTTTATATGGATGACAACTCCAGTCTGTATCTCTGGAAGTCCAGTCAAACATCTCATCTGGAGCTGGGTGAGCTCCTCAGCCCAGTCTGCACCCAGGCTTGTCTGGGATCCATGCCACACACCCAGTCCACACACCTGAACATAGCCAGGGAAGCCAGAGGGGTTGTTCCCAAATTATTTCCTCTTCCCAGATGCCTTGTTAATCTTCTCAGAGGTAGTTGGTTTTCCCGGGGGGCACAGCTGTTTCCCATCGTTCTGTAAGCCAGATGCTTCTGGCACTTCCTTCGAATCATTTCCTACCTCTGCTGGCTTCTTGGGCATGATCTTTATAATGTGAAGGTCACAGATAAACAGTATCGGTGACATTTCTACAGTGCTTTAGAGCTTACAAAGGGTCTTCACATGCATTACTTTAATCAATGTTCTCAACAATGCTGGGAGAGTTACACTTGCCTAAATTAGGAGAAACCTGGGAGGTTAGATGGGAAAGGAATGGCCTATGTGAATATGGTTTCCAGGGCTAGAATGCTTATCTTCACACTCTTTTAAGACTGACATTCTTGCAAACAGCAAAAATCTCCATGTAATTGAGAGTTTGGTATACAAAAGATTGGAAGGAGGATAGCATTCTAAGAATTCATAAGGTCTACAAAAGGAAGAGCTTCTGTAAAATACAAGGGATCTCATATTAGCTCTTAGCTGCTGGGAGAGTAAATGTAAAAACATAGAGAGGGGACAAAACACTGCTGGGAAAGATGTTGTGGGGAGATGAATACAGGGACAGGAGAGGTAAAGAAATGGTTTGCTGAAATTAATCTAGGCAGCAAAGAAAGCAGAGGCACCAATTGAATGTGGAATTCAGTGAGGTGGTACCCATACCAATTCTGGTTGCATTGGGACGTGTCACTGACCAACAATCTTAAGCTACTTTTTTTTTTTTTTTTTTTGAGACACAGTCTTGCTCTCTTGCCAGGCTGGAGTGCACTGGCGCCATCTTGGCTCACTGCAACATCCAACTCCTGCGTTCAAGTGATTCTCCTTCCTCAGCCTCCAGAGTAGCTGGGACTACAGGCAGGTTCTACCACGCCCCGCTAAGTTTTGTATTTTTAGTAGAGACGAGGTTTCACCATGTTGGGCAGGATGGTGTTGATCTCTTGACCTAGTGATCCATCCACCCCAGCCTCCCAAAGTGCTGAGATTACAGTCGCGAGCCACCGTGCCCCGCTCTTAATCTACTTTTTATTCAGCTTCCTCACTTATGAAATAGTGAACAATACACATAAAATAGTCTATGGGAAAGTCCTCTCTGAGCTTGTAAACACTGTTTAAATGTAGTAATAATAACAATTAATACCTTTCATGATCCATCTTTGAATTCGGTCTCCACACTGGCAACCCAACTCCCAGATCCCTTTATCCTCTAAACCAGAGTTGGATCTGCAGTTGTGGGATGACTCATTCAGGGGTCTTTGAGGGAACCCCTGGGCTGGAATGGGGGCTTCCGGGACGCCCCAGGTGCAGACAAGGTCCTCAAGGAGCTCACAGTAGGGAGGGGCCAACAGTCAAAGCGATTCCTAAGCCATGCAAGTGGTCCCAGTAACAGAGCAGAGGCCAGCTGGTCCTTCCTGTTGCGAGAGCGGGTGTCTCAATGGAAGCACCAGGAGGCCCTATGGGGTAAAGCCCTAGTGAGCAACATCTGAACTTCATAAACAAATGCAAACGTGAATGAGCTTTAAATGGCTTGGAGCTCTGGATTAGACTACCACTGACACTGTGCCCCAGGAAAATTCTTTAACATCTCTGTACAATGATAGCCTCATTTTATTATTATGTTGCTGATAACTATGATCTAAAACATGAACTATGATTCTTTACTTCCATTTCATGGACCAGGAATCTGGAGCTCAGAGAACTCAGAAGATTTGTGCCAAGTCACATGGCTTTTATATGGATGACAACCGAAGTGTGTGACTCGTTATTATTTGGAGATAATAATAGAAACAACATCATAGAGGTCTTCTTAAGGATTAAATAAATTCATCCATGTGAACTGCTTAAAATAGTATCTGGCATCACTATGAAAACAAAAGATGTATTGAGGATCACAACTGTTAGTGTTATCAAGCTGTTGGTGCTACATCAGGTGTTGTGATAGATATGGGGAGAAGAAGGCAGTGAGGGCATTTTTTATATTCTCCCACTCTTACCAGTGTTCCCATCTGTGGAGGGACAAAGGTTCTCTGGTCCTTTAGATTTGAGAGATACTCACCTTCGGGAAGATTCCCTGGAGCCTGCCGAAAGTCATCTGAGAACGTTCAACTGCAAGAGAATACATCAGAATTTTTCCTTGTTGGTAAAGATTTCCAAACTCTATAGAGACTTCTGTAGCATCAGGGTATTCTCCAGCAGAGGCTTATGAGTCCACTCATTGTTGAGGAGTTATTTCAGATTTGCTTCTGAATTATGTTTAGTAATGGTTGATTCATTTATCTGTGGCATCCATTCAGAATTTTCCATCTCATAGTTTATCAAATGTGGACTAAACCCCATCACAGTCTCATCTTATTACTTTACATATCTTTTACTTTTTTCCAAATAATTAAATTGATTGGTTAAGAATCTGAACTGTATCCACTCAAGATGTGCAATAACTGAAAATCACTGTACACTTAAAATGGGTGAATCTTACGGTATGTGAATTAAGCTGTTAAATGTGTGATGAACCATGGATGATTTGGTCCAGTGGCTCTGAAATATTTTCAGTATAAAGACACTTCTTTAATGTCAAAATCTTGGCAGACACTCAAGCCCTGGATTTTCAGATCTCTTGTAGTGATCGTGGGAGATTGTAGAATCTGGCCTTTTTAGTTGGGGAGTAATAGGTCTATTGGAGATAGTTTGGACATTCTGACCTTGTCTTATAATTGTGTTGTCAGAGCAGAAGAGCAAGGAAACACATATGCCCCCTTTATATTACTGAAATGTACAAAGATCTCTACCCAAGAACCTGTCTTTTTTTCACCCTGTGTTATCTCTGCTCTCTGACAAGTGGGAAAGCTCTCTGTGTGTGGGATGAGGGATCACTCTTTCAAACTCACTCCCGAGCTCATCACAGAGAATCAGGGTTCTTTGGGAATGAGAAGACTATTTGGTTTTGATAAAATACAGAGAAACAGCGATCTTTATTACATAATGTGTTCATCAACCTCACTCCTAAGATACCTATCCAATACCTACATGCTGTTAATGAAACAAACTCTGGAAGTTTTTGGCAGATCTACACTAGTAACATTTTCTTTCTTTTTTTTTCTCTTGTAACATTATTTTAACAGTCCTTTGATTCATTAACAGTGCTTAGGAAGAACAACATGTCGTTTAAAAAAGAAATATTTCAAACACACAGAAAAGTATGGGGAATAATATTGAGTCCAGTCGGATCTCAACATTACCCCACAGCTATGTTAGGTCTGATTTATTTATTCAGAATATTAGAAAAACTACAAACAGGCCGGGCGTGGTAGCTCACACTTGTAATCCCAGCACTTTGGGAGGCTGAGGTGGGTGGATCACCTGAGGTCAGGAAGTTTGAGACCAGCCTGGCCAACATGGTAAAACCCCGTCTCTACCAAAAATAAAAAATGAGCTGGGTGTGGGGGCGGGCAACTGTAACCCCAGCTACTCCGGAGGCTGAGGCAGGAGAATCACTTGAACCCGGGAGTTGAAAGTTGGAGTGAGCTGAGATTGCCTTATTGCACTCCACCCTGGCCGAGAAGAGTGAAACTCCATCTCAAAAACAAAAACAAACAAAACACACTATCAACAAGTCACAGCTGAACCTGTCTGTGCAGCACTCAGCAATCCCTGCCCTCCCTCCCTCCTCCACTTACAGCCAGTCACCTCAATTTGATGGCTTTTTATTCACATTCATGTTTGTATACATTTACCATTTACTTATTATCTATAAAAATATATATACTTGTTTTTCATGTTTTAAAATGTTACATGAATGGCCTCTGTCGTTAACTTTCTGCATGCAATTTTTTTTCACTCAGCCCTGATGTGTATGAGGGAACAAATGCCTGAGGATCTTTCCCAGGTAACTGAGCTGAAAAGCAATTGGGCTTGATGAGACCCTTTCCAGCCCCTTCCCATCTACTCACCCTGATTCCTGTGGTTACGGTCATTATCAAAATCATTCCCCTGGAGGTCTGTGGCCCCTGTATTACACATGAAAGGTGGGAGGGTAGCCTTGAAACCTAGAAAGAAGCAAAATGTTTATTCCTAAGAGACAAGCTTTGACCTGCCACGGTGGTTCATATCTGTAGTACCAGCGCTTTGGGAGGCTGAGGCTGGAGTATTGCTTGAGGCCAGGAGTTCAAGGCTGCAGTGAGCTATGATTGCACTACTGCACTCTAGCCTAGGTGACAGACTGAGACTCTGACTCAAAAAAAAAGAAAAAAAAAGAAAGAGAGATACAAGCCGAGAGAAGGAAGGTAGGGACGGTGTGGAGGTGCCGGGATGCCACAGAGACACTTGGACTCATCAGAACAGAAGCCTAAGGGAGAGAAACGTGCAGGATCCAGGTATGAGCTCCACTGTGGCCAGTCCCTGCCCTCAGCCCTGACAGGATACAGAAGAGCAGAACACCCAGAAGCTGCCTTGCGATTTTTCCCTGCACAAAAGGAAAATGTGGGGTACTTTCTGCAGCCTAAGAAGTAGCCAAAGCAGGAAAAGGGATGCTCATGTGTCCCCAGACTTGTCTGTACCTAGAACTTTCTGTTACCTAGTTTAGTCATGGCCTCATACTTTCTCTTCATATACACATAGATGATTTTCTCCGAGGATTTCATCTTTTCCCACTCTTTCTTAGAGAAGTATTTGGCAATATCATCGAAGGCCTAGGAAAAGATAAAAAAGGAATTTTGTCAGTGACTCAGCTAGACACGTCTGCCATTCAGCTGGAGCCGCCTCCTGTGTGCTGGATCTGGGAAGTGGGGATGATATTCCGTCCTGGTTGATGCCATGGCTAACTGACAGAACATGAGGGACCTTTCCTAGCTTCACCCCTGCCACACAGTAGGGCTTTAATGCTGCTGGCTGGCTCTCTTCCCACTTTCCAGAATGGACTGAGATTCACCAAATGTAGTGCACGGTCACAGACTTGTCTCCAAGGATGCTAGTTGATGATAGAGCGAGGATGGGAGGCTCTCAAGGGTCCAGATCTCCCCCAAGACCCTGCTCCTTGTCTCCAGTATCTCTATCCTCCCCTCCTCAGAAACCGGTCACCCCACACTGTCCCCTGGGCCACTACTTTGCCCCCTCCAGGTCACCTCACCTTTTGGATCTTCTCTGGTATTTGAGAACCAGCCCTAGGTCTCCTTGCAAAGGCATCGTCTCCGTTCATGGCACCGGGAGCAGTCTGTCCTGCAAGAGAAACAGACCGAGTCTTTCCAGCCACAGCAGCTTTGGTCTTGTGGAGGGAGAAATCAGTGAAGGCCGGCCACCCTCAGTCACCTGGAATCAGGTGCTTCATTTCTCCATCTGGGGCTTATCTGTCCCTGAGTAATGACATGGGGCGAAGTCAGATGAAAATAGGGAACCAGGGGTCTCTGGGAGAAGTATTGATTTGGGATGACAGGCTTCCTGTGGGCAAAGCAGCCTTGAGTCTTTGGGAGGGGGTTGGCTAATGTTGTTAGTAGTTTCCCTGGGGCCAGGCTTACCCTGAAAGATGTACAGACCCTTGTTGGGAAGGCAGAGATGTGACTGTGTAATTTTATTCAGTGGGGGCATGCTGACACCCCCACTCAATAAATAAAGGAAGGGAAATGAGTCCCAGAGATAACATGGTCTCTCTGGTGATGGATCTGATCAGGCAGAGGGATGGGGGGTTCTGTTCTGTTGAAGAGAAATGAGCATGGCTAATATGAACGGATTTAGAGGCTATTACTGGGTGATTTGTAAATTATTAGAAGAAGAGAGCTAGAATTTCTGAGACTACAAGAGCCCGCCATCACTTAAAGAGAATGTAGGGAGTTTCAAGGTACAGCAATCAGCCAGGCGCAGTGGCTCATGCCTGTAATCCCAGCACTTTGGGAGGACAAGGAGGGCGGGTCGCTTGAGTCCATGAGCTTGAGACCAGCCTGGCCAACATACCGAAACCATCTCTACTAAAACAACAACAACAACAAAACACACACACACACACACACACACACACACACATTAACAGAAGCGGAGTGGTGTGCGCCTGTAGTCCCAAGGCCTACGTGAGAGGATCACTTGAGCCCAGGAGGAAAGATTTGAGTGAGATTTTTTGTTTGTTTGTTTGTTTGTTTGTTTTGAGTCATGGTCTCTCTCTGTTGCCCAGGCTGGGATGCAGTGGTGTGATCATGGCTCACTGCAACCTCCGCCTCGTGGGTTCAAGTGATCCACCAGCTGTGGCCTCCAAAACTGGAGTTACAAGCGTGAGCCACCGTACCCGGCCCAAATTTGTTAAGTTACTAGAGTTCCCAGGAAAAATCCCATACCTGAAAAAGTTAGAAACTGACAGGAAGGATTTGAGATGGCGACCTGCCTCACATACACTCCTTATTAAAACTAGATAACAAATGCACCGCGGAGGAGGGGAGGGGTAGGAAGAATGGAAAAAGAAAATCAGCGCATGCTTACTCTGATTTTGGAAGAATCGAAAGAGAAAATCAGACCGTGCGTACTCTGAGTATGGAAGAATCGAAAGAGAGAGAAAGTCAGAGCATGCATACTCTGAACTTAAAGTAGCCAATCCCGGGGGATGCTTTAGGCGGGAAAATCAGGGTCTCCACCCCCAGTTAGAAAGTTCTGTCCCTGGAGGCTGGACTGATAGACGCCACATCAGCTTTGCTTATCCCGCCTACTGTTCTGACTTCTGATTGGCCAGATGGAGTTCACCGACTGCCCTGATTGGTCCATCATCCTTGCGCAGTGACATTGCACAATATTGTCTCCTCCTCCAGCAACACTTTGTTGCCACTGGGACAAAGTGGGTGGTCCTCAGGCGCCGTCAGATTTTGAACTCTCTGAAGACCATGCCTGGATCTCGGGTTAAAAATCTGGATTCTAGTCTGAACAGCGAGAAGAAAAAAATAGTCGGATCTGTGATTTTTCTACTTGAAAGACACAATGTTTTCCAGACTAGCACATTTGCAGAGCTTTGCTGTACTTAGTCGTGGCTTTCATTCTTCAGTGGCTTCTATATCTGTTGCCACTGAAAAAACAGTCCAAGGCCCTCCAACCGCTGATTACATTTTTGAAAGGGAATCTAAGTGTGGTGTGCACAATTAGCATCCTTACCTGTAGCCCTGGAGAGACGAAAATGTATTTACTTAACGGGATGTGATTGTGGTATTGGTTACATCCGCCTTGGCCAATCTTCCCGCCTCGGTCTCGTGACTACAGGCGGGAACCACCCCACCCCCACTCATATTTTTCGTTTTTTGATTTTTTAAAAGAGACAGTTTCGCTATGTTGGTCAGGCTGGTCTCCACGTCCTGGGCTCAAGCGATCCTCCCGCCTCAGCCTCGGGACTACAGGCATGCACCACCTTGCCCAGGCTTTTTTTTTTTTTAAGTAGAAACCATGTTTCGCTATGTTGACCAGACTGGCCTCAACCTCCTGGGCTCAAGGGATCCTTCCACCACAGCCTCGGGACTTCAGGCATGCACCACCCGGCCCACGCTTTATTTATTTATTTATTTTTTAGTGGAAACCAGGTTTCGCTATGTTGGCCTGGGCTCAAGGGATCCTCCCGCCTTGGCCTGGGGACTACAAGCATGCACCACCCTGCCCACCCTATTTTTTTTTTTTTTTTTTTTGCTTCTTTGTTTGTTTCTTTCTTTAGTAGAAACCGGGTTTCGCTATGTTGCCCAGGCTGGCCTCAATCTGCTGGGCTCAAATGATGCTTTCACCTCGGCCTCAGGAATACAGGAGTGTGCCATTCTTCCTGCTCATTTTAATTTTATTTACTTATTTATAGGAAAGACAGGCTTTCGCTTTGTTGGCCAGGCTGGTATTGACCTCCTGGGCTCAAGCAGTCCTCCCACCTTGGCCTCGGAACTACAGGGGTGAGCCATCCCACCCACGCAATTTTTTTGTTGTTCTTGTTGTTAGTAGAAATGGGGTTTCGCTATGTTGGCCAGGCTGGCCTCGACCTCCCAGGCTCAAGCAATCCTCCCGCCTCAGCCTGGTGACTACAGGCTCACACCACCCCACCACCACTAATATTTTTAATTTTTCTAGTAGAGACAGTTTTGCTATGTTGTCCTGGCTGGTCCCTACCTCCTGGGCTCAAGCGATGCTCCCGCTTCGGCCTTGGGACTACAGGCATGCACCACCCTGCCTTTTGCTATTTTTCCCAGGCTGGTCTTGACCTTCTGGGCTCACTCAATGATTTGAACCTGGGAAGCCGAGGTTGCATTGAGCTGAGATCACACCACTGCACTCCAGCTTGGGCGACAGAGCAAGACTGTCAAATAGATAAATACATCCATACATGAAAGAAAGAAGAAAGAAAAGAAAGAAAGAGAAAGAAAGAAGGAAGGAAGGAAGGAAGGAAGGAAGGAAGGAAGGAAAGAAAGAAAGAAAGAAAGAAAGAAAGAAAGAAAGAAAGAAAGAAAGAAAGAAAGAAAGAAAGAAACCAGCTGAATCTCCGTAAAAACAGTAAGCTTTGTGGTATATTAACTTACCCTCATCCCATCTCGTGCTCCCAGCTTGGTTCTGTTCATTGCTGATGAAATACACATAGGATTGGCCAGAACTGGTAGATGGCTAGCTATTGATCATGAAAATGTCAGACCTGATATAGTCCTCCTTGGAAAGGCCTTTTCTGAGGGCTGATACTCTGTGTCTGCAGTGCTGTGGGACGATGACATAATGCTGAGCATTAAGCCAGGCGACCATGGGTCCACATACGGTGGCAATCCACTAGGCTGCTGAGTGGCCATCGCAGCCCTTGAGGTTTTAGAAGAAAATCTTGCTGAAAATACAGAACAAAATGGGTATTCTCTTGAGAAATGAACCCATGAAGCTACCTTCTGATGCTGTAACTGCTGTAAGAGGAAGAGAATTATTGTGTGTATGTGTGTATGTATGTATGTATTTAGAGTCAGAGGTTCACTCTGGTTGCCCAGGATGCAATGGTGCGATCTTGGCTCACTGCAACCTCTGCCTGCTGGGTTCTAGCGATTCTCCTGCCTCAGCCTCCTGAGTAGCTGGGATTACAGGCACGTGCCACTATGCCCAGCTAATTTTCATATTTTTAGTAGAGACTGGGTTTCACCATGTTGGCTACGCTGGTCTTGAACTCCTGACCTCAGGTGATGCACCCACCTCGGCCTCCCAAAATGTTGGGATTACAGACGTGAGCCACTGTGCCCGGGAGGAAAATAATTATTAATTTCTATTGTTATTAAAGAAACCAAAGATTGTGATGCTTGGAAGGTGTGTCTACGACTTCAAGATTATCCACTTCTGGCCAAGCCAACCCATGGCGACATCATCAGGTTTCGCCTCCGCTGGTGGTGAAGGGGGATGAGATTCAAGTCCAGTGAAATCATTAACAAGGCCATCTTGTCGTTCTGAGGGTAGCAGCTGTTTTCAGTGGTCCCCAGGAGCCGGCTGGAGACAGGTGGTCTTGTAAAAGCTCTGCTTTTAATGCAGGCACATTCCACTCCGTGTGTCTTCAAAACCTTTTTGTGGAGTATCTATTTTTTTCAGTTAATACATAGTAGAACAACATTTATGAAGCTGCTGTTTGCTTTGTAACGTAAGTAAGAGCATGCAATGGCATCTATGTTCTGTGAAAGTGTTTTGATGTGTTGTGTACTTTCTAAGGTTAAACGTATCTATATATACAGACAGCGTTTAAATTACATCATTCAGTGTACTTTATATATGTTTTTATAATTTCCTTGCTGGTATAAATGCTTTGTATTTGAAAAAGTTTTCTCTAGGGAATTACATAAAAGACTTCACCTTATAAAGTCAAATCATTGTTATCATTAAATTTTAGGAAGGATGAATGGTTAAGCATGTATAAAATACTAATATTAAGTAAACTTCATGTTGGCCAACACCAGGATGTATTCTATGGATGTCATTATTTTCAATTAAGAATTAGTGTTTAACATTCCTAAATTGTTTTGAGTGCTTGATTATAATTTGTTTAAAAATGTTTAATATTTCTTTAAATTTAACATAAAGCTTGTATTTCAGAAAAAAAAAAAGATACAGAACATGCCTGGGTGCAGTGGTTCACGCTTGTAATCCCAGCACTTTGGGAGGGCGAGGTGGGCAGATTACTTGAGATCAGGAGTTCAAGACCAGCCTGGCCAACATGGAGAACCCTGTCTCTACTAAAGATACAAAAATTAGCCGGGCATGGTGGCACACGCCTGTATTCCCAGCTACATGGGTGGCTGAGACAGGAGAATCTCTTGAACCCGGGAGGCAGAGGTTGCAGTGAGCCAAGATCATGCCACTGTACTACAGCCTAGGTGACAGAGTGAGAATCCCTCTCAGAAAAAAAGAAAAAGGTACAGAACATTTCCATCATCATAATGCTATTCCTTGTGCTAGTCATTTTTAGTAATACTCACTCTCATCCCATCCACCATCCCTAACCCCTGGCAACCACTAATCTGTTTTTCATTTCTATAATTTTCTCTTTTCTACAATGCTGTACAAATGAAATCTTATAGTATATAACGTTTTAGGGACTTATTTCACTCAGCATAATTCCCTGGAGATTCATCCAAGATATTGATATTTGTGTATCAATAGTTCATTGTTGTTGTTGTTGTTGAGACGGAGTCTCACTCTGTCGCCCAGGCTGGAGTGCAGTGTCTCGGCTCACTGCAACCTCTGCCACCCAGGTTCAAGCAGTTTTCTAGCTTCAGCCTCCCAAGTAGCTGTGACTACAGGTGCGTGCCACCACGCCCGGGTAATTTTTGTATTAGTAGCAGAGATGGGGTTTCAACATATTGGCAAGGCTGGTCTTGAACTCCTGACGTCATGATCCACCCGCCTCAGCCTCCCAAAGTGCTGGGGTAACAGGGTGAGACACTGTGCCAAGCCAGTAGTTCATTTTTATTACTGAGTAGTATTCCATAGGATAGATGTCCCACAGTTTGACCATTCACTTATTGTAGGACATATTGATTATTTCCAGCTACTGGCTATTACAAGTAAAGCTGCTATGAACAATTATGTACAAGTTTCTGGATGGACATACATTTTAATTTCTCTGAAGTGTAATTGTTGAATTGTATGGTCATTGCATGTTTAGTTTTATAAGAAACTACCAAACTGCTTTCCAGAGTGGCTGTAAGATTTTACCTTCCCAGCAGCACTTAATGAGGTGTCCAGTTTCTCTGCATCCTCATCACCATTTGGTGTTGTCACTATGTCTTTTATTTTAGCTATTGTAATAAGTGTGTAGTGATGCCTCATCGTGGTGTTATTCTGCATCTAGTGAAGCAAATGAGTGTTGAACATCTTTTCATGTGCTTATTTGCTTATTTCCTCTTCAGTGAAATGTATGCTCATATCTTTTCATAATTTTCTAATTGGATTATTTGGGTTTTTTTTTTTACCTTTGAGTTATTATTATTATTATTATTATTATTTTTTAAGGCAGAGTCTCTCTCTGTTACCCAGGCTGGAGTGCAGTGGCATGATCTTGGCTCACTCCAACCTCCGCCTTCCAGGTTCAAGCGATTCTCGTGCCTCAGCCTCCCGAGTAGCTGGGATTACAGGCACGCATCATCATGCCTGTCTAATTTTTGTATTTCAGTAGAGATGTGTTTTTTGCCATGTTGCCCAGGCTGGTCTTGAACTCCTGGCCTCAAGGGATCTGCCCTCCGTCGACCTCGACCTTTCAAAGTGCTAGGATTACAAGTGTGAGCCACCAAACTCAGCCTACCGTTGAGTTTTGAGAGTAGTATACATATCCATTATATATTCTGGATGTGAGTCCTTTCTTGGATATGTGGTTTGCAAACATTCTCTCCCAGATCATACCCTGTTTTTTCATCCTTTTAACAAGATTTCTTGCAGAGCACAAGTTTTAAATTGGATGAAATCTAATTTATTTTTTTCCTTATTGATTATGCTTTTTGGACCATTCACTGTGCCCTAGATCTCAGACGTTTCTCCTATATTTTCTTGTAAAAGTTTTCTTTTAGTTTTATAGTTTAGATTTAAATCTGTGATGCACTTGAGTTACTTTTTTGTATAAAGGTAAGAAAATTAGGTCATTTTTTTTTGGCCTATGTCTACAACATCTCCAGCACCATTTGTTAAGCAGACAATCCTTCCTTCTTTTTGTCTCTTGGTAAAAAATCAGTGTGGGGCTATTTCTAGGTTCTCTATTTTGTTCCAGTGATCTATGTGTCTACTCTTCTCCCAGTACTACACAGTCTTAATTCCTGTAGCTATATAAGAAGTATTGAAATATGAAAGAGCCATTCCTCCCATCTTATTCTTCTTTTTCAAAAATTGTCTTAGCTATATAAATATTTTTTGAGATGGAGTCTCACTTGTGTCGCCCAAGCTGGAGATCAGTGGGGTGATCTTGGCTCACTGCAGCCTCCACCTCCCATGTTCAAGTGATTCTCCTGCCTCAGCGCCCCGAGTAGCTGGGATTTCAGGCACTCACCACCACACCCAGCTAATTTTTGTATTTTTAGTAGAGATGGTGTTTTGTCATGTTGGCCAGGCTGGTCTCGAACTTACCTGAAGCGATCCGCCCATCTCCGCCTTCCAAAGTGCTGGGATTACAGGCGTGAGACACCACTCCCAGCATTGTCTTAGCTATTGACAATTTGTTACAGCAACAATCAAAAATGAATATACTTAGAAACAGATTAGTGTAACAAAATAGAAAGTCAAGAAACAGACTAATTTATATACCAACTTCAGCATGCATTTCCAAACAAACAGTGGGCAAAAGATGGGTTGTATAATAAAGGATTGTTGACAAGTGTCTATCCATTTGAAAAAATAAAGATGAAATCCTTATGCTGAACCACATAAAATAATAAATTCTAAAAGTTCGGAGACATAAATGTGAAAACGTGAAGTCATAAAGAACTAGATGAAAATTCAGGAAAATATTATAGTGTAAGAGATCTTGAATTGGCATAAGCAAATCCTGACATTACACCAAGGATATAAACAATTAATCTGACATAGTTAAAGATGTAAAAATTAAAGTATCATCTAAGTCAAAAGACACCATAAACAACTGTTTAAAAAGGCAAATTTTAGGCTGGGCGAGGTGGCTCACGCCTGTAATCCCAGCACTTTAGGGGGCTGAGGAGGGCGGATCACGAGGTCAGGAGATCAACACCATCCTGGCTACCATGATGAAACCTCGTCTCTAATAAAAATACAAAAAATTAGCCAGGCCTGGTAGCACATGCCTGTAGTCTCAGCTACTCGGGAACCTGAGGCAGGAGAATCACTTGAACACGGGAGGCAGAGGTTGTAAATTTAAGAGGAAGCAGAAGATTTCAATAAGCAATGGTGAGGAGAAAAATACTAGAATTTATTGAAAAGTGTAAAGTTTAGATTGTAAATTAAAAAAATTATAGTCTTGAACTAAATTTGCAGGTATTATAAACATGGAAGATGGGAGGAGGGACAGAAAAGAAAAGAGAAGTTCTTTTGGTGTTCAACGAATGGATACAGATACTAATGAATGATAGAATGGTAGAATGGTTAAAAACACGAGCATTTTATTTTGTTTTATTTTAGACAGGGCCTCGCTCTGATGCCCAGGCTAGAGTTCCTTAGCACAATCGTGGCTCACTGCAGCCCCAGCCTCCTCTGCTCAAGTGATCCTCCTGCCTCAGCCTCCCATGTAGCTGGGGCTTCAGGTATGAACCACCACCCCTGGCTAATTAATTTTTTTTGGTAGAGACAGGGTCTTGCTATGTTGCCCAGGCTGACCTTGAACTCTTGTCCTCAAGTAATCCTCCCACCTCTACCTCTCAAAGTGGTGGGATTACAGGAGTGAGTCACTATGCCCAGTTAATGCTAGTATTTTAGAGTACAAACTCTGGAGCCAGACAGCTTGGGTGCAGTTTCTGGCTTCTCAACTTATTAAGCTATGTGACCTTGTGTAAGTCATATAACCTTTCTGTGTCTCAGGCTACTCAAGAGTAAACTGGGGATAGCCACACTATCTAGCTCATTTGATTGCTATGATTAAATGGGTAAGTACGTGTAAAGCACTTAGAATAGCGCCTGTCATGTGGTTAAGTTAGTATATATCTTTTAGTTGTTGTTAGTAATGACTTCAAATTACTTTTAAAATGTAAAAGCATATCTGGTTCAAGAAGAAGATGGTGAACCAGCAATAGCTGCTGGCTTCCTTCCCAAACCCAACCCTGCAGATGCCACAGAAGAGGTGGGAAGTGGTTGGAGTTCAGAACAGTTCCTGTAACAAAACCCTTGATGGTTTGGCCCCACTGGGGGATGAGACGGCTTAGAGTGGGAAAAGGTCAGAGGCCACAGATGGAGGATCAGCCCAGGTGGAGCTTTCTAAGTTGCATTCTTGTTTTCTCCTTGTTTTCTGGATGGCTCATTACCTGTTGTGTAAACATATAAAGCAGACACTTGGCAGGGCTGGCCTAGTGCTAGCCCAAAGTGGCGTGATAACATTAAGGAATAGGGGGCTTGGAAAGCTCCTAAAAAAAAGTGCAGACTCATCAAAGCTGGCCAGTAACTGAACATTCCTTTCCTACCTCTCCCTCTGCCCTCTGAGCTAGGCAATTACAACCAATATCACCCACCCGTAGACTCCCTCCACTCTGTAAGGCAGAAATCCTGTAAGTGTCTCTGGGGGCTAATAGGCTAGGAACTGGAAAGAATTGGCTCAGCTCAGCTCAGCTCTAGAGGCTGTGTATCCTATGACCTATCAATCCAGAAACCCTGAAACTCACATGTAGTGTCTGGGGTGACACATTTTTCCCAGGGACAAAGAGTTATATAGAAAAACTATCAGATAGGTCAGGCGCGGTGGCTCATGCCTGTAATCTCAGCACTTTGGAAGGCCAAGGTGGGGGGATAACCTGAGGTCAGGAGTTCGAGAACAGCCTGGCCAACACGGTGAAACTCTGTCTCTTCCAAAAGTACAAAAATTAGCCCGGTGTGGTGGTGTGCAACGGTAGCCCCAGCTACTCGGGAGGCTGAGGCAGTAGAATTGTTTGAACCCGAGAGTCGGAGGTTATAGTGAGCCAGGATTATGCCACTGCACTCCAGCCTGAGTGACAAAGTGAGACTCTGTCTCAAAAAAAAAATTCCTTTCTTTCAACACTTTGGAGTTATTACACCATTGTATCCTTGCCTCCAGTGTGGTGTTTGAGAGACCCGATGTCAGTTTAATTATTTTTCCTCTGTAAGTAACCTGCTATTTCTCTCTGATCGTTTTAAAACTACTTTTTCTTTCTTTCACAATTTTACATTTCACTGATCCTGTGTGTGTGTGTACTTACAATACCTTTAAATCTTAAGTTATTTTTCTAAATCTGAGAAATTCTCTTTCATTACTTATTTAAGTACACTCTCCTGTTTAATGACTGTATTCTCTTCTTATAAGGCTACTATTAGATGTGTTTTGACATTTATTCTTTTATCCTCCCTATTAATTAACTTTTATTTCATTTACTTCATCTGTATCCATTACCGATTAGTTTTATGAATTCTTTAGACTCATTTCCTCAGGTCAGCAATTGCCTTTTCAATTATATCAGTTTTAATATCCAACCTATTTCACTGAATTATTTATTTGAGCATTTAATGTTTTCATATCCAATCTATCCAATAGGTTATTTATTTTTTTATTTATTTATGATGGAGTCTTGCTCTGTTGCCCAGGCTGGAGTACAGTGGCGTGATCTTGGCTCAATGCACCTTGCCTCCCGAGTTCAAGCAATTCTCCTGCCTCAGTAGATAATTAAAAAAAAAAAAAAGCTGCATTTGGTGGTGTGTACCTGTAGTCCCAGCCACTCAGGAGGCTGGGGCAGGAAGATTGCTTGGGCCCTGGAGTTTGAGGCTGCAGTGAGCTAAGATTGGGTCACTGCACTCTAGCCTGAGTGACAAAGTGAGACTTTGTCTCTGAAAATTAAAAAAAAAAAGATCGTAGGCACGATTTTACTCAGAAGGGGGAGTACTATGAGATGTACACGGGCCACTGCAATGGGTTTTTGTGGTAGGAGAGATATTGGGATCGACTTGGACTCCACCAAGGACAAGTGGGGATTTATAGTCAAGAGTAGGGTTGGGGGGAGCGGGATCAGAAGATGGGAAATTACTTGGAGGAGACATCAGGTGCAGGCGGATTCTGGCTAAACAGACTTGACAGGAATTTTGCTGAAACAGGCTTAATGGGCAGAGTCCCTGGATGGGGAGGTGTGAGCCACCTCACCTGACCAACAGGCTTTGTTTAATATGTCAGTTTTCATAAGTAATCTAGGTATAATTGTTAAAAATGAATAAACGAGGTAAATGTGAGATACATGTTTATAAATGAACTTTTCATATAATTGGAAATCTTTTTTTCTTGCTCTTATCATACGAAGATGAAATATTAAAGTTGTGTTATGTTAGATTAAGTAATAGGTACTCACTAAATATTGGGATCATTTCCAACTAAGAAAACAGCTGAAACAAATCGCTAAACTTAAATACAAGTTTGTTCTTGGCCCTTAAGTTTTATAAAACACAAAAGATATTTGGATCCGTTAATAAAACGCCCTGTTCTACATTGAAAATTGTTCTGGCTGGACTTGGTGGCTCACCCCTGTAATCCCAGCACTTTAGGGGGCGGAGGCGGGCAGATCACGAGGTCAGGAGATCAACACCATCCTGGCTAACACAGTGAAACCCCGTCTCTACTAAAAATACAAAAAAATTAGCCGGGCGTAGTGGCACGCGCCTGTAGTCTCAGCTACTCAGGAGGCTCAGGCAAGAGAATCGCTTGAACTTGGGAGCCGGAGGTTGAAGTGAGCGGAGAAGGAGCCACTGCACTCTAGCCTGGCGACATAGAGAGACTCCATCTCAAAAAAAAAAAAAGTTACAACCTGTTCTCTCTGAAGCCTAGTACCTGAAGGCTTCCTCTGCAAATAAGAACTCAAAAAAAACTAAGAACGACTCACTTCAAGTAATCAACTTTCACAATGGTTAAAGCAGAGTCCTGCTTAGCAATGCACAAAAATTCTCCTTTGTGATCCATTCATTTTACTTCTGTTGACTTTCTTGCTTATGCTTTCAGACAGAGTCACTGTCCTTTGACCAGACTTGAGTCGGGCTCCTCTGAGTCCTGTTTCTGACTAGGTCCCAACCTCGGGCTCTGTCTTTCATCCAGGAACTCTGCCCATTTAGCCTGTTTCAGCAAAAATCCTGTCAAGTCAGTTTATCCAGAATCCCCCTGCACCTGAGTTTTCCTCTAAGTAATTTCCCATCTTCTGACCCCCGGCTCCTACTCCCTGACTACAAATCCCCACTTGTCCTTGGTGGAGTTGAAGTCGATCCCAATATCACTCTCCCACTGCAAGACCCCATTGCGGTGGTCCCTATACCTATCACAGAAGTCCCCGCTCTGAGTAAAATCGTCCTTACGATCTTTTTTTTTATTTTCAGAGACAAAGTCTCACTCTGTAACTCAGGCTAGAATGCAGTGACCCAATCCTAGCTCACTGTAGCCTCAAACTCCAAGGCCCAAGCAATCTTCCTGCCCCAGCCTCCCGAGTAGCTGGGACTA
Organism: Homo sapiens; assembly: GCF_000001405.40. NCBI lineage: Eukaryota > Metazoa > Chordata > Mammalia > Primates > Hominidae > Homo > Homo sapiens. Next base: position 48,317,244 of record NC_000023.11, read on the forward strand.
GAGGTACGCACCACCAAATCCAGCTATCTTTTTTTTTAATTCTCTGCAGACCCAGGAACTTGATATGCCCGTCTAATTTTTGTATTTTTTGTAGAGAGGGGATTTTGCCACATTGCCCAGGTTGGTCTTGAATTCCTGGGCTCAACCAATCCTCTTGCCTTGGGCTCCCAACATGCTGGGATTACAGGCATGAGCCACTGCAGCTGGCCCTTCCTTACAGTCTTTAGTAAGTGCAATAAATACTTGTTTGCTTTAACATTTCCCTGTGTCTTCAGTCTCCTGAAGTGTTATATGCCTGACATTGCCGTACTCCACCAAATATAGAAATTCCCTTCTTTCGCTGGGTGCAGTGGCTTACACCTATAATCCCAGCATATTGGGAGGCCAAGGTGGGCAGATCACCTCAGGTCAGGAGTTCGAGATCAGCCTGGCCAACATGGTGAAACCCCTTCTCTACTAAAACTACAAAAATTAGCCGGGTGTGGTGGTGTGTGCCTGTAGCCCCAGCTACTCAGAAGGCTGAGGAGGATAATCGCTTGTAACTGGGAGGCAGATCATGCCACTGCACTCCAGCCTGAGTGACAAAGCAAGACTCTGTCTCAAAAAAAAAAAAATCCTTTCGTTCAACACTTTGGAGTTATTACACTATTGTATCCTTGCCTCCAGTGTGGTGTTTGAGAGACCCAATGAAGGTTTAAATATTTTTCCTTTGTATGTAACCTGCTATTTCTCTCAGATCATTTAAAAAATATTTTTTCTTTGTCTTTCACAATTTTTTATTTCACAGTTCCTGTGTGTGTATGTGCGTGTGTACGATGACCCCTTTAAATCTTAAGACATTTGTCTAAATCTGAGAAATTCTCATTCATTACTTTTTTAAGTACACTCTCCTTTTTAATGACTATATTCTGTTTCCATAAGGCTACTATTAGATGTGTTTCAACATTTATTCTTCTATCCTCCCTATTAATTAACTTTCCTTTCATTTACTTCATCTATATCCATTACCGATTACTTTTATGAATTCTTTAGACTCACTTCCTCAGCTCAGTAATTGCTTTTTCAACTATATCCATTTTAATATCCAACCTATTTCACTGAATTATTTATTCGAGCAATTAATGTTTTCATATCCAATCTATCCAATAGGTTTTCTTTTTATTTATTTATTTGAGATGGAGTCTTGTTCTTTCATCCAGGCTGGAGTGCAGTGACTCCATCTTGGCTCACTGCAGCTCTGTCTCCTGAGTCCAAGCAATTCTCCTGCCTCAGCCCCTTGAGTAGCTGGGACCACAGGCGTGTGACACTATGCCAGGTGAATTTTGCATTTTTAGTAGAGACGGGGTTTCACCATGTTGACCAGGCTGGTCTCGAAATCCTGACCTCAGGTGAGCCGCCCGCCTCAGCCTCTCAAAATGCTGGGATTACAGGTGTGAGCCACTGTGCCCGGTCTTTTATTTTATTTTATTTTATTTTTTACAGTTTCACTATTGTTGCCCAGGCTGAAGTGCAATGGTGTGGTCTCACCTCACTGCAACCTTCACCTCCCAGGTTCAAGTGAGTCTCCTGCCCCAGCCTCCTGAGTAGCTGGGGTTACAGGCATGCACCACGACACACAGCTAATTTTAGTAGAGATGAGGTTTCGCCATGTTGGCCAGGCTGGTTTCAAACTCCTGACCTCAGGTTATCCTCCCGCCTCTGCCTTCCAAAGTAGTGGGATTACAGGTGTGAGCCACCGCGTCTGGCCTATCCGATAGTTTTTCTATATAACTCTTTTTTCCTGGGAAGGTGTGTCAGCCCAGACACTCCACGTGAGTTTCAGGGTTTCTGGATCGATAGATCGTAGGATACGGAGCCTCTAGAGCTGAGCTGAGCCAATTCTTCTTCCAGTCCCTAGCCTATGAGCCCCCAGAGACCCTTACAGGATTTCTGCCTTATAGTGTGGAGGGAGTCTACAGGTGGATGATATTGGTTGTAATCGCCCAGCTCAGAGGGCAGAGGGACAGGTAGGAAAGGAATATTCAGTTACTGGCCCGCTTTGATGAGTCTGCACTTTTTCTAGGAGCTTCCCAAGCCCCTTATTCTTTAATGTTATCAGGCCACTTTGGGCTAGCACTGGGCCAGCCCTGCCAAGTTTCTGCTCTGTATGTTTACAGAACAGGTAATAAGCCTTCTAGAAAATAAGGAGAAAAAAAGAATGCAACTTAGAAAGCTCCGCCTGGGCTGATCCTCCATCTGTGGCCTCTGACCTTTTCCCACTCTAAGCCATCTCATCCTCCAGTGGGGCTAAACCATCAAGGGTTTTGTTATTGGGAACTGTTCTGAACTCCAACCACTTCCCACCTCTTCTGTGGCATCTGACATCTGCAGGGTTGGGTTTGGGAAGGAAGCCAGCAGCTATTGCTAGTTCACCATCTTCTTCTTGAACCAGATATGCCTTTACATTTTAAAAGTAATTTGAAGTCATTACTAACAACAACTAAAAGATATATACTAACTTAACCACATGACAGGCGCTATTCTAAGTGCTTTACATGTATTTGCCCATTTAATCATAGCAATCAAATGAGCTAGTGTGGTTATCCCCAGTTTACTCTTGAGTAGCCTGAGACACAGAAAGGTTATATGACTTACACAAGGTCACATAGCTTAATAAGTTGAGAAGCCAGAAACTGCACCCAAGCTGTCTGGCTCCAGAGTTTGTACTCTAAAATACTAGCGTTAAGTGGGCACAGTGACTCACTCCTATAATCTCACCACTTTGAGAGGCTGATGTGGGAGGATTGCTCGAGGTCCAGAGTTCAACGTCAGCCTAGGCAACATAGCAAGACCCTGTCTCTACCAAAAAAAAATTTTTTTTTAGTTACCCAGGCATGGTGGTGCACACCTGTAGTCCCAGCTACATGGGAGGCTGAGGCAGGAGGGTCACTTGAGCTGAGGAGGCTGGGGTTGCAGTGAGCCATGATTGTGCTATGGAACTCTAGCCTGGGCACCAGAGTGAGGCCCTGTCTAAAATAAAACAAAATTTAATGCTAGTGCCTTTTACCATTCTACCGTTCTATCATTCATAAACATCTGTATACATTCCCTGAACACCGAAATAACTTCTCTTTTTTTTCCTGTCCCTCCTCCCATCTTCCATGTTTATAATACCTGGAATTTTATTTCAAGACTATAATTTTTTAAGTTTACAATCAAAAGTTTACACTTTTTAATAAATTTTACTGGTTTTCTTCTCATCATTGCTTATTGAAATCACCTCCTTCCTCTTAAATTTACTTTTCTCTTCTCATAGACCTGTATACCAATAATGATTTCTGAAGGGTACATGTGTCATGAATTTTCTGAAATATTTTTTCCCTCATTCTGGATTATCCTGGCTGTATATAGATATCTAGGTTCAACTTTTTTTGTTTGTTTTTGTTTTGTTTTGTTTTGTTTTTTGAGACAGTGTCTGGCTCTGTCACCCAGGCTGGAATGCAGTGGCACCATCTCGGCTCACAGCAATCTCCACCTCCCAGACTCAGCTGGGACTATAGGCACGTGGCACCACACCTGGCTACTTGTTGTATTTTTTGTAGAGATGGGTTTTGCCTTGTTGGCCAGGCTGGTCTCAATCTCCTGAGCTCAAGCTGTCCTCCCATCTTGGCCTACCGAAGTGCTGGGACTACAGGCGTGAGCCACTGTGCCTGGCCCAAAGTTATTTTTAATCAGCTCCTTGAAAAACATCTCCATTGCATTCTCTTTTCTCTCTTTCTCTCTGGGGCCTTTCAGGATTTTATCTTTATCCTAGAAATTTTACTCCTAGGGAGTGTGTGTGTATATATGTGTGCGTGTGTGTGTGAGCGTGTGTGTGTGTGTGTGTGCGCCTGTGTGTTAATCAGGTTCAGAACTAGGTGACTTTTTTCAGTTTGAAGATTCATGTGTTTGTTCAGTTGAGAAAATTCTAGAACATTATTTCTTCAAGTACCGCCTTCTCTACAGTCTTTCTATTCTTTTTTTTTTTTTTTTTCCTTTTTGAGTCGGAGTTTTGCTCTGTCATCCAGGCTGGAGTGCAGTGGCACAATCTCAGCTCACTGCAACCTCTGCCTCCCGGGTTCAAGTGATTCTCCTGCCTCAGGCTTCCACATAGTTGGGATTTCAGGCGCCCACCACCACACCGGGCTAATTTTTGTATTTTCAGTAGAGACGGGGTTTCGCCATGTTGGCCAGTCTGGTCTCAAACTCCTGACCTTAGGTGAGGTGCCTGCCTCAGCCTCCAAAGGGCTGGGATTACAAGCGTGAGCCACGGCACCTGGTCCAGTCTTTCTATTCTCTACCTCTGCAACTTCTATTGGATGAACGTTGAAACTTCTGGGCTCTATCCTCCATTTCCTTTACTATTTTCATTTCATACTTTCTATTTCATAATCCTTTTCTCCTATACGGTGAAGTAGTGCCATGCCTGAACACATTTTTTCATTGGGTTGTTCCAGTTTCTCTTACTGATATGCAAAATCTTTGTTGTATATTAGAGATGGTTACTGTTAATTTATTGAGGATGCTTCACCAATTTCCCCAACATTTGCCTTTTTAAACAGTTTTGTGGTGTTTTTTGAATTAGATGATACTTTAATTTTTACATTGTTATGTCAGATTCATTGTTCATAGCCTTAGTGTAATATCAGGAAGTGCCTATGACACCTCCAGATGTCTTACACTGTAATATTTTGCTAAATTTTCATCTAGTTCTTTATGACTTCACATTTTCACGTTTAAGTAACTGATTTTTTAGAATTTATTATTTTATGTGGTTTAAAGTAAGGATTTAATCTTTATTTTTTCAAATAGATAGATACTTGTCAAGCAATCATTTATTATACAACCCATCATCTTTTGCCCACTGTTTGAAAATGCATGCTGAAATTTGCGTATAGATTAGTCTGTTTCTTGACTTTCTATTTTGTTTCACTAATAAATGTTTCTATGTGCATTCATTTTTTATTGCAGCTGTAACAAATTTTCAATAGCTTAGACAACGCTAGGTACAGTGGCTCAGGCCTATAATCCCAGCACTTTTTGGAAATCTTTACCAACAAAGAAAAATTCTGATGTATTCTCTTTCAGTTGAATGTCCTCAGATGACTTTCAGCAAACTCTAGAGAATCTTCCCGAAGGTGAGTATCTCTCAAATCTAAATGGCCAGAGAACCTTTGTCCCTCCATGGATGCGAAAACTGGTAAGAGTGGGAGAATATCAAAAATGCCCTCACTGTCTCTTTTTCCCATGTCTATCACAACACCTGATGTAGCATTGACGGCTTGATAACACTGACAGTTGTAATCCTTAATACTTCTTTTGTTTTCATAGTGCTGCCAGATATTCTAAGCAGGTTACATGGATTAATTTATTTAATCCTTAAGAATACGTCTATGACGTTGTTTCTGTTATTATCTCCAAAGAATAACAAGTCACACACTTTGGTTGTCATCCATATAAAAGCCATGTAACTTGGCGCAAATCTTCTAAGTTCTCTGAGCTCCAGATTCCTGGTCCATGAAATGGAAGTAAAGAATCATAGTTTATGTTTTAGATCATAGTTATCAGCAGCATAATAATAAAATGAGGCTATCATTGTACAGAGATGTTAAAGAGTTTTCCTGGGGCACAGTGTCAGTGGTAGTCTAATCCAGAGCTCCAAGCCATTTAAAGCTCATTCACGTTTGCATTTGTTTATGAAGTTCAGATGTTGCTCACTAGGGCTTTACCCCATAGGGCCTGCTGGTGCTTCCATTGAGACACCCACTCTCGCAACAGGAAGGACCAGCTGGCCTCTGATCCGTTACTAGAGCCACTCGCATGGCTTAGGAATCGGTTTGACTGTTGGCCCCTCCCTACTGCGAGCTCCTTGAGGGCTTTGTCTATACCTGGTGCATCCAAGAAGCCCCCGTCCCAGCCCAGGGGATTCCTTGGAGGCCCCTGAATGAGTGACTCCACAAGTACGTATTATACTCCGGTTTAGAGGGTAAAGGAATCTGGGATTGGGTTGCCAGTATGGAGGCCAAATTCAAAGAAGGATCATGAAAGGTATTAATTGTTATTATTACTATATTTAAACAGTGTTTATAAGCTCAGAGAGGACTTTCCCTTAGCCTATTTTACATGTATTATTCACTATTACATAATTGAGGAAGCTGAATAAGTGTGGCTTAAGACTGTTGGTCAGTGACCCACCCCAATGCAGCAAGAATTGATATGGGTACCACCTCACTGAATTCCACATTCAATGTTGATGCCTCAGTAGGGTGGTATGCCAGATCTGGTACTGCTTTCTTTGCTGCCTAGATTAATTTCAGCAAACCATTTCTTTCCCTCTCCCTTCCCTGTATACATCTCCCCACACCATCTTTCCCAGCAGTGTTTTGTCCCCTCCCTATGTTTTTACATTTACTCTCCCAACAGCTGTCTACAAGCTTATATGGGATCCCTTGTATTTTATAGAAGCTCTTCCTTTTGTAGACCTGTGAATTCTTAGAATGCTATGCCCCAAATCTTCTGTATATCACACTCTCAATTAAATGGAGATTTTTGCTGTTTGCAAGAATGTGAGTCTTAAAAGAGTGTGAAGATAACCAATCTAACCCTGGAAACCCCATTCCTTTAGACCAATCCTTTCCCTTCTAACCTCCCCTCCCAGGTTTCTCCTAATTTAGGCAAGTGTAACTCTCCCAGCAAAGTTGAGAACATTGATTAAGGTAATGCATGTGAAGACTCTTTGTAAGCTCTAAAGCACTATAGAAATGTCACCGATACTGTTTATCTGTGACCTTCATATTATAAAGATCATGCCCAAGAAGCCAGCAGAGGAAGGGAATGATTAGAAGGGAGTGCCAGAACCATCTGCCCTACAAAACGATCTGAAGCAGCTGTGCCCCCCGGGAAAAGCAAATACCTCTGAGAAGATTCACAAGAGATCTGGTAAGAGGAAACAATTCGGGAACAAACCCTCTGGCTTTCCTGGCTATGTTCAGGTGTGTGGATTGGGTGTGTGGCATGGACCCCAGACAAGTCTAGGTCCCAGCTGGACTGAGGAGCTTGCCCAGCTCCAGAAGAGATGTCAGACATGACTTCCAGAGACACAGAGTGGAGTTGTCATCCATATAAAAACCACGTGACTTGGGGCAAGTCTTTCAAATTTTCTCAGCTCCAGATTCCCAGTCTATGCGATGGAAATAAAGAATCATAGTTCACAAATTGTTTGGAGGCATTAAATTTAATCTAGAAGGCCTGATGACATGAAAGGTGCTCAAGCAATTCTATCTGTAATTACCTGGGATCATATCTTACGCAGCTCAATGCCTGATAACCAATCAGGTGTACTTCAGAGATATTGCAGGTTCTGTTCCAGACCACTGCAATAAAGTGAGTCACACATTTTTTTGTTATTGTCATTTCACAGTGCATAAAAACTTTATGTTTACACTATCCTGTAGTCTATTAAGTGTGCAATAGCATTGTCTAAAAATGTACATACCTTAATTTTAAAATAATTCATTTATAAAAAATGCTAACAATCTTCTGAGCCTTCAGTGAGTCACACTCTTTTTGCTGGTGGAGGGTCTTGCCTCGGTGTTGATGGCTGCTGGCTGATCAAGGTGGTGGTTGCTGAAGATTGGAGTGGCTGTGGCAGTTTCTTAAAAGAACACAGCAATGAAATTTGCCACATTGATTAGCTCTCCCTTTCATGAAAGATTTCCCTGTACTGTGTGATGCTACTGGATAGCATTTTACCCACAGTAGAACTTCTTTCAAAGTTGGAGTCAATCCTCTCTAGCTATGAAAGTCCTAGATGGCATCTCCTTCCAATAGAAGGCTATTTTATCTACATTGAAAATCTGTTGTTTAGTGTAGCCACCTTCATCAGTGATCTTAGCTAGATCTCCTGGATAACTTGCTGCAGCTTCTCCATCAGGGTTTGCTGCTTCACCTTGCACTTTTATGTTATGGAGATGGCTTCTTTCCTTAAACCTCACGAACCAACTTCTACTAGCTTCACGTGTTTCTTCTGCAGCTTCTTCACCTCTCTCAGCTTTCATGGTCGTGAAGAGAGTTCAGGTCTTTCTCTGAATTAGACTTTGGCTTAAGGGAATGTTGTGGCTGGTTTCATGTTCTGTCCTGACCACGCAATCTTCCTCTATTTCAGCAGTAAGGCTGCTTTACTTTCTTATTCGTCTGTTCACTGGAGTATTAGTATCATTATTTCCTTCAAGACCTTTCCTTTGCATTATATACTATTATTTCCTTCAAGAACTTTTCCTTTGCAATCACAGCTTGGCTGTTTGGTGGAAGAGGCCGAGCTTTCAGCCTGTCTTGGCTTTCAGCATGCTTCCTCACTAAGCTTAGCCATTTCTAGCTTGTGATTTAGAGTGAGAGACATGCGACTCTTCCCTTCCTTTGAACACTTAGTGGCCATTGTAGGGTTGTTCATTGTCCTAATTTCAGTATTGCTGTGTCTCAAGAAATAGGGAGGACCAAGAAAAGGAAGGTAGGCAAGGAAGAGCTCATCGGTGGAGCAGTCAGAACACACACAACATTGATCAATTAAGTTTGTCATCCTCTGTGGGTGCAGTTCCTGTTACCCCTAAAACAATTACCCACAACAGGGTGATTATTATCAATAATTACTTAATTGTACATTTAAAAAAACTAAAAGAGTGTAAATGAATTGTTTGTAACACAAGGATAAATGGCTGAGGGGATGGATACCCTATTTTCTATGATGTGATTATTATGCATTGCATGCATGTATCAAAACATCTCACGTACCCCATAAGTATATACACCTACTGTGTACCCACAAAAATAAAAAAAATATTTTAAAAGACTAAAGAACAACAAAACAATTGCAATCATAATATCAAAGCTCATTGATCACAGATCACTATAACAGATATAATAATAATGGAAAAGTGTAAAATTGGTGAGAATTTCAAAAAAAAATTACAGTATCTGCGAAGCAGGATAAAAATGAGGTGCCATAAAGCAAGGTTTGCCTTGTGCCCTTAACAAATACGTGCAGCATGAAAGGAGGTATGGGTGAGTGTTCCCATAAGTGAAGAGGTTGGGAATCTAAACCTGACAACGGAAGGAGCCAGAAGCTAAAACTTTAATTGGTATTTGTCGTGTATTGGTGTGGATCTAAGGCCTCAGCCTCTCTAAGCCAGAGAATGTGAAAAACTGGATAAAGAAGGCCCATGGGCACTTGGTGGTGGGGAGGCATCTACTTTTTTGAGAAAACAGAGCCTAACACTCTCCAACCCACCCAACCCTCACTTTCCAACTCTTCTCCATCATAGGACCCAAAAGTGGGAAACATGCCTGGACCCACAGACTGCATGAGAGAAAGCAGCTGGTGATTTATGAAGAGATCAGCGACCCTGAGGAAGATGACGAGTAACTCCGTAAGTGAACCTCCCGCTCATCCCCCACATCCCTGCAGATGTGCTATTCTGTTATGATACTGGTATCCCATCTGTCACTTGCTCCCCAAATAATTCCCTTTTCTAGGGTACAGCATTGAGGCTGAATGATGAGATTTCCCATTCTCTTTCTTTCTTTCTTTTCTTTCTTTCCTTCTGTCTTTTTTTTTTTTTTTTTTTTTTTGGAGGGATTCTTGCTCTGTCGCCCAGGCTGGATGTGGTGGCCCGATTTCGCCTCACTGCAACTTCTGCATCCCGGTTCAAGCAATTTTCTTGCCTCAGCAACCTGAGTAGCTGGGATTACACGTGTGCACCCCACACACCCGGCTAATTTTTGTATTTTTAGTAGAGATGAACTTTCCCCATGTTGGTCAAGCTGGTCTCGAACTTGCCTCTCCACCTGCCTCGGTCTCCCAAAGTGCTGGATTTACAGGTGTGAGCCACCGCACCCGGCCGATTTCCCATGCTCTTTCTACTCCCTGCCCTGTATATCCAGAGATGCTCCCTACCCAGGATGCTGTGGGTTCCCAAACCCCAGGTCAGCCCTGATATGCGGGCCACACCTTCCTCTAGCCTAGGAATCGATAAACCAGGTGAGGAAGTCACTGTAGCATGAGCAGATGGTTCACTTCGAGGAACCGTGGAAGGCGTGTGCAGGCCCTGAGGTAGGGCAGAATCAGAGTGTGCAGGGTCTGCAGGTCAGGAGGAGTTGAGATTGAGTTGTCATGTGGTGGGAACTCACTGCCACTTTCTTTCCTTCTCTCTTCTTGCCTCAGCCTCAGGGATATGACACATGCCCATGATGAGAAGCAGAATGTGGTGACCTTTCACGAACATGGGCGTGGCTGCGAACCCCTCATCATAAGGTGCATAGCAAGTGAAAGCAAGTGTTCACAACAGTGAAAAGTTGAGCGTCATTTTTCTTAGTGTGCCAAGAGTTCGATGTTAGCGTTTCCGTTGTACTTTCTTACAGTGTGCCATTCTGTTAGATATTAACATTTTCACTGTTCAGCAATACATGCTTAATGCATATTTCGGTTTGTGTATCCATGCACCTACCTTAGAAAACAAGTATAGTCAGGTATTCTCTCCATAGAACAGCACTACCCTCCTCTCTCCCCAGATGTGACTGCTGAGGGGAGGTCTGAGTGTTTAATTTCAGATTTTTTCCTCTGCATTTACACACCCCCCCACACACACACACACCAAGTAACACTATAAGCACCTCCCATCTGCTTGTACTCCCCTCATCCGATTCCCCTCTATCAGTCACTGACAGTTAATAAACATTTGCAAACGTTCCCCAGTTGTTTGCTCCTCTCATTATTGTGCACACAGCTCTCTGCATGTGTATGAATATTTCTTTAGGAAAGATTCTTAGAAGTGGAATTGCTGTGTCAAACGAGTCACTTATTCAACAAAAAACTAATGAGTGCATACTCGTGCTGAGCGCTGTTCTAGGTGCTGGAGAGACATCAGGGAACAAGGCAGACAGATGTTTCTGACCCCCATTCTAGAGGAGGATGTTTCCCGTTGTTGGGTTTCTTGGTTTGTTTGTTTGTTTCTTCTAGAGATGGGGTCTTGCTCTATCCAGGCTAGAGTGCAGTGGCATGATTATAGCTCAATGCAGCCTTGAACTCCTGGGCTCAAGTGATCCTCCCACAGCAGCCTCCAGAGTAGCTGTGACTACAGGCATGCACCATCACGCCCCGCTGATTTTTTTAGGTTTTGTCTAGAGAGTCTCACTATGTTACCCAGGCTGGTCTCCAACTCCTGGGCTCAAGCAATCCTCCCACCTTGGCGTCCTAATATATTGGGATTACAGGCGTAAGCCACCGCACCTGGCCTTCAGTTTTTATTTTGATAGAGACTATACACTTCAGTCCTGGAGCAGGATTCTGCAGCAGGTGGTTGGGCATCTTGGCCTTCGCTCTCTGAACCATTTTCGGGTTCTAGGGCTAGGACAGTCCATTTGGGAGTATGTGGGAGGAGACACAGATGAAATCGTCATCTGGGGAATGTGGAGGGATGAGGAAGATGCGTGCACTGTAGACCCTGTGATGGCCAGGGAATAGAAGAGTCCACTTAGTCTCCATGCAAAGGATCAATGGTGGAAAAGTCTCCTGAACAGAAGCATGAGACTGCCCATCAAGGGTCTCACCAACCAAGGGCCTGGGGGCTGGGGTGGGGACGATGATTTGGGAATGGGACAGTTCTTTCTCACAGGTCCCACTGCACGGTGCGGAGGTGAAACAGTTGTGGGGAAGGGATGGGCAGAGGGAAGTCCGTTTTAGAACAAACCAGTGTGTGTGAATGAAGACATTAAACCTCCAGTCACACACAACAGACTTGAAACACCAGCCCCAGGTGGAGGCAGGATTGGAGCTGTTTTGAACATCCATAGCCCATCACCTTGGCCTCCTGTTTCTCCCCAGCCTCAGAAGGAGCACACTATCATCATTATGCCTATATGATAGATGAGAGACAGAGTCCCAGAGAGATGGTAGGCGTCTTGTCACAGGTCCTACAGCTGGCAGGTGCAGGAGGGGCTGAGTTTGGAGCTCACTGACTTCAGAAACATTAAGGAGGAAAGGTGTGTGTGGTGGAGGGAGGGAGAATTGAACAAACTCCGGGTTCTGTCCCCAGTCGCAAGGTAGAGGTTGTGGGTTCATTTTCCAAGACAAGGAGCCCTTAGAGATGGAGAGTGCAGGGAGGAAGAGGCAATCGTGGACATAGTGGGGACAGTGGGAGACAGAGATGTGCAGCCTGGGCAGAAGAAGGGCAGGCAAAGAAGCAGGGGATACCCAAGGCCAAGTGTGGGCTGTCACAGCCACCAGAGGGAGAGGGTGCCAGGAAGGAGGTTGTGGGGCTCCAGGAGAAACAGAGGTTCCCCAGATCTGTGAGCATGCCCTGCCTGGCACTGCAGGAAGAGGTGGCTGCCCCCCAGGTCAGTGTGGACGTACCTCCACCTGTGTCTCAGAGGAAACAAATTCTATTTTATCCCAATATAGTTCTGTATTACACAAATGTAATATTCCGATACTAGAAATTGAGTGCCTTATCCTCCATGCAAATAGAGGAGAGGATACCCTAAAGGAGATACTGAAGGATTTGATTTTTCTTTCTCCCTGGGAAGATGGGATCCATAAGTGGGGTCCCCCAGCCCACAAGACAAGTGCAAGGAAGGGTGGCTGGAAGATTGTGAGTTATGACAGGGAATATTTTTCCTTAGGTTCCATGAGTATATAAAGCTCCCAACTATCTGTCTATCATGGATAGATAAAGAGTGAACATGGTCCCCTCTCCACAAATGTGTTTCTCTCCTTCACTATTACAGTGAAGGTCTGAAGTTCCGTCAAGTTCTGATACATTACTTTTATTACTATTTTTCGTTTTTTTCTTTTTTCTGAGACAGAATGTCACTCTGTCGCCCAGGCTGGAGTGCAGTGGCGAGATCTCCCACTGCACTTCCCAGTTCGAAGGAATGTTGAGTAGGGCATGGGATCTATCTGCCATCTTGCTCCAATCATCTGGTTTTAGATATTTTATGTACCTTTGTCACTATATACGTGTAATTTTTCTCAATTAGGATTTCTAAATGGTTATTATTGGTATGCAGAAAACCTATCTATTACTATATATAATATTTTGTTACCTGTCTGGGTGCAGTTTCCCCTGCCTTTTGGCACAAGACTCAATCTGTTTTATTCTCAAAAAAAAAAAAAAAAAACTGATAATCTGGGTGTGGTGGCTCATGCCTGTAATCCCAGCACTTTGGTAGGCTGAGGTGTGTAGATCACCTGAGGTCAGGAGTTCGAGACCAACGTGGCCAAGATGGTGAAACCGCATCTCTACGAAAAACACAAAATAAAAAAAAATTAGCCACGCCTGGTGGCGCATGCCTGTATTCCCAGCTACTAGGGCAGCTGAGACGGGAGGATCACTTGAACTCGGGAGGCAGAGATTGCAGTGAGCCGAGGTGGCATCACTGCACTCCAGCTTGGGTGACAGACATTCTATCTCTAAATAAAAAGAAAAAGAAAAAAGAAAAATCACTTCACAGGCAATAGATAGTTATAAAAGGATACTTTATGGAAGATTTCATAGAGGAGACTGATGGAAAGAAAGAAGTGTATATTTTACAGAGCTGAGCAGTTCACAGCAAAAATCACCAGAACTGCCTTTTTCTCCAAAATTATTACCCCTAAGCTATTCTACTACTGGTTCTTCTAGTCCTTCCCTCTATTCCAAATCCTCAAATTGTCCATTTTCTTATTGCAATAATTTTCCTCTGTGCAGATCTAGGTCCTCCACAACACTTAGCACTCTCTTCGAGTGTTTGCATGCCCATTGTTTTAGCTCAGGTTCCCAACGAAACAGAATTTGGGCCATTCCAGACACCTCTAGACAGACTATACCGAGAAACCATGCCTGGAACGGTGCAGGGGGAGAGGAGAGGAGAGGGAATTTACATACCTGGCTCTCACTCCTGGTTCCTTTTCTTAACGGTCAAAATTTATCCCACAGGCACGAGCTCCCCTACACTTCTAGATTGCATCATCTGCCCCCTTGGCAGCTGTCTGGGAAGCCAGATCCCACACTTGGAAGTGTAGTGTTTCATACAATCCAAAAGTGGTAGCAGAGGCCAGGTGTGGTGGCTCACGCCTGTAATTCCAGCACTTTGGGAGGCCGATGCAGGCAGATCATGAGGTCAGGAGTTCGAGACCAGCCTGGATAGCATGGTGAAACCCCGTCTCTACTAAAAATACAAATTTAGCTGGGCATGGTGGCGTGCACCTGTAATCCCAGATACTCGGGAGGCTGAGGTGGGAGAATCGCTTGACCTCGAGAGGCAGAGGTTGCACTGAGCTGAGATCTCACCATTACACTCCAGCCTGGACGACAGAGAGAGACTCAATCTCAAAAACAAAACAAAACAAACAAACAAACAAACACAAAAGTGGTAGCAGAAGTCAGAAAGTCCAGGTATGTAGCTACTTTGCCTAGTTGTAAAGCAGCAGCCAAGGGTGAAAACTGAATACTCCCAGGCAAGTCCTAAGTTCACCGAGTAACTGGAGTACCCATCTGTGTTAGTTAATTGCCTTTATCTGAAGGAAAAGTAAAACTCATGTCTCTGTGACAACCAGGTGCTTACAGCTTGGAGCGAGGCACCTAGGCTAAACTCCTCTGGTGACAGGGAGACAAGGACATCATCTTCCTCAATGTTCACATTTCAAAGAGATGGCACCAAGGCCCTGAAGAAAGACATTCCTAGGGGATGGGCGTGGTGGCTCATGCCTGTAATCCCAACACTTTGGGAGGCTGAGACTGGAGGATCACTTGAGGCCTGGAGTTCAAGTTCAAGACATTCCTGGGTTCTAGGATGGCCAGAGGCTTACAGATCAAAGGAAGAATTTACAAATACAAATTTTCTCAAGAAAATGCTCTAAGGAAAGTGAAATGGGGAAAGGTCTCTTCTTCCCTTTTGGCAACAGGAAAAATTCAATTTTATGTTTAGTTACCCTTACAATTTCCCCCTTTTGTTATTGTTTTATAGTAACACTGCAATTTTCTAATTATCTCCACTGCTGTTTCTATCTTTCTCTGTGTAGTTTGCAGCCACCTAGATATCCAACAAATCCATAGTAAGATGCAAAGCAAAGCAATTATCAGGATTATAATAGAATGATTTTTTTTTTTCAGGACGGAGTTTCACTTTTGTTGCCCAGGCTGGAGTGCAACGGTGCGATGTCGGCTCACTGCAACCTCTGTCTCCTGAGTTCAAGCGATTCTCCTGCCTCAGCCTCCCGAGTAGCTGGGATTACAGGCATGTGCCACTACGCCCAGCTAATTTTGTATTTTTTGTAGATATGCAGTTCCACCATTTTAGCCAGGCTGGTCTTGAACTCCTTACCCCAGGTGATCCGCCCACCTTGGCCTCCCAAAGTGTTAGGATTACAAATGTGAGCCACCATGCCCTGCCTAGAAAGAATTCTTAAATTCAGTATAATACTCCCCTTGTTTGGGCGGGGGGACCTTTAAACACATCATACTGGTTAATTGTGTCAAAGTCAAAGTAAATTATAGAGACAAATCCCTAAATCAAATGCTGTATTTGGGAATCACAAAATTGCAATCCAGGGCATATACAAGGACTAGGGTGGTCTTCAGTGTGTCCAACGAACAAACAGAAGTTGGAAATTTTATTAGAAAGAAAAATGTTACATATTGTTTTGAAATGAGGCTCATTGGCCCTAGAGAAGCTGGTTCATTCACACAATCAGCTTTCATATTCCCTCTTTTGATCAACATCTTTGTTTGAAAACCTCACTGATTAACCATATTAAAGTGAGGCTTCATTGTCACTCCATGCCAGGATGGACATGGGCCGGTTGTCTTTGTCCCATGTCAAGGGAAAGGTAAGGGAGTCTAGATCAGGGACATGGGCCATATTTGAGCCACAAAGAGGCCAGAAGGAAAAAAAATTCAGGTAGGTTTGTCTGGAGTTCAGCATCAAATTCCATCTTGTTAGTCCCATCTATATTAGCATTCATCTTGAAGCACTAGGCCAACATTTTCCTGTTGGTAGAACTGGCTTAACAAATATTAGACAGGCAACAAGAATGGAGCTCAAAGATCATAATACAAAAGTAATTAGCTATCGTTATTTTATTTTATTTTATTTTATTGCAATGCAGTCTTCCTCTGTCGCCCAGGCTAGAGTGCAGTGGCGTGATCCCGGCTCACTGCAACCTCCACCTCCTGGGTTCAAGCGAATCTCCTGCCTCAGCCTCTCGAGTAGCTTGGATTACAAGTGCTCACC
Organism: Homo sapiens; assembly: GCF_000001405.40. Classification (NCBI taxonomy): domain Eukaryota; kingdom Metazoa; phylum Chordata; class Mammalia; order Primates; family Hominidae; genus Homo; species Homo sapiens. Next base: position 48,333,525 of record NC_000023.11, read on the forward strand.
ACCACACCCGGCTAATTTTTGTCTTTTCAGTAGAGACAGGGTTTCATCATGTTGGCCAGGCTGGTCTCGAACTCCTGACCTCAAGTAATCCGCCCTCCTTGGCATCCCAAAGTGCTGGGATTATAGGCACAAGCCACCGCACCCAGCTATAATTAGCAATAGTAGAATAAATTTAGTTTGTACAATGATTTTGAACTAAGATCCCAAGCCTAAGGGCCACCAGCTAAACAAATCAAAAGACTATGGGGGAATTGAATGAGACCTCTTATAGTCTTTGAGTAGCATTTGAGGACTGGGTTGAATTAAAGCAGAGTGCCAACTCTATAAAAGGGACCACTCTATAAAAAGGATTCACTAGGTGAATCAAAGGATTTGGGAGTCATGGTCTGCCAAGTGAAAAATGTAGACATTAAGGGGATAAGGGTCTCATTATGATATGAAGACTTATTCTGATGTCTTCGGAAAAGCTGTCTACAATGTGGAATCGTCAACTTCTCATCCTGATTTGTGGTTCGAATGTCTCTGGTTATGGCATTCGACAGTTTGGCGAACTCTTTGTGTGGTCCATACATCAGACACGAGACTTGTTCCTTAAAATGTATGCAGTTTGGATGGGTGCAGTGGTTCATGCCTGTAATCCTAGCACTTTGGGAGGCTGAGGTGGGCAGATCATGAGGTCAGGAGATAGAGACCATCCTGGGTAACTCGGTGAAACCCCGCCTCTACTAAAAATACAAAAAATTAGCCGGGGATGTTGTCACGTGCCTGTAGCCCCAGCTACTCGAGAGGTTTGGGCAGGAGAATCGCTTGAACGCGGGAAGCGGAGGTTGCAGTGAGCCGAGATCTCACCACTGCACTCCAGCCTTGGCGACAGTGTGAGACTCCGTCTCAAAAAAAAAAAAAAAAATTATGGTGTTTTTATCTTAGAGTATTTGTAAACCAAAAATAGCATCCTAAGCACCCCCACCCTTAACCATCTGAATGGACGTCCTCCTCAGCAAGGGCTCTTTTAAAATTAACCTGGGAGACTGTTTTAGGCCATGACAGGACGTGTTCGTCAGACATGCCTCATTATACCTCTCTGGCATCAATATCAACACAGACTTAAATCTCACAAGAAACGTGTTACAACCTAGTCTCTCTGAAGACTAGTACCTGAAGGCTTCCTCTGCAAATAAGAACTTGGGTCACCACAATCCTTTATCTTAACCCAGGCATTCCTTTCTGTTGATCCTAGGCATGTTTGTTTGTTTGTTTGTTTGTTGTTTTGAGACAGAGTCTAGATCTGTTGCCCAGGCTGGAGTATAATGGTGCATTCTCTGCCAACTGTAACCTCTGCCACCCGGATTCAAGCAATTCTCCTGTCTCAGTCTACCCAGTAGTTGGGGTTACAGGCACCCGCCATCACATCCAGCTAATTTTTTTGTATTTTTAGTAGAGACGGGGTTTCACCATGTTGGCCAGGCTGGTCTCCATCTCCTCACCTCAGGTGATTCATCTGCCTCAGCCTCCCAAAGTGCTGGGATTATAGGCATGAGCCACCAGGCCCGGCCAATCGTAGGTTTTTAGAAAACCCAACCAATTGTCAACTAGAAAATTTTTTAATCTACCTATAAACTGGAAGCCCCTGCTTCAAGTTGTCCTGCCTTTCTGGACCAAACCAATGTATTTCTTAAATGTATTTGATTGAGTCTTCATAAAATCTATAAAACCAAGCTGCACCCAACCTCCTTGGGCAACTCAGGACCTCCTGAGGCTGTGTCATGGGCCGTGGTCGCTCCTATTTGGCTCAGAATAAGTCTCTTCAAGTGTTTTCCAGAGTTTGACTCTTTTCATCAGCAGGCTTCAGGAACAGAGCAATTTCTGTTTTTAGTAATTTTATGGGAAAAAGTTGGATCTAGTCTAGTCTGTATGTAGATAACAAGAACTCGGCCAGGCGCAGTGGCTCAGGCCTGTATTCCCACCACTTTGGGAGGCCGAGGCGGGCGGATCACACGGTCAAGAGATTGAGACCATCCTGGCCAACATGGTGAAACACCGTCTCTACTGAAAATACAAAAATTAGCCGGGCGTGGTGGCATGCACCTGTAGTCCCAGCTACTCGGGAGGCTGAGGCAGGAGAATCGCTTGAATGCGGGAGGCAGAGGTTGCAGTGAGCCGAGATCCCGCCACTGCACTCCAGCCTGGTGACAGAGCGAGACTCTGTCTCAAAAACAACAACAACAACACAAAAAGAAAAAAAAACACAAGAACTCGAAAAAATGCAGAGAGCTACAATCTAATAACTGGTCTATTAGAGCTTTTCTTTAGCAACATAATTTTTCTCTATACATTGATCACTTAGGAATCTCAGATTTAAAAACCTCTTGAGCATAGAAAGTCAAACCAAGGCCGACTTTAGATTTCACCTACCTTCTTAAGGTTCCTGGGCCTGACAGAAAGTGACCGTTTTTATTCACCCACTCTAAAGCTAAAAACACTTGAAGTCAGGCATTCCATGCATTTTGATGAAAGCCTTGGTAATACAACCAATTTTTTTTTCTTTTTGAGACAGAGTCTTGCTCTGTCACCCAGACTGGTGAGATCTCAGCTCACTGCAGCCTTCGCCTCCTGGGTTCAAGCAATTCTCCTGCTTCAGCCTCCTGAGTGGCTAGGATTACACATGTACACCACCATGCCCTACTACATTTTTTCTTTATAATTTTTAGTAGAGATGTGGTTTCCCCTTGTTGGCCAGGCTGGTCTCAAACTCCTGACCTCAGGTGATCCACCCACTTCAGCCTCCCAAAGTGCTGGGATTACAGGTGTGAGTCACCATGCCCGGCCTTATAACCAATGTTTTTAATTGTATCTGTCTATAAAGAGAGAGCAGATTTTTTTGTGTGTGTTTAGAAAAAAGGTGGGTCAGGTGCAATGGCTCACACCTAAAATCCCAGAGCTTTGGGAGGCCACTTGAGCCCAGAAGTTCAAGATCAACCTGGGCAACATAACTAGACCCCCGTTGCTAAAAAAAAAAAAAAAAAAAAAAAAGAAAGAAAGATAGAAAAGAGAAAAGAAGTATGGTTTTATAACTACCTGCAGGTAGGGCCTGCATGAGGCGGCGGGTGTACTTGAGAGAAGAGAAGAGGAAAGGAGGAGAGGAGAGGGGAGGGGAGGAAAGCAGGGGAGAAGGGCGAAGGGAGGGGGAGGAAGGGGAGGGAGGGGGAGCGGTGGAGCAGCATGGAGGAGGGAATGGTTTTATTACTACCTGCAGGCAGGGCCTGCATGAGGTGGTAATTGTGCTGGGCCCAGGGTATGTGTGGGCTGTGAGCAGATGGTGATGGTGAGGCTGGAAAGAAAGGGGTTGGCTTGGAAACCAGGCCCAGGGGATCCTCAGATCCGCTTCTTGGAATGGGCAGCCTTGAGAAAAGAGTCATGGTAAGCCACAGTCATGCCATCCATCAGATGCAGAAATTCTTGGAAATCTAGCTGCCCATCACTAGTGAGGTCCAGTTTCTTCATCATGTGGTCAAAGACACTGGGGCCCTCTGGTTCTTCATGAAGGCATCCAGTTCTGTATTCATGAAGCTTGGGAACTCCATCTTGGAGTGAGTGCTATTGTAACCATCCTTTCCAGCCTATTTCTGGAAAATAGCAATCAGGGACTCTCTGTAGGGCTGGAGACTTTTGCCATGTTGGAGTTGAATGAGGCACCAAGAGCAGGTTTTTACTGGACCTGTGTGAATAACCATATTGCCATAGGAATATTTACAAATAGTTTTTGAATTCTGGAGGAATTGAGTAGTAAGAAAAAGCAAACATTTCCATCTCAGTTTACAAAAGTATACTTCACAAAATTATTATAAACTATAGATAGTTTAACAGAGAAAATTTTCTCTTTGTTTTCATTTTTTTGAGAAAGGATTGTGCCCCGTTGCACAGGCTGGAGTGCAGTGGTGCAAACACGGCTCCCTGCAACCTCTGGGTCCCAACTCAAGTGATCCTCCCACCTCGGCCTCCCAAGTAGCTGGGATCACAGGCACATGCCACCATGCCCAGCTAATCTTTTTATTTTTGTTTTTGTTTTTTTAGAGACAGGATTTTGCCATGTTGCCCAATCTGGTCTTGAACTCCCGGGCTCAAGCGATCCTCCTGCCTTGGCTTCCAAAGTGAGCCACCACATCCCACCAGAAAATTTTCTTAAATGTGGAAAACAAAACATTTAGGTAAAAAACAAATAAAGTTTTATTTTCTTAATTTCTTTCAGAAACCGGGTCTCCTATATTTCCCAGGTTGGTCTTGAACTCCTGCACTCAAGAGATCCTCCTGTTCCGGCCTCCAAAAGTGCTGGGATCAGAGGTGTGAGCCACTGCACCTAGCCCAAGAATAAATAAAGTTTTAAATAAAGGTCATAAAAACATTATTGGTTATTTAGCCTCATATAATTAATGTTTGTTCTGCTTGATCTTGATAATCAGTTGCATGAACCCATCAGTTTTCATTAGAGTTTTCAAAAATTATTTATTTAGTTCATTGATCTGAAAGTTATTACAAATCTATATTCAACAGTACTTGTTAAAATATTTTTTAAGAATCTGATTCTGGATGCCTTTAGAGAAGAATCAGCACTGTAGATGATAAAGCTTAGAATAGTAGCGATGAAAATCTGACGAAAGTTCAATAATTGACAAGAAAATTCAGTTATTTCTATTATAGAGAGCATTTTAAGATAACAACCAGAATCATGACTAATAGCATCACACCAGGACCATCAGACCTCTGTAAATTTTACATGATCTTCTGAACATTAACGTCAATAACATATCTATGTAAATGTAAACAGCGATTAGTATTTTTTATTATTTGACATTGCTTTTCATATAATCTAACATATCAAATAAGCCTAATGAGAGACACATTCTTTGAGGCTCTCCAGGGGCCTCACTGGTAAATCTCAAAGTCAATTTTAGGTTAAAAAGACTTAAATTAGAGTTTGATTAGTTTGTTCAACAGCAGTAGTTAAATTAAAAAAGAATTGCATTTTGGGGAAGTTTGTCAAAGATGTTAAAAGGCTCAAAACACTTGTGCAAAACAGGATCATGGGTCACTGTGGAAATAATAGTCACTCATTTAACCAGAGTGATAGTCCACAGACTTCAAAAGCAATACAGAAAGTTACACGGACTTAAAAACTTACCCTTTCAAAGCTCAGTTTTCCTAAGCAAGAAGAAACCTAATTAGTAGGCCGGGCGTGTTGGCTCACGCCTGGAATCCCAGCACCTTGGGAGGCCGAGGCGGACAGATCACTTGAGGCCAGGAGTTCAAGACCAGGCTGAGCGACATGGCAAAACCCCTTTTCTACTAAAAGGACAAAATATTAGCTGGGTGTCGTGGCCCACGCCTGTGGTCCCAGCTACAGGAGGCAAAAGAATTGCTTGAACCCGGGAGACAAAGGTTGCAGTGAGCCAAGATCCCGCCCATTGCATTCCAGCCTGGGCGACAGAGAGAGACTCCATCTCAAAACAAAACCCTAGGATCAACAGAAAGGAATGCCTGGGTTAAGATAAAGGATTGTGGAGACCCAAGTTCTTATTTGCAGAGGAAGCCTTCAGGTACTAGGCTTCAGAGAGACTAGGTTGTAACATGTTTCTTATTAGACTGAAAGTCTGTGTTGATGTTGATGCCAGAGAGGTATAATGAGGCATGCCTGACCCCCACTTCCTGTCATGGCCTGAAACCATCTCTCAGGTTAAATTTTAAAAGAGCCCTGGCTGAGGAAGAAGTCCATTCAAATGGTTGTGGGTTGGCGGGGGATAGGATTTTATTTTTGATCTACAAGTTCTGTAAGATAAAAGTGCATACATTTTAAGGAACAAGTCTGCTGCCTGATGTATGGACCACACAAAAAGTTCACCAAACTGTCCAATGCCATAACCGGAGACATTCGAACGACAAATCAGGATGAGAAGTTGACGTTTCCACACTATAGACAGCTTTTCCCAAGACGTCAGAATAAGTCTTCATATCGTAATGAGACTCTTACCCCCTGAATGTCTACATTTTTCACTTGACAGAACCCGACGCCCAAATCCTTTACCTCACCTAGTGGTCCCTTTAGAGTTGGCACTCTGCTTTAATTCAACCCAGTCCTCAAATGCTACTCAAAGACTACAAGAGGTCTCATTCAATTCCCCCATAGCTTTTTGATTTGTTTAGCTGGTGGCCCTTAGGCTTGGGATCTTGGTTCAAAACCATTGTACAAACTAAATTTATTATACTATTGCTAATTATAGCTGGGTGTGGTGGCTCACGCCTGTAATCCCAGCACTTTGGGATGCCAAAGAGGGGGGATCATTTGAGGTCAGGAGTTCGAGACCAGCCTGGCCAACATGGTGAAACCCTGTCTCTACTGAAAAGACAAAAATAAGTCAGTCATGTTGGTGGGCACCTGTAATCCCAGCTACTGGGGAGGCTGAGGCAGGAGAATCGCTTGAACCCGGGAGATGTAGGTTGCAGTGAGCCGGGATCACGCCACTGCACTTCAGGCTGGGCGACAGAGCAAGAATCCATTGCAATAAAATAAAATAAATAAAATAAAATAAAATAAAATAAAATAAAATAAAATAAAATAAAATAAAGTAAAATAATAAAATAAATAAAATAAAATAAAATAAACAATTGCTAATTATTTTAGAATTATGATCTTTGAGCTCCATACTTGTTGCCTAATATTTGTTAAGCCAGTTCTCCCAAGAAAATAATGTTATCCCAGTGCATCAAGATGATTGCTAATATAGATGGGACTAACAAGATGGAACTTGATGCTGAACTCCAGGCAAACCTGCCTGAAATTTTTTTTCCTTCTGTCCTCTTTGTTGCTCAAATATGGCCCATGTCCCTGATCTAGACTCCCTTACCTTTCCCTTGACATGGGATAAAGACAACCGGCACAGGTCCATCCTGGCATGGAGTGACAATGAAGCCTCACTTTAAGATGGCTGATCGGTGAGGTTTTGAAAGAAAGATGTTGATCAAAAGAGGGAATGTGAAAGCTGATTGTGCGAATGAACCAGCTTCTCCAGGGCCAATGAGACTCATTTCAAAACAATATGTAACATTTTTCTTTCTAATAAAATTTCCAACTTCTGTTTGTTCGTTGGACATAATGAAGACCACCCTAGTCCGTGTATATGCCCTGAATTGCAATTTTGTGATTCCCAAATACAGCATTTGATTTAGGGATTTGTCTCTATAATTTATTTTGACTTTGACACAATTAACCAGTATGATGTGCTTAAAGGTTGCCCCACCCCCTGACAGGGTGAGTATTATACTGAATTTAAAAATTCTTTCTAGGTAGGGCATGGTGGCTCACATCTGTAATCCTAACACTTTGGGAAGCCGAGGTGGGTGGATCACCTAGGGTGAGGAGTTGAAGACCAGCCTGGCTAAAATGGTGAAATCCCATCTCTAAAAAAATACCAAATTAGCTGGGCGTAGTGGCACATGCCTGTAATCCCAGCTACTCAGGAGGCTGAGGCAGGAGAATTGCTTGAACTTAGGAAACAGAGGTTACAGTGAGCCGACATCGCACCATTGCACTCCAGCCTGGGCAACAAGAGCGAAACTCCATCCCGAAAAATAAAAAATCATTCTATTACAATCTTGATAATTGCTTAGCTTTGCATCTTACTATGGACTTGTTGGATATCTAGGTAGCTGCAAACTATGCAGAGAAAGATAGAAACAGCAGTGGAGATAATTAGAAAATTGTAGTGTTCCTATAAAACAATTAACAAAAGGGGGAAATTGTAAGGGTAACTAAACATAAAATTGAATTTTTCCTGTTGCCAAGAGAGAAGAAGAAACCTGTCTCCATTTCACTTTCCTTAGAGCATTTCCTTTAGAAATTTTGTATTTGTAAATTCTTCCTTTGATACGTAAGCCTCTGGCCATCCTAGAACCCAGGAATGTCTTGAACTTGAACTCCAGGCCTCAAGTGATCCTCCAGCCTCAGCCTCCAAAAGTGTTGGGATTACAGGCATGAGCCACCATGCCCGTCCCTTAGGAATGTCTTTCTTCAGGGCCTTGGTGCCATCTCTTTGAAATGTGAACATTGAGGAAGATGATGTCCTTATCTCCCTGTCACCAGGGGAGTTTAGCCTAGGTGCCTCGCTCCAAGCTGTAAGCACCTGGTTGTCATAGAGACATGAGTTTTATTTTTCCTTCAGATAAAGGCAATTAACTAACACAGATGGGTACTCCAATTACTTGGTGAACTTAGGACTTGCCTGGGAGCATTTAGTGTTCACCCTTGGCTGCTGCCGTACAGCCAGGCCAATTACCAACATATCTGGACTTTCTGATTTCTGCTACCACTTTTTATTGTTCGTTTGTTTTGCTTTTGTTTGTTTTTGTTTTGTTTTGTTTTTGAGGCGGAGTCACCCTCTGTTGCCCAGGCTGGAGTGCAGTGGTGTTATCTCAGCTCATTGAAACCTCTGCCTCCCAGATTCAAGCGATTCTCCTACCTCAGCCTCCCGAGTAGCTGGGATTACAGGCGTGTACCACCATGCCCAACTAATTTCTGTATTTTTAGTAGAGACGGGGTTTCTCCATTCTGGCCAGGCTGATCTCCAACTCCTGACCTCATGATCCGCCTGCCTTGGCCTCCCAAAGTGCTGGGATTACAGGTGTGAGCCACCACGCCTGGCCTCTGCTACCACTTTTGGATTGTATGAAACACTACACTTCCAAGTGTGGGATCTGGCTTCCCAGACAGCTGCCAAAGGGGCGGGTGATGCAATCTAGAAGTGTAGGGGAGTTCATGCCTATGGGATATCTATTGCCTGTGAAATGAATTTTCTTTTTTTTCTTTTTCTTTTTTATTTAGAGACAGAGTCTCTGTCACCCGAGCTGGAGTGCAGTGGCCCGATCTCGGCTCACTGCAATCTCTGCCTCCTGAGTTTATGTGATCCTCCCTCCTCAGCTGCCCTGGTAGCTGGAACTACAGGCATGCAACACCAATGCCTGGCTAAGTTTTTCATTTGTATGTTTAGTAGAGAAGGGGGTTCACCATCTTGGCCAGGCTGGTCTTAAACTCCTGACCTCAGGTGTTCCACCCGCCTCAGTCTCCCAAAGTGCTGGGATTACAGGCGTGAGCCACCGCACCCAGCCTGTCACATTTATTTTGGAGAATAAAACAGGTTGAATCTTGTGCCAAAATGCAGGGGAAGCTGCACCCAGACAGGTAACAAAATATAATATACAATCATAGATAGGTTTTCTACATACCAATAATAACCATTTAGAAAACCAAATTGAGAAAAATTACACGTATATAGTGACAAAAGTACATACAATATCTAAAACCAGATGATTGGAGCAAGATGGCAGATAGATCCCGTGCCCTACTCAACATTCCATTGAACTGGGAAGAAAATGTTTTCAAGGGTCAATTCTTAACAGTAGAGGAAAATAGGAAAGCGTGTCAGCGGTCCACCAGAAATATTGAGGCATTCCTGGGAGATAGAGTAGATGGGGTCAGACTGATAGAGAAACCCAAGGAGACAAGACCACAGCTCAAATCACTGTAGGCGAGAGATGCTGTTTGCTTTTTGAGACAGACTTACTCTGTCGCCAGGCTGGAGTGCAGTGGCGTGATCTCGGCTCACTGCACCCTCCGTCTCCCAGGTTCAAGGGATTCTCCCACTTCACTCCCTGCAGTAACTGGAATTCACAGGCCAGCCCACCACTACTGCCTAATTTTTGTATTTTTAGAAGAGACGGGGGTTTCACCCTGTTGGTCAGGCTGGTCACAAACTCCTGACCTCAAGTGATCTGCCTGCCTTGGCCTCCCAAAGTGCTGATATTACAGAGTGGGTCACCGCGACCGCCCAGGAGATTCTCTTTGTAACAAAGCCTCTGAAAATCCCCAAACCCTAAATCAAAAAAAACACGGAGCTGGAAAGGGCCTTAGGATAATCATCATGTAGGTTAATTTAAAAGTTCATTAGAGGAACCAACCCAAATGTCCAACAATGATAGACTGGATTAAGAAAATGTGGCACATATACACCATGGAATACTATGCAGCCATAAAAAATGATGAGTTCATGTCCTTTGTAGGGACATGGATGAAGCTGGAAACCATCATTCTCAGCAAACTATCCCAAGGACAAAAAACCAAACACCGCATGTTCTCACTCATAGGTGGGAATTGAACAATGAGAACACATGGACACAGGAAGGGGAACATCACACACCGGGGCCTGTTGTGGGGTGGGGGGAGGGTGGAGGGATAGCATTAGGAGATATACCTCAGGTTAAATGACGAGTTAATGGGTGCAGCACACCAACATGGGACATGTATACATATGTAACAAACCTGCACGTCGTGCACATGTACCGTAGAACTTAAAGTATAATTTAAAAAAAAAAGTTCATTAGAAACATCTGAATCAGCCAGATTCCCCTTCAACACCACAGACAGATTGGCTGGCAGTAGCCACTTTTGCCTCTAAGATGAAAAATCTGATAATTGCTCATTAAAGAAAGTGAAGGCCTGGCGAGGTGGCTCACACTTGTCATCCCAGCACATTGGGATTGGGAGGCTAAGGGAGGAGGATTGCCTGAGGCCAGGGGATCCAGACCAGCCTGGGCAACATAGTGGATGCCGTCTCTATAAAAAAATACAAAAACTAGCTGGGTGTGGTGGCGTGTGCCTGTAGTCCCAGCTAGATCGGAAGCTGAAGTGGGAGAATCCCTTGAGCCTGGGAGATCGAGGCCGCAGTGAGCTGTACTTGCATCACTGCACTCCAGCCTGGGCGACAGACTGCGATCATGTCAAAAAAAAAAAAAGTAATATATCAGGACTTGGTGTAACTTCAGCCCTTTACAGTAATAATGAAGGAGAGAAACACATTTGTGGAGAAGGGACCGTGTTCACTCTTTATCTATCCATGATAGACAGATAGTCAGGAGCTTTATATACCCATGGAACCTAAGGAAAAATGTTCCCTGTCATAACTCACAATCTTCCAGCTACCCTTCCTGGCACCTGTCTTGTGGGCTGGGGGACCCAACTTATGGATCCCATCATCCCAGAGAGAAAGAAAAATCAAATCCTTCAGTAAGTATCTCTTTTAGGGTATCCTCTTCTCTATTTGCTTGGAGGATAAGGCTCTCGATATCTAGTAGCCAAATGTTGTGTAATACAGAACTATATTGGGATAAAATAGAATTTGTTTCCTCTGAGACACAGGTAGAGGTACGTCCACACTGACCTGGGTGGCAGCCATCTCTTTCTGCAGTGCCAGGCAGGGCATGCTCACAGATCTGGGGAACCTCTACTGCTCCTGGAGCCCCACAACCTCCTTCCAGGCACCCTCTCCCTCTGGTGGCTGTGACAGCCCACATGTGGCTTTGTGTCTCCCCTGCTTCTTTGCCTGCCTCTCTTCTGCCCACCCTGCATATCTCTGTCTCCCACTGTCCCTGCTGTGACCACGACTGCCTCTCCCTCCCTGCACTCTCTCTCTCCTAGGGCTCCTTGTCTTCGGTAAATGAACCCACAGCCTTCACATTGTGATTGGGGACAGAGCCCGGGGCTTGTTCAATTCCCCTTCCCTCCACCACACACACCTGTCCTCCTTAAAGTTTCTGAAGTCAGAGAGATCCAAACACAGCTCCTCCTGCACCTGCCAGCTGTGGGACCTCAGACAAGACGCCTACCATCTGTCGGGAACTCCGTCTCTCATCTATTATATTGGCATAATGATGATAGTGTCCTCCTTCGAAGGCTGGAGAGAACCAGAAGGCCAAGGTAATGGGCCATGGACGGTCAAAACTGCTCCAATTCTGCCTCCACCTGGGGCTGGTGTTTCAAGTCCATTGTGTGTGAATGGAGCTTTGATGTCTTCATTCACACACAATGGTTTGTTCTAAAATAGACTCCCCTCTGCCCTTCCCTTCCCCACAACTGTTTCCCCTCCACACTGTGCAATGGTACATGTGACAAAGAACTGTCCCATTCCCAAATCATCGTCCCCACCCCAGCCCCCAGGCCCCTGGTTGGTGAGACCCTTGATGGGCAGTCTCATGCTTCTGTCCAGGGGACTTTCGTACCGATTGCTCCCCTGCATGGAGACTAAGTGGACTCTTCTATTCCCTGGCCATCACAGGGTCTACAGTGCACACATCTTCCTCATTCCTTCATGTTCCCCAGATGACGATTTCATCTGTGTCTCCTCCCACATACTCCCAAATGGACTGTCCCAGACCTTGAATCCGGAAATCATTCAGAGAGCAAAGGCCAAGATGCCTAAACACCTGCTGCAGAATCCTGCTCCAGGACTGAAATGTATAGTCTCTATCAAAATAAAAACTGGGGGTCAGGCATGGTGGCTCACTCCTGTAATCCTAGTAGTTTAGGAGGCCAAGGTGGGAGGATCGCTTTGGCCCAGGACTTTGAGACCAGCCTGGGTAACAGAGCAAGACTTTCTTGACAAAACCTAAAAAAATTAGTGGATCATGATGGTGCATGCCTGTAGTCACAGCTTCTCTGGAGGCTGAGGAGGGAGGATTGCTTGAGCCCAGGAGTTCAAGGCTGCATTGAGCTATGATCATGCCACTGCATTCCAGCCAGGACAGAGCAAGACTCTCATCTCTAGAAGAAACAAACAAACAAATAAAACCCAACAACTGCAAACATCCTTCTCTAGAATGGGGTCACGAACTCCTGTCTGTCTTGTTCCCTGATGTCGCTCCAGCACCTAGAACAGCGCTCAGCACGAGGACGCACTCAGTGTTTTGTTGAATAAATGACTCCTTTGACACAGCAATTCCACTTCTAAGAATCTTTCCTAAAGAAATATGCACACACGTGCACAGAGCTGTGTGCACAATAATGGCACGAGCAAACAACTGGGGAACGTTTGCAAAGGTTTATTTACTGTCAGTGACTGCTACAGGGGAATCGGATGAGGGGAGTACATGCTGACCAGGAAACAGAGTGAGGGAAGCCTGACCAGGACGCATGGCAATGGGAAAAGCAGATGGGAGATGCTTATACTGGTACTTGGTGTGTGTCTGTGTGTGTGTGTGTGTGTGTGTGGTGTGGTTTGTGTGTGTGTGTAAATGCAGAGGAAAAAATCTGAAATTAAACACTCAGAACTGCCCTCAGTAGTCACATCTAGGGAGAGAGGAGGGTAATGCTGTTCCATGCAGAGGTAACTGACAATACTTGTTTTCTAAGGTAGGTGCATGGATACACAAACCAAAATATGCATTAAGTATGTCTTGCTCATCAGTGAAAATGTTAATATCTAACAGAATGACACACTTCAAGAAAATACAATGGAAACGCTAATATCGTACTCTTGGCACACTAAGAAAAATGACGCTCAACTTTTCACTGTTGTGAACACTTGCTTTCACTTGCTATGCACCTGATGACGAGGGGTCCACAGCCATGCCCATGTTCGTGAAAGGTCACCACGTTCTGCTTCTCATCATGGGCATGTGTCATATCCCCAAGGCTGAGGCAAGAAGAGAGAAGGAAAGTAAGTGGCAGTGAGTTCCCACCACGTGACAACTCAATCTCAACTCCTCCTGACCTGCAGACCCTGCACACTCCGATTCTGCCCTATCTCAGGACCTGCACACACCTTCCACGGTTCCTCGAAGTGAACCATCTGTTCATGCCACAGTGACTTCCTCGCCTGGGCTATCAATTCCTAGGCTAGAGGAAGGTGTGGCCCGCATATCAGGGCTGACCTGGGGTTTGGGACCCCACAGCATCCTGGGTAGGGAGCATCCCTGGATATATACAGGGCAGGGAGTAGAAAGAGCATGGGAAATCTCATCATTCAGCCTCAATGCTGTACACTAGAAAATTATAAGAAGGGAATGATTTGGGGAGCAAGTGACAGATGGGATGCCAGTATCATAACAGAATAGCACATCTGCAGGGATGCAGGGGATGAGTGGAAGGTTCTCTTACGGAGTTACTCATCATCTTCCTCAGGATCGCTGATCTCTTCATAAATCACCAGCTGCTTTCTCTCACGCAGTCTGTGGGTCCAGGCATGTTCCCCCCTTTTGGGTCCTATGATGGAGAATAGTTGGAAAGTGAGGGTTGGGTAGGTTGGAGAGTGTTAGGCTCTGTTTACTCAAAAAAAGGAGATGCCTGCTTCCTCCCAAGTGCCCATGGGCCTTCTTTATCCAGTTTTTCACATTCTCTGGCTTAGAGAGGCTGAGACCTTAGACCCACACCAATATAGGCCAAATGCCAATTAAAGTTTTAGCTTCTGGCTCCTTCCCTTCTCAGGCTTAGATTCCCAACCTCTTCACTTACGGGAACATTCCCCCATACCTAATTTCATACAGCACGTATTTGTTAAAGCCACACAGGCATACCTTGTTTTGTTGCACTTCATGTTCATACTGCTTCGCAGATGCTGCAATTTTTTTTTTTGGAAATTCTCACCAATTTTACACTTTTCCATTATTATTATATCTGTTATAGTGATCTGTGATCAGTGAGCTTTACTATTATTACTAAAATTGTTTTTGTTGTTTTTTAGTGTTTTAAAATAATTTTTGTTCTTTATTTTGTGGGTACACAGTAGGTGTATATTCTTATGGGGTACATGAGATGCTTTGATACAGGCATGCAATGCATGATAATCACATCATGGAAAATAGGGTATCCATCCTCAAGCATTTATCCTTGCCTTACAAACAATCCATTTATGCTCTTTTAGTTTTTTTAAGTACAATTAAGTTATTATTGACTATAATCACCCTGTTGTGTGTAATTGTTTTGGGGGTACCAGGAACTGCACCCATAGAATATGACAAACTTAATCGATTAATGTTTTGTGTCTTCTGACTGCTCCACCGATGAGCTGTTCCGCGTCTCTCTTCCTTTTCTTGGGCCTCCCTATTTCCTGAGACACAGCAATACTGAAATGAGGATTATTAACAACCTTACAATGGCCGTTAAGTGTTCAAATGAAAGGAAGAGTCGCATGCCTTTCACTCTAAATCACAAGCTAGAAATGGCTAAGATTAGTGAGGAAGCATGCTGAAAGCCAAGACAGGCTGAAAGCTAGGCCTCTTGCACCAAACAGCCAAGCTGTGAATGCAAAGAAAAGTTCTTGAAGGAAATAATAGTATATAATGCAAAGGAAAAGTTCTTGAAGGAAATAATAATACTAATACTCCAGTGAACACACGAATAAGAAAGCAAAACTGCCTTACTGCTCAAATAGAGAAAGTTTGAGTGGTCAGGATAGAAGATGAAACCAGCCACAACATTCCCTTAAGCCAAAGTCTAATTCAGAGCAAGACCAGAACTCTCTTCAAATCCATGAAAGCTGAGAGAGGTGAAGAAGCTGCAGGAGAAACCTGTGAAGCTAGCAGAGGTTGGTTCGTGAGGTTTAAGGAAAGAAGCCGTCTCTATAACATAAAAGTGCAAGGTGAAGCAGCAAACCCTGATGGAGAAGCTGCAGCAAGTTATCCGGAAGATCTAGCTAAGATCACTGATGAAGGTGGCTACACGAAACAACAGATTTTCAATGTAGATAAAATAGCCTTCTATTGGAAGGAGATGCCATCTAGGACTTTCATAGCTAGAGAGGATTGAGTTCAACTTTGAAAGGAGTTCTACTGTGGGTAAAATGCTATCCAATAGCATCACATACTACAGAGAAATCCTTCATGAAAGGGAGAGCTAATCGATGTGGCAAATTTCATTGTTGTGTTCTTTTAAGAAACTGCCACAGCCACTCCAATCTTCAGCAACCACCACCTTGACCAGCCAGCAGCCATCAACACCGAGGCAAGACCCTCCACCAGCAAAAAGAGTGTGACTCACTGAAGGCTCAGAAGATTGTTAGCATTTTTAACAATGAATTATTTTAAAATTAAGGTATATACATTTTTAGACATAATGCTATTGCACACTTAGTAGACTACACTGTAGTGTAAACATAACGTTTTATGCACTGTCAAACAAAAAACAATGTGTGTGACTCACTTTATTGCAGTGGTCTGGAACCGAACCTGCAGTATCTCTGAAGGACACCTGTATTGGGTAACAGGCATTGAGCTGAGTAAGATATGATCCCAGGTTATCACAGATAGAATCGCTTGAGCACCTTTCATGTCATCAGGCCTTCTAGATTAAATTTAATGTCTCCAAACAATTTATGAACTATGATTCTTTATTTCCATCTTATGGACTAGGAACCTGGAGCTGAGGAAATTTGGAAGACTTTCCTCAAGTCACGTGGTTTTTTTTTATATGGATGACAACTCCAGTCTGTCTCTGGAAGTCATGTCTAACATCTCATCTGGAGCTGGGCAAGCTCCTCAGCCCAGCCTGGACCCAGGGTTATCTGGGATCCATGCCACACACCCAGTCCACACACCTGAACGTCGCCAGGGAAGCCAGTGGGATTGTTCCTGAATTGCTTCCTCTTACCAGATATCATGTTAATCTTCTCAGAGGTAGTTGGTTTTCCCGGGGGGCACAGCTGTTTCCCATCGTTTTGTGGGCCAGATGCTTCTGGCACTTCCTTCGAAACATTTCCTTCCTCTGCTGGCTTCTTGGGCATGATCTTTATAATGTGAAGGTCATAGATAAATAGTATCAGTGACATTTCTATAGTGCTTTTGAGCTTACAAAGGGTCTTCACATGCATTAGCTTATTCAATGTTCTCAACAACACTGGGAGAGTTACACAGGCCTAAATTAGGAGAAACCTGGGAGGGGAGGTTAGAAGGGAAAGGAATGGCCTAAGTGAATATGGTTTCCAGGGATAGAATGCTTATCTTCCCACTCTTTTAGGACTCACATTCTTGCAAACAGCAAAAATCTCCATTTAATTGAGAGTGTGATATACAGATGATTTGGAGAAGAGTAGCATTCTAAGAATTCACAAGGTCTACAAAGGGAAGAGGTTCTGTAAAATACAAGGGATCCCATATAAGCTTGTAGACAGCTGCTGGGAGAGTAAATGTAAAAACATAGGGAGGCGACAAAACACTGCTGGGAAAGATGGTGTGGGGAGATGAACACAAGGAAGGGAGAGGGAAATAAATGGCTTGCTGAAATTAATCTAGGCAGCAAACAAAGCAGTACCAGATATGACATACTACCCTACCGAGGCACCAATTGAATGTGGAATTCAGTGAGGTGGTACCCATACCAATTCTGGTTGCATTGGGATGTGTACTGACCAACAATCTTAAGCTGCTTTCTTTTTCTTTTTTTTTTTTTTTTTTGAGACGGAGTCTTGCTGTGTCGCCAGAATGGGGAGCCGTGGCATGATATCGGCTCAAGGCAATATCTGACTCCCGCGTTTAAGCGATTCTCCTTCCTTAGCCTCCAGAGTATCTGGGACTACAGGCAGGCACTACCACGCCCCACTAAGTTTTGTATTTTTAGTAGAGACGAGGTTTCACCATGTTGGGCAGGATGGTCTCGATCTCCTGACCTTGTGATCTGCCCGACTCAGCCTCCCAAAGTGCTGGGATTACAGTCGTGAGCCACCGCGCCCTGATCTTAAGCTACTTTTAATTCAGCTTCCTCCCTTATGAAATAGTGAACCATACATGTAAAATAGGCTACAAGAAAGTGCTCTCTGAGCTTGTAAACACTCTTTAAATGTAGTAATAATAACAATTAATACCTTTCACAATCCTTCTTTGAATTCAGTCTCCACACTGGCAACCCAACTCCCAGATCCCTTTACCCTCCAAACCAGAGTTGAATCTGCACTTGTGGGATCACTCATTCAGGGGCCTCCGAGGGATCCCCTGGGCTGGGACTGGGGCTTCCCAGACGCCCCAGGTGCAGACAAGGCACTCAAGGAGCTCACAGTAGGGAGGGGCCAACAATCAAAGCGATTCCTAAGCCATGCAAGTGGCCCCAGTAACACAGCAGAGACCAGATGGTCCTTCCTGTTGCGAGAGTGGGTGTCTCAATGGAAGCACCAGCAGGCCCTATGGGGTGAAGCCCTAGTGAGCAACATCTGAACTTCATAAACAAATGCAAACGTGAATGAGCTTTAAATGGCTTGGAGCTCTGGATTAGACTACCACTGACACTGCGCCTCAGGAAAATTCTTTAACATCTCTGTACCACGATAGCCTCATTTTATTATTATGTTGCTGATAACTATGATCTAAAACATAAACTATAATTCTTTACTTCCATTTCATGGACCAGGAATCTGGAGCTCAGAGAACTCAGAAGATTTGTGCCAAGTCATATGGCTATCATATGGATGAAAACTGAAATGTGTTACTCATTATTATTCGGAGATAATAGAAACAATGTCTTCTTAAGGATTAAATAAATTAATCCATGTGAACTGCTTGAAATAGTATCTGGCATCACTATGAAAACAAAAGAGGTATGAACAATCACAAATGTTGGTACTATCAAGCCGTCGGTGCTACATCAGGTGTTGTGATAGACATGGGGAGAAGAAGGCAGTGAGGGCATTGTTGATATTCTCCCACTCTTACCAGTGTTCGCATCCTTGGAGGGACAAAGGTTCTCTGGTCCTTTAGATCTGAAAGATACTCACCTTCGGGAAGATTCCCTGGAGCCTGCCGAAAGTCATCTGAGGACGTTGAACTGAAAGAGAATACATCAGAATTTTTCATTGTTGGTAAAGGTTTCCAAACTCTAGAGAGACTTCTGTCGCATCAGGGTATTCTGCAGCAGAGGCTTATGAGTCCACGCATTGTTGAGGAGTTATTTCAGATTTGCTTCTGAATTATGTTTAGTCATGGTTGATGCATTTATCTGTGGCATCAATTCAGAATTTTCCATCTCATGGTTTATCACATGGGGACTACACCCCATCACAGTCTCATCTTATTCGATTACATATCTTTTACTTTTTCCCAAATAATTAAATTGATTGGTTAGGAATCTGAACTGTATCCACTCAAGATGTGCAACAACTGAAAATCATTGTACACTTCAAATGGGTGAATCTTATGGTATGTGAATTAAGCTGTTAAATGTGTGGTGAACCACGGATGATTTGGTCCAGTGGCTCTGAAAGATTTTCAGTACAAAGACAGTCCTTTAACGTTAAAAACTTGGCAGATACTCAAGCACTGGCTTTTCAGATCTCTTATAGTGATTGCGGGAGATTGTAGAATCTGGCCTGTTTAGTTGGCGAGTAATAGGTCTATTGGAGACGGTTTGGACATTCTGACCTTGTCTTATAATTATGTTGTCAGAGTAGAAGAGCAAGTAAATACATATGTCCCCTTTATTTTCCTGAAATGCACAAAGCTCTCTACCCAAGAACCTGTCTTTTTTTCATCCTATGTTATCTCTGTTCTCTGACAAGTGGGAAAGCTCTCTGTGTTTTCGATAAGGGATCACTCTTTCAAACTCTCTTTCAAGCTCATCACAGAGAATCAGGGTTATTTGGGAATGAGAAGACTATTTGGTTTTGATAAAATACAGAGAAACAGCGATCTTTATTACATAATGTGTTCATCAACCTCACTCCTAAGATACCTATCCAATACCTACATGCTGTTAATGAAACAACCTCTGGAAGTTTTTGGCGGATCTACAGTTTTAACACTTTCTTTCTTTTTTTTTTTTTTCACTTGTAACATTTTCTTAACTGTCCTTTGATACATTAACAGTGCTTAGGAAGAACAACATGTCATTTAAAAAAGAAATATTTCAAACACACAGAAAAGTATGGGGAATAATATTGAGTCCAGTCGGATCTCAACATTACCCCACAGCTAAGTTAGGTCTGATTTATTTATTCAGAATATTAGAAAAACTGCAAACAGGCCGGGCGTGGTAGCTCACACTTGTAATCCCAGCAGTTTGGAAGGCTGAGGCGGGTGGATCACCTGAGGTCAGGAAGTTTGAGACCAGCCTGGCCAACATGGTGAAACCCCGTCTCTACCATAAATTAAAAAATGAGCTGAGTGTGGGGGCACGTGCGTGTAACCCCAGCTACTCGGGAGGCTGAGGCAGAAGAATCACTTGAACCCAGGAGGTGAAAGTTGGAGTGAGCTGAGATTGCCTTATTGCACTCCACCCTGGCCGAGAAGAGTGAAACTCCATCTCAAAAACAAAAACAAACAAAACACACTATCAACAAGTCACAGCTGAAGCTGTCTGTGCAGCACTCAGCAATCCCTGCCCTCCCTCCCTCCTCCACTTACAGCCAGTCACCTTAGTTTGATGGCTTTTTATTCACATTCATGTTTGTATACATTTACCATTTACTTATTATCCATAAAAATATATATTCTTCTTTTGCATGTTTTAAAATTTTATATGAATGACCTCTGTAGTTAACTTTCTGCATGCAATTTTTTTTTTCACTCTGCCCCGATGTGTATGAGGGAACAAATGCCTGAGGCTCTTTCCCAGGTAGCTGAGCTGAAAAGCAATTGGGCTTGAGGAGACCCTTTCCAGCCCCTTCCCATCTACTCACCCTGATTCCCACGGTTAGGGTCATTATCAAAATCATTCCCCTGGAAGTCTGTGACCCGTTTATTACGCATGAAAGATGGGAGGATGGCCTTGAAACCTAGAAAGAAGCAAAATGTTTATTCCTTAAGAGACAAGCTTGGGCCTGGTACGGTGGCTCATGTCTGTAGTACCAACACTTTGGGAGGCTAAGGCTGGAGGATTGCTTGAGGCCAGGAATTCAAGGCTGCAGTAAGCTATGATTGCACTACTGCACTCTAGCCTAGGTGACAGATTCAGACTGACTCAAACAAAAAAAAAAAAAAAAGAAAGAGACAAGCCGAGAGAAGGTAGAGTGGGTGTGTGTGGGGTGGGGGTAGGATGGTTGCCGGGATGCCACAGAGACAGTTGGGCTCATCAGAACAGAAGCCTAAGAGAGAGAAACGTGCAGGATCCAGGTATGAGCTCCACTGTGGCCAGTCACTGCCCTCAGCCCTGACAGGATATAGAAGAGCAGAACACCCAGAAGCTGCCTTGCGATTTTTCCCTACACAAAAGGAAAATGTGAGGTACTTTCTGCAGCCTAAGAAATAGCCAAAGCAGGAAAAGGGATGCTCATGTGTCCCCAGACTTGTCTGTACCTAGAACTTTCTGTTACCTAGTTTAGTCATGGCCTCATACTTTCTCTTCATATACACATAGACGATTTTCTCCGAGACTTTCATCTTTTCCCACTCTTCCTTAGAGAAGTATTTGGCAATATCATCGAAGGCCTACAAAAAAAAAAAAAAGGAATTATGGCAGGGACTCAGCTAGGCATGTCTGCCATTCAGCTGGAGTCGCTTCCTGTGTGCTGGATCTGGGAAGTGGGGATAATCCTTCCTGGTTGATGCCACGGCTAACTGACAGAACATGAGGGACCTTCCTAGCTTCACCCCTGCCACACTGTCGGGCTTTAATGCTGCTGGCTGGCTCTCCTCCCACCTTCCAGAATGGACTGAGAGTCACCAAATGTAGTGCAAGGTCACAGACTTGTCTCCAGGGATGCTAGGTGATGACAGAGTGAGGGTGGGAGGCTCCCAAGGGTCCAGATCTCCCCTGAGACCCTGCTCCTTGTCTCCAGTATCTCTGTCCTCCCCTCCTCAGAAACCGGGTCACCCCACACTGTCCCCTGGGTCACTACTCTGCTCCCTCTAGGTCACCTCACCTTTTGTATCTTCTCTGGTATTTGAGCACCAACCGTGGGTCTCCTTGCAAAGGTGTCATCTCCGTTCATGGCACAGGGAGTAGTCTGACCTGCAAGAGAAACAGATTGAGACTTTCCAGCCGCAGGACCTTTGGTCTTGTGGAGGGAGAAATCAGTGAAGGCCGGCCACTCAGTCACCTGGAATCAGGTGCTGCATTTCTCCATCCGGGGCTTATCTGTCCCTGAGTAAGGATATGGGGAGAAATCAGACGAAAACCAGGAACCAGGGGTCTCTGGGAGAAGTATTGATAGGGGATGACAGGTTTCCTATGGGCAAAGCAGCCTTGAGTCTTTGGGAGGGGGTTGGCTAATGTTGTTAGTAATTTCCCTGGAGCTAGGCTTCCCCTGAAAGATGTATGGACCCTTGTTGGGGAGGCAGGGACATGACTGTGTAATTTTATTCAGTGGGGCATGCTGACACCCCCGCTCAATAAATAAAGGAAGGGAAGTTAGTCCCAGAGATAACGTGGTCTCTTTGGTGATGGATCTGATCAGGCAGAGGGATGGGGGGTTCTGTTCTGCTGAAGAGAAATGAGCATCGCTAATATGAATGTGTTCAGAGGCTATTACTGGGTGATTTGTAAGTTATTAGAACGAAGAGAGCTAGAATTTCTGAGACTACAAGAGCCCGCCATCACTTAGAGAGAATGTGGGGCATTTCAAGTTGCAGCAATCAGCCAGGCGCAGTGGCTCAGGCCTGTAATCCCAGCACTTTGGGAGGCCGAGGCGTGCAGGTCACTTGAGCCCAGGAGGTCGAGACCCGGCTGGGAAACACAGCAAAACCCCCGTCTACAAAATAAACAAAAAGTTAGCTGGGGTTGGTGGAGCAGGCCTGTACCATCCCAGCACTTTGGAAGGCCAAGGTGGGCGGATCGCCTTAGCCCAGGAGCTTGAGACCAGGCTCACAAACGTAGCAAAACCATCTCTACTAAAAAAAACAAACAAACAAAATTTAGCAGAAGCGGGGTGGTGCGCGCCTGTAGTCCCAAGGCCTAGGTGAGAAGATCACTTGAGCCCAGCAGGAAAGATTTGAGTGATTTTTTTTTTCAGACAGGGTCTCGCTCTGTTGCCCAGTCGGGAGTGCACTGGCGTGATCATGGCTCACTGCAACCTCCGCCTCTTGGGTTCAGGCAATCCACCAGCTGTGGCTTCCAAAAGTGCAGGGATTACAAGTGTAAGCCACCACCCCAGGCCCAAATTTCTTAAGTTACTACAGAGTTCCTAGGAAAAATCCCATACCTGAAAAAGTTAGAAACTGACAGGAAAGATTTGAGATGGCGGTTAGAAACTGACAGGAAAGATTTAAGATGGCGGCCTGCCTCATATACACTCCTTATTAAAACTAGATAGCAAATGCACCACGGAGGAGGGGAGGGGTAGGAAGAATGGAAAAAGAAAATCAGTGTATTCTTACTCTGATTTTGGAAGAATCCAAAGAGAAAATCAGACCGTGCGTACTCTTGAGTATGGAAGAATCGAAAGAGAGAGAAAATCAGAGCATGCGTACTCTGAACTTAAAGTAGCGAATCCCAGGGGATGCTTTAGGCGGGAAAATTAGAGTCTCCACCCCCACTTTGAGAAGGTTGTGTCCCTGGAGCCGGGACTGATAGAAGCCACATCCGCTTCGCTTGTTCCGCCTACTGTTCTGACTTCTAATTGGCCAGATGGAGTTCACTAACTGCCCTGATTGGTCCATCATCCTTGGGCAGCGACATTGCAGAATA
This sequence comes from Homo sapiens, assembly GCF_000001405.40. NCBI lineage: Eukaryota > Metazoa > Chordata > Mammalia > Primates > Hominidae > Homo > Homo sapiens. Next base: position 48,356,944 of record NC_000023.11, read on the forward strand.
ATGTCTCCTCCTCCAGCCACACCTTGTCGCCACTGCGAAAAAGTGGGTGGTCCTCAGGCGCCGTCAGATTTTGATCTCTCTGAAGACTGTTCCTGGATCTTGGGTTAAAAATCTGGATTCTAGTCTGAACTGTGGGAAGAAAAAAATAGTCAATCTGTGATTTTTCTACTTGAAAGCCACAATGTTTTCCAAACTAGCACATTTGCGGAGGTTTGCTATAATTAGTCGTGGAGTTCATTCTTCAGTGGCTTCTATATCTGTTGCCACTGAAAAAACAGTCCAAGGCCCTCCAACCTCTGCTTACATTTTTGAAAGGGAATCTAAGTGTGGTGTGCAGAATTACCATCCTTTACCTGTAGCCCTGGAGAGAGGAAAATGTATTTACTTATGGGATGTGATTGTGGTATTGGTTACATCTGCCTTGGCCAATCCTCCCGCCTCTGTCTCGGGACTACAGGCGCAAACCACCCCACCCCCACTAATATTTTTTATTTTTTGATTTTTTAATAGAGAAGGTTTTGCTGTGTTGGCCAGGCTGGTCTTGACGTCCTGGGCTCAAGCGATCCTCCCACCTCGGCCTCGGGACTACAGGCATTCACCACCCTGCCTACGCTTTTTTTTTTTTTTTTTTTTTTAAGTAGAAACCAGGTTTTGCTATGTTGGCCAGGCTGGTCTCATTGGCCAGGTTGGTCTCATCGTCCTGGGCTCAAGGCATTCTTCCACCATGGCCTCGAGACTACAGGCATGCACTACCCTGCCTACGATTTTTTTTTTTTTTTTTTTTTTTTTTTTAGTAGAAACCATGTTTCCCTATGTTGGCCAGGCCGGCATCAAGCTCCTGGGCTCAAGGGATCCTCCTGCCTCAGGACCGCAGCCACGCACCACCCTGCCCAAGCTATTTTTTGTTTTGTTTTGTTTCGTTTTAGTAGAAACCAGGTTTCGATATGTTGCCCAGGCTGGCCTCAATCTCTTAGGCTCAGATGATGCTTTCATCTTGGCCTCAGGACTATAGGCGTGTGCCATTCTGCCCTGCTCATTTTTATTTTCATTTATTTATTTATTTATTTATTTATTTATTTTAGGAGAGGCAGGCTATCGCTTTGTTGGCCAGGCTGGTATCAACCTCCTGGGCTCAAGCAATCCTCCCACCTTGGCCTCAAAACTACAGGAGTGAGCCACCCCACCCACGCTATTTTTTTGTTGTTCTTGTTGTTAGTAGAAATGGGGTTTCACTATGTTGGCCAGGCTGGCCTCAACCTCCTAGGCTCAAGCAATCGTCCTGCCTTGGCCTCGGGACTACAGGTTCACACCACCCCGCCCCCACTAATATTTTTAATTTTTCTACTAGAGACAGTTTCGCTATGTTGTCCAGGCTGGTCTCTACCTCCGGGACTCAAGTGATTCTCCCGCCTCGGCCTTGGGACTACAGGCATGCACTACCCTGCCTTTTGCTATGTTTCCCAGGTTGGTCTTGACCTCCTGGGCTCACTCAATGATTTGAACCTGGGAAGCCGAGGTTGCATTGAGCTGAGATCACACCACTGCACTCCAGCTTGAGCGACAGAGCAAGACTGAAAAAAAAAAAAAAAAGAAAGAAAGAGCAAGAGAGAGATCAGCGGAATCTCCGTAAGAACAGGGAGCTTTGTGGTATTTTAACTTACCCTTGTCCCATCTCGTGCTCCCAGCTTGGTTCTGTTCATTGCTGATGAAATACAGATAGGATTGGCCAGAACTGGTAGATGGCTGGCTGTTGATCATGAAAATGTCAGACCTGATATAGTCCTCCTTGGAAAGGCCCTTTCTGGAGGTTGATACTCTGTGTCTGCAGTGCTGTGGGATGATGGCTTAATGCTGAGCATTAAGCCAGGGGAACATGGGTCCACATACGGTGGCAATCCACTAGGCTGCTGAGTGACCATCGCAGCCCTTGAGGTTTTAGAACAAGAAAATCTTGCTGAAAATGCAGAAAAAAAATGGGTATTATCGTGAGAAGTGAACCCATGAAGCTACCTTCTGATGTTGTAACTGCCATAAAAGGAACAGAATTATTATTATTATTATTATTTGAGTCAGAGGTTCACTCTGGTTGCCCAGGATGGAGTGCAATGGTGCAATCTTGGCTCACTGCAACCTCTGCCTCCTGGGTTCAAGCGATTCTCCTACCTCAGCCTCCTGAGTAGCTGGGATTACAGGCATGCACCACTATGCCCAGCTAATTTTTGTATTTTTAGTAGAGACGGGGTTTCGCCACGTTGGCCAGGCTGGTCTCGAACTCCTGACTTCAGGCGATCCACCCGCCTCAGCCTCCCAAAGTGTTGGGATTACAGGCGTGAGCCACTGTGCCCGGGAGGAAAATAATTATTAAATGCTATTGTTATTAAAGAAACCATAGACTGTAATGCTTGGGAGGTGTGTCTATGACTTCGAGATTATGGACTTCTGGCCAAGCCCACCCATGGTGACATCATCAGGTTTCGCCTCTGCTGGTGATCAAGGAGGATGAGATTCGAGAGTCCAGTGAAATCATTAACAAGACCATCTTGCCGTTCTGAGGGTAGCAGCTGTTTTCAGTGGTTCCTGGGAGCCGGCTGGAGACAGGTGGTCCTGTAAAAGCTCTGCTCTAAATGTAGGCACATTCCACTCCCATGTGTCTTCAAAATCTTTTTGTGTATATATGTTTTTTCAGTTGATACATAATAGGACAATGTTTATGAACCTGACATTTGCTTTGTAGTGTTAAGAGAATGTAATGGCATCTATATTCAGTGAAAGTGTTTTGATGTGCACGTGTACTTTATAAGGTGAAATGCATCTGTATATACAGACAGCCTTTAAATCACATCCTTCAGTATACTTTATATATGCTTTTATAATTTCCTTGCTGGTATAAAGGTTTTGTATTTGAAAAAGATATCTCTAGCGTATTACATAAAAGGCTTCACCTTATAAAGTCAAATCATTGTTTTCATTGAATTTTAGGAACGATCAATGGTTAAGCATATAAAAAATACTAGTTTTTTTGTTTTGTTTTTGTTTTTGTTTTTGTTTTGAGACGGAGTCTCACCCTGTCACCCAGGCTGGAGTGCAGTGGCTCGATCTCCGCTCACTGCAAGCTCCACCTCCTGGGTTCACGCCATTCTCCTGCCTCAGCCTTCCGAGTGGCTGGGACTACAGGTGCTCACCAAAACGCCTGGCTAATTTTTTGTATTTTTAGTAGAGACAGGGTTTCATCGTGTTAGCCAGGATGGTCTCGATCTCCTGACCTCGTGATCCGCCCGCCTCATCCTCCCAAAGTGTTGGGATTACAGGCGTGAGCCACTGTGCCCGGCCTATAAAATACTAATATTAAGTAAACTTTATATTGACCAACACCAGGATATAGTCTATGGATGTCATTATTTTGAATTAAGAATTAGTGTTTAACATTCCTAAATTGTTTTGAGTGCTTGATTATAATTTGTAAAAAAAAGTTTACTTTTAATATTTCTTTACATTTTAAACAAAGCTTGTATTTCAGAAAAAAAAACAGACAGAACATGGCCGGGTGCAGTGGTTCACGCTTGTAATCCCAGCATTTTGGGAGGCCGAGGTGGGCAGATCACTTGAGGTCAGGAGTTTGAGACCAGCCTGGCCAACATGGAGAAACCCCGTCTCTACTAAAAGTACAAAAATTAACCAGGCATGGTGGCACCCGCCTGTAGTCCCAGCTACATGGGAGGCTGAGACAGGAGAATAGCTCAAACCCAGGAGGCAGAGGTTGCAGTGAGCTCGAGAGCGTGCCACTGCACTACAGCCTAGGAGACAGAGTGAGAATCCCTCTTGAAAAAAAAAATGTACAGTACATTTTCATCACCGCAATGCTATCCCTTGTGCTACTCATTTTTAGTAATACTCTCCTCCCATCCGCCATCCCTAATCCCTGGCAACCACAAATCTGTTTTTCGTTTCCACAATTTTGTCTTTTCTACAATGCTGTACAAGTGAAATCTTATAGTATATCATGTTTTATGGGCTTATTTCACTCAGCATAATTCCATGGAGATTTCTCCAAGATATTGATATTTGTGTATCAATAGTTCATTGTTGTTGTTGTTGAGACAGAGTCTCACTCTGTCACCCAGGCTAGAGTGCAGTGTCTCGGCTCACTGCAACCTCTGCCTCCTGGGTTCAAGCAATTTTCCAGTCTCAGCCTCCCGAGTAGCTCTGACTACAGGTGCGCGCCACCACACCCGGGTAATTTTTGTATCAGTAGTAAAGATGGGGTTTCAACATACTGGCAAGTCTGGTCTTGAACTCCTGACATCATCATCCGCCTGCCTCGACCTCCCAAAGTGCTGTGATAACAGGGTGAGCCACTGTGCCCTGACAATAGTTCATTTTTATTGCTGAGTAGTATTCCAGGGGATGGATGTAGCACAGTTTGACCATTCACTTATTTTAGGACATATTGATTATTTCCACCTATTGGCTATTACAAGTAAAGCTGCTATGAACAATTATGTACAAGTTTCTGGATGGGCATACATTTTAATTTCTCTGAAGTGTAATTGTTGAATTGTATGGTCATTGCATGTTTAGTTTTATAAGAAACTACCAAACTGCTTTCCAGAGTGGCTGTAAGATTTTACCTTCCCAGCAGCACTTAATAAGGTGTCCAGTTTCTCTGCATCCTTGTCACCATTTGGTGTTGTCACTATGTCTTTTATTTTAGCTATTGTAATAAGTGTGTAGTGATACCTCATCGTGGTGTTATTCTGCATCTAGTGAAGCAAATGAGTGTTGAACATCTTTTCATGTGCTTATTTGCTTATTTCCTCTTCAGTGAAATGTATGTTCATATCTTTTCATGATTTTCTAACTGGATTATTTGTTTGTATTTTTTACCATTGAGGTTTTTATTATTTTTTTTTCTTGAGACAGAGTCTTGCTCTGTTACCCAGGCTGGAGTGCAGTGGCACGATCTTGGCTCACTCCAACCTCCGCCTCCCAGGTTCAAGTGATTCTCATGCCTCAGCCTCCAGAGTAGCTGGGATTACAGGCACGCATCATCATGCTTGTCTAATTTTTGTATTTTTAGTAGAGATGGGTTTTTTGCCATGTTGCCCAGGCTGGTCTTGAACTCCTGGCCTCAAGGCATCTGCCCTCCGTCCACCTCGACCTTTCAAAGTGCTGGGATTACAAATGTGAGCCACCACGCTCAGCCTACTGTTGAGTTTTGAGAGTACTATACATATCCATTACATATTCTGGATGTGAGTCCTTTCTTGGATATGTGGTTTGCAAACATTTTCTTTCAGATCATACCATATTTTTTCATCCTTCTAACAAGATTTCTTGCAGAGCAAAAGTTTTAAATTGGATGAAATCTAATTTATTTTTTCCTTATGTATTATGCTTTTTGAACCATTCACTATGCCCTAGATCTCAGACGCTTCTCCTATATTTTCTTGTAAAACTTTTTTTTTAGTTTTTTTGTTTGTTTGTTTGTTTTTTGAGATGCATTCTTGCTCTGTTGCCCAGGATGGAGTGCACGATCTCGGCTCACTGCAAGCTCCACCTCCCGGGTTCACACCATTCTCCTGCCTCAGCCTCCCGAGTAGCTGGGACTACAGGCGCCTGCCACCACACCTGGCTAACTTGTTTGTATTTTTAGTAGAGACAGGGTTTCACTGTGTTAGCCAGGATGGTCTCGATCTCCTGACCTCGTGATCTGCCCACCTCGGCCTCCCAAAGTGCTGGGATTACAGACGTGAGCCACCGTGCCCGGCCTTTTATAGTTTTATATTTTAGATTTAAATCTATGATCCACTTGACTTACTTTTTTGTATAAAGGTGTGAAGATTAGGCCTTTTTGGTTTTTTTTTTTTCTTTTTGGCCTATGGCTCTGCAACTGCCCCAGCATCATTTGTTAAGCAGATGATCTTTCCCTATTTTTGTCTCTTGGTAAAAAATCAGTGTGGGGCTATTTCTAGGATTTCTATTTTGTTACAGTGATCTATGTGTCTATTTTTCTCCCAATAATATATAGTCTTGATTCCTGTAGCTATATAAGAAGTATTGAAATATGGTAGAGCAATTCCTCCCACCTTATTCTTCTTTTTCAAAAATTGTCTTAGCTATATAAATATTTTTTGAGATGGAGTCTCACTTTTGTCGTCCAAGCTGGAGGGCAGTGGGGTGACCTCGGCTCACTGCAATCTCTGTCTACCGTGTTCAAGCGGTTCTCCTGTCTCAGCTTCCCGAGTAGCTGGGATATCAGGTGCACGCCACTACACCGGCTAATTTTTGTATTTTTAGTAGAGACAGGGTTTCGCCATGTTGGCCAGGCTGGTTTCAAACTCCTGACCTCAAGCGATCTGCCCGTCTCAGCCTCCCAAAGTGCTGGGAATACAGGTGTGAGCCACCGGGCCCAGTGTTGTCTTAGCTATTGACAATTTGTTACAGCAGCAATCAAAAATGAATACACTTAGAAATAGATTAATTAGTGAAACAAAATAATAAGTCAAGAAACAAACTAATTTATATACAAACTTAAGCATGCATTTCCAAACAGTGGGCAAAAGATGGGTTGTGTAATAAAGGATTGTTGACAAGTGTCTATCCATTTGGAAAAATAAACATTAAATCCTTACTTTCAACCACATAAAATAATAAATTCTAAAAATTCAGAGACTTAAATGTGAAAACGTGAAGTCATAAAGAACTAGATGAAATTTTAGGAAAATATTACAGTGTAAGACATCTTGAGTTGGCATAGGCACTTCCTGATATTACACCAAGGCTATAAATAATGAATCTGACATATTTAAAGACGTAAAAATTAAAGTATCATCTAAGTCAAAAGACACCATAAAAAACTGTTTAAAAAGGCAAATATTAGGCCAGGCACAGTGGCTCATGCCTGTAATCTCAGTACTTTGGGAGGCCAAGGCGGGCAGATCACGAGGTCAGCAGATCGAGACCATCCTGGCTACCACGGTGAAACCCCGTCTCTACTAAAAGTACAAAAAATTAGCCGGGTGTGGTGGTGGGCGCCTGTAGTCCCAGCTGCTCGGGAGGCTGAGGCAGGAGAATGGTATGAACCTGGCAGGAGAATGGCATGAACCTGGGAGGTGGAGCTTGCAGTGAGCCGAGATCGCACCACTGCACTCCATCCTCGGCAACAGAGTGAGACTCCATCTCAAAAAAAAAAAAAAAAGGCAAATTTTGGGGAAAATGAAGCATCCCCAATAAATTAACAGTAACCATCTCTAATATATAACAAAGCGTTTCCATATCAATAAGAGAAACTGGAACAACCCAATGAAAAAATGTGTTCAGGCATGGCACTACTTTATCATATAGCAGAAAAGGATTACAAAACAGAAATTACGAAAGGAAAATAATAAAGGAAGTGGAGAAGAGATCCAAGAACTTTCAACGTTCATCCAATAGAAGATCCAGAGGTAGAGAATAGAAAGACTGGGATGGGCGCGGTGGCTCACGCCTGTTATTCCAACACTTTGGGAGGCCAAGGGAGGCAGATTACCTGAGGTCAGGAGTTCGAGACCAGCCTGTCCAACATGGTGAAACCCCGCCTCTACTAAAAATACGAAAATTAGCCCAGTGTGGTGGGGGGCACCTGAAATCCCAGCTACTTGGGAGGCTGAGGCAGGAGAATCACTTGAACCCGGGAAACAGATGTTGCAGTGAGCTGAGGTCCTGCCACTGCACTCCAACCTCAGTGTCAGAGCAAAACTCCATCTCAAAAATGAAAAAAAAAAATAGACTGGAGAGAAGGCAGTACTTGAAGAAATAATGTTCTAGAATTTTCCCAGCTGAACAAAGACATGAATCTTCAACCTGAAAAGAGCCACCTAGTTCTGAGCCTGATTAACACACATGTGCACACACACCTGTGCACGCACGAGCGCACACACACACACACACCCTCGGGGTAAAATTTCTAGGATAAAGATAAAATCCTGAAAGGTCCCAGAGAGAAAAAGAGAAGAGAGAATGCAATGGAGAGGTTTTTCAAGGAGCTGATTTAAAATAACTTTGGGCCAGGCGCAGTGGCTCATGCCTGTAGTCCCAGCACTTTCGGCGCCAAGACCGGATGCTCGCTTGAGCTCAGGAGTTTGAGACCAGCCTGGCCAACAAGGCGAAACCCACTTCTACAAAAAACACAAGTAACCAGGTGTGGTGCCACATGCCTGTAGTCCCAGCTACTTGGGAGGCTGAGGCAGGAGAATTGCTTGAGTCCGGGAGGTGGAGATTGCAGTGAGCCGAGATTGTGCCATTGCATTCCAGCCTGGGTGACAGAGCCAGGCACTATCTCAAAAAAACAAAACAAGAACAAACAATAAAAAAAGTTGAACCTAGATATCTATATACAGCCAGGATAATCCAGAATGAGGGGAAAAATATTTCAGAAAATTCATGACGCATATACCCTTCAGAAATAATTATTGGTATACAGTCCTGTGAGAAGGGAAAACTAAATTTAGGAGGAAGGAGGTGATTTCAGTAAGCAATGGTGAGGAGAAAAATAGTAAAATTTATTGAAAAGTGTAAACTTTAGATTGAAAAATTTAAAAATTACAGTCTTGAACTAAAATTCCCAGTATTATAAACTTGGAAGATGGGAGCAGGGACAAGAAAGAAAAGATAAGCTGTTTTGGTGTTCAAGGAATGGATACAGATGCTAATGAATGATAGAATTTGGTGGTGCATGCCTGTAACCCGAGCTACTCAGGAGGCTGGGGCAGAAGAATCACTTAAACCTGGGTGGTGGAGGTTGCATTGAGGTGAGATCACACCATTGCACTCCAGCCTGGGAAACAAGAGTGAAACTCTGAAAAAATAAGTAAATAAAAGGCCAGGCACAGTGGCTCACGCCTGTAATCCCAGCACTTTGGGAGGCCGAGACAGGTGGATCCCTTGAGTTCAGGAGTTCGAGACCAGTCTGGCCAACAAGGTGAAACTCCGTCTCTACCAAAAATACAAAAATTAGCCTGGCATAGTGTCACACGCCTGAGGTTCCAGCTACTCAAGAGGCTGAGGCAGGAGAATTGCTTGGACTCGGGAGGCAGAGGTTCAGTGAGCCAAGATCGTGCCACTGCACTCCAATCTGGGCGACAGAGGAAGACTCTGTCTCAAATAAATAAATAAATAAGTAAATAGAAAACCTATTGGATAGATTGGATATGAAAACATTAACTGCTCAAATAAATAATTCAGCGGAATAGATTGGATGTTAAAACCGATATAGTTGAAAAAGCAATTACTGAGCTGAGGAAATGCATCTAAAGAATTCATGAAAGTAATCGGTAATGGATAAAGAAGAAGTAAATGAAAGAAAAGTTAATTAATAGGGAGGATAGAAGAATAAATGTCAAAACACATCTAATAGTAGCCTTATAAGAAGAGAATATAGTCATTAAAAAGGAGAGTGTACTTAAATAAGTAATCAATGAGAATTCCTCAGATTTAAAAAAATGACTTAAGATTTAAAGGTATTATAGTACACACACACACACACACACACACACAGGAAAAGTGAAATGTAAAATTGTGAAAGACAAAGAAAAAATATTTTAAAAATGAACAGAGAGAAATAGCAGGTTACTTACAGAGGAAAAATAATTAAACTGACATCGGATCTCTCAAATACTACACTGGAGGCAAGGATACAATCGTGTAATAATTCCAAGGTGTTGAAAAATATGATTTTTTTTTGACTGAGTCTCGCTTTCTCACCCAGGCTGGAGTGCAGTGGCATGATCTCAGCTCACGGCAACCTCTGCCTCCTGGGATCAAGCAAATCTCCTGCCTCAGCCTCCTGAGTAGCTGGGGCTACAGGCACACAACACCACACCCGGCTAATTTTTGTACTTTTAGTAGAGATGTGGTCTTGCCATGTTGGCCAGGCTGGTCTGGAACCCTTGACCTCAAGTTATCTGCCTGCCTCGGCCTCCCAAAGTGCTGGGATTACAGGCATAAACCACTGCACCCGACGAAAGAAAGGAATTTTTATACCGGTGGAGTAAAGACAATGTCAGCCATATGACTTCAGGAGATTGAAGACACAGGGAAATGTTGAAGCAAACAAGTATTTATTGGGCTTATTAAAGACTGTAAGGAAGGGCCAGCTGCAGTGGCTCATGCCTGTAATCCCAGAACTTTGGGAGCCTGAAGCAACAGGATTGATTGAGCCCAGGAGTTCAAGACCAGCCTGGGCAACATGGCAAAACCCCGTCTCTACAAAAAATTCAAAAATTAGACGGGCATATCAAGTTCCTGGGTCTGTAGAGAATTTAAATATATATATATATATACATGGCTGGATTTGGTGGTGCGTACCTGTAATCCCAGCTATTTGGTAGGCTGGGGCAGGAATATTGCTTGGGCCCTGGAATTTCAGGCTGCAGTGAGCTAGGATTGGGTCACTGCCCTCCAGCCTGAGTTACAGAGTGAGACTTTGTCTCTGAAAATAAAAAAAAAAAAAGATCGTAAGGACGATTTTACTCAGAGGGGGGACTACTGTGATAGGTACAGGGACCACTGCAATGGGGTCTTGCAGTGGGAGAGTGATATTGGGATCGACTTCAACTCCACAAGGACAAGTGGGGATTTGTAGTCAGGGAGTAGGAGCCGGGGGTCAGAAGATGGGAAATTACTTGGAGGAAGCCTCAGGTGCAGGGGGATTCTGGCTAAACCGACTTGACAGGTTTTTTGCTGAAAAAGGCTAAATGGGCAGAGTCCCTGGATGAAGGACAGAGCCTGAGGTTGAGACCTAGTCAGAAACAGGACTCAGAGGAGCCCGATTCAAGTTTGGTCAAAGGAGAGTGTCTCTGTCTGAAAGCATAAGCAAGAAAGCCAACAGCAGTAAAATGAATGGGTCACAAAGGAGAATTTTTGTGCATTGCTAAGCAGGGCTCTGCTTTAACCATTGTGAAAGAAGTGAGTCATTCTTTTTTTTTTTTAGATGAAGTCTCGCTGTGTCACCCAGGCTGGAGTGCAGTGCGTGATCTCGGCTCACTGAAACCTCAGCTTCCTGGGTTGAAGCGATTCTCCTGCTTCAGCCTCCCGAGTAGCTGGGACTACAGTCACGTGCCTCACACCGGACTAATTTTGTATTTTTACTAGAGACAGGGTTTTACCATGTCGACCAGGCTGGTCTCGAACTCCTGACCTCAAGCCATCTGCCCGCCTTGGCCTCCCAAAGTGCTGAGATTTCAGGCGTGTGCCACTGAAACCCACCTGAATTGAGTCATTTTCCACATACACAACTAGGTCAGAGTTGAGTGGCCAGGGGAGAAACCAATCAGGGCACATTGCACCTGCTCCAAGAATTGAATTTTCCACAAAGCTGGTGGCTGAAATGGCCTGCTGCCACCCTAAGAGCACTTTTACCTAGTAACTGCTGAAACAACCTGCAATGACTCTAAGGCTTGTTTTACCTATTGTCCACACTCACCAATCAGAGCTTCCAGCTCCTGAAAGCTTCTCTGGTGCCAAGGGACTTGCTTTAAAAACTATAGGTAACATTTCTGTTTCTAATAAAACTCTCAACTTTCTCATTGTTCTTTGGACATACCAAAGACCAGCCAGTTTGTGTGTATGCTTCAGATTACAATTCTATGATTCTCAAATAAAATGTTTAGAGATTCATGGGCGTGGTGGATCACGCCTGTAATCCCAGCCGTTTGGGAGGCTGAGGCCGGCGGATCACTTCAGCCCAGGGGTTCGTGACCTGCCTGGGCAACATGGTGAAATCCTGTCTCTACAAAAATTACAAAAAATTAGCTGGATGTGGTGGTGCATGCCTGTAATCCCAGTTATTCCAGAGGCTGAGTCGGGGAGGCAGAGGTTGCAGTGAGCCGAGATTGTGCCACTGCACTCCGGGGTGGACGACAGAGTGAGACCCTGTCTTAAAAAACAAAAACAAAAACCATAATATAACATCCTTAATATTGCGATTTAAAAAAGAGATTCATCTCCATAGGTTTTGACTTTGATATTTGTGGTGTCAGAAATCGGGTCCGAAGCTGACTCACCTTGGAGATATCAATGACCTCTGGAACTATGGCGTGAGGTCTGCACACTTGGTCCCCTTGAGCTTTTGCTTTTCTGGTTGCCTCTTTCCCCCCGGTGAGACTTTCTTGGATCAAACTGCCATTTGTCGGGGAGTTGAGTTCAGTTTTATTTGGGAATTTGTTAGGAAGGGTCTTTCTCTGTCTCCTGGTTATGAAACCTCCTCTTTTCTTTTCCTTTCTTTTCTTGTCTTGTCTTTTTTATCTTGTCTTTCTCTTTTCTTTCTTTCTTTTTTTTTTTTTTTGAGACAGTGTTTTGCTCTGTCGCACAGGCTGCAGTGCAGTGGTGTGATCTGGGCTCACTGCAACCTTCACCTCCCAGGCTCAAGTGATTCTCGTGCATCGTCCTCCCGAGTAACTGGGATTACAGGTGTGCGCCACTACGCCTGGATAATTTTTGTGTTTTTTAGTAGACATGTGGTTTCACCCTGTTAGCCAGGCTGGTCTTGAAGTCCTGAGCTCAAGTGATCTGCCCGCCTCGGCCTCCCAAAGTGCTGGGATTACAGGCGTGAGCCACTACACCCAGCCAGAGACGGCCTGTTTAAGAGGGATTTTCTCCCTCCTGGTTATGAGGCCGGGTTACAGAGATTTTTCTGTTAGAGAAGGCTTCTCATGCTTCCTGGTAAGTTTGTACTTTATTTTCTGAGTCGTTTGCATGCTTAGAGTTTAATTTGGCTTTTGTGTATTAGGCATTAAACCGAATCACCTAGATTAATTTATTTACACACAGGCTCTCAAAGTTCAAAGGCATGCCAACATAGTTCCCTCTTTCTGGGACGCCAGCTGGTAATATGTGCCAACATTACGGGGATCATTCACGCAGTCTGTTTTCCTCAAACTGAACTAAAATAATACAGTCCAAATGGGACTCCTATCTCAGTTGGTATCTTGAGGCTCCAGAACACATTCAAGACTCAAAGGCTGCCTCACTGCAAGATATTGTCTAAAGCTAGCTGAGATTTTCTTCTCCAACACCTTCCCCTCTCCTTCGTTTACCTCTTCCTCTTTATCCTTCTTTAAGCAAAACTCTTTTTCCAAAACTCCTCAGCTACTCTGGCATACTGACTATTAAAATAAAGACAGTTGAAAGACATCAGATACAAATAAAATAAAATCACTGACCTTTGTAGTGTTTCTTAAAAGCAAAAGATGAAATTCCCATGTAAAAGATCTCCTTCCTATACTAAAAGGAAAGACAACACTCTTATCTTCAAGGATGAGGAATTGAGACCAAGAGAACATTATACAAAGCTTATTGGAATACCTCTTATCTTTTGGGCCTCCTCACATAATTCAGTCACATTTTTACAGTTAACAATTCTTTGTCTAATTCAACATGTTGGTAACTGACTCAAACTGCTTTACCCAAAATTTGGGTCACCACCTTCATAAGATTACCTATTGAGGAGAAAAATCTTAAATAAAGTTTAGCCTTCTTCCATTTTGTCAGAAATATAATTTAGATCCAACGTCTTTTATAAATCGGTGAGTTTGTATGGTTTACTGTCCCATAATCAAAATTCTAAAATGAAAGTTATCTTTGTTTATGTACGTATCTGTGTTTGGGCGTATTCCTGCGTATGTACATGTGTTATGTTAAATGTGTCTACATGGTAAAATCCGGAATCGTTGGCAAACAATTATTTAAAGAATCCTATTCAGATTGGCTTAAATAGGTACTCATATAAATACACAGTAATTAACTAAAACGCATTTAGTTCATGCAACTTAATTAAGTAGTTGAAAAATAAGCTGGTTTTAAAATTGTTGGTAAAATAAAATGAGAAATGTTTTCAAAATTGTGACCACACCTTTTTGGCTGGGTTTACTGGTTCTATATTTGTCTCTGTTGGATGTGTTAAGGTTATGAAACATAAACCTAACCTAAAAACAGAATGGTCTTTTATGTGCAATTCTTTGATAAGTAAGACTAATTTAATATTGTGAGTGTAATAAAACAGCTGTATTTTCTGAGTTATTGGCAAAATACTCATATATTTAAGGTTTTTGCTCGGGTGGATACCTGACATTTACAGGCTATAATAATGTTTTAATAGGAGAATAACTCCAAATGACTAGCTTTATTTATTTATTTATTTATTTTTAAAATTTTTTTTAGAGCAGAGTCTCCCTCTGTTGCCCAGGCTGGAGTGCAGTGGTGCTATCTCGGCTCGCTGCAACCTCTGCCTCCCAGGGTCAAGAGATTGTCCTGTCTCAGCCTCCCAAGTAGCTGGGACTCTAGGCGTGCGCCCCCATGCCTGGATAATTTTTGTATTTTTTTTTTTTTTTTTTTTTGAGACGGAGTCTCGCTCTTTCGCCCAGGCCAGACTGCGGTGGCCCTATCTCGGCTCACTGCAAACTCCGCCTCCTGGGTTCACACCATTCTCCTGCCTCGGCCTCCCGAGTAGCTGGGACTACAGGCGCCCGCCACCACGCCCACCTAATTTTTTGTATTTTAGTAGAGTTGGGGTTTCACCTTGTTGGCCAGGCTGGTCTTCAACTCCTGACCTCAAGTGATCTGCCCTTCTTGGCCTCCCTAAGTGCTGGGATTACAGGCGTGAGCCACCGACCCCGGCCGACTGGCTTTGTTTAATATGTCAGTTTTCATAAGTAATCTAGGTATAACTGTTAAAATGAATAAATGAGGTAACTGTGAGATACATGTTTATAAGTGAACTTTTCATGTAATTTGAAATGTTTTTTCTCTTGCTCTTACCATATGGAGATGAAATATTAAAGTTGTGTTATGTTAGATTAAGTAATAGGTACTCACTAAATGCTGGGATCATTTCCAACTAAGAAAACAATGGATCCACCTGCCTAGGCCTCCCAAAATGCTGGGATTAGAGGCGTGAGCCACCATGCCCAGTGAGGAAAAGAAGTATTAAACGCTATTGTTATTAAAGAAACCAAAGATCGTGATGCCTGGAAGGTGATTCAAAGACTCGAGATAATGGACTTCTGGCCAAGCCAACCCATGGTGACATCATCAGGTTTGTGCCTCCACTGGTGATCAAGGAGGATGAGATTCGAGAGTCCAGTGAAATCATTAACAAGACCATCTTGTCTTTCTGAGGGTAGCAGCTGTTTTCAGTGGTCCCTGGGAGCCGGCTGGAGACAGGTGGTCTTGTAAAAGCTCTGCTCTAAATGTAGGCACATTCCACTCCCATGTGTCTTCAAAGCCTTTGTGTGGAATATCCATTTTTTTCAGTTGATACACAATAGAACAACGTTTATGAACCTGCCTTTTGCTTCCTAACGTAAGTAAGAGAATGTAATGGCATCTATATTCAGTGAAGGTGTTTTGATGTGCATCTGTACTTTCTAAGGTAAAACGTATCTATGTATACAGAACAGCCTTTAAATCACGTCCTTCAGTATACTTTATATATGTTTTTATAATTTCCTTGCTGGTATAAATGTTTTGTATTTGAAAAAGTTATCTATGGAGTATTACATAAAAGACTTCACCTTGTAAAGTCAAATCACTGTTATCATTGAATTTTAGGAAGGATGAATGGTTAGTCATATGTAAAATACTAATATTAAGTAAACTTCATATTGGCGAACACCAGAATGTATTCTATGGTTGTCATTATTTTGAATTAAGAATTAGTGTTTAAAATTCCTAAATTGTTTTGAGTGCTTGATTATAATTTGTAAAAAACGTTTATTTTTAATATTTCTTTAAATTTAAAATAAAGCTTATATTTCAGAAAAAAAAAAAAGATACAGAACATGGCCAGGTGCAGTGGTTCACGCCTGTAATCCCAGCACATTGGTAGGCCAAGGTAGGCAGATCACTTGAGGTCAGGAGTTCGAGACCAGCCTGACAAGATGGTGAAACCTCGTCTCTACTAAAAATACAAAAGTTAGCCAGGCGTGGTGGCACGTGCCTGTATACCCAGCTACATGGGAGTCTGAGACAGGTGAATGGCTCAAACCTGGGAGGCAGAGGTTGCAGTGAGCCGAGAGCCTGCCACTGCATTCCAGCCTGGGTGACAAAGTGAGACTCAGTCTTGGAATAAAAAAAAAAAAAAAAAAGGTATAGACCATTGCCATCACCACAATGCCATCCCTTGTGCTACTCATTTTTAGTAATACTCACTCTCCTCCTATCCACCATCCCTAACCCCTGACAACCACTAATCTATTTTTCATTTCTACAATTTTATCTTTTCTACAATGCTGTACAAATGAAATCTCATAGTATATAACATTTTAGAGGCTTGTTTCACTCAGCATAATTCCCTGGAGATTCATCCAAGATATTAATATTTGTGTATCAATAGTTCATATTTTTGTTGTTGTTGTTGTTGAGATGGAGTCTCACTATGTCGCCCAGGCTGGAGCGCAGTGGCGTGGTTTTGGCTCACTGCAACCTCTGCCTCCCGGGTTTAAGCGATTCTCGTGCCTCAGCCTCCCAAGTAGCTGGGACTACAGGTGCACGCCACCATGCCCAGTTGATTTTTGTATTATTAGTAGAGACAGGGTTTCACCATATTAGCCAGGCTGGTCTCGAACTCCTGACCTCATGATCTACTTGCCTCCTGACCTCATGATCTGCCTGCCTCGGCTTCCCAAAATACCGGGATTACAAGTGTGAGCCACCGTGCACGGCCAATGGTTCATTTTTATTACTGAGTAGTATTACATGGTATGGATGTACCACAGTTTCACCATTCACCTATTGTTGGACATATTGATTATATCCGGCTATTTGGCTATTACAAATAAAGCTGCTATGAACAATTATGTACAAGTTTCTGGATGGGGATAAATTTTAATTTCTATGAAGTGGTAATTGATGAATTGTATGGTCACTGCATGTTTAGTTTTATAAGAAACTACCAAACTGCTTTCCAGAGTGGCTGTAAGATTTTACCCTCTCAGCAGCATTTTACTAGATGTCCAGTTTCTGTGCATCCTTTCCAGCATTTCGTATTGTCACTATGTCTTTCATTTTAGCTGTTGTAATAAGTGTGTAGTGATGCCTCATCGTGGTCTTAATTTGCATCTAGTGAAGCAAGTAAGTGTTGAACAGCCTTTCATGTGCTTATTTGCTTATTTCCTCTTCAGTGAAATGTATGTTCATATATCTTCATAATTTTCTAATTGAATTATTTGTTTGTTTTTACCGTTGTTTTGTTTTTGAGACAGAGTCTCGCTCTGCTACCGAGGCTGGAATGCAGTGGCATGATCTTGGCTCACTCCAACCTCTGCCTCCTAGGTTCAAGCGATTCTCATGCCTCAGCCTCCCGCGTAGCTGGGATTACAGGTGCGAACCATCATGCCTGTCTAATTTTTGAATGTTTAGTAGAGATGGGTTTTGCCATGTTGCCCAGGCTGGTCTCGAACTCCTGGCCTCAAGGGATCTACCCTCCGTCCACCTCGACCTCCCAAAGTGCTGGGATTACAAGCGTGAGCCACCACGCCTGGCATACCGTTGAGTTTTGAGAGTACTATACGTATCCGTTATATATTCTGGATGTGAGTCCTTTCTTGGATACGTGGTTTGCAAACATTTTCTCCCACTTTACACCCTGTTTTTTCATCCTTTTAACACGGTTTCTACAGAGCAAAAGTTAAATTGGATGAAATCTAATTTATTTTTTTCCTTATGGATTATGCTTTTTGAACCGTTCACTATGCCTAGATCTCAGACGTTTCTCCTACTCTTTCTTGTAAAAGTTTTTTTAGTGTTATATTTTAGATTTAAATCTATGAGCCACTTGAGTTTTTAATATATGTATATATATATGTATATATATATGTGTATATATATGTATATATATGTGTATATATATGTGTATATATATGTATATATATATGTGTATATATATGTATATATATATGTATATATATATGAAGATTAGGTGTTTTCTTGTTGTTGTTTGTTTGTTTGTTGTTGTTGTTGTTGTTGTTGTTTTGTCTATGGATATGCAACTGCTCCAGCACCATTTGTTAAGCAGACGATCCTTCTTTTTGTCTCTTGGGGAAAACAGTGTGGGGCAATTTCCAGGTTCTCTGTTTTGTTCCAGTGATCTATGTGTCTATTCTTCTCCCAATACTACACAGTCTTGATTCCTGTAGCTATATAAGAAGTATTGAAATATGGTAGAGCCATTCCTCCCACCTTATTCTTCTTTTTCAAAAATTGTCTTAGTTACATATACATTTTTTGAGAAGGAGTCTCACTTTTGTCGCCCAAGCTGGAGGGCAGTGGGGTGATCTCGGCTCACTGCTGTCTCTGCCTCCCGTGTTCAAGCGATTCTCCTGTCTCAGCTTCCCAAGTAGCTGGAATTTCAGGTACCCGTCACCACACCCAGCTAATTTTTGTATTTTTAGTAGAGACGGTGTTTCTCCATGTTAGCCAGGCTGGTCTCAAACTCCTGACCTCAAGCGATCCACCCATCTCGGCCTCCCAAAGTGTCTTTGTTCAGTTCAGAAAATTCTAGAACATTATTTCTTCAAGTACTGCCTTCTCCCCAGTCTTAATATTCTTTTTTTTATTTTTTTCACTTTTGTGACGTAGTTTTGCTCTGTCACCCAGGGTGTAGTGCAGTGGCAAGACCTCAGCTCACTGCAACCTCCGCTTCCCAGGTTCAACTGATTCTCCTGCCTCAGCTTCCCAAGTAGCTGGGATTTCAGACGCCCGCCACCACACCGGGCTAATTTTTGTATTTTTAGTAGACACAGGGTTTTGCCATGTTGGACAGGCTGGTCTCGAACTCCTGACCTCAGGTGATCTGCCTGCCTCAGCCTCCCAGAGTGCTGGGATTACAGGCGTAAGCCACTGCGCCCGGCCCAGTCTTTCTATTCTGTATGTCTGGAACTTCTACTAGATGAACGGTGAAACTTCTGGGATCTATTCTCCATTTCCTTTATTATTTTACTTTCATACTTTCTATTTCGTAATCGTTTTCTACTATACAGTGAAGTAGTGCCGTGCCTGAAGTTTTTCATTGGGTTGTTCCAATTTCTCTTATGATATGCAAAAGCTTTGTCGTATATTAGAGATGGTTACTTTTACTGCGGATGCTTCACCATTTTCTCCAAAATTTGCCTCTTTACACAGTTGTTTATGGTGTCTTTTGACTTAGATGATACTTTAATTTTTACATCTTTAAGTATGTCAGATTCATTGTTCATAGCCTTGGTGTAATGTCAGGAAGTGCCTATGCCAACTCAAAATGTCTTACACTGTAATATTTTCCTAAATTTTCGTCTAGTTCTTTATGACTTCACGTTTTCACATTTAAGTCAGTGAATTTTTAGAATTTATTATTTTATGTGGTTTAAAGTAAGTATTTTAATATTTATTTTTTCAAATGGATAGACACTTGTCAAGCAATCGTTTATTATACAACCCATCTTTTGCCCAGTGTTTGGAAATGCATGCTGAATTTTGCACATAACTTAGTCTGTTTCTTGACTTTCTATTTTTTTTTTCACTAATCTGTTTCTATATGTATTCATTTTTTATTGTTGCTGTAACAAATTGTCAATAGCTAAGACAACGCTGGGCTGGGCACGGTGGCTCACGCCTGTAATCCCAGCACTTTGGGAGGCCGAGACGGGCGGATCGCTTGAAGTCAGGAGTTCGAGACCAACCTTGCCAACATGGCGAAACCCCGTCTCTACTAAAAATACAAAAATTAGCCGGGTGTGGAGGTGCACGCCTGTAATGCCAGCTATTCGGGAAGCTGAGACAGGAGAATCCCTTGAACCCGGGAGGCAGAGTTTGCAGTGAGCCGAGATCACCCCACTGCCCTCCAGCTTGGGTGACACGAGTGAGACTCCATATCAAAAAAAAATTATATAGCTAAGACAATTTTTGAAAAAGAAGAATAAGGTAGGAGGAATGGCTCTACCATATTTCAATACTTCTTATATAGCTACAGGAATCAAGACTGTGTAGTATTGGCAGAAGAATAGACACATAGATCACTGGAGCAAAATAGAGAACCTAGAAATAGCCACACACTGATTTTTTACAAAGAGACAGAAAGAAGGAAGGATCGTCTGCTTAACAAATGGTGCTGGAGCAGTTGCATATCCATAGGCAAAAAAAAAAAAAAAAAAAAATAAGACCTAATCTTCATAACTTTATACAAAAAAGTAACTCAAATGGATCATATATTTAAATCTGAAATATAAAACTAAAAAAAAAAGCTTTTACAAGAAAACATAGGAGAAACGTCTGAGATCTAGGGCATGGTGAACAGTTCAAAAAGCATAATCCATAAGGAAAAAAAGTAAATTAGATTTCATCCAATTTAAAACTTTTGCTCTGCAAGAAACCCTGTTAAAAGGATGAAAAAACAAAGTATGGACTGGGAGAAAATGTTTGCAAACCACATATCCAAGAAAGGACTCACATCCAGAATATATAATGGATATGTATAGTACTCTCAAAACTCAACCGTAGGCCGGGTGTGGTGGCTCAGTCGTGTAATCCCAGCACTTTGAAAGGTCGAGGTGGATGGAAGGCAGATCCCTTGAGGCCAGGAGTTTGAGACCAGCCTGGGCAACATGGCAAAAACCCATGTCTACTAAAAATACAAAAATTAGACAGGCATGTTGATGCATGCCTGTAATCCCAGCTACGCGGGAGGCTGAGGCACAAGAATCGCTTGAACCTGGAAGGCAGAGGTTGGAGTGAGCCAAGATCATGCCACTGCACTCCAGCCTGGGTAACAGAGAGAGACTCTGCCTTAAATAATAATAATAATAATAATAATAATAATAATAATAATAATAACTCAAAGGTAAAAAAAAACCAAATAATCCAATTAGAAAATTATGAAAAGATATGAGCATACATTTCACTGAAGAGGAAATAAGCAAATAAGCACATGAAAAGATGTTCAACACTCATTTGCTTCACTAGATGCAGAATAACACCACGATGAGGTATCACTACACACTTATTACAATAGCTAAAATAAAAGACATAGTGACAACACCAAATGGTGACAAGGATGCAGAGAAAATGGACACCTCATTAAGTGCTGCTGGGAAGGTAAAAGCAGTTTGGTAGTTTCTTATAAAACTAAACATGCAGTGACCATACAATTCAACAATTACACTTCAGAGAAGTTAAAATGTATGCCCATCCAGAAACTTGTACACAATTGTTCATAGCAGCTTTACTTGTAATAGCCAAAAGCTGGAAATAATCAATATGTCCTGCAATAAGCGAATGGTTGAACTGTGGTACATCCATACCATGGAATACTACTCCGTAATAAAAATGAACAATTGGCCGGGCGCAGTGGCTCACGCATGTAATCCCAACACTTTGGGAGGCCGAGGCGGGCGGATCACGAGGTCAGGAGATCGAGACCATCCTGGCTGACACGGTGAAACCCCATCTCTACTAAAAAATACCAAAAATTAGCCGGGAGTGGTGGCGGGCGCCTGTAGTCCCAGCTACTCAGAAGGCTGAGGCAGGAGAATGGCATGAACCCAGGAGGCGGAGCTTGCAGTGAGCAGTGATTGCGCCACTGCACTCCAGCCTGGGCGACAGAGTGAGACTCTGTCTCAAAAAAAAAAAAAAAAAAAAGAATTACCCGGTCGTGGTGGCACGCGCCTGTAGTCACAGCTACTCGGGAGGCTGAGGCAGTAAAATCTCTTGAACCTGGGAGGCAGAGGTTGCAGTGAGCCGGGATCGCACCACTGCACTCCAGCCTGGGCAGCAGAGTGAGACTCCGTCTCAACAACAAAAACAACAATGAACTACTGATACAAAAATATTAATATATTGGATGAATCTCCATGGAATTATGCTGAGTGAAATAAGCCTGTAAAATGTTATATACTATAAGATTTCATTTGTACAGCATTGTAGAAAAGACAAAATTGTAGAAATGAAAAAGATTAGTAGTTGCCAGGGGTTAGGGATGGTGGACGGGAGGAGAGTGGGTATTACTAAAAATGAGTAGCACAAGGGATAGCACTTTGGTGATGGAAATGTCCTGTACCTTTTTTTTTTCTTTCTTTCTTTTTTTTTTTTTTTTTCCCGAGAGGGATTTTCACTCTGTCACCTAGGCTGGAGTGCAGTGACACGATCTCAGCTCACTGCAACCTCTGTCTTCCTGGTTCAAGCTATTCTCCTGTCTCTGCCTCCCATGTAGCTGGGATTACAGGTGCGTGCCACCATGCCTGGTAAGTTTTGTATTTTTAGTAGAGACGGGGTTTCTCCTTGTTAGCCAGGCTGGTCTCAAACTCCTGACCTGAAGTGATCCACCCACCTCGGGCTCCCAAAGTGCTGGGATTACAGGCGTGAACCACCGCACCTGGCCATGATCTGTATCTTATTTTTTTCTGAAATATAAGCTTTATTTAAAATTTAAAAAATTATTAAAAATAAACATTCTTTGGCCAGGCGCAGTGGTGGCTCATGCCTGTAATCCCAGCACTTTGGGAGCCCGAGGCGGGTGGATCACGAGGCCAGGAGATCGAGACCACGGTGAAACCCCGTCTCTGCTAAAAATAAATAAAAAAATAAAAATAAAAATAAAAAATAAACAAACATTTTTCTACAAATTTTAATCAAGCACTCAAAGCAATTCAGGAATGTTAAACACTAATTCTTAATTGAAAATAATGACATCCATAGAATACATCCTGGTGTTAGCCAACATGAAGTTTACTTAATATTAGTATTTTATATATGCTTAACCATTCATCCTTCCTAAAATTCAATGATAACAATGATTTGACTTTATAAGGTGAAGCCATTTATGTAATACCCCAGAGATAACATTTTCAAATACAAAACATTTATACTAGCATGGAAATTATAAAAACATATATAAATTATACTGAAGGATGTGATTTAAAGGCTGTCAATACACATAGATGCATTTTACCTTAGAAAGTACACATGCACATCAAAACATTCATTGAATATAGATGCCATTAAATTCTCTTACTTACGTTACAAAGCAACGGGCAGGTTCATAAACGTTGTTCTAGTATGTATCAACTGCAAAAAACATATATTCCACGAAAAGGTTTTGAAGACACATGGGAGTGGAATGTGCCCACATTTAGAGCAGAGCTTTTACAGGACCACCTGTCTCCAGCCGGCTCCCAGGGACCACTGAAAACGGCTGCTACACTCAGAACGACAAGATGGTCTTGTTAATGATAACAATTGACCCTGGAATCTCATCCTCCTTGACCACCAGCAGAGGTGAAACCTGATGATGTCGCCATGGGTTGGCTTGGCCAGAAGTCCATTATCTCGAAGTCTTAGACACACACTTTCCAAGCAGCACAATCTTTGGTTTCTTTAATAACAATAGCATTTAATAATTCTTTTCCACACCGGGTGTGGTGGCTCACACCTGTAATCCCAACACTTTGGGGGGCCAAGGTGGGTGGATCACCTGAGGTCAGCAGTTCGAGACCGGCCTGGCCAACGTGGTGAAACCCCGTCTCTACTAAAAATACAAAAGTTAGCTGGGCATAGTGGTGCGTGCCTGTAATCCCAGCTACTCGGGAGGCTGAGGCAGGAGAATCACTTGAACCCAGGAGGCAGAGGTTGCAGTGAGCCAAGATCGCACCATTGCAATCCAGCCTGGGCAACCAGAGTGAACCTGTGACTTAAGCAAATAAATACATAAATAAAATAATTATTTTCTTCTTACAACAGTTACAACATCAGAAGGTAGCTTCATGGGTTCATTTCTCAGGAGAATACCCATTGTTTCTGCATTTTCAGCAAGGTTTTCTTCTTCTAAAACTTCAAGGGCTGCGATGGCCACTTGGCAGCCTAGTGGATTGCCACCGTATGTGGACCCACGTTCCCCTGGCTTAATGGTCAGCATTATGTTATCATTCCACAGCACCGCAGACACAGAGTATCAGCCCCCAGAAAGGGCCTTTCCAAGGAGGACTATATCAGGTCTGACATTTTCATGATCAACAGCCAGCCATCTACCAGTTCTGGCCACTCCTGTCTGTATTTCATCAACAATAAACAGAACCAAGCTGGGAGCACGAGATGGGACGAGGGTAAGTTAAAATACCACAAAGCTTACTGTTCTTACGGAGACTCAGCTGGTTCTTTTCTTTCTTTCTTTCTTTCTTTCTTTCTTTCTTTCTTTCTTTCTTTCTTTCTTTCCTTCCTTCCTTCCTTCCTTCCTTCTTTCCTTCCTTCCTTCCTCCCTCCCTCCCTTCTTCCCTTCCCTTCCTTCTTCCCTTTCCTTCCCTTCCTTCTTCTCTTCCCTTCTTCCCTTCCCATCTTCCCTTCCTGTCTTCCCTTCCCATCTTCCCTTCCCTTTCTTCCCTTCCTTCTTCCCTTCCGTTCTCCCTTCCCTTCCTTTTCCTTCTCCTTTCGCTTCCCTTCTCCCTTCCCTTCCCTTCCCTTCCCTTCCCTTCCTTTCCCTTCCCTTCCCTTCCCTTCCCTTCCCTTCTCCTTTCCCTTCCCTTCCCTTCCCTTCCCTTCCCTTCCCTTCTCCTTTCCCTTCCCTTCTCCCTTCCCTTCTCCCATCCCTTCTCCCTTCCCTTCCTTTTCTTTTCGACAGTTTTTCTCTGTCACCCAGGCTGGAGTGCAGTGGTGGGATCTCAGCTCAATGCAACCTCCCCTTCCCGGGTTCAAATCATTGAGTGAACCCAGGAGGTTGAGACCAGCCTGGGAAACATAGCAAAAGGCAGGGTGGTGCAGGCCTGCAGTCCCGAGGCCGAGGCAGGAGGATCACTTGAACCCAGGAGGTAGAGACCAGCCTGGACAACATAGCGAAACTGTCTCTACTAGAAAAATTAAAGATATTAGTGGGGGCTGGGTGGTGTGTGCCAGTGGTCCCGAGGCCGAGGCAGGAGGATTGCTTGAGCCCAGGAGGTCAAGGCCAGCCTGGCCAACATAGTGAAACCCCATTTCTACTAATAAGAAGAACAACCAAAAATAGCATGGGCGGGGTGGCTCACCCCTGTAGTTCCCAGGCTGAGGTGGGAGGATTGCTTGAGCCCAGAAGGTCGATACCAGCCTGGTCAACATAGCGAAAGCCTGTCTCTCCTAAAAAAAATTATCAGGGCAGAATGGCACACGCCTATGGTCCCGAGGCTGAGGTGGAAGCATTGCTTGAGCCCAGGAGGTTGAGGCCAGTCTGTGCAACATAGCAAAACCCGGTTTCTACTGAAAAACAAAAAAAATACCGTGGGCAGGGTGGTGCATGCCTGTGGTCCCCAGGCTGAGGAGGTGGGAGGATCCCTTGAGCCCTGGAGGTTGAGGCCAGCCTGGCCTACATAGAGAAACCCAGTTTCAACTAAAAAATAATAATAATAATAACAAAAACAAACCTGGGCAGGGTGGTGCATGCCTGTAGTCCCGAGAATGAGATGGGAGGATTGACCAAGGCGGATGTAACCAATACCACAATCACATCCCATAAGTAAATACATTTTCCTCTCTCCAGGGCTACAGGTAAAGGATGGTAATTGTGCGCACCACACTTACATTCCCTTCCAAAAATGCGGCACTATTCACAATAGCAAAGACTTGGAACCAACCCAAATGTCCAACAATGATAGACTGGATTAAGAAAATGTGGCACATATACACCATGGAATACTATGCAGCCATAAAAATTGATGAGTTCATGTCCTTTGTAGGGACATGGATGAAATTGGAAATCATCATTCTCAGTAAACTATCGCAAGAACAAAAAACCAAACACCGCATATTCTCACTCATAGGTGGGAATTGAACAATGAGATCACATGGACACAGGAAGGGGAACATCACACTCTGGGGACTGTTGTGGGGTGGGGGGAGGGGGGAGGGATAGCATTGGGAGATATACCCAATGCTAGATGACGAGTTAGTGGGTGCAGCGCACCAGCGTGGCACATGTATACATATGTAACTAACCTGCACAATGTGCACATGTACCCTAAAACTTAAAGTATAATAATAAAAGAAAAAAAAAAGAAAACTACAAAAAAAAAAAAAAAAGAAAAAAAAATAAGAATAAAAGAGGTTGGAGGGCCTTGGACTGTTTTTTTAGTTCCAACAGATGTAGAAGCCACTGAAGAATGAACTCCACGACTAAGTACAGCAAACCTCCGCAAATGTGCTAGTTTGGAAAACATTGTGTCTTTCAAATAGAAAAATCACAGATCGACTATTTTTTCTTCCCACGGTTCAGACTAGAATCCAGATGTTTAACCCAAGATCCAGGGACGGTCTTCAGAGAGTTCAAAATCTCCTGATGGCGCCTGAGGACCACCCACTTTGTCGCACAAAGTGTGGCTGGAGGAGGCGACAACATTCTGCAATGTCACTGCCCAAGGATGATGGACCAATCAGGGCAGTTAGTGAACTCCATCTGGCCAATTAGAAGTCAGAACAGTAGGCGGAACAAGCGAAGCTGATGTGGCGTCTGTCAGTCCAGGCTCTAGGGACAGAACCTTCCCAAGGCGGGGGGGAGGGGAGACTCTGATTTTCCCGCCGAAAGCGTCCCCTTGGATTGGCTACTTTAAATTCAGAGTACGCACACGCCGATTTGCCCTTTTGATTCTTCCACAATCAGGGTAAGCATGCGCTGATTTTCTCTTTCCATTCTTCCTACCCCTCCCCTCCGCCGTGGTGCACTTCTTATCTAATTTTAATAATGTATTTATGTGAGGCAGGTCGCCATCTCAAATTCTTCCTGTCAGTTTCTAACTTTTTCAGGTATGGGATTTTTCCTAGGAGCTCTGTAGTAACTTAAAAAATCTGGGCTGGGCGTGGTGGCTCACGCTTGTAATCCCAGCACTTTGGAGGCCCACAGGTGGTGGATCGCTTGAACCCGGGAGGCGGAGGTTGCAGTGAGCCACGATCGCGCCACTGCAACACAGCCTGGGCAACAGAGCGAGACCCTGTCTCAAAAAAAAAAAAAAAAAAAAACTCCTGGGCTCAAGCGATCCTCTCGCCTCGGCCCCGGGACTACAGGCGTGCACCACCCCGCCCAGAGCACCAAAGGTCCTGAGGCTGGAAAGACTCAGGCTGTTTCTCTCGCAGGTGAGACTGCTCCCAGTGCCATGAACGGAGACGACGCCTTTGCAAGGAGACCCAGGGATGATGCTCAAATATCAGAGAAGTTACGAAAGGTGAGGTGACCTGGAGGGGGCAGAGTAGTGGCCCAGGGGACAGTGTGGGGTGACCAGGTTTCTGAGGAGGGGAGGACAGAGGTACTAGGGACAAGGAGCAGGGTCTCGGGGGAGATTTGGACCCTTGGGAGCCTCCCACCCTCGCTCTGTCATCACCTAGCATCCCTGGAGACAAGTCTCTGACCTTGCACTTCATTTGGTGACTCCCACTCCATTCTGGAAGGTGGGAAGAGAGCCAGCCAGCAGCATTAAAGCCCTACTGTGTGGCAGGGGCGAAGCTAGGGAAGTTCCCTCATGTTCTGTCAGTTAGCCATGGCATCAACCAGGACAGACTATCATCCCCACTTCTCAGATCCCACACACAGGAAGCGGCTCCAGCTGAATGGCAGACATGCCTAGCTGAGTCCCTGCCATAATTCCTTTTTTTTTTTTTTCCAGGCCTTCGATGATATTGCCAAATACTTCTCTAAGAAAGAGTGGGAAAAGATGAAATCCTCGGAGAAAATCGTCTATGTGTATATGAAGCTAAACTATGAGGTCATGACTAAACTAGGTAACAGAAAGTTCTAGAAGCAGACAAGTCTGGGGACACATGAGCATCCCTTTTCCTGTTTTGGCTACTTCTTAGGCTGCAGAAAGTACCCCACATTTTCCTTTTGTGCAGGGAAAAATCACAAGGCAGCTTCTGGGTGTTCTCCTCTTCTGTATCCTGTCAGGGCTGAGGGCAGGGACTGGCCACAGTGGAGCTCATACCTGGATCCTGCACGTTTCTCTCCCATAGGCGTCTTTTCTGATGAGCCCAACTGTCTCTGTGGCATCCCGGCACCCCCACACCCAACACGCACACCCTCCCTTCCTTCTCTTGGCTTGTCTCTCTCTCTCTCTCTCTCTTTTTTTTTTTTTAAGTCAGAGTCTCACTCTGTCACCTAGGGAAGAGTGCAGTAGTGCAAGCATAGCTCACTGCAGCCTCGAACTCCTGGGCTCTAGCAATCCTCCTGCCCAGCCTATGGAGTAGCTGAGGCTACAGGCACGTGCCACTATGCCCAACTAATTTTATTTTATATTTTGTAGATATGTGGGTCTCTCTATGTTGCCCAGGCTAGTGTTGAGCGCCTCACCTCAAGCAATCCTCCAGCCTCAGCCTCCCAAAGGGCTGGTACTACAGACATGAGCCACCGTGCCAGGCCCAAGCTTGCCTCTTAAGAAATAAACATTTTGCTCCTTTCTAGGTTTCAAGGTCACCCTCCCACCTTTCATGCGTAGTAAACGGGCTGCAGACTTCCACGGGAATGATTTTGGTAACGATCGAAACCACAGGAATCAGGGTGAGTAGACTGGAAGGGGCTGGAAAGGGTCTCCTCAAGCCCAGTTGCTTTTCAGCTCAGCTACCTGGGAAAGATCCTCAGGCATTTGTTCCCTCATACACATCGGGGCTGAGTGAAAAAAAAAAATTGCATGCAGAAAGTTAACTACAGAGGCCAATCACATAAAATTCTAAAACATGCAAAACAAGAAAATATATTTTTATGGATAATAAGTAAATGGTAAATGTATACAAACATGAATGTGAATAAAACGCCATCAAATTAAGGTGACTGGCTGTAAGTGGAGGAGGGAGGGAGGGCAGGGATTGCTGAGTGCGGCACAGACAGCTTCAGCTGTGACTTGCTGATAGTGTGTTTTGTGTTTTTTGTTATTGTTATTTTTTTTTGAGACAGAATTTCACTCTTGTCACCCAGCCTGGAGTGCAATAGCAAAATCTGAGCTCACTGCAACTTGCACCTCCCAGGTTCAAGCGATTCTCCTGCCTCAGCCTCCCGAGTAGCTGGGATTACAGGCGCTCGCCTCCACACCCAGGTAATTTTTGTATTTTTGGTAGAGACGGGGTTTCACCATGTTGGCCAGTCTGGCCTCAAACTACCTGACCTCAGGTGATCCACTCGCCTCAGCCTCCCAAAATGCTGGGATTACAGGCGTGAGCTACCACTCCTGGACTGTTTATACTATTGCTAATATTCTGAATAAATAAATCAGATCTAAGATAACTGTGGGGTAATGTTGAGACCCGACTGTACTCAGTTTTGTTCCCCATACTTTTCTGTGTTTTTGAAATATTTCTTTTTTAAATGACATGTTGTTCTTCCTAAGCACTGTTAATGAATCAAAGGACATTTAAGAAAATGTGAAAAGTGAAAAAATAAAAAAAAAGAAAATGTTAAAACTGTAGATCCGCCAAAAACTTCCAGAGTTTGTTTCATTAACAGCATGTAGGTATTGGATAAGTATCTTAGGAGTGAGGGTGATGAACACATTATGTAATAAGCGTCGCTGTTTCTCTGTATTTTATCAAAACCAAATAGTCCTCACATTCCCCAACAACCCCAATTCTCCGTGATGAGCTTGGAAGAGAGTTTGAAAGAGTGATCCCTCATCCAGCACACAGAGAGCTTTCCCACTTCTCAGTGAGCAGAGATAACATAGGGTGAAAAAAAGACAAGTTTCGCGTAGAGATCTTTGTGCATTTCAGGAATATAAAGGGGACATATGTGTTTACTTGCTCTTCTGCTCTGAGAACACAGTTACAAGACAAGGTCAGAATGTCCAGACTGTCTCCCATAGACCTATTACTTCCCAACTAAACAGGCCAGATTCTACGATCTCCCACAGTCACTATAAGAGGTCTGAAAATCCAGTGCTTGAGTATCTGCCAAGTTTTTGACATTAAATGAGTGCCAAATATTTATACTGAAAATATTTCAGAGCCACTGGACTAAATCATCGATGGTTCATCACACAGTTAACAGCTTAATTGACATACCATAAGATTCACCCATTTGAAGTGTACAGTGATTTTTAGTTGTTGCACATCTTGAGTGATTACAGTTTAGATTCCCAACCAATCAATTTAACTATTTGGGAAAAAGTAAAAGATATGTAATGGAAAAAGATGAGACTGTGATGGGGTTTAATACCCATGTGATAAACCACGAGATGGAAAATTCTGAATTGATGCCACAGATAAATGCACCAACCATGACTAAACATAATTCAGAAGCAAATCTCAAATAACTCCTCAACAATGAGTGGACTCACAACCTCTGCTGCAGAATGCCCTCATGCGACAGAAGTCTCTCTAGAGTTTGGAAATCTTTACCAACAAAGAAAAATTCTGATGTATTCTCTTTCAGTTGAACGTCCTCAGATGACTTTCGGCAGCCTCCAGAGAATCTTCCCGAAGGTGAGTGTCTCTCAAATCTAAAGGACCAGAGAACGTTTGTCCCTGCACGGATGCGAACACTGATAAGAGTGGGAGAATATCAAACATGCCCTCACTGCCTCCTTCTCCCCATGTCTATCACAACAACTTATGTGGCACCGACGGCTTGCTAATATTAACAGTTGTGATCCTTAATACTTCTTTGGTTTTCATAGTGATGCCAGATTACTATTTTAAGCAGTTCACATGGGTTAATTTATTTAATCCTTAAGAAGACCTCTATGACGATGTTTCTATTACTATCTCCAAATACTATCGAGCCACACACTTCAATTGTCACCCATATAAAAGACATGTAACTTGGTGCAAATCTTCTAAGTTCTCTGAGATCCAGACTCCTGGTCCATGAAATGGAAGTAAAGAATCATAGTTCATGTTTTAGATCGTAGTTATCAGCAACATAATAATAAAATGAGGCTATCGGGGTACAGAGATGTTAAAGAATTTTCCTGAGGCACAGTGGCAGTGGTAGTCTAATCCAGAGCTCCAAGCCATTTAAAGCTCATTCACGTTTGCATTTGTTTATGAAGTTCAGATGTTGCTCACTAGGGCTTCACCCCATAGGGCCTCCTGGTGCTTCCATTGAGACACCCACTCTCGCAACAGGAAGGACCAGCTGGCCTCTGCTCTGTTACCGGGGCCACTCACATGGCTTAGGAATCGCTTTGACTGTTGGCCCCTCCCTACTGTGAGCTCCTTGATGGCCTTGTGTGCACCTGGGGCATCCGGGAAGCCCCCGTCCCAGCCCAGGGGATCCCTCGAAGGCCCCTGAATGAGTGATCCCACAACTGCAGATCCAACTCTGGTTTGGAGGGTAAAGGGATCTGGGAGTTGGGTTGCCAGTGTGGAGACCAAATTCAAAGAAGGATCATGAAAAGTATTAGTTTTTTATTATTACTACATTTAAAGAGTGTTTACAAGCTCAGAGAGCACTTTCTTGTAGCCTATTTTACATGTACTGTTGACTATTTCGTAAGTGAGGAAGCTGAATAAAAAGTAGCTTAAGGGCTGGGCGCAGTGTCTCACGACTGTAATCCCAGCACTTTGGGAGGCTGAGGTGGGTGGATCACGAGGTGAAGAGATGGAGACCATCCTGCCCAACATGGTGAAACTTTGTCTCTACTAAAAATAGAAAACTTAACGGTGCGTGTTAGAGCCTACCTGTAGTCCCAGCTACTCTGGAGGCTGAGGCAGGAGAATGGTTGAACCTGGGAGATGGAGGTTACAGTGAGCTGAGATCGCGCCACTGCACTCAAGCCTGGCAACAGAGCAAGACTCCGTGTCAAAAAAAAAAAAAAAAAAGGAAAAAGAAGTAGCTTAAGGTCGTTGGTCAGTGACACATCCCAATGCAACCAGAGTTGGTATGGGTACCACCTCACTTAATTCCACATTCAATGTTGGCGCCTCGGTAGGGTAGTATGCCATGTCTGGTACTGCTTTCTTTGCTGCCTAGTTTAATTTCAGCAAACCATTTCTTTACCTCTCCTGTCCCTGTATTCATCTCCCCACACCATCTTTCCCAGCAGTGTTTTATCGCCTCTCTATGTTTTTACATTTACTCTCCCAGCAGCTGTCTACAAGCTTATATGGGATCCCTTGTATTTTATAGAAGCTCTTTCTTTTCTAGACCTTGTGAATTCTTAGAATGCTATTCTCCAAATCTTCTGTATACCAAACTCTCAATTAAATGGAGATTTTTGCTGTTTGCAAGAATGTGAGTCTTAAAAGAGTGTGAAGATAAGCATTCTAGCCCTGGAAAGCCCATTCGTTTAGGCCATTCCTTTCCCTTCTAACCTCCCAGGTTTCTCCTAATTTAGGCCTGTGTAACTCTCCCAGTCTTGTTGAGAGCATTGAATAAGCTAATGCACGTGAAGACCCTTTGTAAGCTCTAAAGCACTGTAGAAATGTCACTGATACTGTTTATCTGCGACCTTCACATTGTAAAGATCATGCCCAAGAAGCCAGCAGAGGAAGAAAATGGTTTGAAGGAAGTGCCAGAGGCATCTGGCCCACAAAATGATGGGAAACAGCTGTGCCCCCCGGGAAATCCAAGTACCTTGGAGAAGATTAACAAGACATCTGGTAAGAGGAAAGAATTCGGGAACAACCCCTCTGGCTTCCCTGGCTGTGTTCAGGTGCGTGGACTGGGTGTGTGGCATGGACCCCAGACAAGCCAGGGTCCAGGCTGGGCTGAGGAGCTCGCCTAGCTCCAGATGAGATGTTAGACATGACTTCCAGAGACACAGACTGGAGTTGTCATCCATATAAAAAAAACCACGTGACGTGGGGAAAGTCTTCCAAATTTCCTCAGCTCCAGGTTCCTAGTCCATAAGATGGAAATAAAGAATCATAGTTCATAAATTGTTTGGAGACATTAAATGTAATCTAGAAGGCCTGATGACATGAAAGGTGCTCAAGCAATTCTATCTGTGATAACCTGGGATCATATCTTACTCAGCTCAATGCCTGTTACCCAATACAGGTGTGCTTCAGAGATATTGCAGGTTCGGTTCCAGACCACTGCAATAAAGTGAGTCACACACATTTTTTTTTTGTCTTGCAGTGCATAAAAACATTACATTTACATTATACTGCAGTCTACTAAGTGTGCAATAGCATTAAGTCTGAAAATGCACATACCTTTATTTTAAAATAATTCATCGATAAAAAATGCTAACAATCTTCTGAGCCTTCAGTGAGTCACACTCTTTTTGCTGGTGGAGGGTCTTGCCTCGGTGTTGATGGCTGCTGGCTGATCAAGGTGGTGGTTGCTGAAGATTGGAGTGGCTGTGGCAGTTTCTTAAAAGATGACAACAATGAAATTTGCCACATCAATTAGCTCTCCCTTTCATGAAGGATTTCTCTGTAGTATGTGATGCTATTGGATAGCATTTTACCCACAGTAGAACTTCTTTCAAAGTTGGAGTCAATCCTCTCTAGCTATGAAAGTCCTAGATGGCATCTCCTTCCAATAGAAGGCTATTTTATCTACATTGAAAATCTGTTGTTTCGTGTAGCCACCTTCGTCAGTGACCTTAGCCAGATCTTCTGGATAACTTGCTGCAGCTTCTCCATCAGGGTTTGCTGCTTCGCCTTGCACTTTTATGTTATAGAGACGGCTTCTTTCCTTAAACCTCACGAACCAACCTCTACTAGCTTCACACGTTTCTCCTGCAGCTTCTTCAGCTCTCTCAGCATTCATGGACTTGAAGAGAGTTCTGGTCTTGCTCTGAATTAGACTTTGGCTTAAGGGAATGTTGTGGCTGGTTTCACGTTTTATCCTGACCACTCAAACTTTCTCTATTTGAGCAGTAAGGCAGTTTTGCTTTCTTATTCGTGTGTTCACTGGAGTATTAGTATTATTATTTCCTTCAAGAACTTTTCCTTTGCATTATGTACTATTATTTCCTTCATGAACTTTTCCTTTGCATTCACAGCTTGGCTGTTTGGTGGAAGAGGCCGAGCTTTCAGCCTATCTTGGCTTTCAGCATGCTTCCTCACTAAGCTTAGCCATTTCTAGCTTCTGATTTAAAGTGAGAGACATGCGACTCTTCCTTTCATTTGAACACTTAGCGGCCATTGTAGGGTTCTTAATCGTCCTAATTTCAGTGTTGCTGTGTCTCAGGAAATAGGGAGGCCCAAGAAAAGGAGGAGAGATGGGGAAGAGCTCATCGGTGGAGCAGTCAGAACACACACAACATTAATCGATTAAGTTTGTCATCTTCTATGGGTGCAGTTCATGGTACCCCAAAAACAATTACATACAACAGGATGATTATAGTCAATAATAACTTAATCGTACATTTAAAAAAACTAAAAGAGTGTAAATGAATTGTTTGTAACACAAGGATAAATGTTTGAGGGGATGGATACCCTATTTTCCATGATGTGATTATTACGCATTGCATGCGTGTATCAAAACGTCTCGCGTACCCCATAAGTATATACACCTACTGTGTACCCACTAACATAAAAAACAAAAATTATTTTAAAAGACTAAAGAGCAACAAAACAATTGCAATAATAATGTCAAAGCTCACTAATGACAGATCACTATAACAGATATACTAATAACGGAAAAGTATAAAATTGGTGAGAATTCCCCCCAAAAAATTGCAGTATCTGTGAAGCACTATAAAAATGAGGTACAATAATACAAGGTATGCCTGTGTGCCCTTAACAAATACATGCTGAATGAAAGGAGGTATCGGTGAATGTTCCCGTAAGTGAAGAGGTTGGGAATTTAACCTGACAACGGAAGGAGCCAGAAGCTAAAATTTTAATTTGCATTTGGCCTGTATTGGTGTGGATCTAAGGTCTCAGCCTCTCTAAACCAGGGAATGTGAAAAACTGGATAAAGAAGGTCCGGGGCACTTGGGAGGGGAGAGGCATCTCCTTCTTTTGAGAAAACAGAGCCTAACGCTCTCCAATCTACCCAACCCTCATTTTCCAACTCTTCCCCATCATAGGACCCAAAAGGGGGAAACATGCCTGGACCCACAGACTGCGTGAGAGAAAGCAGCTGGTGGTTTATGAAGAGATCAGCGACCCTGAGGAAGATGACGAGTAACTCCGTAAGTGAACTTTCGGACCACCCTCCACATCCTTGCAGATGTACTATTCTGTTATGGTACTGGTATCCCATCTTATCACTTGTTCCCCAAATCATTCCCTTCTCATAATTTTCTAGGGTACAGCATTGAGGCTGAATGATGAGATTTCCCATGCTCTTTCTTTCTATTTTTTTTCCTTTTTGAGAGGGAGTCTTGCTCTGTCGCCCACGCGGGAGTGTAGTGGCGCGATCTTGGCTCACTGCAACTTGTGCCTCTCAGGTTCAAGCAATTCTCCTGCCTCAGCCTCCTGAGTAGCTGGGATTACAGGTGCACACCACCACACCAGGGTAATTTTTGCATTTTTAGTAGAGACGGGGTTTCACCATGTTGGTCAGGCTGGACTTGAACTCCTGACCTCGTGATCCACCTGCCTCGGCCTCCCAAAGTGCTGGGTTTACAGGCATGAGCCACCATGCCCGGCCAATTTCCCATACTCTTTCTACTCCCTGCCCTGTATATCCAAGGTTGCTCCCTACCCAGGATGCTGTGGGTTCCCAAACCCCAGGTCAGCCCTGATATGCGGGCCACACCTTCCTCTAGCCTAGGAATTGAAAACCCAGGCGAAGAAGTCACTGTGGCATGAACAGATGGTTCACTTCGAGGAACCGTGGAAGGCGTGTGCAGGTCCTGAGGTAGGGCAGAATCACAGTGTGCAGGGTCTGCAGGTCAGGAGGAGTTGAGATTGAGTTGTCACGTGGTGGGAACTCACTGCCACTTACTTTCCTTCTCTCTTCTTGCCTCAGCCTCGGGGATATGACACATGCCCATGATGAGAAGCAGAACGTGGTGACCTTTCACGAACATGGGCATGGCTGCGGACCCCTCGTCATCAGGTGCATAGCAAGTGAAAGCAAGTGTTCACAACAGTGAAAAGTTGAGCGTCATTTTTCTTAGTGTGCCAAGAGTTCGATGTTGGCGTTTCCGCTGTATTTTCTTGCAGTGTGCCATTCTGTTAGACATTAGCGTTTTCGTTGATGAGCAAGACATGCTTAATGCATATTTCGGCTTGTGTATCCATGCACCTACCTCAGAAAACAAGTATTGTCAGGTATTCTCTCCATAGAACAGCACTACCCTCCTCTCTCCCCAGATGTGACTACTGAGGGGAGGTCTGAGTGTTTAATTTCCGATTTTTTCCTCTGCATTTACACACACACCACACACGCACACACACACACCAAGTACCAGTATAAGCATCTCCCATCTGCTTTTCTCCATTGCCATGCGACCTGGTCAAGCCCCCCTCACTCTGTTTCCTGTTCAGCATGTACTCCCCTCATCCGATTCCGTTGTATCAGTCACTGACAGTTAATAAACCTTTGCAAACGTTCCCCAGTTGTTTGCATCTCTCATTATTGTGCACACAGCTCTGTGCACGTGTGTGAATATTTCTTTAGGAAAGATTCTTAGAAGTGGAATTGATGTGTCAAAGGAGTCATTTATTCAACAAAAAACTAATGAGTGTGTACTAGTGCTGAGAACTGTTCGAGGTGCTGGAGAGACATCAGGGAACAAGGCAGACAGATGTTCCTGACCACCATTCTAGAGGAAGATATTTCCAGTCGTTGGTATTGTTTGTTTGTTTGTTTCTTCTAGAGATGGGGTCTTGCTCTGTCCAGGCTAGAGTGCAGTGGCACGATCATAGCTTAATGCAGCCCTGAACTTGTGGGCTCAAGGGATCCTCCCACCTCAGCCTCCAGAGAAGCTGTGACTACAGCCACGCACCATCATGACCCACTGATTTTTTTAGGTTTTGTCAAGAAAGTCTCGCTATATTACCCAGGCTGGTCTCCAACTCCTGGGCCCAAGCAATCCTCCCACCTTGGCCTCCTAAAGTGCTGGGATTACAGGAGTGGGCCACTGCGCCTGGCCTCCAGTTTTTATTTTGATAGAGACTATACACTTCAGTCCTGGAGCAGGATTCTGCAGCAGGTGGTTGGGCATCTGGGCCTTTGCTCTCTGAATGATTTTCAAGTTCAAGGGCTGGGACGGTCCATTTGGGAGTATGTGGAAGGAGACACAGATGAAATCGTCATCTGGGGAACGTGGAGGAATGAGGAAGATGCGTGCACTGTAGACCGTGATGGACAGGGAATAGAAGAGTCCACTCAGTCTCCATGCAGGGGAGCAACGGTGGGAAAGTCCCCTGGACAGAAGCATGAGACTGCCCATCAAGGGTCTCACCAACCAAGGGCCTGGGGGCTGGGGTGGGGACGATGATTTCGGAAGGGGCCAGTTCTTTCTCACATGTACCATTGCACAGTGTGGAGGGGAAACAGGTCTGCGGAAGGGGAGCGCAGATGGGAGTCTATTTTCGAACCAACCATTGTGTGTGAATGGAGACATCAAGTCCTCCCGGTTCTCCCCAGCCTTGGAAGGAGGACACTATCATCTTTATGCCTATATGTTAGATGAGAGACGGAGTCCCAGCCAGATGGCAGGCGTCTTGTCTGAGGTCCCACAGCTGGCAGGTGCAGGAGGGGCTGAGTTTGGAGCTCACTGACTTCAGAAACATTAAGGAGGACAGGTGTGTGTGGTGGAGGGAGGGGGAATTGAACAAGCCCCGGGCTCTGTCCCCAGTCACAAGGTAGAGGCTGTGGGTTCGTTTTCCAAGACAAGGAGCCCTAGGAGAGAGAGAGTGCGGGGAGGGAGAGGCAGTCGTGATCACAGCAGGGACAGTGGGAGACAGAGATATGCAGGGTGGGCAGAAGAGGGGCAGGCAAAGAAGCAGGGGAGACCCAAGGCCAAGTGGGGGCTGCCACAGCCACCAGAGGGAGAGGGTGCCTGGAAGGAGGTTGTGGGGCTCCAGGAGCAGTAGAGGTTCCCCAGATCTGTGAGCATGCCCTGCCTGGCACTGCAGGAAGAGGTGGCTGCCACCCAGGTCAGTGTGGACGTACCTCTACCTGTGTCTCAGGGGAAACAAATTCTATTTTATCCCAGTATAGTTCTGTATTACACAAATGTAACATTCGGCTACTAGATATTGAGTGCCTTATCCTCCATGCAAATACAGCAGAGGATACCCTAAAAGAGATACTGAAGCTTTTGATTTTTCTTTCTCCCTGGGATGATGGGATCCATAAGTTGGGTCCCCCAGCCCACAAGACAGGTGCAAGGAAGGGTGGTTGGAAGATTGTGAGTTATGACAGGGAACATTATTTCTTAGGTTCCTTGGGTATATAAAGCTCCGGACTATCTGTCTATCATGGATAAAGAGTGAACATGGTCCCCTCTCCACAAATGTGTTTTTCTCCTCGATTATCACTGTAAAGGGCTGAAGTTACACCAAGTTCTGATACATTACTTTTTCGTGTTATTTTTGAGACAGGATCACAGTCTGTCGCCCAGGCTGGAGTGCAGTGATGCAATTACAGCTCACTGCAGCCTCGATCTCCCAGGCTTAAGGGATTCACCCACTTCAGCTTCCGATCTAGCTGGGACTACAGGCACACGCCACCGCACCCAGCTAGTTTTTGTATTTTTTTGTAGAGACGGCATCCACTATGTTGCCCAGGCTGGTCTCGATCTCCTGGCCTCAGGCAATCCTCCTGCCTCAGCCTCCCAAAGTGCTGGGATGACAAGTGTGAGCCACCTCGCCAGGCCTTCACTTTCTTTAATGAACAATTATCAGAGTTTCATCTTAGAGGCAAAAGTGGCTACTGCCAGCCAATCTGTCTGTGGTGTTGGAGGGGAATCTGGCTGATTCAGACGTTTCAGATGAACTTTTAAATTAACCTACATGATGATTATCCTAAGGCCGTTTCCTCCTCCGTGTTTTTCTGATTCAGGGTTTGGAGTTTTTCAGAGGCTTTGTTACAAAGAGCATCTCCTGGTCGGGCACAGTGACTCACGCTGTAGTGCCAGCACTTTGGGAGGCCGAGGCAGGCAGATCACTTGATGTCAGGAGTTTGAGACCAGCCTGGCCAACAGGGTGAAACCCCCGTCTCTACTAAAAATACAAAAATTAGCCAGCCGTGGTGGCGGGCTCCTGTGAATTCCAGTTACTGCAGGGGCTGAGGCAGGAGAATCCCTTGAACCTGGGAGACGGAGGGTGCAGTGAGCTGAGATCACGCCACTGCACTCCAGCCTGGGCGACAGAGTAAGTCTCTGTCTCAAAAAACAAACAAACAGCATCTCTCGCCTACAGTGATTTGAGCTGTGGTCTTGTCTCCTTGGGTTTCTCTATCAGTCTGACCCCATCTACTCTATCTCCCAGGAATGCCTCAATATTTCTGGTGGACCGCTGACACGCTTTCCTATTTTCCTCTACTGTTACGAATTGACCCTTGAAAACCTTTTCTTAATTTTTTTAATTTTTTTATTACTATACTTTAAGTTTTAGGGTACATGTGCACAATGTGCAGATTTGTTACATATGTATACATGTTCCATGTTGGTGTTCTGCACCCATTAACTTGTCATTTAGCATTAGGTATATCTCCTAATGCTTTCCCTCCCCCTCCCCCCTCCCCCGTCCCCGCACCCCACAACAGGCCCCGGAGTGTGATGTTCCCCTTCCTGTGTCCATGTGTTCTCATTGTTCAAGTCCCACCTATGAGTGAGAACATGCGGTGTTTGGTTTTTTGTCCTTGCAATAGTTTGCTGAGAATGATGGTTTCCAGTGTCATCCATGTCCCTACAAAGGACATGAGCTCATCATTTTTTATGGCTACATAGTATTCCATGGTGTCTATGTGCCACATTTTCTTAATCCAGTCTATCATTGTTGGACATTTGGGTTGGTTCCAAGTCTTTGCTATTGTGAATAGTGCCGCAATAAACATATGTGTGCATGTGTCTTTATAGCAGCATGATTTATAATCCTTTGGGTATATACCCAGTAATGGGATGGCAGGGTCAAATGGTATTTCTAGTTCTAGATCCCTGAGGAATTGCCACACTGACTTCCACAATGGTTGAACTAGTTTACAGTCCCACCAACAGTGTAAAAGTGTTCCTATTTCTCCACATCCTCTCCAGTACTTGTTGTTTCCTGACATTTTAATGATTGCCATTCTAACTGGTGTGAGATGGTATCTCGTGGTGGTTTTGATTTGCATTTCTCTGATGGCCAGTGATGGTGAGCATTTTTTCATGTGTCTTTTGGCTGCATAAATGTCTTCTTTTGAGAAGTGTCTGTTCATATCTTTCGCCCACTTTTTGATGGGGTTGTTTGTTTTTTTCTTGTAAATTTGTTTGAGTTCATTGTAGATTCTGGATATTAGCCCTTTGTCAGATGAGTAGGTTGTGAAAATTTTCTCCCATTTTGTAGGCTGCCTGTTCACTCTGATGGTAGTTTCCTTTGCTGTGCAGAAGCTCCTTAGTTTAATTAGATCTCATTTGTCAATTTTGGCTTTTGTTGCCATTGCTTTTGGTGTTTTAGTCATGAAGTCCTTGCCCATGCCTATGTCCTGAATGGTATTGCCTAAGTTTTCTTCTAGGGTTTTTATGGTTTTAGGTCTAATGTTGAAGTCTTTAATCCATCTTGAATTAATTTTTGTATAAGGTGTAAGGAAGGGATCCAGTTTCAGCTTTCTACATATGGCTAGCCAGTTTTCCCAGCACCATTTATTAAATAGGGAATCCTTTCCCCATTGCTTGTTTTTGTCAGGTTTGTCAAAGATCAGATGGTTGTAGATATGTGGCATTATTTCTGAGGGCTCTGTTCTGTTCCTTTGATCTATATCTCTGTTTTGGTACCAGTAACAAGCTGTTTTGGTTACTGTAGCCTTGTAGTATAGTTTGAAGTCAGGTAGCGTGATGCCTCCGGCTTTGTTCTTTTGGCTTAGGATTGACTTGGCAATGTGGGCTCTTTTTTGGTTCCATATGAACTTTAAAGTAGTTTTTTCCAATTCTGTGAGGAAAGTCATTGGTAGCTTGATGGGGATGGCATTGAATTACAGAGTAAGGCACCATGCCTGGCCTCTGGTACCACTTTGGGATTGTATGAAACACTATGCTTCAAAGTGTGGGATCTGGCTTCCCAGACAGCTGTCAAAGGGGCAGATGATGCAATCTAGAAGTGTGGGGGAGTTCATGCCTGTGGGGTAAATTTTGACCAATAAGAAAAGGAACCAGGAGTGAGAGTCAGTTACATAAATTGCCTCTCCTCTCCTCTCCCCCTGCACCGTTCCAGGCATGGTTTCTCAGTATAGTCTGCCTAGATGTTTCCTGTATGGCCCAAAGCCTGTTTCCTTGGGAACCTGAGCTAAAACAATGGGCATGCAAACACCCGAAGACAGGGTTAAGTGTTGTGGAGGACCCAGATCTGGGCAGAGGAAAATTATCCCAATAAGGAAATGGACAATTTGAGGATTTGGGATAGGGGGAAGGACTAGAAGAACCAGTAGTAATATAGCTTAGGGGTACTATTTTTGGAGAAAAAGGCAGTTCTGTTGATTTTTGCAGTGAACTGCTTAGCTCTGTAAGATATATACTTCTTTCTTTCCATCAGTCTCTCCTGTGAAATCTTTCATAAAGTATCCTTTTATAGCTATCTATTGCCTGTGATGTGAATTTTCTTTTTTCCTTTTTCTTTTCTTTTTTTTTATTTTTTAGAGTTAGAATTGCTGTCGCCCAGGCTGGAGTGCAGTGGGGTGATCTCGGCTCACTGCAATCTCCACCTCCTGAGTTCAAGTGATCCTCCTGCCTCAGCTGCCCTAGTAGCTAGGACTACAGGCGTGCGCCAACAACGCATGGCTAAATTATTTTTTGTATTTTTAGTAGAGATGGGGTTTCACCATCTTGGCCAGGCTGGTCTCAAACTCCTGACCTCAGGTGTTCCACCCTCCTCAGTCTCCCAAAGTGCGGAATTACAGGCGTGAGCCACCGCACCCAGCCTGTCAGTTTTCTTTTGGAGAATAAAACTGATTGAGTCTTGTGCCAAAATGCAGGGGAGGCTGCACCCAGACAGGTAACAAAATATTATATACAGTAATAGATAGGTTTTCTACATACCAATAATAACCATTTAGAAAACCAAATTGAGAAAAATTACACGTATATAGTGACAAAAGTACATACAATATCTAAAACCAGATGATTGGAGCAAGATGGCAGATAGATCCCGTGCCCTACTCAACATTCCATCGAACTGGGAAGAAAATATTTTCAAGGGTCAATTCGTAACAGTAGAGGAAAATAGGAAAGCGTGTCAGCGGTCCACCAGAAATATTGAGGCATTCCTGGGAGATAGAGTAGATGGGGTCAGACTGATAGAGAAACCCAAGGAGACAAGACCACAGCTCAAATCACTGTAGGCGAGAGATGCTGTTTGTTTGTTTTTTGAGACAGAGACTTACTCTGTCGCCCAGGCTGGAGTGCAGTGGCGTGATCTCAGCTCACTGCACCCTCCGTCTCCCAGGTTCAAGGGATTCTCCTGCCTCAGCCCCTGCAGTAACTGGAATTCACAGGAGCCCGCCACCACGGCTGGCTAATTTTTGTATTTTTAGTAGAGACGGGGGTTTCACCCTGTTGGCCAGGCTGGTCTCAAACTCCTGACATCAAGTGATCTGCCTGCCTCGGCCTCCCAAAGTGCTGGCACTACAGCGTGAGTCACTGTGCCCGACCAGGAGATGCTCTTTGTAACAAAGCCTCTGAAAAACTCCAAACCCTGAATCAGAAAAACACGGAGGAGGAAACGGCCTTAGGATAATCATCATGTAGGTTAATTTAAAAGTTCATCTGAAACGTCTGAATCAGCCAGATTCCCCTCCAACACCACAGACAGATTGGCTGGCAGTAGCCACTTTTGCCTCTAAGATGAAACTCTGATAATTGTTCATTAAAGAAAGTGAAGGCCTGGCGAGGTGGCTCACACTTGTCATCCCAGCACTTTGGGAGGCTGAGGCAGGAGGATTGCCTGAGGCCAGGAGATCGAGACCAGCCTGGGCAACATAGTGGATGCCGTCTCTACAAAAAAATACAAAAACTAGCTGGGTGCGGTGGCGTGTGCCTGTAGTCCCAGCTAGATCGGAAGCTGAAGTGGGTGAATCCCTTAAGCCTGGGAGATCGAGGCTGCAGTGAGCTGTAATTGCATCACTGCACTCCAGCCTGGGCGACAGACTGTGATCCTGTCTCAAAAATAACACGAAAAAGTAATGTATCAGAACTTGGTGTAACTTCAGCCCTTTACAGTGATAATCGAGGAGAAAAACACATTTGTGGAGAGGGGACCATGTTCACTCTTTATCCATGATAGACAGATAGTCCGGAGCTTTATATACCCAAGGAACCTAAGAAATAATGTTCCCTGTCATAACTCACAATCTTCCAACCACCCTTCCTTGCACCTGTCTTGTGGGCTGGGGGACCCAACTTATGGATCCCATCATCCCAGGGAGAAAGAAAAATCAAAAGCTTCAGTATCTCTTTTAGGGTATCCTCTGCTGTATTTGCATGGAGGATAAGGCACTCAATATCTAGTAGCCGAATGTTACATTTGTGTAATACAGAACTATACTGGGATAAAATAGAATTTGTTTCCCCTGAGACACAGGTAGAGGTACGTCCACACTGACCTGGGTGGCAGCCACCTCTTCCTGCAGTGCCAGGCAGGGCATGCTCACAGATCTGGGGAACCTCTACTGCTCCTGGAGCCCCACAACCTCCTTCCAGGCACCCTCTCCCTCTGGTGGCTGTGGCAGCCCCCACTTGGCCTTGGGTCTCCCCTGCTTCTTTGCCTGCCCCTCTTCTGCCCACCCTGCATATCTCTGTCTCCCACTGTCCCTGCTGTGATCACGACTGCCTCTCCCTCCCCGCACTCTCTCTCTCCTAGGGCTCCTTGTCTTGGAAAACGAACCCACAGCCTCTACCTTGTGACTGGGGACAGAGCCCGGGGCTTGTTCAATTCCCCCTCCCTCCACCACACACACCTGTCCTCCTTAATGTTTCTGAAGTCAGTGAGCTCCAAACTCAGCCCCTCCTGCACCTGCCAGCTGTGGGACCTCAGACAAGACGCCTGCCATCTGGCTGGGACTCCGTCTCTCATCTAACATATAGGCATAAA
Organism: Homo sapiens; assembly: GCF_000001405.40. Lineage (NCBI taxonomy): Eukaryota > Metazoa > Chordata > Mammalia > Primates > Hominidae > Homo > Homo sapiens. The sequence goes on from NC_000023.11 coordinate 48,401,020, forward strand.
GATGATAGTGTCCTCCTTCCAAGGCTGGGGAGAACCGGGAGGACTTGATGTCTCCATTCACACACAATGGTTGGTTCGAAAATAGACTCCCATCTGCGCTCCCCTTCCGCAGACCTGTTTCCCCTCCACACTGTGCAATGGTACATGTGAGAAAGAACTGGCCCCTTCCGAAATCATCGTCCCCACCCCAGCCCCCAGGCCCTTGGTTGGTGAGACCCTTGATGGGCAGTCTCATGCTTCTGTCCAGGGGACTTTCCCACCGTTGCTCCCCTGCATGGAGACTGAGTGGACTCTTCTATTCCCTGTCCATCACGGTCTACAGTGCACGCATCTTCCTCATTCCTCCACGTTCCCCAGATGACGATTTCATCTGTGTCTCCTTCCACATACTCCCAAATGGACCGTCCCAGCCCTTGAACTTGAAAATCATTCAGAGAGCAAAGGCCCAGATGCCCAACCACCTGCTGCAGAATCCTGCTCCAGGACTGAAGTGTATAGTCTCTATCAAAATAAAAACTGGAGGCCAGGCGCAGTGGCCCACTCCTGTAATCCCAGCACTTTAGGAGGCCAAGGTGGGAGGATTGCTTGGGCCCAGGAGTTGGAGACCAGCCTGGGTAATATAGCGAGACTTTCTTGACAAAACCTAAAAAAATCAGTGGGTCATGATGGTGCGTGGCTGTAGTCACAGCTTCTCTGGAGGCTGAGGTGGGAGGATCCCTTGAGCCCACAAGTTCAGGGCTGCATTAAGCTATGATCGTGCCACTGCACTCTAGCCTGGACAGAGCAAGACCCCATCTCTAGAAGAAACAAACAAACAAACAATACCAACGACTGGAAATATCTTCCTCTAGAATGGTGGTCAGGAACATCTGTCTGCCTTGTTCCCTGATGTCTCTCCAGCACCTCGAACAGTTCTCAGCACTAGTACACACTCATTAGTTTTTTGTTGAATAAATGACTCCTTTGACACATCAATTCCACTTCTAAGAATCTTTCCTAAAGAAATATTCACACACGTGCACAGAGCTGTGTGCACAATAATGAGAGATGCAAACAACTGGGGAACGTTTGCAAAGGTTTATTAACTGTCAGTGACTGATACAACGGAATCGGATGAGGGGAGTACATGCTGAACAGGAAACAGAGTGAGGGGGGCTTGACCAGGTCGCATGGCAATGGAGAAAAGCAGATGGGAGATGCTTATACTGGTACTTGGTGTGTGTGTGTGCGTGTGTGGTGTGTGTGTAAATGCAGAGGAAAAAATCGGAAATTAAACACTCAGACCTCCCCTCAGTAGTCACATCTGGGGAGAGAGGAGGGTAGTGCTGTTCTATGGAGAGAATACCTGACAATACTTGTTTTCTGAGGTAGGTGCATGGATACACAAGCCGAAATATGCATTAAGCATGTCTTGCTCATCAACGAAAACGCTAATGTCTAACAGAATGGCACACTGCAAGAAAATACAGCGGAAACGCCAACATCGAACTCTTGGCACACTAAGAAAAATGACGCTCAACTTTTCACTGTTGTGAACACTTGCTTTCACTTGCTATGCACCTGATGACGAGGGGTCCGCAGCCATGCCCATGTTCGTGAAAGGTCACCACGTTCTGCTTCTCATCATGGGCATGTGTCATATCCCCGAGGCTGAGGCAAGAAGAGAGAAGGAAAGTAAGTGGCAGTGAGTTCCCACCACGTGACAACTCAATCTCAACTCCTCCTGACCTGCAGACCCTGCACACTCTGATTCTGCCCTACCTCAGGACCTGCACACGCCTTCCACGGTTCCTCGAAGTGAACCATCTGTTCATGCCACAGTGACTTCTTCGCCTGGGTTTTCAATTCCTAGGCTAGAGGAAGGTGTGGCCCGCATATCAGGGCTGACCTGGGGTTTGGGAACCCACAGCATCCTGGGTAGGGAGCAACCTTGGATATACAGGGCAGGGAGTAGAAAGAGTATGGGAAATTGGCCGGGCATGGTGGCTCATGCCTGTAAACCCAGCACTTTGGGAGGCCGAGGCAGGTGGATCACGAGGTCAGGAGTTCAAGTCCAGCCTGACCAACATGGTGAAACCCCGTCTCTACTAAAAATGCAAAAATTACCCTGGTGTGGTGGTGTGCACCTGTAATCCCAGCTACTCAGGAGGCTGAGGCAGGAGAATTGCTTGAACCTGAGAGGCACAAGTTGCAGTGAGCCAAGATCGCGCCACTACACTCCCGCGTGGGCGACAGAGCAAGACTCCCTCTCAAAAAGGAAAAAAAATAGAAAGAAAGAGCATGGGAAATCTCATCATTCAGCCTCAATGCTGTACCCTAGAAAATTATGAGAAGGGAATGATTTGGGGAACAAGTGATAAGATGGGATACCAGTACCATAACAGAATAGTACATCTGCAAGGATGTGGAGGGTGGTCCGAAAGTTCACTTACGGAGTTACTCGTCATCTTCCTCAGGGTCGCTGATCTCTTCATAAACCACCAGCTGCTTTCTCTCACGCAGTCTGTGGGTCCAGGCATGTTTCCCCCTTTTGGGTCCTATGATGGGGAAGAGTTGGAAAATGAGGGTTGGGTAGATTGGAGAGCGTTAGGCTCTGTTTTCTCAAAAGAAGGAGATGCCTCTCCCCTCCCAAGTGCCCCGGACCTTCTTTATCCAGTTTTTCACATTCCCTGGTTTAGAGAGGCTGAGACCTTAGATCCACACCAATACAGGCCAAATGCAAATTAAAATTTTAGCTTCTGGCTCCTTCCGTTGTCAGGTTAAATTCCCAACCTCTTCACTTACGGGAACATTCACCGATACCTCCTTTCATTCAGCATGTATTTGTTAAGGGCACACAGGCATACCTTGTATTATTGTACCTCATTTTTATAGTGCTTCACAGATACTGCAATTTTTTGGGGGGAATTCTCACCAATTTTATACTTTTCCGTTATTAGTATATCTGTTATAGTGATCTGTCATTAGTGAGCTTTGACATTATTATTGCAATTGTTTTGTTGCTCTTTAGTCTTTTAAAATAATTTTTGTTTTTTATGTTAGTGGGTACACAGTAGGTGTATATACTTATGGGGTACGCGAGACGTTTTGATACACGCATGCAATGCGTAATAATCACATCATGGAAAATAGGGTATCCATCCCCTCAAACATTTATCCTTGTGTTACAAACAATTCATTTACACTCTTTTAGTTTTTTTAAATGTACGATTAAGTTATTATTGACTATAATCATCCTGTTGTATGTAATTGTTTTTGGGGTACCATGAACTGCACCCATAGAAGATGACAAACTTAATCGATTAATGTTGTGTGTGTTCTGACTGCTCCACCGATGAGCTCTTCCCCATCTCTCCTCCTTTTCTTGGGCCTCCCTATTTCCTGAGACACAGCAACACTGAAATTAGGACGATTAAGAACCCTACAATGGCCGCTAAGTGTTCAAATGAAAGGAAGAGTCGCATGTCTCTCACTTTAAATCAGAAGCTAGAAATGGCTAAGCTTAGTGAGGAAGCATGCTGAAAGCCAAGATAGGCTGAAAGCTCGGCCTCTTCCACCAAACAGCCAAGCTGTGAATGCAAAGGAAAAGTTCATGAAGGAAATAATAGTACATAATGCAAAGGAAAAGTTCTTGAAGGAAATAATAATACTAATACTCCAGTGAACACACGAATAAGAAAGCAAAACTGCCTTACTGCTCAAATAGAGAAAGTTTGAGTGGTCAGGATAAAACGTGAAACCAGCCACAACATTCCCTTAAGCCAAAGTCTAATTCAGAGCAAGACCAGAACTCTCTTCAAGTCCATGAATGCTGAGAGAGCTGAAGAAGCTGCAGGAGAAACGTGTGAAGCTAGTAGAGGTTGGTTCGTGAGGTTTAAGGAAAGAAGCCGTCTCTATAACATAAAAGTGCAAGGCGAAGCAGCAAACCCTGATGGAGAAGCTGCAGCAAGTTATCCAGAAGATCTGGCTAAGGTCACTGACGAAGGTGGCTACACGAAACAACAGATTTTCAATGTAGATAAAATAGCCTTCTATTGGAAGGAGATGCCATCTAGGACTTTCATAGCTAGAGAGGATTGACTCCAACTTTGAAAGAAGTTCTACTGTGGGTAAAATGCTATCCAATAGCATCACATACTACAGAGAAATCCTTCATGAAAGGGAGAGCTAATTGATGTGGCAAATTTCATTGTTGTCATCTTTTAAGAAACTGCCACAGCCACTCCAATCTTCAGCAACCACCACCTTGATCAGCCAGCAGCCATCAACACCGAGGCAAGACCCTCCACCAGCAAAAAGAGTGTGACTCACTGAAGGCTCAGAAGATTGTTAGCATTTTTTATCGATGAATTATTTTAAAATAAAGGTATGTGCATTTTCAGACTTAATGCTATTGCACACTTAGTAGACTGCAGTATAATGTAAATGTAATGTTTTTATGCACTGCAAGACAAAAAAAAAATGTGTGTGACTCACTTTATTGCAGTGGTCTGGAACCGAACCTGCAATATCTCTGAAGCACACCTGTATTGGGTAACAGGCATTGAGCTGAGTAAGATATGATCCCAGGTTATCACAGATAGAATTGCTTGAGCACCTTTCATGTCATCAGGCCTTCTAGATTACATTTAATGTCTCCAAACAATTTATGAACTATGATTCTTTATTTCCATCTTATGGACTAGGAACCTGGAGCTGAGGAAATTTGGAAGACTTTCCCCACGTCACGTGGTTTTTTTTATATGGATGACAACTCCAGTCTGTGTCTCTGGAAGTCATGTCTAACATCTCATCTGGAGCTAGGCGAGCTCCTCAGCCCAGCCTGGACCCTGGCTTGTCTGGGGTCCATGCCACACACCCAGTCCACGCACCTGAACACAGCCAGGGAAGCCAGAGGGGTTGTTCCCGAATTCTTTCCTCTTACCAGATGTCTTGTTAATCTTCTCCAAGGTACTTGGATTTCCCGGGGGGCACAGCTGTTTCCCATCATTTTGTGGGCCAGATGCCTCTGGCACTTCCTTCAAACCATTTTCTTCCTCTGCTGGCTTCTTGGGCATGATCTTTACAATGTGAAGGTCGCAGATAAACAGTATCAGTGACATTTCTACAGTGCTTTAGAGCTTACAAAGGGTCTTCACGTGCATTAGCTTATTCAATGCTCTCAACAAGACTGGGAGAGTTACACAGGCCTAAATTAGGAGAAACCTGGGAGGTTAGAAGGGAAAGGAATGGCCTAAACGAATGGGCTTTCCAGGGCTAGAATGCTTATCTTCACACTCTTTTAAGACTCACATTCTTGCAAACAGCAAAAATCTCCATTTAATTGAGAGTTTGGTATACAGAAGATTTGGAGAATAGCATTCTAAGAATTCACAAGGTCTAGAAAAGAAAGAGCTTCTATAAAATACAAGGGATCCCATATAAGCTTGTAGACAGCTGCTGGGAGAGTAAATGTAAAAACATAGAGAGGCGATAAAACACTGCTGGGAAAGATGGTGTGGGGAGATGAATACAGGGACAGGAGAGGTAAAGAAATGGTTTGCTGAAATTAAACTAGGCAGCAAAGAAAGCAGTACCAGACATGGCATACTACCCTACCGAGGCGCCAACATTGAATGTGGAATTAAGTGAGGTGGTACCCATACCAACTCTGGTTGCATTGGGATGTGTCACTGACCAACGACCTTAAGCTACTTCTTTTTCCTTTTTTTTTTTTTTTTTTGACACGGAGTCTTGCTCTGTTGCCAGGCTTGAGTGCAGTGGCGCGATCTCAGCTCACTGTAACCTCCATCTCCCAGGTTCAACCATTCTCCTGCCTCAGCCTCCAGAGTAGCTGGGACTACAGGTAGGCTCTAACACGCACCGTTAAGTTTTCTATTTTTAGTAGAGACAAAGTTTCACCATGTTGGGCAGGATGGTCTCCATCTCTTCACCTCGTGATCCACCCACCTCAGCCTCCCAAAGTGCTGGGATTACAGTCGTGAGACACTGCGCCCAGCCCTTAAGCTACTTTTTATTCAGCTTCCTCACTTACGAAATAGTCAACAGTACATGTAAAATAGGCTACAAGAAAGTGCTCTCTGAGCTTGTAAACACTCTTTAAATGTAGTAATAATAAAAAACTAATACTTTTCATGATCCTTCTTTGAATTTGGTCTCCACACTGGCAACCCAACTCCCAGATCCCTTTACCCTCCAAACCAGAGTTGGATCTGCAGTTGTGGGATCACTCATTCAGGGGCCTTCGAGGGATCCCCTGGGCTGGGACGGGGGCTTCCCGGATGCCCCAGGTGCACACAAGGCCATCAAGGAGCTCACAGTAGGGAGGGGCCAACAGTCAAAGCGATTCCTAAGCCATGTGAGTGGCCCCGGTAACAGAGCAGAGGCCAGCTGGTCCTTCCTGTTGCGAGAGTGGGTGTCTCAATGGAAGCACCAGGAGGCCCTATGGGGTGAAGCCCTAGTGAGCAACATCTGAACTTCATAAACAAATGCAAACGTGAATGAGCTTTAAATGGCTTGGAGCTCTGGATTAGACTACCACTGCCACTGTGCCTCAGGAAAATTCTTTAACATCTCTGTACCCCGATAGCCTCATTTTATTATTATGTTGCTGATAACTACGATCTAAAACATGAACTATGATTCTTTACTTCCATTTCATGGACCAGGAGTCTGGATCTCAGAGAACTTAGAAGATTTGCACCAAGTTACATGTCTTTTATATGGGTGACAATTGAAGTGTGTGGCTCGATAGTATTTGGAGATAGTAATAGAAACATCGTCATAGAGGTCTTCTTAAGGATTAAATAAATTAACCCATGTGAACTGCTTAAAATAGTAATCTGGCATCACTATGAAAACCAAAGAAGTATTAAGGATCACAACTGTTAATATTAGCAAGCCGTCGGTGCCACATAAGTTGTTGTGATAGACATGGGGAGAAGGAGGCAGTGAGGGCATGTTTGATATTCTCCCACTCTTATCAGTGTTCGCATCCGTGCAGGGACAAACGTTCTCTGGTCCTTTAGATTTGAGAGACACTCACCTTCGGGAAGATTCTCTGGAGGCTGCCGAAAGTCATCTGAGGACGTTCAACTGAAAGAGAATACATCAGAATTTTTCTTTGTTGGTAAAGATTTCCAAACTCTAGAGAGACTTCTGTCGCATGAGGGCATTCTGCAGCAGAGGTTGTGAGTCCACTCATTGTTGAGGAGTTATTTGAGATTTGCTTCTGAATTATGTTTAGTCATGGTTGGTGCATTTATCTGTGGCATCAATTCAGAATTTTCCATCTCGTGGTTTATCACATGGGTATTAAACCCCATCACAGTCTCATCTTTTTCCATTACATATCTTTTACTTTTTCCCAAATAGTTAAATTGATTGGTTGGGAATCTAAACTGTAATCACTCAAGATGTGCAACAACTAAAAATCACTGTACACTTCAAATGGGTGAATCTTATGGTATGTCAATTAAGCTGTTAACTGTGTGATGAACCATCGATGATTTAGTCCAGTGGCTCTGAAATATTTTCAGTATAAATATTTGGCACTCATTTAATGTCAAAAACTTGGCAGATACTCAAGCACTGGATTTTCAGACCTCTTATAGTGACTGTGGGAGATCGTAGAATCTGGCCTGTTTAGTTGGGAAGTAATAGGTCTATGGGAGACAGTCTGGACATTCTGACCTTGTCTTGTAACTGTGTTCTCAGAGCAGAAGAGCAAGTAAACACATATGTCCCCTTTATATTCCTGAAATGCACAAAGATCTCTACGCGAAACTTGTCTTTTTTTCACCCTATGTTATCTCTGCTCACTGAGAAGTGGGAAAGCTCTCTGTGTGCTGGATGAGGGATCACTCTTTCAAACTCTCTTCCAAGCTCATCACGGAGAATTGGGGTTGTTGGGGAATGTGAGGACTATTTGGTTTTGATAAAATACAGAGAAACAGCGACGCTTATTACATAATGTGTTCATCACCCTCACTCCTAAGATACTTATCCAATACCTACATGCTGTTAATGAAACAAACTCTGGAAGTTTTTGGCGGATCTACAGTTTTAACATTTTCTTTTTTTTTATTTTTTCACTTTTCACATTTTCTTAAATGTCCTTTGATTCATTAACAGTGCTTAGGAAGAACAACATGTCATTTAAAAAAGAAATATTTCAAAAACACAGAAAAGTATGGGGAACAAAACTGAGTACAGTCGGGTCTCAACATTACCCCACAGTTATCTTAGATCTGATTTATTTATTCAGAATATTAGCAATAGTATAAACAGTCCAGGAGTGGTAGCTCACGCCTGTAATCCCAGCATTTTGGGAGGCTGAGGCGAGTGGATCACCTGAGGTCAGGTAGTTTGAGGCCAGACTGGCCAACATGGTGAAACCCCGTCTCTACCAAAAATACAAAAATTACCTGGGTGTGGAGGCGAGCGCCTGTAATCCCAGCTACTCGGGAGGCTGAGGCAGGAGAATCGCTTGAACCTGGGAGGTGCAAGTTGCAGTGAGCTCAGATTTTGCTATTGCACTCCAGGCTGGGTGACAAGAGTGAAATTCTGTCTCAAAAAAAAATAACAATAACAAAAAACACAAAACACACTATCAGCAAGTCACAGCTGAAGCTGTCTGTGCCGCACTCAGCAATCCCTGCCCTCCCTCCCTCCTCCACTTACAGCCAGTCACCTTAATTTGATGGCGTTTTATTCACATTCATGTTTGTATACATTTACCATTTACTTATTATCCATAAAAATATATTTTCTTGTTTTGCATGTTTTAGAATTTTATGTGATTGGCCTCTGTAGTTAACTTTCTGCATGCAATTTTTTTTTTTCACTCAGCCCCGATGTGTATGAGGGAACAAATGCCTGAGGATCTTTCCCAGGTAGCTGAGCTGAAAAGCAACTGGGCTTGAGGAGACCCTTTCCAGCCCCTTCCAGTCTACTCACCCTGATTCCTGTGGTTTCGATCGTTACCAAAATCATTCCCGTGGAAGTCTGCAGCCCGTTTACTACGCATGAAAGGTGGGAGGGTGACCTTGAAACCTAGAAAGGAGCAAAATGTTTATTTCTTAAGAGGCAAGCTTGGGCCTGGCACGGTGGCTCATGTCTGTAGTACCAGCCCTTTGGGAGGCTGAGGCTGGAGGATTGCTTGAGGTGAGGCGCTCAACACTAGCCTGGGCAACATAGAGAGACCCACATATCTACAAAATATAAAATAAAATTAGTTGGGCATAGTGGCACGTGCCTGTAGCCTCAGCTACTCCATAGGCTGGGCAGGAGGATTGCTAGAGCCCAGGAGTTCGAGGCTGCAGTGAGCTATGCTTGCACTACTGCACTCTTCCCTAGGTGACAGAGTGAGACTCTGACTTAAAAAAAAAAAAAGAGAGAGAGAGAGAGAGAGACAAGCCAAGAGAAGGAAGGGAGGGTGTGCGTGTTGGGTGTGGGGGTGCCGGGATGCCACAGAGACAGTTGGGCTCATCAGAAAAGACGCCTATGGGAGAGAAACGTGCAGGATCCAGGTATGAGCTCCACTGTGGCCAGTCCCTGCCCTCAGCCCTGACAGGATACAGAAGAGGAGAACACCCAGAAGCTGCCTTGTGATTTTTCCCTGCACAAAAGGAAAATGTGGGGTACTTTCTGCAGCCTAAGAAGTAGCCAAAACAGGAAAAGGGATGCTCATGTGTCCCCAGACTTGTCTGCTTCTAGAACTTTCTGTTACCTAGTTTAGTCATGACCTCATAGTTTAGCTTCATATACACATAGACGATTTTCTCCGAGGATTTCATCTTTTCCCACTCTTTCTTAGAGAAGTATTTGGCAATATCATCGAAGGCCTGGAAAAAAAAAAAAAAAGGAATTATGGCAGGGACTCAGCTAGGCATGTCTGCCATTCAGCTGGAGCCGCTTCCTGTGTGTGGGATCTGAGAAGTGGGGATGATAGTCTGTCCTGGTTGATGCCATGGCTAACTGACAGAACATGAGGGAACTTCCCTAGCTTCGCCCCTGCCACACAGTAGGGCTTTAATGCTGCTGGCTGGCTCTCTTCCCACCTTCCAGAATGGAGTGGGAGTCACCAAATGAAGTGCAAGGTCAGAGACTTGTCTCCAGGGATGCTAGGTGATGACAGAGCGAGGGTGGGAGGCTCCCAAGGGTCCAAATCTCCCCCGAGACCCTGCTCCTTGTCCCTAGTACCTCTGTCCTCCCCTCCTCAGAAACCTGGTCACCCCACACTGTCCCCTGGGCCACTACTCTGCCCCCTCCAGGTCACCTCACCTTTCGTAACTTCTCTGATATTTGAGCATCATCCCTGGGTCTCCTTGCAAAGGCGTCGTCTCCGTTCATGGCACTGGGAGCAGTCTCACCTGCGAGAGAAACAGCCTGAGTCTTTCCAGCCTCAGGACCTTTGGTGCTCTGGGCGGGGTGGTGCACGCCTGTAGTCCCGGGGCCGAGGCGAGAGGATCGCTTGAGCCCAGGAGTTTTTTTTTTTTTTTTTTTTTGAGACAGGGTCTCGCTCTGTTGCCCAGGCTGTGTTGCAGTGGCGCGATCGTGGCTCACTGCAACCTCCGCCTCCCGGGTTCAAGCGATCCACCACCTGTGGGCCTCCAAAGTGCTGGGATTACAAGCGTGAGCCACCACGCCCAGCCCAGATTTTTTAAGTTACTACAGAGCTCCTAGGAAAAATCCCATACCTGAAAAAGTTAGAAACTGACAGGAAGAATTTGAGATGGCGACCTGCCTCACATAAATACATTATTAAAATTAGATAAGAAGTGCACCACGGCGGAGGGGAGGGGTAGGAAGAATGGAAAGAGAAAATCAGCGCATGCTTACCCTGATTGTGGAAGAATCAAAAGGGCAAATCGGCGTGTGCGTACTCTGAATTTAAAGTAGCCAATCCAAGGGGACGCTTTCGGCGGGAAAATCAGAGTCTCCCCTCCCCCCCGCCTTGGGAAGGTTCTGTCCCTAGAGCCTGGACTGACAGACGCCACATCAGCTTCGCTTGTTCCGCCTACTGTTCTGACTTCTAATTGGCCAGATGGAGTTCACTAACTGCCCTGATTGGTCCATCATCCTTGGGCAGTGACATTGCAGAATGTTGTCGCCTCCTCCAGCCACACTTTGTGCGACAAAGTGGGTGGTCCTCAGGCGCCATCAGGAGATTTTGAACTCTCTGAAGACCGTCCCTGGATCTTGGGTTAAACATCTGGATTCTAGTCTGAACCGTGGGAAGAAAAAATAGTCGATCTGTGATTTTTCTATTTGAAAGACACAATGTTTTCCAAACTAGCACATTTGCGGAGGTTTGCTGTACTTAGTCGTGGAGTTCATTCTTCAGTGGCTTCTACATCTGTTGGAACTAAAAAAACAGTCCAAGGCCCTCCAACCTCTTTTATTCTTATTTTTTTTTCTTTTTTTTTTTTTTTTGTAGTTTTCTTTTTTTTTTCTTTTATTATTATACTTTAAGTTTTAGGGTACATGTGCACATTGTGCAGGTTAGTTACATATGTATACATGTGCCACGCTGGTGCGCTGCACCCACTAACTCGTCATCTAGCATTGGGTATATCTCCCAATGCTATCCCTCCCCCCTCCCCCCACCCCACAACAGTCCCCAGAGTGTGATGTTCCCCTTCCTGTGTCCATGTGATCTCATTGTTCAATTCCCACCTATGAGTGAGAATATGCGGTGTTTGGTTTTTTGTTCTTGCGATAGTTTACTGAGAATGATGATTTCCAATTTCATCCATGTCCCTACAAAGGACATGAACTCATCAATTTTTATGGCTGCATAGTATTCCATGGTGTATATGTGCCACATTTTCTTAATCCAGTCTATCATTGTTGGACATTTGGGTTGGTTCCAAGTCTTTGCTATTGTGAATAGTGCCGCATTTTTGGAAGGGAATGTAAGTGTGGTGCGCACAATTACCATCCTTTACCTGTAGCCCTGGAGAGAGGAAAATGTATTTACTTATGGGATGTGATTGTGGTATTGGTTACATCCGCCTTGGTCAATCCTCCCATCTCATTCTCGGGACTACAGGCATGCACCACCCTGCCCAGGTTTGTTTTTGTTATTATTATTATTATTTTTTAGTTGAAACTGGGTTTCTCTATGTAGGCCAGGCTGGCCTCAACCTCCAGGGCTCAAGGGATCCTCCCACCTCCTCAGCCTGGGGACCACAGGCATGCACCACCCTGCCCACGGTATTTTTTTTGTTTTTCAGTAGAAACCGGGTTTTGCTATGTTGCACAGACTGGCCTCAACCTCCTGGGCTCAAGCAATGCTTCCACCTCAGCCTCGGGACCATAGGCGTGTGCCATTCTGCCCTGATAATTTTTTTTAGGAGAGACAGGCTTTCGCTATGTTGACCAGGCTGGTATCGACCTTCTGGGCTCAAGCAATCCTCCCACCTCAGCCTGGGAACTACAGGGGTGAGCCACCCCGCCCATGCTATTTTTGGTTGTTCTTCTTATTAGTAGAAATGGGGTTTCACTATGTTGGCCAGGCTGGCCTTGACCTCCTGGGCTCAAGCAATCCTCCTGCCTCGGCCTCGGGACCACTGGCACACACCACCCAGCCCCCACTAATATCTTTAATTTTTCTAGTAGAGACAGTTTCGCTATGTTGTCCAGGCTGGTCTCTACCTCCTGGGTTCAAGTGATCCTCCTGCCTCGGCCTCGGGACTGCAGGCCTGCACCACCCTGCCTTTTGCTATGTTTCCCAGGCTGGTCTCAACCTCCTGGGTTCACTCAATGATTTGAACCCGGGAAGGGGAGGTTGCATTGAGCTGAGATCCCACCACTGCACTCCAGCCTGGGTGACAGAGAAAAACTGTCGAAAAGAAAAGGAAGGGAAGGGAGAAGGGATGGGAGAAGGGAAGGGAGAAGGGAAGGGAAAGGAGAAGGGAAGGGAAGGGAAGGGAAGGGAAGGGAAGGGAAAGGAGAAGGGAAGGGAAGGGAAGGGAAGGGAAGGGAAGGGAAAGGAAGGGAAGGGAAGGGAAGGGAAGGGAAGGGAGAAGGGAAGCGAAAGGAGAAGGAAAAGGAAGGGAAGGGAGAACGGAAGGGAAGAAGGAAGGGAAGAAAGGGAAGGGAAGATGGGAAGGGAAGACAGGAAGGGAAGATGGGAAGGGAAGAAGGGAAGAGAAGAAGGAAGGGAAGGAAAGGGAAGAAGGAAGGGAAGGGAAGAAGGGAGGGAGGGAGGAAGGAAGGAAGGAAAGAAGGAAGGAAGGAAGGAAGGAAGGAAAGAAAGAAAGAAAGAAAGAAAGAAAGAAAGAAAGAAAGAAAGAAAGAAAGAAAGAAAAGAACCAGCTGAGTCTCCGTAAGAACAGTAAGCTTTGTGGTATTTTAACTTACCCTCGTCCCATCTCGTGCTCCCAGCTTGGTTCTGTTTATTGTTGATGAAATACAGACAGGAGTGGCCAGAACTGGTAGATGGCTGGCTGTTGATCATGAAAATGTCAGACCTGATATAGTCCTCCTTGGAAAGGCCCTTTCTGGGGGCTGATACTCTGTGTCTGCGGTGCTGTGGAATGATAACATAATGCTGACCATTAAGCCAGGGGAACGTGGGTCCACATACGGTGGCAATCCACTAGGCTGCCAAGTGGCCATCGCAGCCCTTGAAGTTTTAGAAGAAGAAAACCTTGCTGAAAATGCAGAAACAATGGGTATTCTCCTGAGAAATGAACCCATGAAGCTACCTTCTGATGTTGTAACTGTTGTAAGAAGAAAATAATTATTTTATTTATGTATTTATTTGCTTAAGTCACAGGTTCACTCTGGTTGCCCAGGCTGGATTGCAATGGTGCGATCTTGGCTCACTGCAACCTCTGCCTCCTGGGTTCAAGTGATTCTCCTGCCTCAGCCTCCCGAGTAGCTGGGATTACAGGCACGCACCACTATGCCCAGCTAACTTTTGTATTTTTAGTAGAGACGGGGTTTCACCACGTTGGCCAGGCCGGTCTCGAACTGCTGACCTCAGGTGATCCACCCACCTTGGCCCCCCAAAGTGTTGGGATTACAGGTGTGAGCCACCACACCCGGTGTGGAAAAGAATTATTAAATGCTATTGTTATTAAAGAAACCAAAGATTGTGCTGCTTGGAAAGTGTGTGTCTAAGACTTCGAGATAATGGACTTCTGGCCAAGCCAACCCATGGCGACATCATCAGGTTTCACCTCTGCTGGTGGTCAAGGAGGATGAGATTCCAGGGTCAATTGTTATCATTAACAAGACCATCTTGTCGTTCTGAGTGTAGCAGCCGTTTTCAGTGGTCCCTGGGAGCCGGCTGGAGACAGGTGGTCCTGTAAAAGCTCTGCTCTAAATGTGGGCACATTCCACTCCCATGTGTCTTCAAAACCTTTTCGTGGAATATATGTTTTTTGCAGTTGATACATACTAGAACAACGTTTATGAACCTGCCCGTTGCTTTGTAACGTAAGTAAGAGAATTTAATGGCATCTATATTCAATGAATGTTTTGATGTGCATGTGTACTTTCTAAGGTAAAATGCATCTATGTGTATTGACAGCCTTTAAATCACATCCTTCAGTATAATTTATATATGTTTTTATAATTTCCATGCTAGTATAAATGTTTTGTATTTGAAAATGTTATCTCTGGGGTATTACATAAATGGCTTCACCTTATAAAGTCAAATCATTGTTATCATTGAATTTTAGGAAGGATGAATGGTTAAGCATATATAAAATACTAATATTAAGTAAACTTCATGTTGGCTAACACCAGGATGTATTCTATGGATGTCATTATTTTCAATTAAGAATTAGTGTTTAACATTCCTGAATTGCTTTGAGTGCTTGATTAAAATTTGTAGAAAAATGTTTGTTTATTTTTTATTTTTATTTTTATTTTTTTATTTATTTTTAGCAGAGACGGGGTTTCACCGTGGTCTCGATCTCCTGGCCTCGTGATCCACCCGCCTCGGGCTCCCAAAGTGCTGGGATTACAGGCATGAGCCACCACTGCGCCTGGCCAAAGAATGTTTATTTTTAATAATTTTTTAAATTTTAAATAAAGCTTATATTTCAGAAAAAAATAAGATACAGATCATGGCCAGGTGCGGTGGTTCACGCCTGTAATCCCAGCACTTTGGGAGCCCGAGGTGGGTGGATCACTTCAGGTCAGGAGTTTGAGACCAGCCTGGCTAACAAGGAGAAACCCCGTCTCTACTAAAAATACAAAACTTACCAGGCATGGTGGCACGCACCTGTAATCCCAGCTACATGGGAGGCAGAGACAGGAGAATAGCTTGAACCAGGAAGACAGAGGTTGCAGTGAGCTGAGATCGTGTCACTGCACTCCAGCCTAGGTGACAGAGTGAAAATCCCTCTCGGGAAAAAAAAAAAAAAAAAGAAAGAAAGAAAAAAAAAAGGTACAGGACATTTCCATCACCAAAGTGCTATCCCTTGTGCTACTCATTTTTAGTAATACCCACTCTCCTCCCGTCCACCATCCCTAACCCCTGGCAACTACTAATCTTTTTCATTTCTACAATTTTGTCTTTTCTACAATGCTGTACAAATGAAATCTTATAGTATATAACATTTTACAGGCTTATTTCACTCAGCATAATTCCATGGAGATTCATCCAATATATTAATATTTTTGTATCAGTAGTTCATTGTTGTTTTTGTTGTTGAGACGGAGTCTCACTCTGCTGCCCAGGCTGGAGTGCAGTGGTGCGATCCCGGCTCACTGCAACCTCTGCCTCCCAGGTTCAAGAGATTTTACTGCCTCAGCCTCCCGAGTAGCTGTGACTACAGGCGCGTGCCACCACGACCGGGTAATTCTTTTTTTTTTTTTTTTTTTTGAGACAGAGTCTCACTCTGTCGCCCAGGCTGGAGTGCAGTGGCGCAATCACTGCTCACTGCAAGCTCCGCCTCCTGGGTTCATGCCATTCTCCTGCCTCAGCCTTCTGAGTAGCTGGGACTACAGGCGCCCGCCACCACTCCCGGCTAATTTTTGGTATTTTTTAGTAGAGATGGGGTTTCACCGTGTCAGCCAGGATGGTCTCGATCTCCTGACCTCGTGATCCGCCCGCCTCGGCCTCCCAAAGTGTTGGGATTACATGCGTGAGCCACTGCGCCCGGCCAATTGTTCATTTTTATTACGGAGTAGTATTCCATGGTATGGATGTACCACAGTTCAACCATTCGCTTATTGCAGGACATATTGATTATTTCCAGCTTTTGGCTATTACAAGTAAAGCTGCTATGAACAATTGTGTACAAGTTTCTGGATGGGCATACATTTTAACTTCTCTGAAGTGTAATTGTTGAATTGTATGGTCACTGCATGTTTAGTTTTATAAGAAACTACCAAACTGCTTTTACCTTCCCAGCAGCACTTAATGAGGTGTCCATTTTCTCTGCATCCTTGTCACCATTTGGTGTTGTCACTATGTCTTTTATTTTAGCTATTGTAATAAGTGTGTAGTGATACCTCATCGTGGTGTTATTCTGCATCTAGTGAAGCAAATGAGTGTTGAACATCTTTTCATGTGCTTATTTGCTTATTTCCTCTTCAGTGAAATGTATGCTCATATCTTTTCATAATTTTCTAATTGGATTATTTGGTTTTTTTTTACCTTTGAGTTATTATTATTATTATTATTATTATTATTATTATTATTATTTAAGGCAGAGTCTCTCTCTGTTACCCAGGCTGGAGTGCAGTGGCATGATCTTGGCTCACTCCAACCTCTGCCTTCCAGGTTCAAGCGATTCTTGTGCCTCAGCCTCCCGCGTAGCTGGGATTACAGGCATGCATCAACATGCCTGTCTAATTTTTGTATTTTTAGTAGACATGGGTTTTTGCCATGTTGCCCAGGCTGGTCTCAAACTCCTGGCCTCAAGGGATCTGCCTTCCATCCACCTCGACCTTTCAAAGTGCTGGGATTACACGACTGAGCCACCACACCCGGCCTACGGTTGAGTTTTGAGAGTACTATACATATCCATTATATATTCTGGATGTGAGTCCTTTCTTGGATATGTGGTTTGCAAACATTTTCTCCCAGTCCATACTTTGTTTTTTCATCCTTTTAACAGGGTTTCTTGCAGAGCAAAAGTTTTAAATTGGATGAAATCTAATTTACTTTTTTTCCTTATGGATTATGCTTTTTGAACTGTTCACCATGCCCTAGATCTCAGACGTTTCTCCTATGTTTTCTTGTAAAAGCTTTTTTTTTTAGTTTTATATTTCAGATTTAAATATATGATCCATTTGAGTTACTTTTTTGTATAAAGTTATGAAGATTAGGTCTTATTTTTTTTTTTTTTTTTTTTTGCCTATGGATATGCAACTGCTCCAGCACCATTTGTTAAGCAGACGATCCTTCCTTCTTTCTGTCTCTTTGTAAAAAATCAGTGTGTGGCTATTTCTAGGTTCTCTATTTTGCTCCAGTGATCTATGTGTCTATTCTTCTGCCAATACTACACAGTCTTGATTCCTGTAGCTATATAAGAAGTATTGAAATATGGTAGAGCCATTCCTCCTACCTTATTCTTCTTTTTCAAAAATTGTCTTAGCTATATAATTTTTTTTTGATATGGAGTCTCACTCGTGTCACCCAAGCTGGAGGGCAGTGGGGTGATCTCGGCTCACTGCAAACTCTGCCTCCCGGGTTCAAGGGATTCTCCTGTCTCAGCTTCCCGAATAGCTGGCATTACAGGCGTGCACCTCCACACCCGGCTAATTTTTGTATTTTTAGTAGAGACGGGGTTTCGCCATGTTGGCAAGGTTGGTCTCGAACTCCTGACTTCAAGCGATCCGCCCGTCTCGGCCTCCCAAAGTGCTGGGATTACAGGCGTGAGCCACCGTGCCCAGCCCAGCGTTGTCTTAGCTATTGACAATTTGTTACAGCAACAATAAAAAATGAATACATATAGAAACAGATTAGTGAAAAAAAAAATAGAAAGTCAAGAAACAGACTAAGTTATGTGCAAAATTCAGCATGCATTTCCAAACACTGGGCAAAAGATGGGTTGTATAATAAACGATTGCTTGACAAGTGTCTATCCATTTGAAAAAATAAATATTAAAATACTTACTTTAAACCACATAAAATAATAAATTCTAAAAATTCACTGACTTAAATGTGAAAACGTGAAGTCATAAAGAACTAGACGAAAATTTAGGAAAATATTACAGTGTAAGACATTTTGAGTTGGCATAGGCACTTCCTGACATTACACCAAGGCTATGAACAATGAATCTGACATACTTAAAGATGTAAAAATTAAAGTATCATCTAAGTCAAAAGACACCATAAACAACTGTGTAAAGAGGCAAATTTTGGAGAAAATGGTGAAGCATCCGCAGTAAAAGTAACCATCTCTAATATACGACAAAGCTTTTGCATATCATAAGAGAAATTGGAACAACCCAATGAAAAACTTCAGGCACGGCACTACTTCACTGTATAGTAGAAAACGATTACGAAATAGAAAGTATGAAAGTAAAATAATAAAGGAAATGGAGAATAGATCCCAGAAGTTTCACCGTTCATCTAGTAGAAGTTCCAGACATACAGAATAGAAAGACTGGGCCGGGCGCAGTGGCTTACGCCTGTAATCCCAGCACTCTGGGAGGCTGAGGCAGGCAGATCACCTGAGGTCAGGAGTTCGAGACCAGCCTGTCCAACATGGCAAAACCCTGTGTCTACTAAAAATACAAAAATTAGCCCGGTGTGGTGGCGGGCGTCTGAAATCCCAGCTACTTGGGAAGCTGAGGCAGGAGAATCAGTTGAACCTGGGAAGCGGAGGTTGCAGTGAGCTGAGGTCTTGCCACTGCACTACACCCTGGGTGACAGAGCAAAACTACGTCACAAAAGTGAAAAAAATAAAAAAAAGAATATTAAGACTGGGGAGAAGGCAGTACTTGAAGAAATAATGTTCTAGAATTTTCTGAACTGAACAAAGACACTTTGGGAGGCCGAGATGGGTGGATCGCTTGAGGTCAGGAGTTTGAGACCAGCCTGGCTAACATGGAGAAACACCGTCTCTACTAAAAATACAAAAATTAGCTGGGTGTGGTGACGGGTACCTGAAATTCCAGCTACTTGGGAAGCTGAGACAGGAGAATCGCTTGAACACGGGAGGCAGAGACAGCAGTGAGCCGAGATCACCCCACTGCCCTCCAGCTTGGGCGACAAAAGTGAGACTCCTTCTCAAAAAATGTATATGTAACTAAGACAATTTTTGAAAAAGAAGAATAAGGTGGGAGGAATGGCTCTACCATATTTCAATACTTCTTATATAGCTACAGGAATCAAGACTGTGTAGTATTGGGAGAAGAATAGACACATAGATCACTGGAACAAAACAGAGAACCTGGAAATTGCCCCACACTGATTTTCCCCAAGAGACAAAAAGAAGGATCGTCTGCTTAACAAATGGTGCTGGAGCAGTTGCATATCCATAGACAAAACAACAACAACAACAACAACAACAAACAAACAAACAACAACAAGAAAACACCTAATCTTCATATATATATACATATATATATACATATATATACACATATATATATACATATATATACACATATATATACACATATATATACATATATATACACATATATATATACATATATATATACATATATTAAAAACTCAAGTGGCTCATAGATTTAAATCTAAAATATAACACTAAAAAAACTTTTACAAGAAAGAGTAGGAGAAACGTCTGAGATCTAGGCATAGTGAACGGTTCAAAAAGCATAATCCATAAGGAAAAAAATAAATTAGATTTCATCCAATTTAACTTTTGCTCTGTAGAAACCGTGTTAAAAGGATGAAAAAACAGGGTGTAAAGTGGGAGAAAATGTTTGCAAACCACGTATCCAAGAAAGGACTCACATCCAGAATATATAACGGATACGTATAGTACTCTCAAAACTCAACGGTATGCCAGGCGTGGTGGCTCACGCTTGTAATCCCAGCACTTTGGGAGGTCGAGGTGGACGGAGGGTAGATCCCTTGAGGCCAGGAGTTCGAGACCAGCCTGGGCAACATGGCAAAACCCATCTCTACTAAACATTCAAAAATTAGACAGGCATGATGGTTCGCACCTGTAATCCCAGCTACGCGGGAGGCTGAGGCATGAGAATCGCTTGAACCTAGGAGGCAGAGGTTGGAGTGAGCCAAGATCATGCCACTGCATTCCAGCCTCGGTAGCAGAGCGAGACTCTGTCTCAAAAACAAAACAACGGTAAAAACAAACAAACAAATAATTCAATTAGAAAATTATGAAGATATATGAACATACATTTCACTGAAGAGGAAATAAGCAAATAAGCACATGAAAGGCTGTTCAACACTTACTTGCTTCACTAGATGCAAATTAAGACCACGATGAGGCATCACTACACACTTATTACAACAGCTAAAATGAAAGACATAGTGACAATACGAAATGCTGGAAAGGATGCACAGAAACTGGACATCTAGTAAAATGCTGCTGAGAGGGTAAAATCTTACAGCCACTCTGGAAAGCAGTTTGGTAGTTTCTTATAAAACTAAACATGCAGTGACCATACAATTCATCAATTACCACTTCATAGAAATTAAAATTTATCCCCATCCAGAAACTTGTACATAATTGTTCATAGCAGCTTTATTTGTAATAGCCAAATAGCCGGATATAATCAATATGTCCAACAATAGGTGAATGGTGAAACTGTGGTACATCCATACCATGTAATACTACTCAGTAATAAAAATGAACCATTGGCCGTGCACGGTGGCTCACACTTGTAATCCCGGTATTTTGGGAAGCCGAGGCAGGCAGATCATGAGGTCAGGAGGCAAGTAGATCATGAGGTCAGGAGTTCGAGACCAGCCTGGCTAATATGGTGAAACCCTGTCTCTACTAATAATACAAAAATCAACTGGGCATGGTGGCGTGCACCTGTAGTCCCAGCTACTTGGGAGGCTGAGGCACGAGAATCGCTTAAACCCGGGAGGCAGAGGTTGCAGTGAGCCAAAACCACGCCACTGCGCTCCAGCCTGGGCGACATAGTGAGACTCCATCTCAACAACAACAACAACAAAAATATGAACTATTGATACACAAATATTAATATCTTGGATGAATCTCCAGGGAATTATGCTGAGTGAAACAAGCCTCTAAAATGTTATATACTATGAGATTTCATTTGTACAGCATTGTAGAAAAGATAAAA
Source organism: Homo sapiens (assembly GCF_000001405.40). Lineage (NCBI taxonomy): Eukaryota > Metazoa > Chordata > Mammalia > Primates > Hominidae > Homo > Homo sapiens. Next base: position 48,422,248 of record NC_000023.11, read on the forward strand.
TTGTAGAAATGAAAAATAGATTAGTGGTTGTCAGGGGTTAGGGATGGTGGATAGGAGGAGAGTGAGTATTACTAAAAATGAGTAGCACAAGGGATGGCATTGTGGTGATGGCAATGGTCTATACCTTTTTTTTTTTTTTTTTATTCCAAGACTGAGTCTCACTTTGTCACCCAGGCTGGAATGCAGTGGCAGGCTCTCGGCTCACTGCAACCTCTGCCTCCCAGGTTTGAGCCATTCACCTGTCTCAGACTCCCATGTAGCTGGGTATACAGGCACGTGCCACCACGCCTGGCTAACTTTTGTATTTTTAGTAGAGACGAGGTTTCACCATCTTGTCAGGCTGGTCTCGAACTCCTGACCTCAAGTGATCTGCCTACCTTGGCCTACCAATGTGCTGGGATTACAGGCGTGAACCACTGCACCTGGCCATGTTCTGTATCTTTTTTTTTTTCTGAAATATAAGCTTTATTTTAAATTTAAAGAAATATTAAAAATAAACGTTTTTTACAAATTATAATCAAGCACTCAAAACAATTTAGGAATTTTAAACACTAATTCTTAATTCAAAATAATGACAACCATAGAATACATTCTGGTGTTCGCCAATATGAAGTTTACTTAATATTAGTATTTTACATATGACTAACCATTCATCCTTCCTAAAATTCAATGATAACAGTGATTTGACTTTACAAGGTGAAGTCTTTTATGTAATACTCCATAGATAACTTTTTCAAATACAAAACATTTATACCAGCAAGGAAATTATAAAAACATATATAAAGTATACTGAAGGACGTGATTTAAAGGCTGTTCTGTATACATAGATACGTTTTACCTTAGAAAGTACAGATGCACATCAAAACACCTTCACTGAATATAGATGCCATTACATTCTCTTACTTACGTTAGGAAGCAAAAGGCAGGTTCATAAACGTTGTTCTATTGTGTATCAACTGAAAAAAATGGATATTCCACACAAAGGCTTTGAAGACACATGGGAGTGGAATGTGCCTACATTTAGAGCAGAGCTTTTACAAGACCACCTGTCTCCAGCCGGCTCCCAGGGACCACTGAAAACAGCTGCTACCCTCAGAAAGACAAGATGGTCTTGTTAATGATTTCACTGGACTCTCGAATCTCATCCTCCTTGATCACCAGTGGAGGCACAAACCTGATGATGTCACCATGGGTTGGCTTGGCCAGAAGTCCATTATCTCGAGTCTTTGAATCACCTTCCAGGCATCACGATCTTTGGTTTCTTTAATAACAATAGCGTTTAATACTTCTTTTCCTCACTGGGCATGGTGGCTCACGCCTCTAATCCCAGCATTTTGGGAGGCCTAGGCAGGTGGATCCATTGTTTTCTTAGTTGGAAATGATCCCAGCATTTAGTGAGTACCTATTACTTAATCTAACATAACACAACTTTAATATTTCATCTCCATATGGTAAGAGCAAGAGAAAAAACATTTCAAATTACATGAAAAGTTCACTTATAAACATGTATCTCACAGTTACCTCATTTATTCATTTTAACAGTTATACCTAGATTACTTATGAAAACTGACATATTAAACAAAGCCAGTCGGCCGGGGTCGGTGGCTCACGCCTGTAATCCCAGCACTTAGGGAGGCCAAGAAGGGCAGATCACTTGAGGTCAGGAGTTGAAGACCAGCCTGGCCAACAAGGTGAAACCCCAACTCTACTAAAATACAAAAAATTAGGTGGGCGTGGTGGCGGGCGCCTGTAGTCCCAGCTACTCGGGAGGCCGAGGCAGGAGAATGGTGTGAACCCAGGAGGCGGAGTTTGCAGTGAGCCGAGATAGGGCCACCGCAGTCTGGCCTGGGCGAAAGAGCGAGACTCCGTCTCAAAAAAAAAAAAAAAAAAAAATACAAAAATTATCCAGGCATGGGGGCGCACGCCTAGAGTCCCAGCTACTTGGGAGGCTGAGACAGGACAATCTCTTGACCCTGGGAGGCAGAGGTTGCAGCGAGCCGAGATAGCACCACTGCACTCCAGCCTGGGCAACAGAGGGAGACTCTGCTCTAAAAAAAATTTTAAAAATAAATAAATAAATAAATAAAGCTAGTCATTTGGAGTTATTCTCCTATTAAAACATTATTATAGCCTGTAAATGTCAGGTATCCACCCGAGCAAAAACCTTAAATATATGAGTATTTTGCCAATAACTCAGAAAATACAGCTGTTTTATTACACTCACAATATTAAATTAGTCTTACTTATCAAAGAATTGCACATAAAAGACCATTCTGTTTTTAGGTTAGGTTTATGTTTCATAACCTTAACACATCCAACAGAGACAAATATAGAACCAGTAAACCCAGCCAAAAAGGTGTGGTCACAATTTTGAAAACATTTCTCATTTTATTTTACCAACAATTTTAAAACCAGCTTATTTTTCAACTACTTAATTAAGTTGCATGAACTAAATGCGTTTTAGTTAATTACTGTGTATTTATATGAGTACCTATTTAAGCCAATCTGAATAGGATTCTTTAAATAATTGTTTGCCAACGATTCCGGATTTTACCATGTAGACACATTTAACATAACACATGTACATACGCAGGAATACGCCCAAACACAGATACGTACATAAACAAAGATAACTTTCATTTTAGAATTTTGATTATGGGACAGTAAACCATACAAACTCACCGATTTATAAAAGACGTTGGATCTAAATTATATTTCTGACAAAATGGAAGAAGGCTAAACTTTATTTAAGATTTTTCTCCTCAATAGGTAATCTTATGAAGGTGGTGACCCAAATTTTGGGTAAAGCAGTTTGAGTCAGTTACCAACATGTTGAATTAGACAAAGAATTGTTAACTGTAAAAATGTGACTGAATTATGTGAGGAGGCCCAAAAGATAAGAGGTATTCCAATAAGCTTTGTATAATGTTCTCTTGGTCTCAATTCCTCATCCTTGAAGATAAGAGTGTTGTCTTTCCTTTTAGTATAGGAAGGAGATCTTTTACATGGGAATTTCATCTTTTGCTTTTAAGAAACACTACAAAGGTCAGTGATTTTATTTTATTTGTATCTGATGTCTTTCAACTGTCTTTATTTTAATAGTCAGTATGCCAGAGTAGCTGAGGAGTTTTGGAAAAAGAGTTTTGCTTAAAGAAGGATAAAGAGGAAGAGGTAAACGAAGGAGAGGGGAAGGTGTTGGAGAAGAAAATCTCAGCTAGCTTTAGACAATATCTTGCAGTGAGGCAGCCTTTGAGTCTTGAATGTGTTCTGGAGCCTCAAGATACCAACTGAGATAGGAGTCCCATTTGGACTGTATTATTTTAGTTCAGTTTGAGGAAAACAGACTGCGTGAATGATCCCCGTAATGTTGGCACATATTACCAGCTGGCGTCCCAGAAAGAGGGAACTATGTTGGCATGCCTTTGAACTTTGAGAGCCTGTGTGTAAATAAATTAATCTAGGTGATTCGGTTTAATGCCTAATACACAAAAGCCAAATTAAACTCTAAGCATGCAAACGACTCAGAAAATAAAGTACAAACTTACCAGGAAGCATGAGAAGCCTTCTCTAACAGAAAAATCTCTGTAACCCGGCCTCATAACCAGGAGGGAGAAAATCCCTCTTAAACAGGCCGTCTCTGGCTGGGTGTAGTGGCTCACGCCTATAATCCCAGCACTTTGGGAGGCCGAGGCGGGCAGATCACTTGAGCTCAGGACTTCAAGACCAGCCTGGCTAACAGGGTGAAACCACATGTCTACTAAAAAACACAAAAATTATCCAGGCGTAGTGGCGCACACCTGTAATCCCAGTTACTCGGGAGGACGATGCACGAGAATCACTTGAGCCTGGGAGGTGAAGGTTGCAGTGAGCCCAGATCACACCACTGCACTGCAGCCTGTGCGACAGAGCAAAACACTGTCTCAAAAAAAAAAAAAAAAAGAAAGAAAAGAGAAAGACAAGATAAAAAAGACAAGACAAGAAAAGAAAGGAAAAGAAAAGAGGAGGTTTCATAACCAGGAGACAGAGAAAGACCCTTCCTAACAAATTCCCAAATAAAACTGAACTCAACTCCCCGACAAATGGCAGTTTGATCCAAGAAAGTCTCACCGGGGGGAAAGAGGCAACCAGAAAAGCAAAAGCTCAAGGGGACCAAGTGTGCAGACCTCACGCCATAGTTCCAGAGGTCATTGATATCTCCAAGGTGAGTCAGCTTCGGACCCGATTTCTGACACCACAAATATCAAAGTCAAAACCTATGGAGATGAATCTCTTTTTTAAATCGCAATATTAAGGATGTTATATTATGGTTTTTGTTTTTGTTTTTTAAGACAGGGTCTCACTCTGTCGCCCACCCCGGAGTGCAGTGGCACAATCTCGGCTCACTGCAACCTCTGCCTCCCCGACTCAGCCTCTGGAATAACTGGGATTACAGGCATGCACCACCACATCCAGCTAATTTTTTGTAATTTTTGTAGAGACAGGATTTCACCATGTTGCCCAGGCAGGTCACGAACCCCTGGGCTGAAGTGATCCGCCGGCCTCAGCCTCCCAAACGGCTGGGATTACAGGCATGATCCACCACGCCCATGAATCTCTAAACATTTTATTTGAGAATCATAGAATTGTAATCTGAAGCATACACACAAACTGGCTGGTCTTTGGTATGTCCAAAGAACAACGAGAAAGTTGAGAGTTTTATTAGAAACAGAAATGTTACCTATAGTTTTTAAAGCAAGTCCCTTGGCACCAGAGAAGCTTTCAGGAGCTGGAAGCTCTGATTGGTGAGTGTGGACAATAGGTAAAACAAGCCTTAGAGTCATTGCAGGTTGTTTCAGCAGTTACTAGGTAAAAGTGCTCTTAGGGTGGCAGCAGGCCATTTCAGCCACCAGCTTTGTGGAAAATTCAATTCTTGGAGCAGGTGCAATGTGCCCTGATTGGTTTCTCCCCTGGCCACTCAACTCTGACCTAGTTGTGTATGTGGAAAATGACTCAATTCAGGTGGGTTTCAGTGGCACACGCCTGAAATCTCAGCACTTTGGGAGGCCAAGGCGGGCAGATGGCTTGAGGTCAGGAGTTCGAGACCAGCCTGGTCGACATGGTAAAACCCTGTCTCTAGTAAAAATACAAAATTAGTCCGGTGTGAGGCACGTGACTGTAGTCCCAGCTACTCGGGAGGCTGAAGCAGGAGAATCGCTTCAACCCAGGAAGCTGAGGTTTCAGTGAGCCGAGATCACGCACTGCACTCCAGCCTGGGTGACACAGCGAGACTTCATCTAAAAAAAAAAAAGAATGACTCACTTCTTTCACAATGGTTAAAGCAGAGCCCTGCTTAGCAATGCACAAAAATTCTCCTTTGTGACCCATTCATTTTACTGCTGTTGGCTTTCTTGCTTATGCTTTCAGACAGAGACACTCTCCTTTGACCAAACTTGAATCGGGCTCCTCTGAGTCCTGTTTCTGACTAGGTCTCAACCTCAGGCTCTGTCCTTCATCCAGGGACTCTGCCCATTTAGCCTTTTTCAGCAAAAAACCTGTCAAGTCGGTTTAGCCAGAATCCCCCTGCACCTGAGGCTTCCTCCAAGTAATTTCCCATCTTCTGACCCCCGGCTCCTACTCCCTGACTACAAATCCCCACTTGTCCTTGTGGAGTTGAAGTCGATCCCAATATCACTCTCCCACTGCAAGACCCCATTGCAGTGGTCCCTGTACCTATCACAGTAGTCCCCCCTCTGAGTAAAATCGTCCTTACGATCTTTTTTTCTTTTTATTTTCAGAGACAAAGTCTCACTCTGTAACTCAGGCTGGAGGGCAGTGACCCAATCCTAGCTCACTGCAGCCTGAAATTCCAGGGCCCAAGCAATCTTCCTGCCCCAGCCTCCCAAGTAGCTGGAACTACAGGTACGCACCACCACACCCAGGTATTTTTTTTTTTCAGTTCTCTACAGACGCAGGAACTTGATGTGCCCGGCGGATTTTTCTATTTTTTGTAGAGACAGGGTTTCACCATGTTGCCCAAGCTGGTCTTGAACTCCTGGGCTCAACCAATCCTCTTGCCTCGGGCACCCAAAGTTCTGGGATTACAGGCATGAGCCACTGCAGCTGACCCTTCCTTACAGTCTTTAATAAGTGCAATAAATACTTGTTTGCTTTAACATTTCCCTGTGTCTTCAATCTCCTGAAGTCTTACATGCTTGACATTGTATTTTCCTCTGTAAGTAACCTGCTATTTCTCTCCGATCATTTTAAAATATTTTTTCCTTGTCTTTCACAATTTTACATTTCACTGTTCCTGTGTGTGTACTATAATACCTTTAAATCTTAAGTCATTTTTTTAAATCTGAGGAATTCTCATTGATTACTTATTTAAGTACACTCTCCTTTTTAATGACTATATTCTCTTCTTATAAGGCTACTATTAGATGTGTTTTGACATTTATTCTTCTATCCTCCCTATTAATTAACTTTTCTTTCATTTACTTCTTCTCTATCCATTACCGATTACTTTCATGAATTCTTTAGACGCATTTCCTCAGCTCAGTAATTGCTTTTTCAACTCTATCAGTTTTAATATCCAATCTATTCCACCGAATAATTTATTTGAGCAGTTAATGTTTTCATATCCAATCTATCCAATAGTTTTTCTTTTTATTTATTTATTTATTTATTCATTTATTCGTTTGAGATAGAGTCTTGCTCTGTCACCCAGGCTGGAGTGCAGTGGCACGATCTTGGCTCACTGAACCTCTGCCTCCCGAGTCCAAGCAATTCTCCTGCCTCAGCCTCTTGAGTAGCTGGAACCACAGGCATGTGACACTATGCCAGGTTAATTTTTGTATTTTTAGTACAGACGGGGTTGCACCTTGTTGGCCAGGCTGATCTCGAACTCCTGACCTCAGGTGATCCACCCGCCTCAGCCTCCCAAAGTGCTGGGATTACAGGCGTGAGCCACCGCACCTTGCCTTTTTTTCTTTATTTATTTTTACACAGAGTTTCACTCTTGTTGGCTAGGCTGGAGTGCAATGGTGTGATCTCGGCTCACTGCAACCTCCGCCTCCCAGGTTCAAGTGATTCTCCTGCCCCAGCCTCCTGAGTAGCTGGAGTTACAGGTGTGCACCACCACGCCCAACTACTTTTATATTTTTAGTAGAGATGGGGTTTCACCATGTTGGCCAGGCTGGTCTTAAACTGCTGACCTCAGGTGATCCTCCCACCACAGCCTTCCAAAATGCTGGGATTATAGGTGTGAGCCACCCTGCCTGGGCTGTCAGATAGTTTTTCTATATAACCCTTTCTTCCTGGGAAGATGTGTAAGCCCAGACACTCCATGTGAGTTTTAGGGTTTCTGGATTGATAGGTCGTAGGATAGGGAGCCTCTAGAGCTGAGCTGAGCCAATTCTTTCCAGTCCCTAGCCTATGAGCCCCCAGAGACCCTTACAGGATTTCTGCCTTACAGCGTGGAGGGGGTCTACGGGTGAGTGATACCGGTTGTAATTGCGTAGCTCAGAGGGCAGAGGGAGAAGTAGGAAAGGAATGCTCAGTTACTGACCAGCTTTGATGAGTCTGCACTTTTTCTAGGAGCTTTCCAAGCCCCTTATTCTTTAATGTTATCAGGCCACTTTGGGCTAGCACTGGGCCAGCCCTGCCAAGTTTCTGCTCTGTATGTTTACAGAACAGGTAATAAGCCTTCTAGAAAATAAGGAGAAAAAAAGAATGCAACTTAGAAAGCTCCGCCTGGGCTGATTCTCCATCTGTGGCCTCTGACCTTTCCCACTCTAAGCCATCTCATCCCCCAGTGGGGCTAAACCATCAAGGGTTTTGTTACTGGGAACTGTTCTGAACTCCAACCACTTCCCACCTCTTCTGTGGCATCTGCAGGGTTGGGTTTGGGAAGGAAGCCAGCAGCTATTCCTGGTTCACCATCTTCTTCTTGAACCAGATATGCCTTTACATTTTAAAAGTAATTTGAAGTCATTACTAACAACACCTAAAAGATATATACTAACTTAACCACATGACAGGCGCTATTCTAAGTGCTTTACACGTACTTACCCATTTAATCATAGCAATCAAGTGAGTTAGATAGTGTGGTTATCCCCAGTTTACTCTTGAGTAGCCTGAAACACGGAAAGGTTATATGAGTTACACAAGGTCACATACCTTAATAAGTTGAGAAGCCAGAAACTGAACCCAAGCTGTCTGGCTCCAGAGTTTGCACTCTAAAATACTAGCGTTAAGTGGGCACAGTGACTCACTCCTATAATCCCACCACTTTGAGAGGCTGAGGTGGGAGGATTGCTTGAGGATAAGAGTTCAAGATCATCCTGGGCAACATAGGAAAACACTCTCTCTACCAAAAAAACAAATTTTTAATTAGCCAGCCTTGGTGGTGCACGCCTGTAGTCCCAGCTACATGGGAGGTTGAGGCAGGAGGATCACTTGAGCTGAAGAGGCTGGGGCTACAGTGAGCCATGATTGTGCTATGGAACTCTAGCCTGGGCAACAGAGTGAGGCCGTCTCTAAAATAAAACAAAATAAAATGCTAATGCTTTTAGCCACTCTACCATTCTATCATTCATTAGTGTCGGTATCCATTCCTTGAACAACAAAAGAACTTCTCTTTTTTTTTCCTGTCCCTCGTCCCATCTTCCATGTTTATAATACTGGGAATTTTATTTCAAGACTATAATTTTTTAAGTTTACAATCAAAAGTTTACACTGTTTAATAAATTTTACTATTTTTCTTCTAACAATTGCTTATTGAAATCACCTTCCTCTTAAATTTACTTTTCTTTTCTCATAGGGCTGTATACCAATAATTATTTCTGAAGGGTATATGTGTCATTAATTTTCTGAACTATTTTTTCCCTCATTGTGGATTATCCTGGCTGTATACAGATATCTAGGTTCAACTTTTTTTGTTTGTTTGTTTTTGTTTTGTTTTGTTGTTCTGAGACAGTGCCTGGCTCTGTCACCCAGGCTGGAATGCAGTGGCACCATCTCAGCTCATGGCAATCTCCACCTCCTGGACTCAGAGATTCTCCTGCCTCAGCCTTCCAAGTAGCTGGGACTGCAGGCACGTGGCACCACACCTAGCTACTTGTTGTATTTTTTGTACAGATGGGTTTCGCCGTGTTGGCCAGGCTGGTCTCAAACTCCTGAGCTCAAGCAATCCTCCCGTCTCAGCTTCCCAAAGTGCTGAGACTACAGGCGTGAGCTACTGCACCTGGCCCAAACTTATTTTTAATCAGCTCCTTGAAAAACTTCTCCATTGCATTCTCTCTTCTCTCTTTCTCTCTGGGACCTTTCAGGATTTTATCTCTATCCTAGAAATTTTACTCCAAGGGTGTGTGTGTGTGTGTGTGCGTGCACGCAGGTGTGTGTGCACATGTGTGTTAATCAGGCTCAGAACTAGATGGCTCTTTTCAGTTTGAAGATTCATGTCTTTGTTCAGTTCAGAAAATTCTAGAATGTTATTTCTTTAAGTAGTGCCTTCTCTCCAGTCTTTCTATTGTTTTGTTGTTGTTGTTGTTACTTTTTTTTTCATTTTTGACGGAGTTTTGCTGTGACACCCAGGTTGAAGTACAGCGGCAGGACCTCAGCTCACTGCAACCTCCGCTTCCTGGGTTCAAGTGATTCTTCTGCCTCAGCCTCCCACATGGCTGAGATTTCAGGCACCTACCACCACACCTGGCTAATTTTTGTATTTTTAGTAGAGACAGGGTTTCACCATGTTGGACATGTTTTAGATCATAGTTATCAGCAGCATAATAATAAAATGAGGCTATCATTGTACAGAGATGTTAAAGAATTTTCCTGGGGCACAGTGGCAGTGGTAGTCTAATCCAGAGCTCCAAGCCATTTAAAGCTCATTCACGTTTGCATTTGTTTATGAAGTTCAGATGTTGCTCACTAGGGCTTCACCCCATAGGGCCTCCTGGTGCTTCCGTTGAGACACCCACTCTCGCAACAGGAAGGACCAGCTGGCCTCTGCTCTGTTACCGGGGCCACTCACATGGCTTAGGAATCGCTTTGACTGTTGGCCCCTCCCTACTGTGAGCTCCTTGATGGCCTTGTGTGCACCTGGGGCATCTGAGAAGCCCCAGTCCCAGCCCAGGGGATCCTCGGAGGCCCCTGAATGAGTGACCCCACAAGTGCAGATTCAACTCTGGTTTAGAGGGTAAAGGGATCTGGGATTGGGTTGCCAGTATGGAGGCCAAATTCAAAGAAGGATCATGAAAGGTATTAATTGTTATTATTACTACACATAAACAGTGTTTACAAGCTCAGAGAGGACTTTCCCTTAGCCTATTTTACATGTATTATTCACTATTTCATAAGTGAGGAAGCTGAATAAAAAGTAGCTTAAGGGCCGGGCGCGGTGTCTCACAACTGTAATCCCAGCACTTTGGGAGGCTGAGGTGGGCAGATCACGAGGTCAAGAGATCGAGACCATCCTGCCCAACATGGTGAAACCTCGTCTCTACTAAAAATACAAAACTTAGCCTGGCGTGGCAGCACCTGCCTGTAGTCCCAGGTACTCTGGAGACTGAGGCAGAAGAATCACTTAAATACAGGAGTCGGATGTTGCAGTGAGCCAAGATCGTGCCACTGCACTCCAGCCTGGCGACAGAGCAAGACTCCATCTCAAAAAAGAAGAAAAAAAAAAAAAAACTAGCTTAAGATTGTTGGTCAGTGACATATCCCAATGCAACCAGAATTGGTATGGGTACCATCTCACTTAATTCCACATTCAATGTTGATGCCTCGGTAGGGTGGTATGCCAGATCTGGTACTGCTTTCTTTGCTGCCTAGTTTAATTTCAGCAAACCATTTCTTTACCTCTCCCATCCCTGTATTCATCTCCCCACACCATCTTTCCCCACAGTGTTTTCTCCCCTCCCTATGTTTTTACATTTATTCTCCCAGCAGCTGTCTACAAGCTTATATGGGATCCCACAAAACGATGGGAAACAGCTGTGCCCCCAGGAAAACCAAGTACCCCTGAGAAGATTAACAAGACATCTGGTAAGAGCAAACAATTTGGGAACAACCCCTCTGGCTTCCCTGGCTATGTTCAGGTGTGTGGACTGGGTGTGTGGCATGGACCCCAGACAAGCCTGGGTCCAGCCTGGGCTGAGGAGCTTGCTCAGCTCCAGATGAGATGTTAGACTTGACTTCCAGAGACACAGGGTGGAGTTGTCATCCATATAAAAAACCACGTGACAGGGGAGAGGTTCCAAGATGGCCAAATAGGAACAGCTCCAGTCTAGAGCTCCCAGCATGAATGACGCATTTCTGCATTTCCAACAGAGGTACCGGGTTCATCTCATTGGGAATGGTTGGACCGTGGGTGCAGCCCATGGAGTATGACCCGAAGCAGGGCGGGGTATCGCCTCACCGGGGAAGTGCAAGGGGTTGGGGAATTCCCTTTCCTAGCCAAGGGAAGCCGTGACAGATGGCACCTGGAAAATCGGGACACTCCCGCCCTAATACTGTGCTTTTCCAGTGGTCTTAGCAAACGGCACACCAGGAGAGTATATCCTGCGCCTGGCTCGGAGTGACCCATGCCCACGGAGCCTCACTCACTGCTAGCACAGCAGTCTGAGATCGAACTGCAAGGCGGCAGTGAAGCTGGGGGAGGGGCGCCCGCCATTGCTGAGGCTTGAGTAGGTAAACAAAGTGGCCAGGAAGCTTGAACTGGGTGGAGCCCACCGCAGCTCAAGGAAGCCTGCCTGCCTCTGTAGACTCCACCTCTGGGGGCAGGGCATAGCGGAACAAAAGGCAGCAGAAACTTCTGCAGACTTAAGCGTCCCTGTCTGACAGCTTTGAAGAGAGTAGTGGTTCTCCTAGCACAGAGTTTGAGATCTGAGAACAGTCAGACTGCCTCCTCAAGTGGGTCTTTGATCCCCGAGTAGCCTAACTGGGAGACACCTCCCAGTAGGGGCCAACTGACACCTCATACAGCTGGGTGCCCCTCTGAGACGAAGCTTCCAGAGGAAGGATCAGGCTGCAACATTTGCTGTTCTGCAATATTTGCTGTTCTGCAGCCTCTGCTGGTGATACCCAGGAAAACAGGGTCTGGAGTGGACCTCCAGCAAACTCCAACAGACCTGCAGCTGAGGGTCCTGACTGTTAGAATGAAAACTAACAAACAGAAAGGACAACCACACCAAAACCCCATCTGTACATCACCATCAAAAAAGACCAAAGGTAGATAAAACCACAAAGATGGGAAGAAACCAGAGCAGAAAAACTGAAAATTCTAAAAACCAGAGTGCCTCTTCTCCTCCAAAGGAAGGCAGCTCCTTGCCAGCAACGGAACAAAGCTGGATGGAGACTTTGATGAGTTGAGAGAAGAAGGCTTCAGACAATCGGTAATAACAAACCTCTCTGAGCTAAAGGAGGATGTTCAAACTCATCGCAAAGAAGCTAAAAACCTTGAAAAAACATTAGACGAATGGCTAACTAGAATAAACAGCATAGAGAAGACCTTAAATGATATGATGGAGCTGTAAACCACAGCACGAGAACTACGTGATGCATGCAGAAGCCTCAGGAGCCGATTCGATCAAGTGGAAGAAAGGGTATCAGTGATTGAAGATCAAATGAATGAAATGAAGTGAGAAGAGAAGGTTAGAGAAAAAAGAGTAAAAAGAAATGAACAAAGCCTCCAAGAAATATGGGACTATGTGAAAAGACCAAATCTATGTCTGATTGGTATACCTGAAAGTGACAGGGAGAATGGAACCAAGTTGGAAAACACTCTGCAGGATATTATCCAGGAGAACTTCTCCAACCTAGCAAGGCAGGCCAGCATTCAAATTCAGAAAACACAGAGAACACCACAAAGATACTCCTCGAGAAGAGCAACTCCAAGACACATAATTGTCAGATTCACCAAAGTTGAAATGAAAGAAAAAATGTTAAGGGCAGCCAGAGAGAAAGGTCAGGTTACCCACAAAGGGAAGCCCATCAGACTAACAGCGGATCTCTCGGCAGAAACTCTACAAGCCAGAAGAGAGTGGGGGCCAATATTCAACATTCTTAAAGAAAAGAATTTTCAACCCAGAATTTCATATCCAGCCAAACTAACCTTCATAAGCAAAAGGAGAAATAAAATCCTTTACAGACAAACAAATGCTGAGAGATTTTGTCACCACCAGGCCTGCCTTATAAGAACTCCTGAAGGAAGCACTAAACATGGAAAGGAACAACCAGTACCAGCCACTGCAAAAACATGCCAAAGTGTAAAGACCATCGATGCTAGGAAGAAACTGCATCAACTAACGAGCAAAATAACCAGCTAACATCATAATGACAGGATCGAATTCACACATAACAATATTAACCTTAAATGTAAATGGGCTAAATGCTCCAATTAAAAGACACAGACTGGCAAATTGGATAAAGAGTCAAGACCCATCAGTGTGCTGTATTCAGGAGACCCATTTCACTTGCAGAGACACACATAGGCTCAAAATAAAGGGATGGAGGAAGATCTACCAAGCAAATGGAAAACAAAAAAAGGCAGGGGTTGCAATCCTAGTCTCTGATAAAAAAGACTTTAAACCAACAAAGATCAAAAGAGACAAAGAAGGCTATTACATAATGGTAAAGGGATCAATTCAACAAGAAGAGCTAACTATCCTAAATATATATGCATCCAATACAGGAGCACCCAGATTCATAAAGCAAGTCCTTAGAGACCTACAAAGAGACTTAGACTCCCACACAATAATAATGGGAGACTTTAACACCCCACTGTCAACATTAGACAGATCAATGAGACGGAAAGTTAACAAGGATATCCAGAAATTGAACTCAGCTCTGCACCAAGTGGACCTAATAGACATCTACAGAACTCTCCACCCCACATCAACAGAATATACATTCTTCTCCGCACCACATTGAACTTTTGCCGAAATTGACCACATAGTTGGAAGTAAAGCACTCCTCAGCAAATGTAAAAGAACAGAAATTATAACAAACTGTCTCTCAGACCACACTGCAATCAAACTAGAACTCAGGATTAAGAAACTCACTCAAAACCGCTCAATTACATGGAAACTGAACAACCTGCTCCTGAATGACTACTGGGTACATAACGAAATGAAGGCAGAAATAAAGATGTTCTTTGAAACCAATGAGAACAAAGATACAACATACCAGAATCTCTGGAACACATATAAAGCAGTGTGTAAAGGGAAATTTATAGCACTAAATGCTCACAAGAGAAAGCAGGAAAGATCTAAAATTGACACCCTAACATCACAATTAAAAGAACTAGAGAAGCAAGAGCAAACACATTCAAAAGCTAGCAGAAGGCAAGAAATAACTAAGATCAGAGCAGAACTGAAGGAGTTAGAGACACAAAAAAGCCTTCAAAAAATCAATGAACCCAGGAGCTTGTTTTTTGAAAAGATCAACAAAATTGATAGACCGCTAGCAAGACTAATAAAGAAGAAAAGAGAGAAGAATCAAACAGACGCAATAAAAAATGAGAAAGGGGATATCACCACCGATCCCACAGAAATACAAACTACCATCAGAGAATACTATAAACACCTCTATGCAAATAAACTAGAAAATCTAGAAGAAATGGATAAATTCCTGGACACATACACCCTCCCAAGGCTAAACCAGGAAGAAGTTGAATCCCTGAATAGACCAATAACAGGCTCTGAAATTCAGGCAATAATTAATAGCCTAGCAACCAAAAAAAGTCCAGGACCAGATGGATTCACAGCCAAATTCTACCAGAGGTACAAAGAGGAGCTGGTACCATTCCTTCTGAAACTATTCCAATCAATAGAAAAAGAGGGAATCCTCCCTAACTTATTTTATGAGGCCAGCATCATCCTGATACCAAAGCCTGGCAGAGACACAACAAAAAAAGAACATTTTAGACCCATAGCCCTGATGAACATCGATGCAAAAATCCTCAATAACATACTGGCAAACCGAATCCAGCAGCACATCAAAAAGCTTATCCACCATGCTCAAATTGGCTTCATCCCTGGGATGCAAGGCTGGTTCAACATATGCAAATCAATAAACGTAATCCATCACATAAACAGAACCAAAGACAAAAACCAAATAATTATCTCACTAGATGTAGAAAAGGCCTTCAACAAAATTCAACAGCCTTTCATGCTAAAAACTCTCAATAAACTAGGTATTGATGGGATGTATCTCAAAATAATAAGAGCTATTTATGACAAACCCACAGCCAATATCATACTGAATGGGCAAAAACTGGAAGCATTCCCTTTGAAAACTGGCACAAAACACGGATGCTCTCTCTCACCACTCCTATTCAACATAGTATTGGAAGTTCTGGCCAGGGCAATCAGGGAGGAGAAAGAAATAAAGGGTATTCAATTAGGAAAAGAGGAAGTCAAATTGTCCCTGTTTGCAGATGACATGATTGTATATCTAGAAAACCCCATCATCTCAGCCCAAAATCTCCTTAAGCTGATAAGCAACTTCAGCAAAGTCTCAGGATACAAAATCAATGTGCAAAAATCACAAGCATTCTTATACACCAATAACAGACAAACAGAGAGCCAAATCATGAGTGAACTCCCATTCACAATTGCTTCAAAGAGAATAAAATACCTAGGAATCCAACTTACAAGGAATGTGAAGGACCTCTTCAAGGAGAACTACAAACCACTGCTCAATGAAATAAAAGAGGACACAAACAAATGGAAGAACATTCCATGCTAATGGATAGGAAGAATCAATATCGTGAAAATGGCCATACTGCCCAAGGTAATTTATAGATTCAATGCCATCCTTATCAAGCTACCAATGACTTTCTTCACAGAATTGGAAAAAACTACTTTAAAGTTCATGTGGAACCAAAAAATAGCCTGCATTGCCAAGACAATCCTAAGCCAAAAGAACAAAGCTGGAGACATCATGCTACCTAACTTCAAACTATACTACAAGGCTATAGTAACCAAAACAGCATGGTACTGGTACCAAAACAGAGATATAGACCAATGGAACAGAACAGAGTCCTCAGAAATAATGCCACATATCTACAACCATCTGATCTTTGACAAACCTGACAAAAACAAACAATGGGGAAAGGATTCCCTATTTAATAAATGGTGCTGGGAAAACTGGCTAGCCATATGTAGAAAGCTGAAACTGGATCCCTTCCTTACACCTTATACAAAAATTAATTCAAGATGGATTAAAGACTTCAACGTTAGACCTAAAACCATAAAAACCCTAGAAGAAAACCTAGGCAATACCATTCAGGACACAGGCATTGGCAAGGACTTCAAGACTAAAACACCAAAAGCAATGGCAACAAAAGCCAAAATTGACAAATGGGATCTAATTAAACTAAAGAGCTTCTGCACAGCAAAAGAAACTGCCATCAGAGTGAATAGGCAACCTACAGATTAGGAGAAAATTTTTGCAATCTACCCATCTGACACTTTTACACTGTTGGTGGGACTGTAAACTAGTTCAACCATTGTGGAAGCCAGTGTGGGGATTCCTCAAGGATCTAGAACTAGAAACATCATTTGACCCAGCCATCCCATTACTGGGTATATACCCAAAGGACTATAAATCATGCTGCTATAAAGACACATGCACACATATGTTTGTTGCGGCACTATTCACAATAGCAAAGACTTGGAACCAACCCAAATGTCCATCAATGATAGACTGGATTAAGAAAATGTGGCACATCTACACCATGGAATACTATGCAGCCATAAGAAAGGATGAGTTCATGTCCTTTGTAGGGACATGGATGAAGCTGGAAACCATCATTCTGAGCAAACTATCGCAAGGACAGAAAACCAAACACCTCATATTCTCACTCATAGGTGGGAATTGAACAATGAGAACACTTGGACACAGGGTGGGGAACATCACACACTGGTGCCTGTCATGGGGTCGGGGGAGGGGGGAGGGATAGCATTAGGAGATATACCTAATGTAAATGACGAGTTAATGGGTGCAGCACACCAACATGGCACATGTATATATATGTAACAAACCTGCACGTTGTGACCATGTACCCTAGAACTTAAAGTGTAATTTAAAAAAAAAACATGTGACTTGGGGCAAGTCTCCCAAATTTCCTCAGCTGCAGATTCCTAGTCCATAAGATGGAAATAAAGAATCATAGTTCATAAATTGTTTGGAAGCATTAAATTTAATCTAGAAGGCCTGATGACATGAAAGGTGCTCAAGCAATTCTATCTGTGATAACCTGGGATCATATCTTACTCAGCTCAATGCCTGATACCCAATACACGTGTACTTCAGAGATATTGCAGGTTCAGTTCCAGACCACTGCAATAAAGTGAGTCACACACATTGTTTTTTGTTTGACAGTGCATAAAACATTATGTTTACGCTACAGTGTAGTCTACTAAGTGTGCAATAGTGTTATGTCTAAAAATATATATACCTTAATTTTAAAATAATTCATTGTCAATAATGCTAACAATCTTCTGAGCCTTCAGTGAGTCACACTCTTTTTGCTGGTGGAGGATCTTGCCTTGGTGTTGATGGCTGCTGGCTTATCAAGGTGGTGGTTGCTGAAGGGTGGAGTGGCTGTGGCAGTTTCATAAAAGAAGACAACAATGAAATTTGCCACATCAATTAGCTCTCCCTTTCATGAAGGATTTCTCTGTAGTATGTGATGCTATTGGATAGCATTTTACCCACAGTAGAACTTCTTTCAAAGTTGGAGTCAATCCTCTCTAGCTATGAAAGTCCTAGATGGCATCTCCTTCCAATAGAAGGTTATTTTATCTACATTGAAAATCTGTTGTTTCGTGTAGCCACCTTCATCAGTGACCTTAGCTAGATCTTCTGGATAACTTGCTGCAGCTTCTCCATCAGGGTTTGCTGCTTCGCCTTGCATTTTTATGTTATAGAGACGGCTTCTTTCCTTAAACCTCACGAACCAACCTCTACTAGCTTCACACGTTTCTTCTGCAGCTTCTTCAACTCTCTCAGCTTTCATGGACTTGAAGAGAGTTCTGGTCTTGCTCTGAATTAGACTTTGGCTTAAGGGAATGTTGTGGCTGGTGTCATGTTTTATCCTGACCACTCAAACTTTCTCTATTTGAGCAGTAAGGCAGTTTTGCTTTCTTATTCGTGTGTTCACTGGAGTATTAGTATTATTATTTCCTTCAAGAACTTTTCCTTTACATTATATACTATTATTTCCTTCAAGAACTTTTCCTTTGCATTCACAGCTTGGCTGTTTGGTGCAAGCGGCCTAGCTTTCATCCTGTCTTGGCTTTCAGCATGCTTCCTCACTAAGCTTAGCCATTTCTAGCTTCTGATTTAAAGTGAGAGACATGTGACTCCTCCTTTCATTTGAACACTTAGCGGCCATTGTAGGGTTCTTAATCGTCCTAATTTCAGTGTTGCTGTGTCTCAGGAAATAGGGAGGCCCAAGAAAAGGAGGAGAGATGGGGAAGAGCTCATCGGTGGAGCAGTCAGAACACACACAACATTAATCGATTAAGTTTGTCATCTTCTATGGGTGCAGTTCATGGTACCCCCAAAACAATTACACATAACAGGGTGATTATAGTCAATAATAACTTAATTGTGTGTTTAAAAAGAACTGATAGAATGTAATTGGATTGTTTGTAACACAAGGATAAATGGCTGAGGGGATGGATACCCTATTTTCCACGATGTGATTACTACGCATTTGCATGCCTGTATCAAAACATCTCACGTACCCCATAAGAATATACACCTACTGCGTACCCACAAAATAAAGAACAAAAATTATTTTAAAAGACTAAAAAACAACAAAAACAATTGCAGTAATAATGTCAAAGCTCACTGATCACAGATCACCATAACAGACATAATAATAATGGAAAAGTATAAAATTGGTGAGAATTTCCAAAAAAAATTGCAGCATCTGTGAAGCACTGTAAAAATGAGGAGCAATAAAACAAAGTGTGCCTGTGTGCCCTTAACAAATGCTTGCTGAATGAAAGGAGGTATCGGTGAATGTTCCCGTAAGTGAAGAGGTTGGGAATCTAAACCTCACAATGGAAGGAGCCAGAAGCTAAAATTTTAGTTTGCATTTGGCCTGTATTGGTGTGGATCTAAGGTCTCAGCCTCTCTAAGCCAGAGAATGTGAAAAACTGGATAAAGAAGGCCCATGGGCACTTGGGAGGGGGTAGGCATCTCCTTTTTTGGAGAAAACAGAGCCTAACACTCTCCAACCTACCCAACCCTCATCTTCCAACTATTCATCATAGGACCCAAAAGGCGGAAACATGACTGGACCCACAGACTGCGTGAGAGAAAGCAGCTGGTGATTTATGAAGAGATCAGCGACCCTGAGGAAGATGACGAGTAACTCCATAAGTGAATCTTCGGCTCACCCCTCACATCCCTGCAGATGTGCTATTCTGTTATGATACTGGTATCCCATCTTCTCACTTGTTCCCCAAACCATTCCCTTCTCATAATTTTCTAGGGTACAGCATTGAGGCTGAATGATGAGATTTCCCATGCTCTTTCGTATTTTTTTTTTTTTTGAGATGGAGTCTCTCTTTGTCACCCAGGTGCGATCTCGGCTCACTGCAAGCTCCACCTCCTGGGTTCACGCCATTCTGCCTCAGCCTCCCCAGTAGCTGGGACTACAGGGGCCTGCCACTACGCCCAGCTAATTTTTTTGTATTTTTAGTAGAGACGGGGTTTCCCCATGTTAGCCAGGATGGTCTCGATCTCCTGACCTCGTGATCGGCCCACCTCGGCCACCCAAAGTGCTGGGATTACAGGCATGAGCCACTGCGCCCGGCCGATTTCGCATTCTCTTTTTACTCCCTGGCCTGTAGGTCCAGGGATGCTCCCTACCCAGGATGCTGTGGGCTCCCAAACCCCAGGTCAGCCCTGATATGCAGGCCACACCTTCCTCTAGCCTAGGAATTGATAGCCTAGGCGAGGAAGTCACTGTGGCATGAACAGATGGTTCACTTCGAGGAACCGTGGAAGGTGTGTGCAGGTCCTGAGATAGGGCAGAATCGGAGTGGGCAGGGTCTGCAGGTCAGGAGGAGTTGAGATTGAGTTGTCACGTGGTGGGAACTCACTGCCACTTACTTTCCTTCCCTCTTCTTGCCTCAGCCTCAGGGAATATGACACATGCCCATGATGAGAAGCAGAACGTGGTGACCTTTCACGAACATGGGCATGGCTGCGGACCCCTCGTCATCAGGTGCATAGCAAGTGAAAGCAAGTGTTCACAACAGTGAAAAGTTGAGCATCATTTTTCTTAGTGTGCCAAGAGTTCGATATTGGCGTTTCCGTTGTATTTTCTTGCAGTGTGCCATTCTGTTAGACATTAGCGTTTTCTTTTGATGAGCAAGACATGCTTAATGCATATTTCGGCTTGTGTATCCATGCACCTACCTCAGAAAACAAGTATTGTCAGGTATTCTCTCCATAGAACAGCACTACCCTCCTCTCTCCCCAGATGTGACTACTGAGATCAGGTCTGAGTGTTTAATTTCTGATTTTTTCCTCTGCATTTACACACACACCTCACATGCACACACACACACCGAGTACCAGTATAAGTATCTCCCATCTGCTTTTCTCCATTGCCACGTGTCCTGGTCAAGCCCCCCTCACTCTGTTTCCTGTTCAGCATGTACTCCCCTCATCCGATTCCCCTGTATCAGTCACTGCCAGTTAATAAACCTTTGCAAACGTTCCCCAGTTGTTTGCTCCTCTCATTATTGTCCACACAGCTCTGTGCACATGTGTGAATATTTCTTTAGGAAAGATTCTTAGAAGTGGAATTGATGTGTCAAAGGAGTCATTTATTCAACAAAACCCTAATGAGTGTGTCCTCGTGCTGAGCGCTATTCTAGGTGCTGGAGAGACATCAGGGAACAAGGCAGACAGATGTTCCTGACCACCATTCTAGAGGAGGATGTTTCCAGTTGCTGGGTGTTTGTTTGTTTCTTCTAGAGATTGGGTCGTGCTCTGTCCAGGCTGGAGTGCAGTGGCATGATCATAGCTCAATGCAGCCTTGAACTCCTGGGCTCAAGCGATCCTCCCTCTTCAGCCTCCGGAGTAGCTGTGACTACAGGCATGCACCATCACACCCCACTAACTTTTTTAGGTTTGTCAAGAAAGTCTCGCTATGTTACCCAGGCTGGTCTCAAACTCCTGGGCTCAAGCGATCCTCCCGCCTTGGCCTCCTAAAATGCAGGGATTACAGGGGTGAGCTGCTGTGCCTGGCCTCCAGTTTTTATTTTGATAGAGACTATACACTTCAGTCCTGGAGCAGGATTCTGCAGCATGTGGTTGGGCATCTTGGCCTTCGCTCTCTGAACCATTTTTGGGTTCAAGGTCTGGGATGGTCCATTTGGGAGTATGTGGGAGGAGACACAGATGAAATCGTCATCTGGGTAACGTGGAGGAATCAGGCAGATGTGTGCACTGTAGACTCTGTGATGGCCAGGGAATAGAAGAGTCCACTTAGTCTCCATGCAGGGGAGCAACGGTGGGAAAGTCCCCTGGACAGAAGCATGAGACTGCCCATCAAGGGTCTCACCAACCAAGGGCCTGGGGGCTGGGGTGGGGACAGTGATTTGGGAATGGGACAGTTCTTTCTCATAGGTACCATTGCACGGTGCAGAGGGGAACATTTCTGGGGAAGGGAAAGGCAGAGGGGAGTCTATTTTAAAATCATTGTGTGTGAATGGAGACCATTAAGACTCACACCTATAATCCCAGCACTTTGGGAGGCCAAGACTAGCAGATCACTTGAGGTCAGGAGTTCAAGACCAGTCTGGCCAACATGGAGAAACCACGTCTCCACTAAAAATATAAAAATTAGCCGGGTGTGGTGGCTCACGCCTGAAATTCCAGGTACTCAGGAGGCTGAGGCAGGAGAATCGCTTGAATCCAGGAGGCAGAGGTTGCAGTGAGGCGAGATTACCCCAGTGCACTCCAGCTTGGGCGACACAAGTGAGACTCCATCTCAAAAATATATATACATATGCATATATATATATAGCTAAGACACTTTTTGAAAAAGAAGAATAAGGTGGGAGGAATGGCTCTACCATATTTCAATACTTCTTATATAGCTACAGGAATCAAGACTGTGTCGTATGGGGCGAAGAATAGACACACAGATCACTGGAACAAAATAGAGAACCTAGAAATAGCCCCACACTGACTTTTTACAAAGCGACAAAAAGAAGGAAGGATTGTCTGCTCAACAAATGGTGCTGGAGAAGTTGCAGAGCCATAAGCTAATAAAAAAAAGACCTAATCTTCATACCTTTATACAAAAAAAAAAAACTCAAGTGGATCATAGATTTAAATCTAAAATATAAAACTAAAACAGAAACTTTTACAAGAAAACATAGGAGAAACATCTGAGATCTAGGGCATAGTAAACAGTTCAAAAAGCATAATCCATAAGGAAAAAAAATTAGATTTCATCCAATTTAAAACTTTTGCCCTGCAAGAAACCCTGTTAAAAGGATGAAAAAACAGGGTATGGAATGGGAGAGAATGTTTGCAAACCACATATCCAAGAAAGGACTCACATCCAGAATGTATAATGGATATGTATAGTACTCTCAAAACTCAACAGTAGGCCATGGCTCACGCTTGTAATCCCAGCACTTTGAAAGGTTGAGGTGGATGGAGGGCAGATCCCTTGAGGGCAGGAGTTTGAGATCAGCCTGAGCAACATGGCAAAAACCCATCTCTACTAAAAATACAAAAATTGACAGGCATGATGGTTCACGCCTGTAATCCCAGCTACTTGGGAGGCTGAGGCATGAGAATCACTTGAACCTGGGAGGCGGAGGTTGGAGTGAGCCAAGATCATGCCACTGCACTCCAGCCTGAGTAACAGAGCGAGAGGCTCTCTCAAAAACAAACAACAACAACAAAAAACTCAACGGCAAAAAACAAACAAATAATCCAATTAGAAAATGATCAAAATATATGAACATACATTTCACTGAAGAGGAAATAAGCAAATAAGCTCATGAAAAGATGTTCAACACTAATTTGCTTCACTAGATGCAAATTAAGACCATGATGAGGTATCACTACACACTTATTACAACAGCTAAAATAAAAGACATAGTGACAACACGAAATGGTGACAAAGATGCAGAGAAATTGGACACCTTGTAAAATGCTGCTGGGAAGGTAAAATCTTACAGCCACTATGGAAAACTGTTTGATAGTGTCTTATAAAACTAAACATGCAATGAGCACACAATTCAACAATTACACTTCAGAGAAATTAAAATTTATGCCCATCCAGAAACTTATACATAATTGTTCATAGCAGCTTTACTTGTAATCGCCAGAAGCTCGAAATAATCAATATGTCCAACAATAAGTGAATGGTCAAACTGTGGTACATCCATACCACGAATTACTACTCACCAATAAAAATGAACTATTGATACATAAATATTAATGCCTTGAATGAATCTCCAGGGAATTATGCTGAGTGAAATAAGCCCCTAAAATGTTATATACTATAAGATTTCATTTGCACAGCATTGTAGAAAAGACAAAATTGTAGAAATGAAAAACAGATTTGTGGTTGCCAGGGATTAGGGATGGTGGATGGGAGGACAGTATTACCAAAAATGAGTAGCACAAGGGATAGCATTGTGGTGATGAAAATGGTTTGTAACTTTTTTTTGAGACAGAGTCTTGCTCTGTCTCCCAGGCTGGAGTGCAGTGGCATGACCTCTGCTCACTGCAACCTCTGCCTCTCGGGTTCAAGTGGTTCTCTTGTCTCAGCCTCCCATGTAGCTGGGATTATAAGCACGTGCCACCATGCCTGGCTAATTTTTGTATTTTTAGTAGAGACAGGGTTTCTCCATGTTGGCCCGGCTGGTCCCAAACTCCTGATCTCAAGTGATCTGCCTGCCTCAGCCTCCCAACGTGCTGGGATTACAGAGATGAACCACTGCACCCAGCCATGTTCTGTATCTTTTTTTTTTCTGAAATATAAGCTTTATTTTAAATTCAAAGAAATATTAAACTTTCTTTTACAAATTATAATCAAACACTCAAACAATTTAGGAATTTTAAACACTAATTCTTAATTGAAAATAATGACATCCATAGAATACATCCTGATGTTGGCCAACATGAAGTTTACTTAATATTAGTATTTTATATATGCTTAACCATTCATCCTTCCTAAAATTCAATGATAACAAAGATTTGACTTTATAAGGTGAAGCCTTTTATGTAATATGCTAGAGATAACTTTTTCAAATACAAAACATTTATACCAGCAAGGAAATTATGAAAGCATATATAAATTATACTGAAGGATGTGATTTAAAGGCTGTCTGTATACATAGATGCATTTCACCTTAGAAAGTACATATGCACATCAAAACACTTTCATTGAATATAGATGCCACTACATTCTCTTACTTATATTACAAAAGCAAACGGCAGGTTCATAAACGTTCTTCTATTATGTATCAACTGAAAAAAACATATATACACAAAAAGATTTTGACGGCACATGGGAGTGGAATGTGCCTACATTTAGAGCAGAGCTTTTACAGGACCACCTGTCTCCAGCCGGCTCCCAGGAACCATTGAAAACAGCTGCTACCCTCAGAATGATAAGATGGCCTTGTTAATGAGTTCACTGGACTCTCGAATCTCATCCCCCTTGACCACCAGCAGAGGTGAAACCTGATGATGTCGCCACAGGTTGGCTTGGCCAGAAGTCCATAATCTTGAAGTCGTAGACACACCTTCCAAGCATCACAATCTTTGGTTTCTTTAATAACAATAGCGTTTAATAATTCCTTTCCTCGCCGGGCGCAGTGGCTCATGCCTGTAATCCCAACACTTTGGGAGGCCAAGGCAGCTGGATCACCTGAGGTCAGGAGTTCGAGACCAGCTTGACCAACATGGCAAAACTCCATCTCTACTAAAAATACAAAAATTCGCTGGGCATAGCAGTGCGTGCCTGTAATCTCAGCTACTCAGGAGGCTGAGGTAGGAGAATCACTTGAACCTGTGAGGTGGAGGTTGCATTGAGCCGAGATTGCGCCATTACACTCCATCCTGGGCAACCAGAGTGAACCTCTGACTCAAATAAATAAATAAATAAATAAATAAATAAATAAATAAATAAATAATTATTTTCCTCTTACGGCAGTTACAACATCAGAAGGTAGCTTCATGGGTTCATTTCTCAAGATAATACCCATTTTTTTTCTGTATTTTCAGCAAGGTTTTCTTCTTCTAAAACCTCAAGGGCTGCAATTGTCACTTGGCAGCCTAGTGGATTGCCACCGTATGTGGACCCACATTCCCCTGGCTTAATGGTCAGCATTATGTCATCGTCCCACAGCACTGCAGACACAGAGTATCAGCCCCCAGAAAGGGCCTTTCCAAGGAGGACTATATCAGGTCTGACATTTTCATGATCAACAGCCAGCCATCTACCAGTTCTGGCCTATCCTGACTGTATTTCATCAGCAATATACAGATCCTGGTGCCTGGTGCAGAGCTCTCGCACTCCCATTAAGTAACCTGGATCTGGAACAACACCTGCTTCACCCTGAATTGGTTCTACCATGAATGCAGCCACATTTGGATTCTGAAAAGCACTCTCCAGTGCAGGCAGATCATTGCAGGGAATGACGTCGAAGCCAGGCATAAACGGTCCAAAACCATCATAACTCGTCAGGTCTGTGGAACTGGAGATAGCAGAAAACGTCCTACCCCAAAAGTTTCCAGCTGCGGAAATAACCTTTGCTTTGTATTTCTGAATGCCCTTCACAGTATAGCCCCACTTATGAGCTAGTTTACAGGCAGTCTCTCCAGCTTCCATTCCTGTATTCATAGGAAGAACTTTGTGGTAGTTGAAAAGTTTAGTAATATACTCCTCATATTCACCAAGTACGTTATTATAGAAAGCTCTAGAGGTTAAGGTCAATTTCTTCCCTTGACTCTTTAGTGCATTCACAATCTTGGGGTGACAATGCCCTTGGTTGACAGCACTGTAAGAACTCAGAAAGTCAAAATATTTTCTGCCTTCTACATCCCATAAGTAAATACATTTTCCTCTCTCCAGGGCTACAGGTAAAGGATGGTAATTGTGCGCACCACACTTAGATTCCCTTTCAAAAATGTAGTCAGAGGTTGGAGGGCCTTGGACTGTTTTCTTCGGGTTTTTTTTGTTTGTTTGTTTTTTGTTTTGAGATGGAGTTTTGCTCTTGTTGCCCAGGCTGGAGTGCAGTGGCACAATCTCAGCTCACTGCAACCTCTGCCTCCCGGTTTCAAGCAATTCTCCTGCCTCAGCCTCCCAAGTAGCTGGGATTACAGGCATGCACCACTGTGCCGGGCTAATTTTGTATTTTTAGTAGAGATGGGGTTTCTCCATGTTGGCCAGGCTGGTCTCGAACTCCCAACCTCAGGTGATCCACCAGCCTTGGCCTCCCAAATTGCTGGGATTACAGGCGTGAGCCACCACACCCGGTCTGGATTTTTTTTTTTTAGTTGCAACAGATGTAGCAGAAGCCACTGAAGAATGAGCTCCACGACTAAGTACAGCAAACCTCTGCAAAGGTGCTAGTTTGGAAAACATTGTGTCCTTCAAGTAGAAAAACCACAGATCGACTATTTTTTTCTTCCCATGGTTCAGACTAGAATACAGATTTTTAACCCAAGATCCAAGGATGATCTTCAGAGAGTCCAAAATCTCCTGACAGTGCCTGAGGACCACCCGGGACACACACTGTCTACAAAGCACAGCCATGTTCTGTATCTTGATTACGGTGTTGGTTACAGGAGTCTACACATGGGATAAAAAGGCATACACACTATTGCTCCAATGTCAATTTCCTGATTTTGATATTGTACTATAGTATTTTTACACTACTATAATATAGAGGAAACTCAGTAAAGGGTATATGGGACATATCTGTACTATTTTTGCAATTTCCCATAAATCTATATTATTCCCAAGTAAAAAGGGAAAAACATACAATTTTTTTTGAGACAGGGTCTCGCCCTGTCATCCAGGCTGGAGTGCAGTGGGGCAATTATAGCTCACTGCAGCCTCAAACTCCTGGGCTCAAGCAATCCTCCTGCCTCAGCCTCCCAAGTAGCTAGGACTACAGGCACATGCCACCATACCCACCTATTTTTTTTTTTTTAGAGATGGGGTCTTACTATATTGCCCAAGCTAAAAATACATTTCTTAATGAAAGATCAGGATGAGAAACAACAGGCTTATCTGAACACCTGCACAATAACCAAATACAACTTCTAGAAGTGAAAATGGTGATTTAAATAATTAATAAACTTATTAAACTGCAGATTAGACACAAACGAAGAAATAATTAGCGAACGAAAATATAGCTCTGAGGAAAACACACCATTAGAGATAAAGAAACAGAAAATAGGCCAGGCATGGTGGCTCAAGCCTGTAATCCCAGCACTTTGGGAGGCTGAGGCGGGTGGATCACCTGAGGTCAGGCATTCGAGACCAGCCTGACCAACATGGTGAAACCCCATCTCTACTAAAAATACAAAACTTAGCCAGGCATGGTGATGCATGCCTGTAATCCCAGTTACTCAGGAGGCTGAGGCACGAGAATTGTTTGAACCTGGGAGGTGGAGGTTGCAGTGAGCCGAGATTGTGTCATTGCACTCCAGCCTGGACAAGAGTGAAACTCCGTGTCAAAAAAAAAAAAAACAAAAAAGAAATGGAAAATATAAAGATATGGAGGATAGAATGAAAAGAGCTCACATATATTGAACACAAATTCTAGAAAGGGAGAATAGAAAGATTTATGGAGAACAATGTTCAAAGGAATAATGGCTGAGAATTTTCCAGCTTTGGTAAAAAGCATCAATGCTCCTTATGTGAGCTCACCCAGACCTATTACTTTATTATTTAAGGAATTATTCACTAAAACACATGCTGCTTTAATGTAGTTTAATTATAATCCAGTGTTCATAAAGATGATGTCATTTGGAAAAATATTGATTGGGAGCATTTGGGGATCATAAATTTGAAGTGGTACTAAAATACTAGGCCACATTAGAACATGTGGAAAAAGAAAGAAAAAGCAACAAAAATAAAGTTCTAGGCCACAACAACACAAACACTGAAAGAGAAGGAGATTAGAGTTAAAGTAATCAAAGGACATGTGAAAATGGAAACTAAAGTTATCATCAAATTTAAACCTTTTAATGTCAAGTAATGATGTTTAAAATGTTTAATGTTGCTAACACAAAGTAAATGGTGGAATAGAGAACTCCAAAAATCTATGCCTCTATAAAAATCAGTGAAAAAACTGGCAAAAACTGTCAGGATCAACTTTTTCAGAACTTTGAAAACTAACCGAAAGCTTGTAACAAGCAGAGGAATGTTTAATCAAGAAAAACCAGCTGAGTGGCTCACGCCTGTAATCCAGCACTTCGGGAGGCCAAGGCAGGCAGATCACCTGAGGTCAGGAGTTCGAGACCAGCCTGGCCAACATGGTGAAACCCCGTCTCTACTAAAAATACAAAAATTAGCCAGGCGTGGTGGCACGTGCCTGTAATCTCAGCTACTCAGGAGGCTGAGACACGAGAATTGCTTGAACCTGGGAAGTGGAGGTTGCAGTGAGCTGAGATGGCACCACTGCACTCCAGCCTGGGCAACAGAGCAAGACTGTCAAAAAAGAAAAAGGAAGAAAAAGAAGGAAGGAAGGAAGGAAGGAAGGAAGGAAGGAAGGAAGGAAGGAAGGAAGGAAGGAAAGAAGGAAGGAAGGAAGGAAAGAAGGAAGGAAGGAAGAAAGAAAGGAAGGAAGGAAGGAGAAAAACCAGCTGAATCTCCATAAGAACAGTAAGCTTTGTGGTATTTTAACTTACCCTTGTCCCATCTCCTGCTCCCAGCTTGGTGGTAGCCCTGAAGATAATGATCTGCATTCCCAGTACAGGTACCAGTACCAGAGAGAAAAGAATGGACCTTATTCACAAAGAATTACAGTTGTTTGTTTTGACTTGTCTGGTGGTTCCCTGGAAGAACCCACTTGAAAGGCTTGTCTTCATTTGACCTCACTCAAACTGATGCTACAACCTGGGGTAGTGAATAGCAGTTGAGGCAAACAATACATCAACCAGCAAGCTTAAAAGGAAAGGCTGGAGGCCAGGCATGGTGGCTCATGCCTGTAATCCCAGCACTTTGGGAGGCTGAGGCAGGTGGATCACGAGGTCAAGGGATCGAGACCATCCTGGCCAACATGGTCTCTACTAGACACCCCATCTCTACTAAAAATACAAAAATTAGCTAGGTGTGGTGGTGTGCACCTGTAATCTTAGCTACTCAGGAGGCTGAGGCAGGAGAATTGCTTGAATCCAGGAGGCAGAGGTTGCAGTGAGCCGAGATCGCGTCACTGCACTCCAGCCTGGCAACAGAGCAAGACTCTATCTCAAAAAAAAAAAAAAAAAGAAGAAGAAGAAGAAGAAGGAAAGGCTGGAAAATGGGGCTTGAATAACTCCAACACATGCCTGGGAATCTAGAAGGCCACACACATACGCCCTGGGCTGCAGCTAGGCGAATGCCCACAGAAGAACTAAGTAGGCTTTAATCTCTCACCTCTGCAGACCTCGAGGCTCTGAGCAAGCAGGAAGAGAAAGATAAGGCAACGTTGTAAACTGCCAGGCTGAGTGCAGAAGGTATGTCCCAACACATACACAAATCCCCTTGGCAAAGACTGGGAGACATACTGGTTCCAGGCATTTAAAGAAATTTCTGTTCAATCATTAGTGGCCACTAAGCTAACCAAGAGACTTCAGTGGCCACAGAGGACAAGGAATAGAGACTACAGAATTTGTTCAGGAAAAAAACTAGACAAACTTGTGTTTTGAGACAGGGTCTTGCTCTGTCTCTCAGGCTGGAGTACAGTGGCACTAACACGGCTCACTGCAGCCTTGATCTCCCAGGCTCAAGCAATCCTCCAGCATCAGCCTCTGAGTAGCTGGGACTATAGGCATGCGCCACCACACCAAGCTAATTTAATTTATTTATTTATTTATTTATTTTTTGAGATGGAGTCTCACTCTGTCGCCCAGGCTGGAGTGCAGTGGTGCGATCTCAGCTCACTGCAAGCTCCGCCTCCCGGGTTCACACCATTCTCCTGTCTCAGCCTCCCGAGTAGCTGGGACTGCAGGGGCCCGCCACCACGCCTGGCTAATTTTTTTGTATTTTTAGTAGAGACGGGGTTTCACCGTGTTAGCCAGGATGGTCTCAATCTCCTGACCTCACGATCCACCTGCCTCGGCCTCCCAAAGTGCTGGGATTACAGGCGTGAGCCACCGCGCTCGGCCAATTTTTTTTTCTTTTTTAAGAGACGGGGTCTCACTATGTTGCCCGAGCTGGTCTCAAACTCCTAGGCTCAAATGATCCTCCTGCCTTGGCCTCCCAAAGTGCTTGGATTACAGGCATGAGCCACCGAGCTCAGCCTAAACAAACATTGAAAACAAACAAACAAAACAGCAACAAGAAACCCCAGGGAAGGGACAGAATCTGGTTTCCAGAGTTGCCACATTATATTATTTGAAATGTCCAGTTTTCAATAAAAAATTATGACACCTGCAAAGAAAGAAGAAAATACGACCCATCCACAGAATAAAGAAAAAAGACCACCTATAGAAACCATCCCTGAGAAAGCCCAGATGTTGGGTTTTCCTTTTTTCTTAATGTATTTTATTTTATTTATTTATTTATTTTGAGACAGAGTTTTGCTCTGTCGCCCCGGCTGGGGTGCAGTGGTGCAATCTCGGCTCACTGCAACCTCTGCCTCCCAGACTCAAGCAATTCTACTGCCTCAGCCTCCCAAGTAGTTGGGACTACAGGCACCCACTACCACACCTGGCTACTTTTTGTATTTTTAGTAGAGACAGGGTTTCACCATATTGGCCAGGCTGGTCTTGAACTCCTGACCTCAAGTGATCCACCTGCCTTGTCCTCCCAAAGTGCTGGGATTACAGGTGTGAGCCACCACGCCCAGCCAGATGCTGGGTTTTCTAATAAAAAGACTTTAAATGAGCTATTTAAAATACGTCCAAAAACCTCAAAGAAACTATGTCTAAAGAACTAAAGTATAGAAACAATATCTCACCAAATAGAGAGTATCAATACAGACATAGAAATATAAAAAATGAACCAAATAGAAATTTCTGGAGTTTAAAAGTGTAATAATCAAAATGAAAAATTCATCTTCTGCTGATGCTAGGAGTAGGGACATTGCCCTCATCTCTTTTTGGGGTTCTTTCTGTTAAATATGAAGACTTGCTTTTTTTTCTTTTTGAGACAAGGTCTCACTCTGTTGCCCAGGCTGGAGTGAGTGGTGCAATCACAGCTCACTGCAGCCCTGAACTCCTAGGTTCAAACAACTCTCCCACCTCAGCCTCCCTGAGTAGCTGGGACTGCAGGTGCAAACCACCATGCCCGACTAATTAAAAAAAAAAAATTGGGGCTGGGCGCGGTGGCTCACACCTGTAATCTCAGCACTTTGGGAGGCCAAGGCAGGCGGATCACCTGAGGTCAGGAGTTTGAAACCAGCCTGGCCAACATGGTGAAACCCTGTCTCTACTAAAAATACAAAAATTAGCTGGGCACGGTGGCGCATGCCTGTAGTCCCAGCTACTCAGGAGGCTGAAACAGGAAAATCGCTTGAACCCGGGAGGCAGAGGTTGCAGTGTGCCAAAATCGTGCCATTGCACTCCAGCCTGAGCAACAAAGCAAGACTCTGTCTCTAAATAAATAGATAAATAAATAAATAAATAATAAATAAATAAATAAATATTGTGTAGAGACAGGATCTCACTATGTTGCCCAGGTTGGTCTCAAATTCCTGGCCTCAAGTCATCCTCCTTAGCCTCCCAAAGTGCCCAGATTATAGGCATGAGTCAAGACTTGCAGTTTTAAGGCCAGGTGCTGGAATTTCAGGTTACCATTATTATCAAAAAGAATGGTTTGTTGAGCTTAAGTTTAGTGGCAGTAAAGGGAGTGGACAAAGCTATATAAGAGCAATGTTTTGTATAGTATTGAAATTAAGTTGGTATCAATCTGAACTAGATTGCTAAAAATTAAGATGTTATTTTTAATCCCTAGTATGGTCTGAATGTGTCCCCTCCAAAACTCAGGTGTTGTCAATGTGACAGTATTAAGAGATAGGGTCTTTAAGAAGTGACTAGGCCATGAGGGGTTCTCCCTAATGAGATTAGGTGTCCTTATAAATGAGATGGAGGGAGTTGCTTCTCTCATGTCCTTCTGCCTTCTGCCATATGAGAATGCAGCAAAAAGCGCTGACCAGATGCTGGTGCCTTGATCTTGGACTTTCCAGCCTCCAGAACTGTGAGAAAATAAATGTCTGTTCTATACAAATTACCCAGTCTGAGGTATTCTATCATAGCAGCACCAAAAGACTACTAAAATCCCCTAAGTAGGACTTGCATCCCAAGGAAGTGTAAGACTTCTGCACTGAAAACTACAAAACATTGCTGAAGGAAATTAAAGACCTAAATAAATGGAAAGATAGCCCATTTTTCATGGATCGGAAGATTTAATGAAGTACTGATACATGCTGTGGCATGCATAAACCTTGAAAATATGCTAAGTGAAAGAAGCCAGACACAAAAGACCACAGTGTATGATTCCACTTATATGAATGCCAAGAATAGGCAAATCCGTAGGGACAGAAAGTAGATTCATGGTTCCCAAAGGCTGGGCGGAGTGGGGAGTTACTATTAATGGGTATGAGGTTTCTGGTGGGGGGGGGTTGTTGTTGTTGTTGTTTGTTTTTTTTGTTTTTTTTTTTTGTTTTTGAAACAAGGTCTCACTCTGTTGCCCAGGCTGGAGTGCAATGGTCCAATCCAGCTCACTGCAGCCTTGAACTCCTTAGTTCAAGCAATTCTCCCACCCCAGCCTCCCTGAGTAGCTGAGACTGCAGGTGCACACCACCATGCCCAGCTAATTAAAAAAAAAACTTAGGGACAGGATCTCATTATGTTGCCCAGGTTGGTCTCAAATTCCTGGCCTCAAGTCATCCTCTTGCCTTGGCCTCCCAAAGTGCTGGGATTACAAGCATGAGTCATCGTGCCCAGCCAAGACTTGCAGTTTGAAGGCCAGGTGCTGGAATTTCAGGCTACCGTTATTCTCAAAAAGAATGGCTTGTTGAGCTTAAGTTTAGTGGCAGTAAGGGATAAAGAACAGTGAAACAAGGAGCATATAGTATTAATCAACTACAGACAACTGCCCTATTTGTAAATAGAAGCAGGGAAATAATATATATGTGTAGTAGCTTATAAATGCGTAAAAATTATCTGGGAGGATAAGCAAATGTCTCTCAAACATCTAAAAGCTTCCTTCAGGCTGGGTGCGGTGCTTCATGCCTATAATCTCAGCAATTTGGGAGGCCGAGATGGGTGGATCACTTGAGCCCAGGAATTCGAGACCAGCTTGGGCAACATGGTGAGACCCCGTCTCTACAAAAAAATACAAAAAAGGCCGGGCGCAGTGGCTCACACCTGTAATCCTAGCACTTTGGGAGGCTGAGGCAGGCGGATCACGAGGTCGGGAGGTGGATCACGAGGTCGGGAGATCGAGACCATCCTGACTAACATGGTGAAACCCCGTTTCTACTAAAAATACAAAAAATTAGCCAGGTGTGGTGGCACACATCTGTAGTCCCAGCTACTCGGGAGGCTGAGGCAAGAGAATCACTTGAACCCGGGGAACAGAGGTTGCACTGATCCGAGATCGTGCCATTGCACTCCAGCCTGGGAGACAAGAGCAAGACTTCATCTAAAAAATAAAATAAAATAAAATAAAATAAAATAAAATAAGCCGGGTGTGGTGGCATATGCCTGTGGTCCCAGCTACTTGGGAGGCTGAGGTAAGAGAATCACTTGAACCCGGGAAGTTGAGGTTGCAGTGAGCTGTGATCTCACTACTGTACTCCAGGCTGGATGACAGTGAAACCCTGCCAAAAAAAAAAAAAAAAAACCTTATTTCATAAATACGGCTCATGCCTGTAATCCGAGCACTTTGGGAGGCCAAGGTGGGAGGATCACTTGAGCCCAAGAGTTTGAGACCAGCCTAGGCAACATAGAGAGATCTCATTTCTACTGAAAATTTTAAAAATTATCCAGGCATAGTGGCGCATGCCTGTAGTCCCAGCTACTCAGAAGGCTGAGGCAGGAGGATAGCTTGAGCCTGGGAGGCTAAAGCTTCAGTGAGCCGTGATGGCACCACTGCACTCCAGCCTGGATGACAGAGCAAGACCCTGTCTCAAAAACAGTTAAAAATTAAAAATTAAAGAATTAGAAATACACACACACACACACACACACACACACACACACGTATGTGAAGTGTAATGGCAATACCATTTTTTCTATGAGGTTGACAAAAATCTGTTGCATTGCTCAGGCTGTTGACAAGGCTGTGGTGAAAATGGCACTCACATACTCATGCTAGCTTCTCCTTGCTCTTGCTTGGACCAGCCATGCTCGTTCCTACCTCGGGGCCCTTGCACCTGTTGCTCCCTCTGCCTGGAACACCCTTTGCCAAAATAACCATGAGGCTTGCTCCTTTCAGCCAACCTAGGACCAAATTCATTGCCCCCTCCTTAGTGAAGTCTCGCTGAATGCCTCCTCACCCACCACCTCCCCACACCACTCTCACATCGCTCATTTTCTTCATTGCACCATCTTTATGAGGAATGATTTCTCTTTTATTCTCTTTGTTAGGTCAGAGGTCAGCTAACATTTTCTGAAAAGGGCCAGAGAGTTAATAGCTCAGGCTTTGCAGGCCATATGGTCTCTGTTGCAAATCCTCAGCTCTGCACGAGAAAGCCACAAACAATATGTAAATGAAGAAGACACTGTAAATGATATGTAAATAATTTAGACACTGAAATTGATATGTAAATGATTTAGACACTGAAATTTGAATTTCACATAATTTCCAAGTGTCACAGAATATTATTTCTTTTAATAATATTTTTTCATTTTCTTTTCTTTTTTTTGAGACAGAGGCTGGAGTGCAGTGGTGAGATCTTGGCTCACTGCAACCTCTGACTCCCAAGTTCAAGCGATTCTCCTGCCTCAGCCTCCTGAGTAGCTGGGATTACAGGCGCGTGCCACCATGCCTGGCTGATTTTTGTATTTTTAGTAGAAACGGGGTTTCACCACGTTGGCCAGGCTGGTCTAGAACTCCTTACCTCAGGTGATCTGCCCGCGTCGGCCTCCCAAAGTGCTAGGATTACAGGCATGAGCCACCACACCCAGCCCCTTTTCTTTTTGAGACAGGGTCTCACTCTGTCACTCAGGCTAGAGTGCAGTGGCGTGATCATAGCTCACTGCACCCTCAATCTCCCGGGCTGAAGCGATCCTCCCACCTCAGTCTCCCAAGTAGCTGGGACTATAGGCTTGCACTATCACACCCGGCTATTTCTTTTAATATTTTTTGTAGAGATGGGGTCTTGCCGTGTTGCCCAGGCTGCTCTCAAATGATCCTCCTGCCTCAGACTCCCAAAGTGCTGGTGATTACAGGCATAAGCCACCATGCTGGATCCACCTTTTTTCAATCATTTAGAAATATGAAAGCCAGTCTTAGTTCAAGGGCCATACCAAAATAGGCAGCAGGATGGATTTGCCCACTCGTGTGTCAGAACATCAACTCCAGGGCACTATTGTCTGCTTGGTTCACTGCTATATCCCCAGCACCTAGAATAGTGCCTGGCACCCAGTAGGCTTTCAGGAGATGTTTACCGAGTGAATGAGTGAAGTCTTTTTCTGTGTGTGAGATGGAGTCTCACTCTGTCGCCCAGGCTGGAGTACAGTGGCACAATCTCGGCTCACTGCAACCTCCGCCTCCTGGGTTCAAGCGATTCTCCCGCCTTAGCCTCCCAAGTAGCTGGGACTATAGCGTGCACCACCACACCCAGTTAATTTTAGTATTTTTTAGTAGAGACGGGGTTTTGCCATGGTGGCCAGGCTGGTCTCAAACTTGTGATTTCAAGTGATCCGCCGGCCTCAACCTCCCAAAGTGCTGGGATTACAGGCGTGAGTCACTGCTCCTGGCCAAGTGGGTGAAATATTAAGTTGAGTAGCAAGTTACTGAAAGAGTGAAGTGAATGAATGCATGATCAGGCACAGTCCCACTCGCAGGGCTTCAGTTTGCTCCAGCCTGGACTCCGGCAGGCTCCCCCAGCAAGACTAAGAGAAAGATCAGAAGGCTGAGTCCAGAGTGGTAGCTCAACATCTTTATTTTTCCTCTTTAGCCCGAGGGTAATCCTGACAAACAGCTTCAGCCAGGAGGAGGCAGAGAGGACTGGGCTGGGCAAAGGCTCCACCAGGACCTGGCCTCCTCCTCCTCCTCCTCCTCCTCCTCCTCCTCCTCTTCTTCCTCCTCCTCCTCCTCCCATGGGGTTGGGGTTGGGATTAGGGCCATGATCCAAGCTTGGCATCCCTGGGGAGGAGGGAAGTGGGCCAGTCTGCAGCCTCTGCTGTCCCCCGCCTCTGACAACCACGTTCATGGGAACCAGCCACCTCCACATGTTGGGCAGGAGGGACCCTAGGGAGCGGCCCTGACCCCTCCATGTGCATGCGCACAGGGACCTGGGCCAGCAGGGCCTGATCAGTGTCCAGACATGCGGCTCTGGCCTGTGGCCCAGTTGGCAAACATAAAGCCTAGACTGACGGCCATGAAGAGGACTCCCAGGACTCCAAAGCACAGGGCCTGTGGGCCAGAGAGACAAGATGGGGCTGGTTGGGACTCCTCACCCAGTTGCCTTCTGAGAATGTTCCTCAAGTCTTCCACCTCCTTCAGAGAGTGCTCCATCCATTCCTGACCCTCCTCTGTATGCCCTCTCCTTCCTTACAGCCAGCCCCTTTCTGCGAGTCCTTCCACCTTCCCAGGACCCATGACAGAATACGTTCCTCCATCCTCCTTCTTCAAAGTGCTTCCAGCTCTCTTCCCAATAGTGCTCTTTCCATCTGTCTGGAGAATGCTCCCTCTATGCCAGCCTCTGTTTGAGTGCTCCCTGTCTTCCTGGACCCTGCTGGTGCTCTGTCTCCTCTGCCCCTTCCTAGACAATCACCTTCATTCTTCCAGACCATTCTTTCAGATGCTCTCCCAGCCCCCTCCTATGCATGTCCCTTTCACCTCCAGCCATCCTGGAGTGAGCACTCCCTCCTTGGAGTGCTCCCTCTCTCCCTAGCTCTGCCCTGGAATGCTTACCTGGATCTTGGGCCAGGATAAGAAAGGCTCCACCTCAGAGGGTACAATGCGGAGGTAGAAGATGCTGGGGAGGATGAAGATGAGGCTGGGGGCTGAGGTGGACCCTGGAGAACAAGAAGAAGGGACAGGAGTCAACCTGACTTGGGGACAAGGCCCATATTAGATGGGGTATGGGACTGGGGTGAGGTTTACTGACCGATAACTCCAAAGATATCCCGGATGGTTGGCACACAGATGACAAGGACATTGACCAAAACAAGCAGGATCAGAGCTATGGCCACATGTCGTGGCCAGCTGAAGGCCTTGCCTGGGAAAAGCAGCTGCTGCAGGGCCCGGCGGATCTGTGGCCAGAGTAGGGTGGGACAGAAGTCAGGACCCAAGTGCTGCCCCCCTTCCACGTGATCATCTGTCTTTAGCTCCACCCTCTGGCTGAGATCCCTGATTTCCCCTCCCTCTGACTATCTATGGCTCCACCCTGCCTAACCCAACATCTGTGTCTCTATGTTCTGAACAGGCTTCCTGCCTCCATCCTCTGACAATCCACGTCTCTTCCTTCTGTCTGAACACCCATCGGCACCTGCACCCACTGTCTGAAATCCTTGCCTCCTCCTCTAGCTGACCATCTTTGCCTTCTCCTTCTGTCTGACCATCCACCGATCCTTCCACCCTGTGTGAGCTCCCTGCCTCTCTCCATCTGACCTCTACCTCCCTCCTCTGTCTAATTAGTTCTGCCTCCCCATCTGGGAGACTTGACCCTCCTACATCCCATCACTTCAGCCTCCACCCTTTTTCTGTCCATCCCTGTTTCTTAATTCTACCCTCCAACTGACCCTTCCTGCCTCCCTCTTCTTTCTAGCCATCCATCTGTGCCTCCTCCCTCCAACTGACTACCCTGTCCCCTGACCCTCTCTCTCCTGCTATCTATGTCCTCCCCACTTCTGTTTATCGATTTTTGCCATCTCTGTCCATCTGAAAACGCTGCCCTTTCCTGTCTGTCCATCCTTGCCTCCTTCATCCATCCATCCACTCCTGTTTCCAGCCTTGACCCACACATCCATGCCTATGCCCTCTACCCATCCATCCATGTCCCTCTCAGCCGTGGGCCCCACGCACAGGGAACAGCACGACTGGCACAGTGAGGGTCACCGCGAGCAGCACGGCCAGGCGCACACAGAGGATGAGCGGGTCCTTCTGGCTGTACATGTGCAGCATCTCCGCCTTCACACTGCCTGGGCCATGAGACAGAGGGTACGGGATGCAGGATGTGGAGAGAGCACCAGGACCAATGCCCCAGAAACCCATACATACATGCACAGTGACAAAATCCACACAAGTGAGGCACACCTTCTGTTTGGAAACTGACAGGTCCGTGGTCACAGAAGGAAAGAGCTCAGAGGCTCCTGCCCCAGGCCTTCCCCCTCCCCCCAGCCCTAGCCCCAGCCCCACTCACTGTAGAAGGTGAGGTATCCAAAGGTTGCTGTGAGCCCATACATGCAGAACATGGCCCCAATGGACACGTTGGCCACGGCCTGCATCCTGCGCTTGGAGGGCCTGAGGTGTAGAGGTCGTGGAACTGTCATGCCCAGACCCTGAGACTTGCCCCAGGTCCCTCAAAGCCAGCCTCCACCCTCCAGAGTCCCCTTCTCCCAGACTGCCATTCAGCTGGCACACATGGGGACACCCGTCTCTGCCTCCCCTGTGACTAGCCAAAATCCCCTCTCTGACCATCCATATCTCCCCCGATATGACTGTCTCCCTCTCCCCTGCGTTTGACTGCCACTGCCTCTTCCATCTGACCATCCATGCTGTCCCTCTGTCTGATCATCCACACATCTCCCATCATATCATCCCTGCCTCCGCCTCTGTCTGTCCGTACCTCCCTATCCCCATATCACCAGCCATGCATATCACCCCCTCCATCTGATCATCTGATCTCTGCTTCCCAACTCTGTCCATCCACATTTGTGCTGGATATTAAAATAGGAGAATACTTAAGCCCCAATCAGCAAACAGTCACTACCCTGAGTGCCCCAAGACCTCCTGGCCACCCCAAACCCCTCCCATGACACAACCTAGCTTCCACCAAGTGACAGTCCCAGGACTGCTGTAGGGAGTGTCAGACATTCTGGTTACCACCCCACTTGCTGGCCCATCATTCAGGCCCACTTGCCTGCCCACTCACCGGCAGAGCTCCGTATAGATGGGCAGCACCTCAGGGTGGCAGACAAAAGCAAAAGCCATAATGGGCACTGTGTAGGACATCTAGGGGAATGCCCGAGTACATGGGATTAGAGCCAACAGGGGTCCATCCCCTTCTTCCCATCCCCCTCCCGCCCCGTAATCGCCCTCCATATCAGACACATAGAAGCTCCCAATGTCGAATATCCAGCTCCACTCTGAGCAGGATGCACCATATGACAGAACCAGAGGGCCTGAGTGTGATGCAATCTCCTACATGCCTGCACACACACCTGTGAGTCAACTGTGAACATCTGGGCCTCACAGCTGCTGTTGAGTCCTTGGCTGGGGAGTCCCACGAGAGCTTCACTCTCCATTGCTGTTTCATTGTGGCCTATAGCACAGCCAAGTTGGAACTTCTTGTAGATGACCTGAGGATGGGGGCAGCAGGGAAGCCAGGTCATGGAGGAAGCTATGTCCCAATGTCCCAAACTCTCTCCCCGCTTCTCTGTGACTCACCGAAACAAGGAAAAACAGCATGCAGGTCAGAGAGAGACCACTGGTGTACCCCAGGTAGCCTAAGAGGGGCAAAACACAGAGTCTCAGAAATCAGCCAGGCGTGGTGGCTCACACCTATAATCCTAGCGCTTTGGGAGGCCTAAGCGGGTGGATCACCTGAGGTCAGGAGTTCGAGACCAGCCTGGCCAACATGGCAAAGCCCCATCTCTACTAAAAATACAAAAATTAGCTGGGTGTGGTGGCGCATACACCTGTAATCCCAGCTACTCGGGAGGCTGAGGCAGGAGAATCGCTTGAACCGGGAGGCAGAGGTTGCAGTGAGCCAAG
This sequence comes from Homo sapiens, assembly GCF_000001405.40. Classification (NCBI taxonomy): domain Eukaryota; kingdom Metazoa; phylum Chordata; class Mammalia; order Primates; family Hominidae; genus Homo; species Homo sapiens. Next base: position 48,462,560 of record NC_000023.11, read on the forward strand.
ACCACGCCATTGCACCACTCCAGCCTGGGTGACAGAGTGAGACTCGGTCTCAAAAAAACAAAACAAAACAAAAAAATCAATGGACCCCCGGAACAGTGAACTCCAAACACCTAGTCTAGCCTTCAAGGTCTACCCACCCCAGTTACCTTTGCATAAGCTTCTACTTCCACCCAGAAAAACCTCCCCTCCATAGCAAACTCCTACTAATCTGTTCAAGCCCACATCAAATAAGCTCTCTCCTAGTGTGCTGCAGCCCTTGAAAATGAATGGGGGTTTTCTCAGTCTGGCTTCTTCTGTCTAATCCCACTACCCAATGGCCAACCCAGGGAGCCTCTTACCCAAGTGTTTCATGAGGGCGAGGGGCAGGATGATTAACACACTGACGATGATGATGAGGAGGTTTCCCTTCAAGAACCAGTCCCTAGAGAGACAGGAAGACACAGTGCCTAGCTGCCAGCCAAAGGAAACTGTCAGGCAGACACTCACAGAAGACAGCTGGACAGGCAGCTTTCTGCCCTAAGTCAGGAGAGTTAAGCTGACAACCTCAGCTTGAGAAGTCATTCAGGTGGTCACAGTGACAAACGGCACAATAGGGTTGACAAAAACAGTCAAGCTGATTATGAGATTGTCAGATACTATCAGTGGGACACAGCTAACACATACACAGCTGGACAAAACTTGCCATCAGACTTCGCAAGTGGTTGCACAACCAGAAGGTCAAACACCCCAAATCAGTCAGACTCAATGTAAAAATCAGTCCAGGCCAGGTGTGGTGGCTCACGCCTGTAATCCCAGCACTTTGGGAGGCTGAGGCGGGTGGATCACCTAAGGTCAGGAGTTTGAGACCAGCCTGGCCAACATGGTGAAACCCTGTCTCTACTAAAAATACAAAACAAATTAGCCAGGCGTGGTGGGGAGTGCCTGTAGTCCCAGCTACTCAGGAGGCTAAGGCAGGAGAATGGCATGAACCCGGGAGGTGGAGCTTGCAGTGAGCCGAGATCACGCCACTGCACTCCAGCCTGGGCGACAAAGGGAGACTCTGTCTCAAAAAAATAAATAAATAAATAAATAGCCAGGTATGGTGGCGCGTGCCTGTAATCCCAGCTACTCGCGAGGCTGAGGCAGGAGAATCACTTGAACCCAGGAGGCAGAGGTTGCAGTGAGCCAAGATCGCGCCATTGCACTCCAGCCTGGGTGACAGATCAAGACACTCAAAAAAAAAAAAAAAAAGGAAGAAAGAAAGAAAAAAAAGAAGGAAGGGAGGAAAGAAAGAGAAAGGAAGAAAGAAAGAGAGAGAAAGAAAGAAAGAAAGAAAGAAAGAAAGAAAGAAAGAAAGAAAGAAAGAAAGAAAGAGAAAGAAAGAAAGGAGAAAATCAGTGCAACACAAGGTGCCAGACACAAAGAGAGTGAGTCACGATCGTGGTATGTCTGACAGGTAGAGCAACAGTCTGATGATCCAGTAGACAAGCCACGATGCAGAGTCCATCAAAAAGTCAGAAACACACATGCATGCTTGTTTGAACAGCTCAAGGTTTGTTGGATGCCTGAAAGTATGCCTGTGGACTGATTTGGCTGCACAGCCAAAGAAAGACTGAAATAGAAACGAAATCATCCAGCTGGCCACACTGTTGGAACCAAGCTCTGAGAAAAGGTGGGATCTGTACAGATATTGGAGGAAGGTGACCAGGCAAGACAGTCAGTTAAGACAGAATCAGCTGAACAACTGCTCATGCATTCAAAACAACTTGATTGAATGCCTATGTTCTAGACATTCACATGGTCTCTTTCTATCTCATATACAGTTACACAGAAATAAACCAATGGGAGCTAACTATAATAATGAGACATCTCTGGTCACACTATCAGCTATCTAGTGTTCTCAGAATCAAACCAAAAATCTAAAAGGATACACACAGAGAGTAAAGATCAAGCACTCAGTTAAAATTGTCAGACTGGCCGGGTGTGGTGGCTCATGCCTATAATCCCAGCACTTTGGGAGGCCAAGGCAAGCAGATCACCTGAGGTCAGGAGTTCAAGACCAGCCTGGCCAACATGGCAAAACCCCGTCTCTACTAAAAATACAAAAATTAGCCGAGCATGGGGGCTGAGGCAGAAGGATGGCTTGAACCTGGGAGGTGGAGGTTGCAGTGAGCCAAGATGGCGCCACTGCACTCCAGCCTGGGCAACAGAGTAAGACTCTGTCTCAAAAAAATAAAATTAAAAAATTAACCGAGCATGGTGGTGCATGCCTGTAATCCCACCTACTCAGGAGGCTGAGGAAGGAGAATCGCTTGAACCTGGGAGGCAGAGGTTACAGTGAGCTGAGATCGTGTCACTGCACTCCAGCCTGGGCGACAGAATGAGACTCTGTCAAAAAAAAAAAAAAACTGTCACACAGACCAGAGTCAGACTGACAAAACCAGAGACACATCTACACACCATGCAAAGCCCATGGGACCAGAGGCAGAGTTAGCCCATGGGACCAGAGGCAGAGTTAGCCACTGGACACACAGAGCTGTTCATGAAACACACAGAGGCAGCTACACACGTGCAGCTGGAGCACAAGCACTGCAACACACTGTGCATACACACTAGCCCTGCTGGAGTCCCATCGTGCACATGCCCCCCACACATACCAAGCCAGCACAGCGGATCCGGACTCACACACAGTCAGCCAGATGCATAATCAGAACAGTCCAGCATATATGGTTGCAACCATAATACAGAGGACACATAGCCACATTCAGGGATCACACACACACACACACACACACACCAGAGAGAATTTGCCAGAACAGCCACCAAATCAAACACAGAGATGGAGTTGGCTGGACACGTACAGTCAGAGTGAGTCACACATAGTTGGTACCACAGCATACTACGTGCACACAGACACACTGCTGGAGTCAGCGATCACACACTCACAGCTAGACGGAGTCAGTGATCACACACTCACAGCTAGACAGATTCAGCCAGATGAACCTAGAATCAAGCTCAAACAATCAGCTGGACAGGGGAAGTCAGAGTGACCGAGGGTAAGACACATATGGTTGGAATCCCAGTATACGGGACACAGCTGTAGTCAATCACAGAGCTAGCCCAAGAGAATCAGCCAGGACAGCAGACGCAGAGTCAAACCCACAGGCAGAGTCTGAGTCCATTGGCTATGTACATTCACACACACATGGTCAGCAGCAGAGTAAACCGGACATAAAGAGTCAGCCTCCAGCCAGAAGCAGCCAGAATAAGTCACAAAATCAGCACACGGTCGACTGGACTCCTGTGGTCAGAGCAACAGGCACACAGAGGAATCAGTCTGACCCAAGTGGCCTGCCCAGCAGTCTCAAACTAGAACATCTGGAAGTCAGCTGCACACACAGCGCTGAAGATACTGACCGGGCCTCACAGGCAGAGTCAAGGGGCTGCTGGCCAGCCAAGGGGTGTTGCTCACTCACCCCTCGGGGTCCATGTACAGGAAGGTGCCGATAACCAGGGGGAGCTCAGATTTGATGATGAACAGGTAACTGGACATGGCTGGTGCAGGTGGGGGAGGTGTAAGCAGAAGGATTCTCTTCATGCCCCCACCCCGTCTTCCCCAGCCCAGCCTGGGGAAGCCCACCTCACTCCGCCCTCTCCCCCCAAGCTGACCCCCACCTCCCAGAGTCCTCACCCCCAACATTGTGCAGACAGATGACTGTGGCCACCACTACCTTCCCCGCAGGCCCGAATGCCCTCTGTCCCAGCTGCTCATAGGCTCGGATGCCTAGCGGGGGGAGTCAGGAACAGGGTTGAAGGTCCAGGAGGCCAGGCCAGAGGTGCAGGCCAGAGGGCCCAGGAGCTGGGGAGTTGGGGCTTGGGGGAACCGGCTTTGACTGATGGAGGATGAAGGTGGGGGTTAAGCAGTTGGGCTTGAGTTTGGGGGCAGAGTCTGGGAGGTGGGATCTGAGGCCAGGGAAAAGGATGAGGGCTGGAGGTAAGAGTAGGGGTCTTGGAGCCAGACTATGAACTGAGACCATGGTAGGAGCTGGGGAACCGGGGACTGAGGGGTGGGGGTTAGAGGTAGAGTGTAGTGGTCTGGGGGTGGGTTCTGGGGTGCTGGGTCCGGGATCTGGGGTCTGCATTCAGGGAGCTGGGTCTGGGGTCTGGGGTCCAAGGTCTGTGTTGAGCTCTGGATGTGGCTCCAGAGTCTGGGGTCCAAAGGGGTGGAGTGGGGACTGGGATCCAGGCTCTGGGTCTCACCTGCAATACCAGCACAGGTCAGCAGGAGGTGGATGGAGTAGGACGACAGAAGCGCAATGCACAGCAGCAGGGCCCTGCGGCAGGTGGCACAGCTCAGACCTGGCCCCAGGCCTCCCACCTGCCCCACAACACCCCTGGCCCCGCAGGCCACCTATGGACTCACAGGAAGAAGATGACCCCCGTGTGGGCCATGGCATAGGCCAGCCCCAGGATGCCGCTGCCCATGATGGCGTTGCTGAGGTTGAACACTGACATTCCAAACGATGTCTTCCCCTCGAACTGCACGCAAGGAGCAAAGCCCGGGCACACATTGGGACAGGGCACAGGGTAAGGAGACTAATGCCAGGGCCAGGGAAAGACTAGAGAAGAAGCAAGCGGGGTGGAGAGAAGCCAAGGAGAGACCATCGGAGGAGGGAAGAGGCTAGCAGGGAAGAAGAGTTGAAGATGGAAGAGGCTGCGAATGGGGAGAGCTGGGAAGGGGGAAACTAGGACAAACTTTGGAGGGAGCAGCTGGAAGTGGAGAGGACCGGGGGAGGGTGAAGCAGCCACCAGAGGTAAAACAGCTGGGGAGGGGAGACGCTGCGGGTGGGGATAGGCTGAGGATGGGGAGTGCTGGAGGAGGAAGAACAGCTGGAGGAGAAAGGCAGGCCGGGAGGGGAGCAGCCAGGGAGGGCAGTCACTGGGCCGAAGAGCGGGTGGGGAGAAACAAGGCCAGGGAGAGAGCTGGAAAGGGCATATCTGGGGAAGAGGAGTATCTGGAGAGGGGAGCGACCAAGTAGTGTGTAGCTGTGCTGGGGAGATAGCTGGGCAGGGGAACAGCAGGGAGGAGGAGGAGTGGGGAAGAGGGAGCAGTGCGGGAGGAGATTAGCTGGGGAAGGTGCCACCAGGACAGATCCTGTGGGGCCACTCACATCCATGAACTGGACCGGCTTGCTCCCAGGAGCAGGACCACGACTGGGCAGGAAGCCCTCACGTTCTTGCCTGTAGCTGGATAGGGCAGGGAAATAGGGGCCGATAAGAGGGAAATCCTGACCCCTGATCCCTGAGCCCACCTCCTTGGACCCCTGACTCACCCCACAGCATCCGAAGGGAGGGCTCCATTCATCTTTGGATCCTGCAGTTCCATCCTGTGGGCAAAGAAATGGGGTGGGGGGATCAGAGATGGAACGAGCATGCTTCAAAGTGAGGGGAGCTGAAGAAGGGGGGAGGGGAGTCCCATAGAGACCGATGGAAAGACGGAGAAAGAGACAAGGCAGGGGAGCAGGAACAGACAGGGATAGAAATGGAGGCAGACTGACAGAGAAAGAGATGAGAGAGAGAGAAGAACAAAAATCAGAGAAGGAGAGAAGCCAACAGTTAGTTACTCAGAGAGACACAGAGAGAGCCAGTGAGAGAGAAATAGTGGGGAAGAGAGAGACAGAAAGCTACAGAGAGAGCCGGACCCCAGCGCAGATGAGCCGACCACGTGGAGAAGGGATAGCCTCTCCTCCCAGACCCCAGACTCACGCTGTCTCTCTTGCCATCTGTGTCTTTCATTCCCCGGTCCCCCGCGCCACCCCCTCTCCTTCCCTCCACCCTCACCGCGTGGCCAGGCGGCTCACTCCTTGCAGGGACACGTGTCGGCCTGGCTGCCCCACCCCTCCTAATGCCCTCACCCCCCTCCTTCCCGCCTGGGCCCCCAAGCCCGAGACCAGAGCTAATGCAACCTGTTGAGTGAGCTGAGGGTTGGGGACAGACTCGGAGACCCCTGCCCCAGACGCTGCAAACTGCTCTCTGCCACGACTCTGAATATCCTCACTAGAAGCCAAAGACAAGTGCCCGAACCGAGCCCCTTCCCAGGGACAGAAATGACCCAGGGACTCCCATTTGACCCCAATTCTAGGGCCTAGAGGTCTTTTCCAGGGCCCCTAGCAAGTCTTAAACACTCATCTTCTGGCAGAAGTCAATTTGGAGACACTGCCAGACTTGAGAAACTTCCTAGGTGTGGGGTGTGGGGTGTCTCAGGAACCTGGCCCGAGCCCTCATTTCCCTCCGGAGGAAGAGCTATTTCTGAGACCTTCATCAAAGACCCCCTCCCGTGGCCTACCGAGTTTCCTGGGGTGGGGGTGTCTCTGCAATCCCCACCCGAGCCTGGAGCCCCTGTCTTGTAGGTACAGCGTCTCTGAAGAAACCCCAGCTCCCTCCCGCGCTTACTCCTTGGGAAGGAGGTATCTCAGAAACCCCCATTCAAGGTCCCCATTAGAGCTCAAACTGGCTCAGGAAATCCTTTTCCCAAGTCCTGAATCCCGTTCCTGGGACAGGGAGGGTCTCAAGGAGTCCCATCCCCCACCACCAGCACCCTCCGGAGCCTCCCACCCACACCTGAATTCACTTCCTGGGATCAGGGTACAAAAAGGACCTCCCCATACACGCCATTCCATTCCCCACTAGTGCTAAAATGTCTCCAAGGAACCCCGAGCCCCCTCCCAGGACCCCTACTCATATCTCAGGCCCCCAGGAACACCATCCCCGCAGCCCACGCTCCCTCCTCACCTACCTGCTCCTCTCAGCTCCTGAAGTGGCCGCAACTCAGACTCAGGTTCGGGCACCCTCTCGGCTGCCTAGGCTCCTGCTCTGGAGCGGTACTTTTTTTTTTTTCCTGAGAAGAAATGTTAATTTTAATTTCGTTTCCCTCCTTCTGGCCCTGGGCGGGGGAAGAGGTGGAGAAGGGGCGCCCCCTATCTGGACCCACTTGGAGGGAGACAGCGGTTTGTTTGTGTGTTGATGGTGGGGGAAATGGCCTGAAAGATTGAGGGTGTAGACCCACAGCTAGAGAGAGTGACAGGCAGACAGAGGGGATGGACTCACAGAGCAGACGGACAGCAGGATGGGATGGATGGCAGAAAAAGGTGCAGAGAGGAGACAGAGAGAGAGTAGGAGAACTGAAGTTACAAAGAAAGCAGGCATGAGAAACAGCACAGGAACAGACAGACCACAGAAGGGACAGAAAGACAGATGGGCGGGAGGAGGGGATGCTAGGGGAGCTTGGAAGACAGGCAGAGACAGGGAGAAAGGGACACACAGGCAGACTCAGAAACAAACAGGTGGGTAGGGATAGGCTCGTGGAAACACCTGCAGAAAGGCAACAGGCAATTGGGCTCAGTCATAGACAGGAGACACAGGCTGGCCAAGAGGTGGGGGACAGAGCCAGACAGCTCCCCAAACAGAGGGTAGGACCAGACACACCAGCTCAGAGAGATGAAGGGGCAGAGAGAGTGGTTGAGGCAGAGAGACTCCTGGAGGGACAGGAGAAAAGAGGCAGAGAGAGGCAGATTCAGGCAGAGAGGCCTGGGGACAGCAGGGGAACAGGTGCAGGGGTAGTAGCCAGGCTATTCCAGGCAGACCTCAGGCAGACAGCCTAGGCACGAGAGGACCCTAGATCTTGGGGGCCCCCAGAGGGAGGCAGGGAGGGCATTTGTGGCTGGGTGGGGAATGTGGACTGTGAACTCACACTGTCCGCAAACTGGGCGGGCACTGTAGTCCTGGACCCCACCCCAAGCGTGGGGTGGGGCTTGTCCAAGCCCTGAGAAGTCCCACTATCTGTCTGTCCGTCTGTCTTCTATGGGAGTCCGTCTGTTCACTCCCCTCCAGGCATATGACAGGCATGCCTGTCCCAGGCAAGCCACGTGTCCGCTACAGGATGTCAGGCAGGGTGGACTTGGGGTCTGGGACCACCTCGACTGGGCTGCTTGAAGCCCAGGTGGACAAGAGGCCTCTGTCTGGGCCCCTCGCCCGCCTGCCCACCCCCGACAGGGAACACAGAATTCCCGGAAAGGCCAGGAGCTGGCTGGGGCTTCAAAGCTGGCCTAGATGCCCTCACCCCACCCACAGTTGGAGGAGGACAAGGGATGGGGCGTTTACTTCCCCACAGCGGGAGAGAGACTCCTGCACACTCAGGAATCGCAGCTACACAACAGGACCCATCACAGCCCCATCAAGGGGCTCAGATACGGGGGCCAACTCGCCATCACTCACAGAGGTGCACAAAGACTCACAGCCACACAAGAGAATAAAGACTGACAGACATGAACACACACAGACTCACCACTGCACGTTAAGAGCAATGGCTCATGGGACAGTCACACACGTGGCCACACAGAGTGACGATAGTCTTACAGCTATCAATACCGACAGGCTCAGAGCCGCTCACAGAGAGCACAGACTAACACAGGGATAGGCTTGTGCCGATTTCCAGACACTCGAGACTCCTGAACCTCACCGCCCGTGGACCCACAGCCATGCCAAAGACAATCAACAGGCAAATCACACACACAGATTCACAGCCACACACAGAGCACACAATTACACACAGCTGATGACATTGTGTGTGGGTCCTGGGTCTTTCCCACACACACGATCCAGGTTCAGATGGCCCTGGATCTGAACCTGAATCCAGGTTCAGATGACCCTGGAGGCAAACTTCCAGGTTCAAGCCCTAAAATGATATCTCTGTGTATGTGAACTTGAATGTGCACTTGTGACCACATGTAACCACATACAGCTCCAGTCACAGAGAGAGGCACTCATAGGCTGACATGATTTTTGTACAAACAGAAAAGCCATAGTCTCCTTCTCTCTCTCTCTCCTCTCTCTCTCTCTCTCACACACACACACACACACAACTGCATTTCAGCAAATGGCTGCACACAGCCGTGTACACACACAGCTAGTCACAAATCAAGTCAGAAAAGAAACATATAGGGAAAGCATATACCTGCACACAAACACAAAGCACAGGAATGCAGAGTACGCTTACTATCGTTGCAAAGAAAAAATCCAGAAACCACACTGAAAGCTACACAAGGAAAAAACAAGAGAACCAGATAGTACTCATACCATGGCACCAGAAGAAACACCCCGAGGGCACACATACCTGCAGCCACTCGCTAAGAAGAGACACAAATACAGCAGCAGACACACAAAGAAAGATACGTGCGCATAGATACACATATAGGAGGGACAAGTACTCTGACACACTTGTCACCCACGACCATTACAAAGGAGACAAACACCCAAGCAACACACACACACAACAACATATAGATGAACTGCACCGACAGACAGTACCAATGCACACGGTTGCCAAAAAAAAAAAAAAAAAAAAGGTATGAGTTGGGCCGGGTGCAGTGGTTCATGCCTGTAATCCCAGCACTTTGGGAGGCCAAGGTGAGTGAATCATGAGGTCAGTAGTTCGAGACCAGCCTGGCCAACGTGGCGAAACCCCGTCTCTACTAAAAATACAAAAAAAATTAGCTGGGCGTGGTGGCGGGTTCCTGTAATCCCAGCTACTCGGGAGGCTGAGGCAAGAGAATTGCTTGAACCTGGAAGGCGGAGGTTGCAGTGAGCCAAGATCGCGCCACTGCACTCCGGCCCAAGCGACAGAGTGAGACTCCATCTCAAAAAAAAAAAAAAAAAAAAGCACAAGTTTGGCAGGCGGCCATAGACAGAACGCAGCACCAGGCAAGTTACATAGGAAGACGCAGGCACAGCTCACATACGTGTGGCTGTGGCTGAGAACGGGCAGGTGAGATACACTCAGCATATTCACACACACGTGCGCACACACTCCTGCCCAACCTCCTCCAGCCTCTGTCTCCTTTCCTATCTACTCTGATTTCTCTCTCCCCTCATACCCCTCCCCCACCCAGAGCCATTACACATCTGTGCTACCAGCTGGCCAGGGAAAGAGACACCTGTCACTAGAGGCTTTGACCCAGATGGCTAAAGGTCGGGGGGTGGGGGGGATGCAGGTATCCATATTTCAAGTCTGAAGTGTCCCGTCCAAATAACTAGCATACTTTATTTGGATTTAAAAAAAAAAAAAAAAGACAACCCCCCTCCCCTCTGCATCCATTCGCCGCCTCCCTGCCACAGCCTCCTGCTCTGATTGCTCCCCTTCCCTCCCAGGGCCTGCCTCTACTGGCCTTCCAACATGGACCAACACAGGGCTACCAGGCACACAGCAGGCGCTCAACAAAGGCCACTTATCTAATGTCGTATTATTATCATTACTTTTATTTCTGCCAAAGGAACTCTTCTACGGGAGAGATGAACCTCCATCCAGCTCTGAGAACCCGACAGCTCTGCTAAGTTTCAGGGCACTGCAGATAGCAGGTGCTCAACATAAGCCGGTATGGCAGCGGGAAAACAAAGGGAATGTGTGATCTGGCTGCTTAGAGGAATTTGCTTTAGAAGGAACAGATGTCTTTAAGCAGGACCGAGGCCTTGAGGCTGTGCCAGGGATAAGAACACTTTGTTAGTTCATCAAAGTAGGGCTCCTTCTCAGGGTCATTTAAGGTTTCTGTTGGTTCAGTAAACCAGACCCTTGTGTGACACATGGGAGTCCCGTGAAATCTGTTAAAAGTCACTTTGGGTTATCATCAGTTCTAAGGAGACATTTGATGAAAACAGCTCACTTCCCGGTAGCATCCAGGGGAGGGAGGGACACAGTGAAGCAGTTAACAGCAAAAGCTTTCTCAGCTCTGCCACTTATTAGCTGTGTGGCTAAACAAGCAAATTCCTAAACCTCACTGAGTCTCAGCTTCCTCAAGGGCCTAATAACGCCTAACTCATTGGGCTATCGAGACAATTGAATTAATTAACACAGGCAGAGCACTTAAGACAATGCTTTACACATAGTTATTGCTCAATACATATTTGTGGGAGGAATTAATGATTTCTTCTCTGCGAAAGCAAAGTCCCACTTGCTGGGCTGCATATGGGATTCCAATCTGTCCTTTCATGCAGGCTCCCCACGGAGTAACTCTTTCCAGTCACTTCCTTTCCTCAAAGCAGCCCCTGGGCAGCAAAGTCCTAGTCCCCTGCCCCTGGGCCACCCCCCTCGTTCCCTCACACTGCTAAGATGCCCCCACCGGGAAAGAGCTGGCCTGGCAGCTCCCCCTTCCTTGACCCCTCCAGGAGGCCAAGGGAAGGACACCTTTACACTCAGTGGGGTGCCGGGTGGGAGCTGCAGGCCGACACCCTACTTCGGGAAGAGCCTGGAGAGTTCAGAGCCTGGCTCCTGTCCCCCAAACCCCCGGTCCTGCTGGAGGAAGCAAGTTTCTTTGCTAAAAGTTAAACATCCTCTTCGTGAGCGACAAGAAAACAGGACGTGGGAAGCGTCCCACAGGGTGAACATGGGCCCCCAATGCCTGGCACCCCCTCCTCTCTTGTGGAGCGGAGGCCTGGTGGCTCGAACCCTTCCTTTCTCACACTCGCTCGCCTCTGCAGGGGAGTCATGTTCCCACAGTCCCACAATGCCCTTGAGTTCTGCTGACAAAGCTCTGGCTTCTTCCCTGGTTCTCAGAGTCTCTACGCCTCCACCCAGGGCTCCATAGAAATGCAGGACGCACCACTGGGGAAAAAATTAAGGAACGAAGCAACAAAAGGATGAATTCAACCAACATTTATTGAACACCAACTGTGCGCCACCCCTGTTCCAGGCACTGGGAGGCAGCAGTGAACATGACAGAACAGGAATCCCTGCCTGGTGAAGCTCGTGTGCTAAGGAATCAATCATTCTGTTTTTTTTTTTTTTCTTGAGACAGGGTCTCACTCTGTCGCCCAAGCTGGAGTGCAGTAGCACGATGTCGGCTCACTGCAACCTCCACCTCCCAGGTTCAAGTGATCCTCCCACCTTGGCCTCCTGAGTAGCTGGGACTAGAGGTGCGCATCACCACGCCCAGCTAATTTTTGTATTTTTAGTAGAGACGGGGTTGCACTATGTTGGCCAGGCTGGTCTCCAACTCCTGACCTCAAGTGATCCCCCCGCCTCGCCCTCCCAAAGTTCTGGGATTATAGGCGTGAGCCACTGCATCCAGCCCTTTTATTTTTTAAAGAGACATGGGTTCTCGCTATGTTGCCCAGACTAGATTCAAACCCCTGGGCTCCAGGGATCCTCCCACCTCAGCCTCTGGAGTAGCTGGGACTAAAGGCACATGCCGCCGCCCCTGGCTAATACTCATATGCATGTTGCCAGGATTAAAATGAATGAACAAAGGGAAGGACATGCTGGAGCCAACTTATACAGGTTGGGAGGAGCTGTTCAATTTTCAGAAATTTTGCAAACTGGTTGTTAAACAGCTGGTTTAACAACTGGTTTTGTTTGTTTGTTGAGACAGGGTCTCACTCTGTCACCCACAGTGGAGTGCAGTGGCAAGATCAAGGCTCACTGCAGCCTTGACCTCCCAGGCTCATGCAATCCTCCCACCTCAGCCTCCCAAGTAGCTGGAACTACTCGCACACACCACCACGCCCGGCTATTTTTATTATTTGTAGAGACGGGGATCTCACCATATTGCCCAGGCTGGTCTTGAAGTCCTGGACTCAAGCGATCCTTCCACCTCAGCCCCCTAAAGTTAAACAGCTATGGTTAAAAATGAAATGATATAAACTTACTCAAAACTGGTAACTTCCTAATTTTACCACATTCCACTATTCTCTATGCTCTTGAGGTCATTTACCCCCATTTTATCTGTATGGTAAAAATAATACATGATAGTGCACTACTGCATCTCTTTTAAACTCCCTGTTCAGTGACCACAGGTCGGTACCTTGAAATCTAACAAGAAGATTGTACCTAAGCCATGGAAATTGGTAAATGCTAGAAACCAGCCTCCCTTCCCCCCACCCCTCCCCGCCACCACCCCCGCCCCAGCCAGTGGTTAACCATTTACCAGCACACCACTGAGGGCATTTAGAGCCTAGCACATGGTAAACACTATGATAAACGTTTTCATTATTTTTCCGTTTGTCCACTGGGTCAGGATGTATAGTCTTTTTTTGTGTCTGGGATGGAATTTAAAATATTTGAAGATCACAGAATTACAAAAGCCCAGAGAGTGGCTAAGCTACACCTATTTAACCCTCCCAATAATGCTGTTAAGTCTATACTATTGATTATCCCCACTTTCCAGACAGGGAAACTGAAGTTCTGAGGCAGTAAAACTCAGGCAGCGCCATGCATTAGCTGTAGTGCGATCTGAAATTGCAGCCGAGCAGCCTCCGCGCGCTCGCGCACTTCAAGAACGCATTTTCCTTACTGTCACGTTTATGCCCCGAGTGGTAATTTCGCTTCCCGGCACGCGAAAAATGAATGGGCGCCATCTTGCGCGTGGCATCTTGGGAAATGTAGTTTACAGGCTCAATAACAAGCACGGTCCAAGAAGGGAGGGGCGGGGGAGCAAATCGATCTTGGCCTCGGAAGAAAAAGAACAAAGAATCGCTGGCAACTTGCGCGTCGCGTCGCTGCAGCCACGCAGTGCGTGGATTCAGCCGCTTTGGCCGTGCCCGTTGCATGCCGGGAAACGCAGTTCGCGAGCCCCGGATACGTCGACAATAGATGACGGGGCTCACGTTGTACGTTCACATCAGGTCCCGGCCCGCCGGAACCTGGGCGATCCACGATGCCGAGTTTGCCACGCTGCGACAGCCCATAGGCTTGCCCCCCCGGGCATTCGGGTGGACTACGAACACAAACTGAAGCCCTAGGACTTGTCGCCCGTTTGCGCTCTCGCCGAGGCACAGGCTGCTCGCGGACCACCCTGCTCCGAAAACTAAGGTGGGCCCTGGGGCGCGGAGGACAGGAATGCGGGCGGAGGCTATTGAGGCACGCCTGCACTGTCCCGCCTGCGGGGAAAGGAGGGAGGTCCGCCCTGGGCGCCGTAGCTGTGTATGGTTCGGGCGGCTGGCACCGGGTGGGTTCTAGACCCAAGGTTTGTCTGCAGAAGGGGACCAGTAGACGGGGTGGATTCGAGGTGGGGACATGGGACGCAGCGGTCGGAGCCGCCTGGAGGGGTACCCGGTGGTCCCGATGGAGCTATCATCTTTGAGGTATTGATGAGGAGGGACGGGGAGTGTGGTCAGAAGGCTGTTTTGGGAGGTTGGGTGGAGCGTGAGGGTGGGGTGTTACTGGGGAATCAATGGGGGCTAATAAGAATATTTTAGTCGAACTGTTGTTCATTGATTGATTAATGAGGGGATGGCAGAGTAAGCAACTAGAATATAACGAGTGATGGATGGGAAAATGATCCCCCAGGTATTGATGGAGGTATGATATTCAACGGGTTAATGGAAAGTGATGGGGCATCGTAATGGCAAGGATGATGGTGAGGTTGTGGGGGGAATAATAGATGGATGGAGGTCATGATCAAGGGGCCTTGGTGAAAGAAAAGATAATGAGAGGCTGATGGTGTTGTAGTCAGAGTCAGTAGTTGGGCTATGGTGGCATGACCGTCGAGGAATTAGGGGACAGAGTGAGTAAAGAGAGGGCAATAGTAAACTAGGGTTGGGGGGGTTAACTTCTGTTGATACATAGTAGGTGAATAGTAAACTGTTGGAGTGTGATCATCCAGTGATGGATCCATGGAGAGCAGGGTGGACAGTGAGGGGAGAATGGGGAACTGATGTGTGATCAGTTAACGTGTTTGTTAATGAAAGAGTTACAGGGCAGGAGGCTAGTGCTGTGATCTATGAAGGGTCTATTGGAGAAAACTGAGTTAATGGGGGCTGATAAATCAGTAATTGAATGCTTAATGGGGAGCTAATAGACCATGATTCTCCAGGCATTGTTAGAGGTTCATAAGGATGTAGTAATAAAGGGGCCTAATCATCTAAGGGATTAATGGCGAATGGGGTGAAACGAGAGAGATATAGGGAGTGGGAGGTACAATGAAGTAGTATTAGGATAAAGGTGGAAAACAAGGGATTAATGGGGGCTAATAGGACTATATGAATCTAGGGGCAATGGGGACAACTGGGGATACAGTCAGTGAGATTTTAATGGGCATGACATGAGCAGAGAAGGGTTGATAGTGGCAGTTGCAGGGTTTAATGTGTGGAGTGTGGGTGACAGTGATGGGAGGTGGACAGGTTCACAAGTGGGCCATCTATGGGATGAATGTTGGGTTTATGGGGTCTTTTGTGGGAACTGTGGGGTAAGTGATGGGGGCGAGGAGGGTCTGTGTGATAAGCAGTGGAGCCTGAGAGTTCAGTGATTGGGTCCTTCAGGCCCTATAAGGTCAGTGGGGTCAGTGCCAGGGCTTCAGTCAGCCCATCTTCTGTGTGAGCTGTCATGTGGGTCAGATGAGCCCAGTTTAGTTTGTGTGGTTCTCTCCGCCCTACAGAGGTAGGTGGTAGCCCATTCATCTGGTTACTGATACTGGCCGGCATCAGTGGACTGTCGGCAGGTCCTTGAGCAACTGGTGTGTGAAATGGGACGGACGTCAAAGGACAAGCGGGATGTCTACTACCGCCTGGCCAAGGAGAATGGCTGGCGTGCTCGCAGCGCCTTCAAACTGCTACAACTGGATAAGGAATTCCAACTCTTCCAAGGTCCCTGACTGGTGGGCAGGTCACTGGGCGGTGAGGTGGGCACAGGAGGTAAACAAGTAGGCTGGGTCTGCAGAGCTCCCTGTGGTAGGTGGGCTGACTCAGAGGGTCTCTGGGGCAGGGAGACAGGCAGGAAGATAGGCAGAATACCGGAGAGGAGTTGGGCACCTGGGCAATGGAGATATGTGGGTGCTCCCCAGGGGAGAGGGGTGAATTTTGCAAGGGTCTCCAGGTTGGAGAAGTGGGTGCAGCTGATCAGGATGCTTTCACTATGTATGCCCAGGCGTGACACGGGCAGTTGACCTGTGTGCAGCCCCAGGCAGCTGGAGCCAGGTGCTGAGCCAGAAGATCGGGTAAGTGTGGGGGTCCCAGATGGGAGACCCAGGAGGGCCGGCTGGGTGGGAGGGGCCCGGGAGCGAAACTAGGCTGATGTGGGCCATGTTGTCCACAGGGGCCAAGGGTCCGGCCACGTGGTGGCTGTGGACCTGCAGGCTATGGCTCCACTACCAGGTGTGGTACAGATCCAGGGGGACATCACCCAGGTAAGAGCATGGCTGAGGGTGTTGGGGTATATCCTGGGTGAAGGCCCTTACCTGGGGTCTATGCAGAGTGGAAGAGAAACAGAGAGGTGATAGAAACAGAGAGAGAAAGAGAGTGAGAGAGTAACCATGGAGAAACAGTCAGCAGGTCATCATTGCACAGACACAGCAGAAAATGATGATGCTGGGTCCCCAGAGGTGGAGCCCAGTCTTAGAGAGGCAAAGCCTGGGAATTTGGCTGACCCAGGGGCTGTGGGCCAGGACCATGGGCAGGCGGGATCTGAGGGCAGCAGTGGAGGGCCGTGGGGCCACTCATCCTCCCTCTCTCCATAGCTGTCCACTGCCAAGGAGATCATCCAGCACTTTAAGGGCTGCCCTGCGGACCTAGTGGTGTGTGACGGGGCTCCTGATGGTAAATAGCAACAGAAAGTGGGAGGCCAGGCGGGGCCCCCTGTGTGTGTCCTTCTCTGTATCTCCCACCTTGGTTGACTTATTCACCTCTTCAGTTACTCCCTGCCTCTCCCTTCCGCACTCAGCTTTCTCCCACATCTGGCAACTTCTCCCTACCTCTGCTGCCTGTTCTCTCTCTGCCTCTCTCTTCCTCCCACTTGCACCCCACCCTTTGAGTTTCATGTCTGTTGTCTACCTTTCCCTGCTCTCATCTCTCTGCAACTGTCCAATTCCGTTGCACTGTTCATTCATTTTCAGCCAGCCAGCCATTCAACACACATTTACTGAGCACCTATTGTGTTGGGAAAACATTCATGAATAAAATTCCATTAATCTTTAACCTCATGGAGCTGATGTTCTAGTGGGAGCAAATGGGAAAGAAAATAAATGATTCAGCTCTGTACCATTAAAAGGGGATGGGGCCAGGCATGGTGGCTTCCACCTGTAATCCCAGTGCTTTGGGAGGATGAGGTGAGAGGAACACTTGAGGCAGGAGTTTGAGACCAGCCTTGCAACATAGCAAGACCCTGTCTTAAAATATTAGCTGGCATGGTGATGCATGCCCATAGTCCCAGTTACTCAGGAGGCTGAGGTGGGAGGATCACTTGAGCCCAAGAGGTCGAGGTTACAGTACACTTTGATCGCACCACTGCACTCCAGCCTGGGCAACAGAGTGAGACCCTCTCTCTAAAAAAACGGGGTGAGGAGGCCGGGCACAGTGGCTCACGCCTGTAATCCCAGCACTTTGGGAGGCTGAGGTGGTCAGATCACCTGAGGTCAGGAGTTCGAGACCAGCCTGACCAATATGATGAAACCCCATCTCTACTAAAAATACAAAAATTAGCCAGGTGTGGTGGCATGTGCCTGTAATCCCAGCTACTTGGGAGGCTAAGACAGAAGAATCGCTTGAACCCGGGAGGCGGAGGTTGCAGTGAGCTGAGATCGCACCATTGCACTCCAGCCTGAGCAACAAGAGCGAAACTCCGTCTCAAAAAAAAAAGGTGGGGTGGGGGATGGGTACCATAGGGAAATCATTGAGCAGGAGGAAAGCAGGAGTACCTGTTGGAATTTTAAATCAAGTGGATGGGGAAGGCCTCACTGACTTAACAGCAGAGACTAAAGGAGGTGGGGGAGTAAGCTATGGATATGTCTGGAGGAAGAGCAATCCAGGAAAAATTGCAGCCCGTGCAAAGGTCCTGAGGCAGGAGGGTGCTTGCTATGTATGAGTAATGACAAGCAGATCACTGTGGTTGGAACAGAGTGAGGGGGGGAGAGTGGTAAAAGGTAACATCAGAGAGGTAACAGGGGACAGATCCTATAGGGCCTCGTGGGCCATGGTGAGGCTGTTGGCATTTTCACCGAGATGAGAGCTTGGAGAAAACCATGAGAGGGTTGTGAGGAGAAGAGGACTGTGCTGGGCTTGGGCTACTATGAGCTGTGTGAGGGCCAAGGGCAGAAGCAGGGGCTCCGGGGTGGAGTAGTCCAGGCAAGTGATAATGGGTGAGGGCAGTGGTGGAGAGGAGAAGATCAAGTCAGATCTTTTGAAAGTAGATGTGTTAATGGCTTCGATGTGGGTGTGAGGAGAGGATGCGGGGGGAGCATCAGAGGTGACTAAGGTTTTGGATTTGAACAATTAGAAAGCTCAGATGAGATGGGGAGGATGGTGGGAGGAGCAGGTTTGGGGAGGTAGGTCAGGAGTTTGGTTGTGGATGTATTGGAGATGTAGAATCTGATTTGTGAATCTGGAGTTCAGAGGAACAGTCTGGGCTGGAGGTGGAAATGATAATGATGCTTGTGTGTGAGGTTGTTTTAGAATTGAAATGAGTTCCTAAGGGTTAGGAGCTCAGAATATGCATCCAGTTGGCAGACAGTAATTTGCATCTGGAACCTTAGCAGTAAGACAGCCTGGAAAATGTATTTAGTGTCTGATCTGTGTGGTACAAGAAGATGCACAGAGCCAGATGGGACCCCCCTAACGCTGTTCCTCTTGCCACAGTAACCGGTCTCCATGATGTTGATGAGTATATGCAGGCCCAGCTCCTCCTAGCTGTGAGTAACCCTGGCCACCCCTGACCCACTTTGGCCCCCTCCTGGCTGTCTCCACCTCAGCCTCAGCCGTCTGTCCTGCCCACAGGCTCTGAACATTGCTACACATGTCCTGAAGCCAGGGGGCTGCTTTGTGGCCAAGGTAAGTCTCAAGGAACTTGGTGGAGTAGAGGGAGGTCGCTGAGGGCCACCCTCACCCGCTGTCTTTGCCTTCTCACCCTGCAGATATTCCGAGGCCGGGATGTGACGCTCCTCTACAGCCAGCTGCAGGTCTTCTTCTCCAG
Organism: Homo sapiens; assembly: GCF_000001405.40. Lineage (NCBI taxonomy): Eukaryota > Metazoa > Chordata > Mammalia > Primates > Hominidae > Homo > Homo sapiens. The sequence continues at coordinate 48,481,485 of NC_000023.11, forward strand.
CGTGCTGTGTGCCAAGCCCAGGAGCAGCCGGAACTCTAGCATCGGTCAGTGGGGTGGAGGGGCCAGGCAGGCAGAGGGGGATCTCTGGGACGCCGACTGCACGAGGAGGAAGCGGCAGTCATGCCTCACTCCACCTTCCCCTGGCAGAGGCCTTCGCTGTCTGTCAGGGCTATGACCCTCCCGAGGGCTTCATCCCGGACCTGAGCAAACCCCTGCTGGACCATTCTTACGGTGAGAGCTGGAGCATGGGCCACCCTGGGGGACTCTGCCACACCTTATGCAATCTAGGTCCCATGAGGGCCCACAGTCTCACCCCCTGGGGGAGGCTCTGTCCCCTCATGGGAATTTTTTTCCCAAGGGGATCCTTAGCCCCATTCTCTGATGGAAATCCCACCCCTTTATGGGTATTTTGTCCCGGGAGGAGCTTCAGCCCAGGCAGTCCTCTAGTGGTAACTCTTGGGCCTGGTGAAAATTCCATCCCAGGAGGATCCTGAGCCCTGCCCCAGTGGAGACTCCACCTGCCTAAGGACATTCTCTCCTAGGAAGATCTCAGTCATGTCCCAGGTGGAAACCTCCTCGGTGTGAAACTTTTGCCCCTTAAGCCTCTAGCAGGAAGAGACAGAGCCTGCCCCTGGGATGACATTTGAGTGAGGGAGACGTCATCCAGGCAGCATATAATCCAATATCAGGTGGACATAAATGCAGTGAAAAATAGCAGGGCACCGATGTTTTAGAAGGGGTGATTATGGAGGGCCTCCCCGAGGAGGTGATCTGAACCAAATGAAGGATTTCTGGTGGGGTGGGAAGAGAGTAGCTGGTGGATATGTGGGGAGGGTTTGGCAGCCATACCGCCGCCTGTGTCATGACTGGCCCCAGGCATCCTGACCTTGTCCTCAGTTGTCTCCCCCTGTTCCTAAGACCCAGATTTCAACCAGCTGGATGGTCCCACCCGCATCATTGTGCCTTTTGTGACCTGTGGGGACCTGAGCTCCTATGATTCGGACCGCAGTTACCCACTGGACGTGAGTGCCCAACCAACAGTAGGTGGGTGGGAGGGAGGCTGTCCTAGGTTACCAGGTCCTCACCATCTCCCTACCCCTCTGTCCCTGCAGCTAGAGGGCGGCTCAGAGTACAAGTACACTCCACCCACACAGCCCCCCATCTCGCCACCATACCAGGAGGCCTGCACGTTGAAGAGGAAGGGGCAGCTGGCCAAGGAGATCCGCCCCCAGGACTGCCCCATCAGCAGAGTGGACACGTTTCCCCAGCCCCTGGCCGCCCCTCAGTGCCACACCCTGCTGGCCCCTGAGGTCTGGAAATGTGACTCTCAGCCTGCCTTGACCCCTTCCCCGTGTGCCTTTTTCTGACCCAAATCTCATGGTTTCTGGGGCCAAAATTCCCTTTCCTGCCTCCCAATAGCTATAAAAAATTGGTAAAGCCAAGCATAATGAATGGAAAAGTTTCGCCAAATATGTGAGTCACTTTTCTTTTTCTTGGGTAGATGGAAGACAATGAAATGAGTTGTTCACCTTAACCCATTACGGTAAGTTTGCCTTGTTATCTAAGAGTTTGAGTAAGGGCAACCTTTATGAAAAACCTCAGTAAAATTTCACCTTTGAAATTTTTATGTCAACTGATAAGATTTTAATCAACAAACCCTTTTCTAAACATCTGTTGTTGTATGCCAGGAACTGCTTTAAGCATTTTACATTTGAGGCATTCAGTAAACATTTATTGAGCACATACTGTATGTCAGGTGTTGTTCTAGGTTTGGAGATAGAGCAGGGAGCAAAACAGAAATATCTTGGCTCTCACAGTACTTCCAGTTTGGAAAAGAGGCAACAATCAAAACAGTCTGTAAGTGCAAGAGTTTACATACACATATATACTATATAGCTTGCATTTCTCAATTTACATATCTTGCAATATATATAATATATAAGAGTAATATGGGATATAAAAAATAGAAAAAAGTAAAGCAGGGTGAAGAGAATCAGGAATTCTAGGCATGGCAGTTTTCATCTTTTGGTGTTTTTGTTTTGAGACAAGGTCTCACTCTGTCGCCCAGGCTGGAGTTCAGTGGTGTGATTTCCCGGGCTCAAAAAATCCTCCCACCTCAGCCTCTCAAGTAGCTGGGACTACAGGCATGTACCACCATGCCTAGCAAATTTTTGTATTTTTAGGGGAGATGGAGTTTTGCCATGTTGCCCAGGCTGGTCTCGATCTACTGGGCTCGAGCGATCTGCCATCCTCGGCCTCCCAAAGTACCAGGATTACAGGCATGAGCCACTGCGCCCAGCCAGTTTGCACTTTTTAAAAGGGTTGTCATAGAAGGCCTCAGACATTCCTCAGAGGTAATGTTTGAGCAAAGACCTGAAGGCACTGCCGGAGGGAAGCCATGTGTTTATCTGAGGGAAGAGCATTCTGGGTAAAGGAAATAGGCATGTCCCAAAGGTGGAACTGCACGTGGTATGGGAGGAAAGTTTATCCATAGCCAAATGTTCTAAAACCACGATGTTAGAGGATGGCCCTTTCTGACAATGGCATAGCAGGTTATTCAGACTAAGTCAGCCATCACAAAAAGCCACCTTTTTTTTTTTCTTGAGACAGAGTCTTACTCTGTTACCCAGGCTGGAGTGCAGTGGCATGATCTCAGCTCACGGCAACCTCCATCTACCAAGTTCAAGCGATTCTCCTGCCTCAGCCTCCCAAATAGCTGGGATTACAGTGCCCGCCACTATGCATGGCTAATTTTTGTATTTTTAGTAGAGATGGGGTTTTGCCATGTTGACCAGACTGGTCTCAAACTCGTGACCTCAGGTGATCCACCTGCCTCGGCCTCCCAAAGTGTTGGGATTACAGGTGTGAGCCACCACACCTGGCCTTTTTTGTTTTGTTTTTTGTTTTGTTTTGAGAACAGAGTCTCGCTCTGTCGCCCAGGCTGGGTGGAGTGCAGTGGCACTATCTCAGCTCACTCCAACCTCCGCCTCCCGGGTTCAAGAGATTCTCCTGCCTCAGCCTCCTGAGTAGCTGGGATTACAGACGTGTGCTCCCACCTCACCCGGCTAATTTTTGTATTTTTAGTAGAGACGGGGTTTCACCATGTTGGCCAGGCTGGTCTCAAACTCCTGACCTCACAAAATCTGCCTGCCTCAGGCCTCCCAAAGTGCTGGGATTACAGGCCTGAGCCACCACACCTGGCCACAAGAAGCCACCTTAAGAAAAAATTGAAACAGCAAATCATTGTGTGAAAGAGATTTACAGTTTTTAATATTTAAAGGGTCCTGTAAATCAATAAGGAAAAACATGAGAGTGGCCAGTAAGCACATGAAAAGCTGCTCATCAGGAAAATACAAGTGAAAACTCAAAATATCAACAACACTAAGTATTTGAAAGGATATGCAGCAATTGAAAGCCTCGTACATGCTACTGGGAAGGTAAAATGGTGCAGCCACTGTGGAAACTTAGGCATTACCTACTAAAGCTGCATGTGTGCCAGTTCCACTCCTAAGAAATGAGTCCTAGAGGCCGGGTGCCGTGGCTCAACGCCTGTAATCCCAGCACTTTGGGAGGCCGAGGTGGGTGGATCACCTGAGGTCAGGAGTTCAAGACCAGCCTGACCAACATGGCAAAACCCCATCTCTACTAAAAATACAAAAATTAACCGGGCATGGTGGCGGGCACCTGTAATCCCAGCTACTCAGGAGGCTGAGGCAGGAGAATCACTTGAACCTGGGAGGTGGAGGTTGCAGTGAGCTGAGATCGTGCCACTGCACTCCAGCCTGGGTGACAGAGTCAGACTCCATCTCAAAAAAAAGGAAATGAGTCCTAGAGTGTTGCTAGCAGCACTATCTATAGTATATGCCCATTAAATCGTGGTACATTCACCGTGGAGAACTGTACAACAATGACAGTGAACATCCTGCAATTACACCAAATAACACCTTGTAGTTATTCATTAAACTGAACATATATAGGTTTTATGCATTTTCTATATGTCATGGTTCACCATAAAAGGAGGAAATGTCACAAAAATGTTAGCAGCAGAGTTAGCTAGGTGTGGTGGCACATTCCTGCCTGTAATCCCAGCTACTTGGGAGGCTGAGGTGGGAGGATCACTTGAGCTTGGGAGGTTAAGGTTGTCGTGAGCTATGATGGAGCTCCACTGCACTCCAGCCTGGGTGACAGAGCAAGACCCTGTCTCTAAAAAAACAAAACAAAACAAAAAAACTTTCTTTGACTTTTGGTTAGCTGGCAAACTGATACAACTCAGAAACTGCTCAATGTCAGGAAAACCGGAACTTGTTGATGAACTTGTTTTCAAAATATCATCTCATCAACGAGGCCTGGACA